>NC_000004.12:101421381-102046381 GCF_000001405.40 Homo sapiens
ATATAGCACATTTCAATTTTTACTACCACGTTTCAAATATTTAATAGCCATATATGACTAGTGGTTCTCTGTTGTACAGCACAGCTCTAAGTCTTAGAGTGCCAATTCTCATACATACATAAGCAGTGAGCAAGTCCTAGGCTGGGTAGAGTTTCTTGGTCATTAGGCACCAGGGCTGTCCCCTGTTTCTTCCCTTCAAGCTATTGCCATTGCTGCAACATCCAGCTGCGGCTGCTTTCCCCAGGAAATAATGTAAGGAATTTTAGTTATTGCCTGGATGAAACCCAATCTTAAATGTCTCTCAGGAAGTCATTTAATGCATATGACCTTTCATAATATGGTGAAAAATGATAATTCATCATGTGCTAGTATACTTCTAGTACTAGAAGGCTACCATGTCTTGAATTAAATTTTGCTATTACTGGATGGTTCTAATTTATAAAGTATTTTGTTCAGAAAAAAGAATTTGCCTGGTTATAGGGATAAGATAAAATTCAAGTGGAGAAAAGAATGAGAAGACAAATGTTCATTCAAAACTGAAGGTAATCAATCACAGCAAAATAAGAAAAGCAATAACTTTCCAATCCTGAGCTGTTCAAAGATTAGATGAATTTTTTTGAGTTCCTTATATCTGGAGGTATCTAAGCAGTGATTAATTGGTGAGATTATTGTAGCATGTTAAATGTGTAACTGGATGAGTTTTTCTGCTCTGAGCTTTGTAATAGGTATAATAATAACAGCTATGTGATACACATATATGTGCATATATATTTTCAAAGTGTAGGTAAATATTATGATAATTTATGTTTTATTTTGAAATTTAAAATGCCATCATGTTATGTTAATCTGCATTTTTATTTTACCAGTGAAATTGAACATATTTGTATATTTTTAGCAATTTAGATTTTCCCTCTTGTAAATTGCTGGTTCATATTCTTTTCCCATTTTCTTATCATGTATTTTTCCTTTTATTATTAACTTGTATGTAATTCAGATACAAGTAACTATGGGTTAAATGTGTTGTACATATGTCCTCCACTTTTTGTCTTGTGTTTTTACTCATTTTAGGTGTCATTTGAAAAACAAAGTTCTTAATTTTAATTTAGTCCAGATTATCAACCTTTGTCTTTTATGAATATTGCTTTTTGTACTTGTTTAAGAAATGTTTCCCTACCTCGAAGTTATGAAGATATAGCCTATATTAATATTTTATTTGTTAATTATGTGTTTTTATTTGCTTTTTACCCCTAGGGAATTCATATTTGCATATGGTGAAGGTAAGAATCCATTAAATAAAATAATGAGAGGACATTATTTTGGAGTGAGCTCATACACTAGGCCCGAACAGACCAAACCAAAATGGAGTCACATGTGCAAAGTGCCACATAATGAAACTGGCACTTTAAGGAAGCAGAAAAATTTGCAAACAGACCATTTTTTCTTAAAAGTAAGAGATTTACAATAACCACTTGGAAAGGGATTGTCAACCTGAGCTGGAATTAAAGAAAGTCTCTCCATGTTCTTAGTTTGTTGAGAATTTATATCATGGAACAAAGTTAAATTTTATCTTTTCTGTCATGTAATGATAAGACTTTGATTTTCCTCTGCTTCCCTGTGGATATGGTAAATTGCATTAATTGATTAGTCACAATATATTTAATAGTATCCTTTTCTATATTTTCTATATTTCTGGATTTCTTGTTTAGAAAATTTTTAATCCACTTTCATTAATTGGTTTGTAATTTCCCTTTTTCTTCCTGCCATTTCTGAAATTTGAGTTTGAAATTACGCTAACACTAAAATATGAAGTTATGCTAATACTGAGAGATTGTTAACTCATTTTCTGCTTTTCAGATAAATTTATGTAGAATTGGAATTCTTTTTAAAAAACATTTTATTTTGAAATAATTTCAAGCTTACAGAGAAATTGTCAGAGTAGAACAGAGAAATTCTCTATATGCTTCACTCAATTTCGGTTCCACTTATTGTGAATATGTTGTCACAGTAGCTTTATCTACTTTTTCTTGAATTATTTAACAATAAGTTATAGATACTGTGTCCCACTACTCCTAAAAATTTTATTACATATTTTACAAGAGGAGCATTTTGTTACATCACTATAGTACAGTTAGCAAAATTAGACAAATCAATATTGATAAAACGCTTTTGTCTAATATATAGTCGATTATCAAATTTAGTCAATTATCCCAATAATGTCCTGCATAATATTTTTTCCCTGATTCAGTATCCAAACCAGTATCATGAACTGCATTTAGTGATTACATCCCTTTAGTCTCCGTAATCAAGAACAGTTTTTTAGATTTTCTTGGCATTTTTTAACATTGACATTGTAAATGGGATAGTTTTCTTGATTTCTTTTTCAGATAAATTGTTGTAAGTGTAAAGAAATGCTACACATTTTCCACGTTGATTTTGTATTTTGCTACTTTACTGAACTAATTTATTAGTTCTGACAGTCTGTGTGTGGACGTAGGTGGAGACTTATAGAGTTTTCTACATACAGGATTATGTCATCTGCAAATGGATAATTTTACTTCTTCCTTTCTGATTTGGATGTCTTTTATTTCTATTTCTTGTCTGATTGCTCTTGCTAGTGCTTCCAGTACTGTGCTGATTAGAAATTGTGAGAGTGGGCATCCTTGCCTTGTACCAGATCTTAGATGAAAAGCTTTCAGTTTTCTGTAATTTATTATGATGTAAACTGTGAAATTGTTCATAAATGGACTTCATTATGTTGTGAAAAATTTCTTCTATACATATTTCATTGAGAATATTTTTTAATCATAAAAGGATATTGAACTTTAGCAAATGATTTTTCTGAGTCTATTGAGATAATCATATTATTTTTATCTTTCATTTTGTTAATGTGGTGTAGCATATCAGTTAGTTTGCATACATTAAACCAACCCTGCATCCCAAGGATAAATCCCATTTGTTCATGATATATAATCTTTTTGCTGTGTTGTTCATTTTGGTTTGCTAGCATTTTATTGAGGATTTTTGCATCAATGTCCATCCAAGGTACTGGCCTGCAGTTTTCTTTTCTTGTGATGTCTTCCTCTGGCTCTGGGATCAGGATGATTCTGGCCTCATAAAATATAAATGATTTGTAGAATTCAGTTCTGACATCATATTTTCCTGGGCATTTCTGTTTTGAGAAGTTTTTGATTACTAATTCTGTCTCTTGTTATTGGTGGGTTCAGGCTATTTCTTTTTGATTCAGTCTTGGTAGTTTGTACGTTTCTAGGAATTTGTCCATTTACTCTGGGTTAATCAGTTTTTTGTTATATGATTCTCCATAATAGATAATAGTCCCCCTTGTTTTTTTGAGACGGAGTCTCGCTCTGTCATCCGGGCTGGAGTGCAGTGGTGCTGCTATTGCAGCTCACTGCAACTTCCGCCTCCCAGATTCACGCCATTCTCCTGCCTCAGCCTCCCGAGTAGCTGGGACTACAGGCGCCAGCCACTACGCCCGGCTAATTTTTTGTATCTTTATTAGAGACGGGGTTTCACCGTGTTAGCCAGGATGGTCTCAATCTCCTGACCTCGTTATCTGCCAGCCTCTGCCTCCCAAAGTGCTAGGATTACAGGCGTGAGCCACTGCACCCGGTGCATAGTATAGTCCGTTATGAACTATTTTATTTCTGAGGCATCTGTTGTAATGTATTTACTTTCCTTTCAGATTTTTTTAATTTATGTCTTCTCTCTTTTGTTCTTAGTCTAATTAGGGGTTTGTTGATTTTGTTTCCTTTTGCAAAAACCAACTCAGTTTAAAAAATTATTTTGTATAGTTTTAAAATTCTTTATTTGATTTACTTGTCTATAATCTTCATTATTTTCTTTCTTTTGATAAATTTGGGTTTATTTTGTTATTTTTTTCTGGTTCCCTGAAGTGTAAATTTAGGTCGTTTATTTCAAATTCTTCTCCTTCTCCTCCTCCTCCTGCTCCTCCTCCTCCTCCTCCTTCTCTCCTCCTTCTCCTTCTCCTTTTCCTTCTTCTTCATTTTTTTTTTTTTTAGATGGGTTCTCACTCTGTCACCCAGGCCGAAGTGCACACAATCATAGCTCATTGCAGCCTCGAACTCCTGGGCTCAAACTATTCTCCTGCCTTAATCTCTTGAGTAGCTGGGATTACAGGCACGAGCCACTGTGTCTGGATTTTCTTCTTTTTGGTGTAAGCATTTGTTGCTATAAAATTTATTCTTAATATAACTGCTTTTGCTGCATCCCATAAGTTTTGGGAAGTAGTGTTTTTATTTTAATTTATCTCAAGAAATTTTAAAAATTTCTTTTTGATTTCCTCTTTGACTTGGGGGTTGTTCAAGAGTGTGCTATTTAGTTTCTACATATTCTGTGAATTTTCCTATTTTCTCACTGTTATTAATTTCTAATTTCAATCCCCTTAAATTTGTTAAGATTTGTTTTGTGGGTTAACATTTAATGTATCTTGGAAACTATTTCATGTATACTTGAGATGAATGTATATTTTCTTCTTTTTGCTTAGCAAGTCAAAACACTAACCAAAAAAATGTAAATGCAGGTTCAAAATTCTTTATCTTAATTTTTTAGAGCAACATGTACTTTGCAACTCAAAAGTATTTCCGGCTGGGCATGGTGATTCACCCCTGTAATCCCAGCACTTTGGGAGGCTGAAGCAGGAGGATTGCTTAAGGCTAGTAGTTTGAGACCAGCCTGGGCAACATAGCAAGACTCTGTCTCTACAAATAAAATACTTAGCTAGGCTTATTTACAGGTTTTACTACTGATAAAACCTTGCTAATTTATGGCACATGTCTTAATCCAGCAGGCCATGTATCATGACTGTTTCCTATAGCCAAAAACAAGGGTTTGACATTGAAGTAGCCACTCTTGTGATGAAATCTAACAATGAGTTTTAAGAAATTTTACTTCCGTCATCATGCCCTTAAGCACCGTGGATGTGGAGTAACTAGTACTTAAGGAAATAATGATTTTGAAGTATTGGAAGCTTCTGGCCGTTTTTAGACTTTTATTCCATTGCATTAATGGTCATCCAAGGTATGGCCATACAGTAATTTGGTACCAAGTATTGGGAGAAATTGGGTTGTTAACATACACTGGAAGAAGAAGGACTATGTCTGGAACCTTGGAGTTTCACTAGGGTACCTCATTTTACTCCCTTGCTTAATAGTCCTGGTCAAGGCTAGGCACGGTGGCTCACGTCTATAATCCCAGCACTTTGGGAGGCTGAGGCAGGCGGATCATGAGGTCAGGATTTCGAGACCAGCCTGACCAACATGGTGAAACCCTGCCTCTACTAAAAATACAAAAATTACCCAGGCGTGGTGGCACGCACCTGTAGTCCCAGCTACTTGGGAGGCTGAGGCAGGAAAATCACTTGAACCTGGAGGTGGAGGTTCTTGGCAGTGAGCCAAGATTGTGCCATTTCACTCCAGCCTGAGTGACAGAGTGAGACTCCCTCTCAAAAAAAAAAAAAAAAAAAAAATAGTCCTGGTCAAGAGAACACTCCATCATTCCAATAAGGTCAAGACAACCAAGGACTAAATTCTATAATAATGGAAATTTGAGTCACCCTACTCAGCATAAAATCTGTCCAGTCAAGTTTCTTGACATCATACTTGGTAATGGGAAGAATAATACAAGTATACAGCTTTCAATAACCATTTATGTCTTATGGAAACAGTAGCAGTTATATTTAGGTTACATAATCTTTTTTATTCCCTTCTATTCTCCATCTCATATCAAGAACACTGACTGGTTAGAAATTTTAAGTTTCAGGTGGGCATATGACAAAATTGGCATTACTCAATGATGGTATGATAGCAGATGGGATTTTATATGTCCCTTGAATTGCTGATGTCATCTTTATACATGGATGAAGGACACTAGTGGATGTTCTTCCTTTTGCCCATACCCTCTCTGCACTATATCCACTTTTTTAATGCCCATGTAGTCTGATACCTGTGAGTTACATAAGCAGGGTTCCTTGCCCTCTGGATTCCAGTTAGCTCTAGAAGGAGATCTGAAGGAGGAGGAATAAGAGCTAGGGTACTTATTTATTTGGATCCCTTTCTATGAGGTCATCGTAGTCCACCTGTGTCTTCACAGAAAGGCAATTCTCCTTTCCCAATGCTTTCTTACATGGTGCTCTCTTCCAGGTTGGGCTGACTGCTCCATCTCTCAAATCTCTAGATGTAGGGGGAGTCCCAACCACATCAGCACTAGGCTTGGTACTGAATTATTCCTTTTGGTTTCCCTACACCCTCTCCACACCATTGTAAGTATTTTTTTGTTAAACATTTCTGAAGTTAGCTTTATTTGAGTTTGTCATTTGTTTTCTTCTGGGATTCTGACTGATACATACTGTGAAAAGTATTCACTTCATTGTCTCTCATTCACCCAATTCTTATACCTACTCTATTGTAACCATTAAAATTACTTTTGTGTTACAGTTTCTTGGATATCTGTCTGGAATCTCTTCAAACATAATTCAAACAAATGGGAATATATATTCTTATTTTCCCCATTTAAGTAAAAGTTTAAAAAGCTATATATAATGTTCTGTACTCTTTTTCACTTTAAAAATCTTTAAGGTCCCATATGAGTTCATAGTTCCATTTTATACCTGCTTAGTATGACAATATATAAATGTTCTGTAAATTACAAAATCAGTCCCTGTTGATGGTAATTCTTTTTCCAAAACTTTTGCTATGGCACACAATGTTTCAGTGAATCATTATTATGTATCATTTCACATATAGCCTAGTATTTACAATGGATAAATGCCTAAAAATGGAATTGCTGAGTTAAATGGTATAAGCTTTTGATAACAAAACTACCTCCACTGCATTTGTTCCATTTTGTACTTGTGATTTCTTTATTTCTTTAGTTTTTCAGCTCTGTTACATAGACTTACTGCTGAGAAGTACTGACCTAGGGCCTCTCAGTCACTGCATAATGTAGTGGTCTGGTTTTCTGTGACTTTAAGAGACCATTCTCTACCCCATTTACTAGAGAGAAGATTGTCTGTACGTTCTAAGCTGATGGAGGCTGCTCTTCAATAGCAAATATTTCTTCAGAAAATGTTAAATGCTTTTAAAAATGGTCTCCTTGTCTTGCAGAATGGAAAACAAAGAGTTCCTGTACTCCTCATTTCTTATTTATATTAATTTTAATAATGTTATATGAAGAGTGGTTTTATTAATAATGTTATTTATTTCCTAATGTAATATCTTTTTGTGGGCCCTTTGTAGGCTCTAATTTGCCACACTTAAACTCTCCTAAGTCTTGCAATGACTAGACATATTTTCAGCTAAGTTATTATTAAATGACTGCCATATAATTGTACATATGTGATGCCCGCTCACTATATACTTATTAGAATAATATATTTACTTGAAACTTAGGTTATAAAGCTTGATATCTTGCCTTGATGAAGGCAATTTTTGCAACCGTCTTACAGAATTATGCTGAAGATTCAGGTTGATGTGTTTAGAGGTATAAGAAGCCCTGATAATTACCTCTCTGGGCTTTCTGCAGCCTGACAGGGCCTCTCTCTGAACTAACTGGCAGACCCATAACCCAGGCACATTTACTCATCTCCCAGTCTGACAGTGCTTGTTATTCTTTACTTGGAAAAAATATTTTCATGGTTTGAATATCCCCAAATTTATGTACTGAAACTTAATCACCAATGTGATAGTATTAAAGTATGGGGCCTTTAGGAGGTAATTAAGTCATGTGGGCAGAGCCCTTATAAAAGTGGCCTCACATAGAGTTAGGCCTTTTTAATACTTCCATCCATTCTGCCAGGTAAGGACACAGCATTCAAAGTGCTACCATGAAAGGAGAGACCTGGCCCTCACCAGACATCAAACCTGCTGGCACCTTAATCTTGAACTTCTGAGCCTATAAAACTGTTAAGAGAGTAAATTTTTATTATTTATAATTACCCAGTCTCAGGTGTTTTGTTATAGCAGCATGAAAGGACTAAGACAGCTTTCTTTTGTCTTGTTGCAGGAAATGTTTAACTTCCATAAGTCTTAAGAGCTAGAGAAAGCTTTTTCACAAAGACCCAATCCAAGTCCTCTGCAGAATTACAACTTCTCTCTAGGGTTTGTTAGATGAAGGTGTTAAATGAAAAAAGTCCCATAATTAATACAATTAGAAAGGGGAGGAGACCTTATTTCTGGGAAAGGATTGCAGCCTACAAGGTGGCCATCCTGCAGGCTGGGAAGCACAGCCTCTAGCAAAGACCAGAGACAGGCACTTTGAGGGAGGAGAGGCTGGGTTGGGAGCTTTATGCTGAACAGGTTGGCTAAACATACCTATTCAACAGGTTATAGAAGGAGCTATGAATATTCATGAAGGTGGTCCTGACACATGAGTGTTAAAAAACGTGCATGTAACATATGACCTATGTTCACTTTGGGGTGGAGACATAGCATTTAAATGTATTACAATTAGACCTATATGTCAAAAGGTCTTTTCAGGACACAAAGGCATGCAAGTGCACAGTCTCTGTAAACCAGCCAGAACCAGTTCATCGTTGGTGGTCTACTTATCAGGAGAAAGTTACTGAAATCAGTCTCTTGTTCAATCCAAGCTATAATTATGGCTGGTGAAACAAAGGGCCAGTTAGCATCTGATGTAGCTGCAAATTGTTTTAATATTGCTAATCTTAAGGCCAGTGCTTGTTTAGCTACTAGAAAAACAAAACAAAACAACAACAAAAACCTCATGGCAGTTAGAACATAGTCTGTTCTGTAAGTATAGGGGTGCATGACTTAACCCTTGCCTGGAATGGCCTTAGGTCTTATAGTTTGGTATCTTATTTCCAGAAGAGTCTGTTCTGTCCATCTTATGATCTCTATTGTAACATTAGATTTGGTCAGTTGTGTCAGTTGTGTCTAAACCACAAAAGGAAAAGGGTGTAATGAGTTGGACATGTAATGAGGGTGTAATCTGTCCAACTCTCCATTCCATCATGACTGGGAAATCAATTTTTAAGGTTTCCTGGGGTCCCTTTGGCCATGAGGGTGTCCATTCAGTGGGTGGAGGGCTTAGGATTTTATTTTTAGCTTATAAAGTCAAGACATAATGTTAGTGTCACTACACTACTGTTTGACAAAAGTCCTGCCCATAAGGAAGTATTAATTTTTGTGTGAAGTTTTCACTTAACACAAAGTATAGGAAGTGAGAATGCCAGAGTGGATAAATTCTCCATGAATTTTGGCTGAGCTAGCATGTCTACAATTTGTTTAGTGGAAAGTAGATGTGCATCATTATACTACCATTATAAAAACAGAATCTTTTTTTTTTTTTTTGAGATGGAGTTTTGCTCTGTCACCAGGCTGGAGTGCAGTGGTGCAACCTTGGCTCACTGCAACCTGCGCCTCTCTGGTTCAAGCTATTCTCCTGCCTCAGCCTCCTGAGTAGCTGGGACTACACAGGCATGCACGACCACACCCAGATAAGTTTTTGTATTTTAGTAGAGACGGGGTTTCACCATGTTGGCCAGGATGGTCTCGATCTCCTGACTTCATGATCTACCTCCCTTGGCCTCCCACAATGCTGGGATTACAGGCATGAGCCACCACGCCTGGCCTAAATACAGAATCTTTTTTTAGAGACTACTTAGATTTTGGTAATTAAATTTAATAACATTTGTAGGACACTAATATTTTCTAATAAAAGTGGAATGATTTTGTAAGTACTCGTATTGTGTTTAGAAGCAATAATAACTTGACATGGAAAGTAAATTGAATCAGATCAAAATAAAATGGATTCAGTAAATAAATTTCTTCTGAAATTAGCATCCTAAAGGTTAAATGGCAACTTATTATAATGAAGACCGCCACAAAAAGAACATTGCCAACATTGCTATATTATTAGGTAATTAATAGTGACAAGTCACAAATTTTACTTGCTAGACTGTTCTTTTGCACAGATTCCTCATTTGAGTTGTCAATGTTATATGCAGTAAGGTTTTTTACTCCTTTACTTATTCCATATAAAGTCGTCCCTCAGTATTCATGGAAGTTGGTTCCAAGACCCTGGCAAATATCAAAATTTGCAGATGCTCAAGTCCCTTACACAAAACAGTGTAGCATTTTCATGTAATCTATGCAGGTCCTCCCATATATGTAAAATCTCAGATTACTTGTAATACTATGTAAATACTATGTAAATAGTTGTTATACTGTACTGTTTAGGGCTGTGGACCCAAAACTTTTTGGTACTGGGGATGGTTTCATGGAAGAGAATTTTTCCACAGACAGGGTGGCATGGCGGGTCTGGAATGAAACTGTTCCACCTTCATATCAGGCATTAGTTATATTCTCATAAGGAGTGGGCAAGCTAGATCCCTTGCATGTGCAGTTCACAATAGGTTTCACACTTATATGAGAAACTAATGTTGCACTGGCAGAGCCCAGGTGGTAATGCTTGTCACCTGCCACTTACCTCTTGCTATGCAGCCCAGTTCCTAACAGGCCATGGACCAGTACCGGTCTGCAGCCTAGGGTTTGGGGACCCCTGGTTTAGGGAATAATGACAAGAAAAAAAAATGTTCTTACATGTTCAGTACAGACACAACCATCCCACAGTTTCCATTTGTGGTTGCTTGAATTTATGGATGCACAACTTGTGAATACTGAAGGCTGACTGCAATTGAATATTGATGAAATATAACTTTTTGGCTCACGTTTACATTCTCCAAGATGGGGTCATTCTGCATGAAAAGATGTGCTTATGTGAAAGAATGTGGTAATATTTTGGTTCTTCAGATTTCTACTCTTACCTCTTTAGCTCAGTGCAGAGGCAAAAAATAAAAACAAAAAAACACTATTTGATGTCTATTGTATGCATGTTACCATTGACGCACAGAGAATAAGACAAAAATTGTTTTCGTAATAGAGCTGGCAACTGATATGTAGGGATTCAATAAAGAGAAATGAAATAGATTTGTAAATGATAATTTGAAAAATTACCTATATAAATGTATAAAGAAAGTTAAAATTGAGTTACTTGTTTAAAGTTCTGTAAAGAAGCCTATTTTAATTTTTATCATTCAGGGAAAAGTGCAGGGTATTTGGTTTTGCTTGCTTTTAGTGACTTCATGACCCATCATTATTCTTATTCTAAGCCTGTTGGGAAGGGAGGTTGTTCAGTCACTTCTTTTCTTCTGAATTATTTCTGTCCTCAATTGCGGCCTACTCTTTCTGTCTCAGCTGGGTTTAGGGTGGGTGGACATAAAGGAAGGAGAATAGATAGATTGTGGAGAGCAGAAAAGTTCTTATTTTGATGCCAAGAGATGGCTCTACATTTTCCAATCCCAGTGAATGTTTGAAGCTGATTATTTCTTTTGTGGAGAGTTTTTATGGTTTATGTGGAAGTCTGCCTCCATGTATGGATATCTCTTACTTACAATCCCCTCAAACTTTACTATTTTATTCTCTGTTCAGCTCCAAAGACTTATATCCAAAAAACCCTCTTCCTCACTAATCCCTTACCTAACCTGGCTCTTTTAATCTCTGTGTGGGTAACAAACCCAAGAAACATGTAACTGTTTTTGTCCCCCCAAGTTAAATTCCTTTATGACTTTGGCATTTTATCTAACATCTCTTTTGGAATGTAACATTTATTCGTCTTTGGTACTTCAGCTTAATCATATGCTCCCCATCATGAAACCATATTGGAAACCTATATTGAGGAAGGAACTTTTTGCAATTAGTAAAGCTTTGAGTTCATAGGGCCTTACAGTTTCACTGGAAATCATAAGGCTTCTTTTCTGTTCTACCTTGGGGCCTGCCAGAATCACAAAAATGCTTCACTTTCTCTTATCTAAAGAGCGATTAAAGTCTCAATTACATTTATCCAATTCATTGGCTCTTCCCTATAATGGGGGTAGTGGTGAAGGGTTTGCAGCAAGAGGGAGTTCAGGAGCTGCCATTCATTCTTATCACGCAAAGGCATTTTATTTTCAACTGTTGAAAACAAAACTATTCCCTATGATAATATTAAAGGTTCTCTATATTAAAAATATCTCCAAATAAAAAGGCTTTTTCCTATATAGTTAGCCATAATTCATTTATAATTTTGCTATATTACTTGGAACTTATTCTCCAGATAATTTTTTTTCTCTCATTTTTCTCAAGTTGCCCAAATTATTGTATTCCCAAAGGATATTCAGTCTTTCAGACTTTCGGTCTACACTGCATTTTTCCTCATGAGAACATCAGACACTCACAAAAATGCGAGTCAACTATAGCTTTTAAAACTTCATTTTGTTTAAAAAAAATGTCAAAATGAGTTTTTCTCATAAGACTAGAATGTCAAACATAAAATGTAAAAATAAAATTCTCATTGGACTGGTATATGTTCAGTCTTCTTCCTACTTCCTCAACTGAATGTTGATTTAAATTTATGGGAAATCATTCATATATGTCTTTTTGGTTCATGGTTATTTTACATTTGTTCATCTGTTATTTTCACTTTAAAGATGCAAAAAAGACTACATAAATCTTTGAAATAGAGTCAAGAGTGTTTGCATAAGGATAGTTTCTACCAGTTCTTTAGGGAGAGACACTGTTGGTCAATGTTTCCGCTTGTATTAATAGCAACAATGGATTTGGATATGGAAGAAATAAGACATTTTATTGGCCTTATACTACAAGAGATTTTTTTTCTCTGAATATTTTAAAGGTTTCTTCTACTGAAATATAGTGTATATAGGTACCCTTCTTTCCTTCCTCCCTTCCTACTTTCCTTCCTTCCTTCCTTCCCTTTTTTCTTTCTTTCTCCCTTCTTTTCACTTCCCTTTCCTTCCCTTCCTTTCCTATTTGGGTGTAAAGTCCAGTTTTAATACTTGGAAACAATGCCTTAGTTCCCTAATCTATGAAATTTGATGATAATATCAAACCTAAACATAAAGATAAAATGAAGCAATGCATATGAAGAGCCTACATGGCATAATACCTCATTTTGTAGAGTTTGACAGAGGTATAGAGGAAATGAGAAATGCCATAAAAAACAGTGGGTATGATCTCAAGTTAGTTTTATTTTTGTAATCCTGTTATTGGTGTTCCCTGCTTATCAGGGGAGCCCAGGCGATACACTAACTTTTTTCCATATTAAATAATTCTGCTTTATTTTTTATATTAATTAACACTAACACAGGATCAAGACTTCATCCTGATCATTTTTCAATGATGGATTCACATTCTACATTGGTTTTGTGATCTTGCTAGTGTTATAGCTATTACCTGGTACTTGTGACTAGGTTCCTTCTTGATACTGCTATTTTCCATCTTGGGTGAGATCTATAATTCCTGACTACAACCCAGACCAACCCACCAGCTGGTTAATAAATAACTTCATCTAGAGTCTGCTTCAAATTGGACAAACTTCCTGAAATCATAATTGTGCTATCTGTTGGATGAGATGAATGAAGACTTTTCGATGACTCCAGCCTCAATTTTCTTACACTGGATATTAACTCTGGCTTAGATCTGATCCAAATTTCCATGCCACTTGTGTTATTTCAAAATATAGTTTAAAAATCACTAATGTTTGAATTATAAGAAAGATCAAAGAGAATAAATTAAAATATGCAAATTACCCACCACCCAGCTTTAACAATTGTCAGCATTTGGCCACATGTATTTCAAATCCTTAAAAAGACTATTAAGGGTGCAAATGAAATTCTTTCCCTCCCTTCTTACACTCTCCTTCCTTCTCTAGAAGAAACTTCTCTTTTAAAATTGGTGTGTATTTTTTCTATCTATGTTTTATAATTTACCATATTCTCATAGTGTGCTTTTAAAAGTTGTGCATGTGATTATAGCATATTATCTGTATATCTCTAAATTATATTTTTGTCATTCAGTAGTCATATTTATGTTCAATGATGCATTTATAAGTAGATTATTTACTTTACAGTATTCACACAATAGAATTTCATGTTGTGTGTGTGTATGTTGGACACTTGAGTTCCCCTAAGTTTTTAAAACAATTCATATATACTATTTCACATATTTTTGGGGCGCCTATAATTTTTTATTAAATGCATAGAATGTGTAATGATCAACTCAAGGTATTTATGGTGTCTGTCACTTTGAGTGTTTATCATTTCTATGTGTTGAGAACATTTTAAGTCTTCTCTTCCAGGTAGTTTGAAATATACAGTATGTTGTTGCTAACTGTAGTCACTTTACTTTACTATGGAACATTAGAACTTATTTCTTCTAACTAACTATAAGTTTGTAGCTATTAGCCAACCTCTATTCATCCCTTCCTCCCACACACATACCTTTCCCAGCCTCTGGTATTTATCATTCTACTTTCTACCTCCATGAGACCAACTTTTTTTGTTCCCACATATAAGTGGGATATTTGTCTTTACGTGCTGGTTTATTTTACTTAAAATAATGACCTCCAGTTTCAGCCATGTTGCTGCAAATGAAAGAATTTCACAGTTTTTTTTAATAGATGAATAAGTTTCTGTTAAGTATACATACTAGATTTTCTTTATCTATTTGTCCGCTAATGGACACTTAGGTTGATTCAACCTCTTGGCTATTGTGAATAATGCTGCAAATAAGCACAGGTTTTCACTGTTACAAACAACACTTAGAGTAACATCCTCACACATGCAGGTTTTCTTGGCATGTATACAAGAATGTATACTTCAAAGTGGATTTGCTGTGTTGTAGGGCACGTATATCTTTAGACTCTTCTTGGTATGGTGTTAAACTAATGTTTCTGTCTACCATCTGGACTGCCATGGTTGACTGCCATTCCAAACAGAGAAATCATCTCGGATAAGCTGTACCTGGCGTATCATACTGGGCCAAGAGTGTAGCGTGAACCCTGTCTTTAGTCACCATTGTCAGGGCACAGTCGTTCCTAAAGTGCCTATAGAACTACTCATTAATAACATCCTGCATGATTTGTTTACAAGAGTTTATATATATTGACTGGAAAAGAATTCTACTAGATTAAAAATACTGTTACTCTGTAGGCTCTGGGAAGATAAAACACAATCTTTCATTTTCTTTGAGATTAGAAAACAGTAAATAGGAGGTTGTTGTCTAAATAAGTTTTGCTAAAGCCATGAAAACACATCTTAAAAATAGACAAAAATCCACTTTATTGGGATTTTGTTTTCTGGCTTAAAATCTAGTTGGCGATTAATATTTACTGCATATAATACAACTGGATCATAGCTAATCACTCACCTATTTGGATCTAAATGTTAATTGTCAAGCAACAAGACCTTTTCGGAATAAAAAGAACACTTGAGTTTTATGTAAAAAACAAATAAAAACACATGAAAATGACTGATTGGATTTGAATTTATAGTAGCAATGAAAAGAGCATGATTAAAAAACATGACTTGATCTTCGAGTAAAAAGTCAATGAACATATATCTCCAAATATTTGAGAAACAGAAAAGTACTAAAAAAGTAACTATTAGTTAAAATATTTAAATGAATAAATAAATATAGTAGTATGCTGTGTAATAATGTTACAGTCAACAATGGACTACATATACAATGGTGGTCCTGTAAGATTATAATACTGTATTTTTACTATAACTTTTTATGTTTAGATATGTTCAGATACACAAATACTTACCATTGTGTTAAAGTTGTCTACAGTGTTCAGTACAGTAGCATGCTCTTCAGGTTTGCAGCCTAGGAGCAATAGACTACACCACATAGACTAGCTGTGTGGTAGGCTATACAATCTAGGTCTGTGTAAGTATACTCTATGATGTTTGCCCAACAAAATGGTCTAATGACACATTTCTCAGAATGTATCCCCATCACTACGTAATGCATGACTAAATAAATAACATGAAACACCTTTGAGAAACAAGTCTATGTCTAATTTATCCTTGTTTGATTTGTGGCCTCAAGCACATTACCTTGTACATAGAAAATGCTAAATAGCTATTGCTGATTGAATGTATTCATGAATGAATAAGTGAAGTTTGAAGTGATGACAAGAGATACACAGGTTTGTTTGCTTTCTTTTTAGGAGTAAAATAATGCAATGGAATATTAAAATAAGAAAATAATTCTGATATTATATTTTACTCTAATTTTAAAGCCTTTTTTCATATTAAGTGTTTTTGTTGATTCAAAATTAGAAAATATATCTATCTCTAATACTTAATACCCATTCCCTAACATGGCATTTGTTCATTCAATTGAAAACATTTAGCAAAATGCCTCTTCGACATCTATGGGATCATTTAAAAAATGTTTTGGGGGACTTAATTATAATTCTCCTCTAAGCTTTTGAAGCTTAGCTAAGACTATTACCTATTCTCTTGGGTTTTGCTACCACCATGTGCTAGTATGTGACAGATGTTTAGATGGCTGTGACCAGGCAGACTGGTCACTTCAAAACTTGTTTGAGCCATATGCAAGAGAAAACATAATGTCGAGACAGAAAGCTGAAAAATGTGTAAACAATAAAATTAATTTGGTAAGTTATGACCAACAGTATTCTTTTTAATGAGATAAAATAAATATATCAGAATACATTGAACATTGGAAGGAAGCATTGTTTCATGAAGTGTATTAATATGTATTTGAATAAGAATTGTGATCTAAAATATATTTCCTCCCATGGTTGCAATAAAAATATTTGAAAGCCACTCCCTTAAGGGACACAGAGGAATAGGAACCTACTTAAAAGTGATGACAGGCCGGGCGCGGTGGCTCACGCCTATAATCCTAGCACTTTGGGAGGCCGAGGCAGGCAGTTCACAAGGTCAGGAGATCGAGACCATCCTGGCTAACATGGTGAAACCCCATCTCTACTAAAAAAAAAAAAATACAAAAAACTAGCCTGGTGTGATGGTGGGCACCTGTGGTCCCAGCTACTTGGGAGGCTGAGGGAGGAGAATGGTGTGAACCCAGGAGATGGAGCTTGCAGTGAGCCGAGATCATGCCACTGCACTCCAGCCTGGGTGACAGAGCAAGACTCTGTCTCAAAAAAAACAAAAAAACAAAAAAGTGATGACAGTAAGTAGACAAAGGCAAAATCCAGGAGAAGGAAATGTCATGAAAACCAAGGATAGTGAGCATTTTTAAGGAAGAGGAAATGATCAATAGTATCACTTGCTAGATAGTGAGATCATGAAGCAGGATAAGGTGAGAAGGGGTTAACTTGATTTAGCAATAAGGAGACCATAGGTGGTTTTGTTTCATTTCAGTGATGGGTGGGACAATGCTATTAAGGAAGTAGAGTCGAGTAATTGGATAACACTATAAAAACAGATACAGAAATACTTATATCAAAAAGCTGATGTGTAGTTTGGACATAACTATATAATAAGTGAAGCACAATTCCTGGACGACATGTGATGCTCAGTAAATGTGAACCGTCACCACCACTACCACCATCACAACCACTATCATCATCATTTCTTGAGGCAGTGAATTTTCCAAGGGGTTTTTATATATTACCAAACTGCCAGTCATTGGCTGCACTAATTCCATTATTTTTACCTACTTTTAAAAATTCTGGATATAAAATTGAATGATTTTATATGCATGGAAGTAGGATGGGCAAAAGTCTGTAGGCAAAATTGTGTGTTTCTGTGGTTTAAATGGTCAGTTCAGAAGAGACCCAGGCATAGACTATGTGGCATATCAATCCAAATCCTGTGTAAGGATTCATAAGCACAGATAGCACGGATTGAACATTTGCTATCTGCCAGGCACTCTTCTCAGCACTTCATATTCGTTAATTCTCACAATCACCCTATAGGATTAGTACTCCAAATACATCTTCATTAGGTGAGCGGCAAAGAGATCTATGAAGTGTGATAAACAGACAGCACATATTATTTTATGATAGATGTGGTTTGGGCTCTTTTGGGAAAGGTTAAAAGCAATAAAAAGGCCAGGCGTGGTGGCTCACGCCTGTAATCTCAGCACTTTGGGAGGCCGAGGCGGGTGGATCACAAGGTCAGGAGATAGAGGCCATCCTGGCTAACACGGTGAAACCCCGTCTCTACTAAAAATACAAAAAATTAGCCGGGCTTGGTGGCGGGCGCCTGTAGTCCCAGCTCCTCGGGAGGCTGAGGCAGGAGAATGGTGTGAACCCGGGAGGCGGAGCTTGCAGTGAGCCAAGATCTTGCCACTGCACTCCAGCCTGGGCGACAGTGCCAGACTCTGTCTCCAAAAAAAAAAAAAAAAAAAGCAATAAAAAGAGGGATAGGAGAGAGAGAGAGAGAGAGAGAGAGAGAGAGAGAGAGAGACCTCATTCCTGTGCTCTCTCTCCTGTCTCTCCTATTTCTCTCTCCTGTCCATGAGAGTGAGGTTCACATGTTCCGTTTTAAGGATTGACCCATTTCTATAGTGTTTACCAATCATCCTTTTTGAAGATTCTCTGGGTAGGGCTTAGAACACTTGGTAAAGGCTATGCACAGTTCCTTTGTCAATTGGCCAAAGGAAAGAAAACACTGTTGCAGCACTGTTTGAAATGGGCAAATCAGAAATGGCTGCTTGCCTTACCCTTCTCTATGCTCAGTTTATATAAATTGAAGTCATCACTGCAAATGACCAGAGTTAGATGCTATTGTATGTTTGGGAGGATGGGACGGAGGTGGTTAGAATGAGTGTTGGCTGTGGAATTGGAAATACAATTTCACTGTGAAACATTTCCAAAGATACTGCAGGCTAAAATGTCAAAGTATCTCCAGAGGATTTAGTTTTATTACTCACATTGATGTCAGTAGGAGCTGGGTAGTTATAGCCTTGGCTGCTCTCTGGAACTTTGCCTAACTACTCCTGTTTCAGCCATTCGAAATTATTTGTTTCACAGTCTCTCTTTTCCCCTCTACTAAATAAACTAATTTCAAATATTTTGATATTAAGGTAATAGCAGAAAAGTAGTCCCAAAGAACAGCTACTAGCTACAAACTGTCAGCTAGAGAATACAGACAAACCTCTCTTTGTGAAATAAATATTGCCTATAAAAGCAATTCTCTACTGATGAAAGCTGATCTTCTTGTTACTTCCATTATAAACTTGGAAGCTTGCTCCCCAAGAAAATCTCTGACAAATAAAATAAAAATACATTTAAAGGCAGCAAATTTAAAAAACATATTTAAAACTAATTGATGTAATATATACAAACACTTAAATGAGTTTGAAATAGTAAGGTTTATTTTTGTGTTTTAACTTGGCTTAATTTTGAAAAGTTAAATGAGCTCAAACAGAAAAAAACACATTTGACTTGAAGTTCCCTCAACTTCTTTCAGTCTCTATTCCTTCACATTCTGTAAGAGAGTGTTGGCTAGAGGTCCCATTGATTGGACAGACTGTGCTTCCAGTTAAAGAAATGCCATAGCGTATCATTGTTGTTTTTAAAATAAAAAGCATCTTTAAGTGGATGCAGGGAAAGAGAGAACATTGAAGAACACAGGAATAACAATTCAAATGACACGACACTGAATTAACCTTATTCATATTGCATATTTCAGTTTCAGATTCTCCAAAAAGGCGTTTTTGCTAAATGTTATATTAATTCCACAGCATTTTAATTTACTCTTAACTGAAACTCACTTTATGGGAAAAGTTGGACCTTCCCAGAGTCAGGGAGGTCAGACCTAGCACCAACTTCCTGACTTATTTCCCCAAATTCATCTCATTTTGAGCATTTATTTCCCTTGACTTTTTTTTTTCAATTCACCTCTATTCTTCCACTTGCAAATTCTGATTTATAATTTAGTCAGTCAGTAACTAAGCAATTCTCCCCCAGCCTTTGACTGGTTGACGTTATTGGCCAATTATAATAACACTGACAAATTGCTACTCAAATTCCCTATATAAAAGATCCCAGCCTTTAGAGAGAACTTGGGGCTACTCTTGGCAGCACCCCATCATCATCATACCCTCACTTCATTCTTGGGACTGCTGATGTGAATTTTTTATGTTCAAGGATTGGAGCAAATGAAAGATGGCTGGTAATTCTATTTCAGTTTATTTTCCTTTCTCTTGATTTTGGGTCAACCCCGTAACTCTTTAACCAACAGAATGAGGTGAAAGTGATACTGTGCCTGTTCTAGGCTGAGATGTTAAGCTCACTGGCAGCTTCTGCATCCTTTCCTTCAAATGTTTGTTGTTGGGATGCTTTCTCAGACAACAGCTGACAGCCTGTGCAATGCCCCAGTCACTTGGAGAAAGTACAGGACACATGCAGGTGTTCTTGACAACCGCCACAGTTGAGCTCCAGCCAATAGCTAGCATGGACTGCCAGACATGTGAGTGAGCCATTTTCGATGTTTTAGCCTAGTTGAGCCTTTGGATGGCTGCAGCCCCAGCCAACATCAAGTGGAGGAGAAGAACAGAGCCTCATCAACCTGCAGAATTACAAGAGAAAATGAAATAAACAGTAGTGTTTTAAGCCGTTAGGTTTTGGAGTGGTTGGTTACACAGTAATAGATAACAGAAATAGGAATATTTTTTCAGTTATGGTACAAACTAGCAATGTCAAAATGAGGAGAAAGAGAGTTATTCATGAGACAATCAGTGTAGTTCTCTCCTGTGGGAATGGTGGGAGAGTGTGTCTAGTATGTAGACGCTACTGGAGTTTGTTTGCCAAAGCTTTCAAGATTTTTCCTTTTCAGATGTTTTTCCTTGAATACACATCTCCTTCAGGGAACTTGAGGAAGGAACTCTGGTGGCAGAGTGTGATTTGGGCATCCATGATTCTCAGCCCTGGCCATTTTTCTTGCTTTTCCCATCTCATCAGAGCCTCTTTCAATGGAACATTTTAGAGTAAAGGATTAAGGCATCCCTTTCCCCCACTAGCCCTACAGCCTCCTTGAGGGCAGTAACCATGGTTTATTCATCTCTGCCTCTAGCTTCTGGAAAAGAGTCTGTCACATAGCCCTCAGCAGAAATTTAGAGAACTAAGCTTCAGGCCAGAACATTGAAGAATATGTTCAATTTATCTGTATTCTAGCTTAAATTAACTAGGAGCCTGGCTATGTTGTGTCCTCTAACTTATGACTAAAACTTAATCTGTTAACACAAACTGATCTTTATAACAGTATCTTCCTTTGCATGTCTTCCATCGTCTAGTGCTTACTTCCAGGTGCATTTTGGGTATAAGAACATTTACTTGCAAACCTAAGAACTACATATTTGTAAATGTCCTTGTGTTAACTGCCCTGATTTTTTTTTTTTTTTTTTTGAGATGGAGTCTTCCACTGTCCCCCAGGCTGGAGTGCAGTGGAACGGTCTTGGCTCATTGCAAGCTCCACCTCCCGGGTTCACACCACCCTCCTGCCTCAGCCTCCCGAGTAGCTGGGACTACAGGCGCCTGCCACCACGCCCATCTAATTTTTTTTTGTTTTGTTTTGTTTTTGTATTTTTAGTAGACACAGGGTTTCACAGTGTTAGCCAGGATGGTCTAGATCTCCTGACCTTATGATCCACCCTCCTCGGCCTCCCAAAGTGCTGGGATTACAGGCGTGAGCCACCACACCTGGTCTTAACTGCCCTGATTGTTTTAATGTCCTGACTTCACCTTTAATAGATTCTTGACTGTTCTGTGCTGCTCAGTGTTTAGATATTTCTTTCATGAAGACTGATTTCAATGCTTTGTCACTTTGCAAATACCAAAATCTTGCTAAATTGAATATAAAATAGTCCCACAGTTTTTGTTACTGTTTGTTTCTAATCAACAATGGGATCATTGCAGTGTTCTCTATTAACTCAGATTTAAAGGTGTCACTTTTTGTTGTTGTTGTTTTTTTTTTTTTTTTTTTGAGACGGAGTCTCACTCTATCGCCCAGGCTGGAGTGCAGTGGCGCGATCTCGGCTCACTGCAAGCTCCTCTTCCTGGGTTCATGCCATTCTCCTGCCTCAGCCTCCCGAGGAGCTGGGACTACAGGTGCCCGCCACCATGCCCCGCTAATTTTTTGTATTTTTAGTAGAGACAGGGTTTCACCGTGTTAGCCAGGATGGTCTCGATCTTCCGACTTCGTGGTCCGCCCGCCTCAGCCTCCCAAAGTGCTGGGATTACAGGCGTGAGCCACCGCGCCCGGCCTTAAAGGTGTCACTTTTTAATGTTCTCTCTTGCCCATTCTATACTAGCGTAATTCATTCTCACATCTGGAATTTCATTTTATGTCATTGTTTTGATTATAGTACAGAAACAAAGGTGTCATTCCATAATGTAAACTCCTCATTATTTTTAATCATCTTTTTTATCCTTGGAGTATTCAATACCCCATATTTTAATGTACTTACCATTCTATAGTTGTAGACTGCCAGTTAAACTCTTATGTTGGTTAATTATGAACAAGGCACAAAATAAATCATAGAATAGATGGACCTTGTTTTTGCCCAAATGTTCTCTTGACTTTCAGAAAACTACTGAAGCAACTCTGAGAATGTTTCGAATGGGCAGCGGTTGTACTAGATAGTCTCTATTTGACTCTTCCACCTTATATTTTTGTTCTCACCCTGCTCTGTGCACTGGGAGGCTGCCTTCTATTTTTTTTTTTTTTTTTTTTTGAGACGAAGTCTTGCTCTGCTGCCCAGGCTGGAGTGCAGTGGCGCGGTCTTGGCTCACTGCAAGCTCCGGGTAGGCTGCCTTCTAAGGAATAAAACAATGGGCCTCTTTTCCCTCTGGTTGCCACTGGGTTCAATCTGTAGGAGGCATTGGCAGGAAACAAGAGAATGGGAAAATAAAGAGGTCCTGGTGTATATCCCCCTTTCTACTTCCATCCATCTTTGCTTCAGTGTGGTTCTGCCTATGGCTTTGTTCCTATACCAAAGGCCATAGCTGCTAAAATGAGATTCTCCCTGACAAGTATGTATCTTGCTAATTAATCTTGCCTTTCTCTCTCTAAGCATTGGCTCTTTATGGTCTCTAGCCCTGAGATTATTCACCATATCCTCTTTTTTTACATATAAACTTGCCTATGACTTGTAAACTGTTTGTTCATTAAATTTATCTGTTATCACCCCTATTGTGTTTGCTGCCAGGAACTTTGAGGGTTAAAACTTCAAATACTTGTTATCTTCAATTTTTAGACAACAGAGAACTTTGAATCGTATATTTGATAAAAGTCAGAGCCATACCATGTGAATTCATGCAAGGCCTTGAACAACACTTGTTTGGACAATGAATATTAAAAAGTTTTAAGCTTACCTCCCTTCAAATCACTATAACTTTAATCTCAGGGATGCTTTTTTCTTCTAGAAAGTCTTTGTCGAAACTTAGCTCACCTGACATAAGACCCAAAACCATAAAAACCCTAGAGGAAAACCTAGGCAATACCATTCAGGACATAGGCATGGGCAAGGACTTCATGACTGAAACACCAAAAGCAATGGCAACAAAAGCCAAAATTGACAAAAGGGATCTAATTAAACTAAAGAGTTTCTGCGCAGCAAAAGAAACTACCCTCAGAGTGAACAGGCAGCCTACAGAATGGGAGAAAATTTTTGCAATCTATCCGTTTGACAAAGGGCTAATATCCAGAATCTACAAGGAACATAAATTTCCAAGGAAAAAGCAACCCCCTCAAGAAGTGGACAAAGGATATGAACAGACACGTCTCAGAAGAAGACATTTATGTGTCCAAGAAACATATGAAAAGAAAAGCTCATCATCTCTGGTCATTAGAGAAATGCAAATCAAAACCACAATGAGATGCCATCTCATGCCAGTTAGAATGGCGATCATTAAAATGTCAGGAAATAACAGATGCTTGAAAGGATGTGGAGTAATAGGAATGCTTTTACACTGTTGGTGGGAGTGTAAATTAGTTCAACCATTGTGGAAGACAGTGTGGTGATTCCTCAAGGATGTAGAACCATAAATACCATTTGACGCAGCAATCCCATTACTGGGTATATACCCAAAGGATTATAAATCGTTCTACTATAAATACACATGCACACGTATGTTTATCGCAGCACTCTTTACAATAGCAAAGACTTGGAGCCAACCCAAATGTCCATCAATGATAGACTGGATAAAGAAAATGTGTCACATATACACCATGTAATACTATGCAGCCATAAAAAAGCATGCGTTCATGTCCTTTTCAGGGACATGGATGAAGCTGGAAACCATCATTCTTAGCAAACTAACAGAAACAGAAAACCAAACACCGCATGTTCTCGCTCACAAGTGGGAACTGAACAATGAGAACACATAGAGACAGGGAGGGGAACATCACACACCAGGTCCTGTTGGGATGTGGGAGGTAAGGGGAGGGATAGCATTAGGAGAAATACCTAAATGCTTAAGACCTTTAGATTTGTACCATACGGCTTCGCATTTAATCAGTCATCTGTACACCTAAGTTGCCCAGGGCTCCTGAACTTCAGTAATTATGATCCATGCTTGAGGAATTATTCCTTCTTTTCGTTTGAGACCAGAGATTTTCTTCTTTCTCAAAGCTTCAACATGCTTTTATGATCAGGTTGCACATTTCTTTGTTTTGTTCTTTTGAAGAACTTTTCTTACTCTTGATTTTTCTCCTAGCTGTTAAGGGTCTTGTTACCATTGCCTTTATCAAAGAAGAGTATTTCTATCCTTTTCCTATTCATGTTTACAATTCAGTATATATGACCTGTAACAGCTTGTACATACTACAACATATTTTGCATAAGTTACAAAATGACTTTCATCATTTTTGGCAGAAGCTATGAAATTTTATGAAACCTTTATCATTACCAGTAAAACTGATAAAAGAAGAATTTTTAAGTTCAATTTATCTACTTATAAAACAATAATAAATTATGTCTCTATCTACCTATCTCTCAACTTGTGGGTCATCTCACTTACTGAAAACCCAGCTTTCCTGTTCTGGATATAAATTTAAAAATTCACAGAATACCCAGAGAATAGTTAAATTTTGATTGAAACCTAATTCTCCCTGGGTATTAACTGTAGGTTCCTTTTTTGATGCTCTTCTAATAATTTGCTAGCTCTTTGATGAGTTTCTCTAGTTCACATGTATTACACTAGAAAAATATGTATCTATTTCTTAGATATATAAAGAAAAATGAACGTTATGGTTTCTATTATCATCTTTAACACTGTCATTCTACTTGATTTCAGTAATTTATAAGACTTATATTCTTTTCCTTCATTAGGAGAAAAGAGATATTTTGGATGCCCCAGGGAAACAGTGAGTACATACTTGATGACAGGTTATCTTTAAAGCATTCCAAAGTCTTTGTGTGGGAATGACACCTAAATATAAAAATTATATTATTATTCTACTAGAATTATAGAAATAATTTATGCCACAATTAACCATTTCACAGCTACTGTGCACATTAGAAACATTAGTAGCAAAATGCTGGACATATATTTAAGTGCTTTAGATCCATTTAAAACTACACTTTCCCAATCTTTGCTGATTAGCACAGTAGGCTTAATACTAGATACCATCCTAAAAGAAAAGTGATTCTATGTCGCAAGTGGAAGAAATCTGTTTTTGTATTCCAAGAACATAATGTCCATTGATTTCCTATTTTAGAAGACTAACAAGTGAATTAGCATACTTATATCAATAAGAATCTCCTTTTCCTTCTCCTTCTCCTCCTCCTTCATCAAATGGAATGTGTGGATTTTAGTTGAGAATATGAAAAGGATGCTCATGGGCAATTTTAGAAAGCACTTCTGAGCTCATAGGAACAATAACTCTGGACAATAGTTGTTATTACTGCAACCTTTAGTTCAACAGTGAACAGACTGTGTAACTACCTTCCCTGAGTGCACACAGTAAGTAGAGGTCCAGCTGAATTCCAAATCCAGTTGACTGATATGAACATCAGTGCTCTTTCCAGGTCACCCTAGTAGATGTGTAAGAAAGACTGATCTTTTTGATTAAAATTTTTCATCTTCACAAGGGATTCTAAAGAGGAAAACCCTTACTAATTAAGCATGATTTATCATATTGGAAATAACAGGTGCTGGACAATTGCACTGGGCTTCAACTTAGAGGTGGGGAGTCATGCCCTCCTATCCAAGTACTTTATTTTGGAACACTTCTAGAGAAGCAGGATGCAGTAGGATCTTCCTGTACTTTATTGCCAAGTCATGGTTTTGGGACACAGCGATACTCCTGAAATACGTGATTGACCTTGTTGATAACATTGTAGTCTTATGATATTGTCATAGCCCTCTTTTTTCCTTCTGTTTCTAGGTTTTTCTATTCTTTGCTATTTACATGGGCCTATGTAATAGAATCAGAAAGATGTTGGAGTATGATCTTCAATCTAAAGAATATCTGAATCATTTTTCTGTTACTACTTTATAGCAGTCTTCCTTTTCTTCACTGAATCTAGCCTTTTCTATTGGTTCCTACTTTATTCACTCTGAATTGTCTCATATTTAACCTTAGTCTCAGGAAAAAGAGTAAAAACCCACATATGATACTAACTCAAGGAGACCAGAATCCAGACTTTTTATAAAGCAAATTCTAATGTTTATACTTATTCATATATTTATTTACACTATCTTTTGTCATGCCTCCATATACTATTAGTTGCTCTACATACCTGATTTCATAAAACACATGAATTTTTTTCTTTGAAACATGATATTCAATTGATCACTAAAGCCTTCATATTCCTTTTCTCAGTCACCTTATCATCTACCTTTTAAAGCTGATTTCAATCCTATGTAAAGGTATTGCAACTTTCATTTAACAATATCATATCTTTAACTCATATATTACATGGAGAGTTTTAATTCCAGCACTCATTGTTGTACTGATAATGGCTTCCTTTCATTTCTTTGGCACTTCTTATACTCCTAGAATTTACGTAAATATTCCTAGAATTTACATTTTTTCTTCTAACTCTAAAGGAGAATAGAAGCTCAAAATAGAATTTTGATAAAAACTTGTTCTGGGCTCTTAGACACTCTGTTTCTGGATAGAAACACAAATTAATATTTCTGACATACTCTCAATTTTCTAAATATTCTGTATGTTTTGAAACTGCAATGCTTAACATCTTGGTCCATGAGTGTTGGTAGCCAAGCAGCTCTTAGAAGGGCTTTAGATTTGTCCAGTGTATGACAGCAATAGCAAGAAATTTTATTGGGGATGATCTATTTATTGCAGGATAGGGGCCATCTCTCCTTTCTTCTAGGTTGATTGCCTATTACCCAGCCATAAATCCTATCCTTACTCATAGTACCTCCAACAGAAAACAAAAAAAAATCCACAAAAATCACCAGAAATTCAATAATTGATTTTTAGAATCAGAGGTTTAATAATTGATTTTAAAGTATAAAATACAAGAACAAAGTCAAAGAAGAGACATAAAGACATTTCCCAGGCCTCCTAAAGGTACTGTATGTGGGGAAGGAGAAGACTTTGAAATTTGTTATGGAACTTGAGATGGAGATCATACTCAGTCTGGCACCTCCAGCTGTTTTTCATTACAAAGATTGAAAAGTAGAAATTCAAAATAGAGAAAAGGAAAAAGAGACAAGATGCTATAGAAAGTAGATGATAATAAAAGCTAAATTCAGCCTAACACACATACAAGTTTCCCATGTCATATCTTGGAGAACTGAGCTTGGCAAACCTCTGAAATCTCATTTTGGCTGGGCGTAGTGGCTCATGCCTATAATCCCAGCACTTTGGGAGGCCAAGACAGGCAGATCACCTGAGGTCAGGAGTTTAAGACCAGCCTGGCTAACAGGTGAAACCCTGTCTCTACTAAGATACAAAAATTAGCCGTGTGTGGTGGTGCATGCCTGTAGTCCCAGCTACTCAGGAGGCTGAGGTAGGAGAATCGCTTGAACCTGGGAGGCAGTGGTTGCAGTAAGCTGAGGTTGTGCCACCGCACTCTATCCTGGGTGACAGAGAGAGACTCCGTCTCAAAAAAAAAAAAAAAATCTCATTTTGATTTTGAAACTGGAATTTTACTTTGATAGTGGGTTTTCTTGAAGGTTTAGGCAGACTTTTTTTTTCCCCCAATTTGACATTGCTACAAATTCCAGAGTTTGATTTTCCTATGTGCTCTAGGAGAAGTGTCCTTATTCAGCCAAATCCTTTGCTTGCAGGCACACATAATAATTATCCCATGAAAACTCTCAGAGGATCTGTTCTGCAGAGGAGTGGAAGTTTCTTCAGTCTAAAGAAATTGAGTCAGCTTTAAGTATTGATAAGAATAGAAGACCTATGAAACAGGAAGAATTATTTGCTAGACAATGTTTTAAGGTGTGTTTTGAGTAATAAAGTAATGTGATTTGTGCAAGGGGTACAGTGGCCCTGAGCATAACATTTGGTGACTAGACTCATTATGATATCAAGCTTTGGGTCTTATTTGACATTTAATACCCAATTTCTTATTTGGGATTTGACAAACAGGAGAAGCTAAGTGAATATTTGTTGATGTAATGCTTTCTTGCTTGCCATGCTTCAAGACTATCTATGGCAGACCCTTCAACTTCTATTTCATTTGTATTTCTCATAAAGTACTACAAATGGTAGTGGCCCTGTAAATTGTAGGAGCTCAAAGAATACGACGAATGAGAGAACTAATAATTTATAATTAACTGAGCTAGGTGAAATGAATTGTGTGAGGGTAAAAAGTATTTTCCTCTCCTTTCCAGTTCTATAAGTTTATCTTGGCAATAGGTTAAAATGTACTCCCCGAAAAGTTTAACCTTGGGCAAATAATTAGCTTTTGCCATGCCCCGGTAGTACAACTAGTCTATATAGAGTCTAGATTCCTGAAGTTACCTATTGAATACCTAATTCTGAGGGCATCTGAAGCCCCTTTCCCCTAAAATGTTTTGAATTTCTAGAATTTTCTTATTGCCTCACAGGATGTTTAAGTTTCATGAAACCTTAGGTATTATTTGGCTTAAATTCCTCATAATGTAGATGAAGAAATTGGGGTTCAGATTAACAAAATAGAAAATAGGGAATTATTATCTATTGTAAACCTAACGTGCTGGACATCATGCTATATATACTTCTGTCATGCATTATTTATTTTAGAACTTCAAATTACCCTCACTTTATAGATGGACAGCTCTTTAACAATTTTTTTTACTTCTCTGTCCAAGAAGAAAATACTTTCAAACGAATTTGGCAGACTTTCATTGAAAATTATTTTAATTACCAGAGGAGTTAATATACTTTTTCAGAAGCCATGTAAGAATTAAGGGTGATTAAAAGCCAATTAAAAGAGTCAGATTTTGATTGATGTACTATTCTTTCCGCAGTTTATTTGATCTAAGAGGCAGCTTTAACATTTCTTCTACTCATAAAACACAATGGCATTTTAAAATTAATATGTAAAAGGTGAAGGCTTAGCATAATTCATTATCTCTTTCATTAGTAATAGAATTCTTACTTAATTCCAGGTAGAAACGCAACCAACTAAAAGATTATATTTCCTAGCCTCCCCTGTATGTAGGGACAAACAGAGATGTTAATGAAAGATGTTGAGTGAAGCTTATAAAAAAGCTACTTTTGTCCTTTTCTCCTTCCTATAATTTTCTGTCTGGATCATGACTATGTTGACTGGAGCTCCAGAAGGACAGAGCATAGTTTCCTATTAGCCTTGGAGAGTACCATACTGGCCTTAGCTGCCCGCTGCTCAACTTCTAGATGAAAGGATAGATCTTTATGTTTAAACCACTATTGTCAGATTTCTATTACCAGCCACAAAAAAATTCCCCACTGATAAATGAGCTATGGCAGCTTTGGAAGGGCTCATTAGTGTTTTAAACTGTGTTCCATCATTTTGTGGTTTCTTAATGTTGTCTAAGGGGTCACCTGGGAAGGTTTGGAAAGATGGAGGGCATGATTCTCAAATCCATTGTTGTCTGTCCAATGAAAACATCTCTAATTCCATCTGTTTTATTATTTAGACATCTGTGTGGCATTTAATTCGAACCAAGTTCCCATAGCTTAAAGTAATCTGAAAACCACTGAGTTCTAGACCAAAGTTCTCATCATATTGCTAAAACAATGACTGTGTCTCATGCACTCTTCTAAATGCTTGCCAGATAATAAATCATGTAACTCCCTCAATAACCCTATGAGCTAAGTGTTATTACTTTTCCCATCCTGCATAAGAGAAAATCAAGGCACAGAAACATTTAGTAACTTTTGCAAAGTATGTATCTTGTAAGTGGCATAGCTGAGATTCAATCCTGGCAGCTTGCTCCAAAATCCAGGCTTTGAAAATCCAGGCTTTGAAACCCTATACTGCTTCTACACTTGATTACTAAATTAATGCCATGGAATATAAGTTATTTTCTTAAGTTCAAATATTTTTATAGGAGATCTGATCCAAGCTCTCAGAGTACTTAACTCTAACCTAAAATTTTTCCCAGAACACCAAACAAAATCCTATTTCTGGTTTGTTAACACTTTTTTTTTGTTTCTATATGGCACAATAATTCAATTGACAAATAAAGAAAAAGAGTAAAGATAAGTAAAGAAAAGTCACTTTCTTAGTTGCTGCAGTTGCAAATGAATGATACCCAGCACCAATAAGTTCAAATTTCAGCTCCTTGCATCTTTTTAAAAAATAGCTCTCTTAAACTGTTAACAGTGACACCATGTTTGGCTAAAATCTTTTCTATCCCCATCAGCTTTCTTTTAAACATTAACCTCATCTCTCTCCATATACTTCAAGCCTTCTATTAATCCCAGACTTTGCAAATCTTTCAGGATTCTGGAACACAAGTAGTCTAGTGTTAGACAGCTGATAAAGTCTGTCTCCAGACCCTGCTGCACTAGTCCTTTTAAAATCAACTCAGTATTAACTAAATATGGCTTCAATGTTATCATTTCTTTTACTAACCCATTAACAATTCTAGCCTCTTGACTGTTTCCTTATAAAACCACCAATGCACAATTTTATACAGGATATTTTCTATTAGAATTTAGAGTTTTAATTCTATTACAAATTACAGTTGCATACAAGGAAAGAAATTCTGGTTTCCTGGGGAAAATTTCCGTATGTAAACATTTCTCCTGGATACACATATGCTTCTTTTAATTTTAACCCACAGAATTTTATGCACTCAACAAAAGTAATCAGTTGATAATTTTAAAAAATTCAGAGATTAAGATTTCTCTTAGACCTTTGATTGATACTAAATGTTGAATATAGTTTTCTTACAATGTAAGAAATTCCAGGCCTGGGTGCAGTGGCTCATGCCTGTAATCCCAGCACTTTGAGAGGCTGAGGCGGGCGGGTCACAAGGTCAGGAGTTTGAGACCAGCCTGGCCAATGTGGTGAAACCCCATCTCTACAAAATAATACAAAATACACTATACAAAATAAATTAGCTGGGAGTGGTGGTGTGCACCTGTAATCCCAGCTACTTGGGAGGTTGAGATAGGAGAATTGCTTGAACCCTGGAGGAGGAGGTTGCACTGAGCCGAGATCGCTCCACTGCACTCCAGCCTGGGCAACACAGCAAGACTCCATCTAGAAAAAAAAGAAGAAGAAGAAAGAGAAGAAAGAAAGAAAGAAGAAAAGAAAGGAAAAGACAAGAGAAAAAGAAATTCCAAAAGGGAAACAATTTGCTTTTAAAATAGTGCAGATGTTAGCTCTTGGCTATTTTCTCTGCTAATGGTCAGAGACAGACTTTTGTTTCTACTTATTTAGTTCTGTTCTAAGAATATGAAAGAAGGATTTCTCTTTTTCTTTTCTTTCTTTTCTTTCTTTTTTTTTTTTTTTGAGGCAGAGTCTCGTTCTGTCACCAGGCTGGAGTGCAGTGGCGCGATCTCACTCACTGCAACTTCCGCCTCCCAGGTTCAGGCAATTCTCCTGCCTCTGCCTCCCAAGTAGCTGGGATTACAGTCCAGTGCCACCATGCCCGGCTACTTTTTGTATTCTTAGTAGAGACAAGGTTTCGCCATTTTGGCCAGGCTGGTCTTTCTTTTTTTTCTTTTTTGAGACGGAGTCTCGCTCTGTCGCCCAGGCCGGAGTGCAGTGGCGCGATCTCGGCTCACTGCAAGCTCCGCCTCCTGGGTTCATGCCATTCTCCTGCCTCAGCCTCTCGAGTAGCTGGGACTACAGGCGCCCGCCACCACGCCCGGCTAATTTTTTGTATTTTTAGTTAGAGATAGGGTTTCACCGTGTTAGCCAGGATGGTCTCGATCTCCTGACCTCGTGATCTGCCTGCCTTGGCCTCCCAAAGTGCTGGGATTACAGGCGTGAGCCACCGCGCCTGGCCTGGCCAGGCTGGTCTTGAACTCCTGACCTCAGGTGATCTGCCCGCCTAGGCCTCCCAAAGTGCTGGGTGGGATTACAAGCGTGAGCCACCGTGCCCAGCCAAAAGAAGGATTTTTCTTTACAAGACTTTCGTAAATGTGGAGATAGAATATCTTCATCATTTTGCTGAGTACTTTTTAGAAGAATGCAAGCTATAAAGAAAGAGTGGTAGAGATGACTTTGTTTTTTTTTTCTTTTTCTTTTTTTTATTATACTTTAAGTTCTAGGGTACATGTGCACAGAGTGCATGTTTGTTACATATTTTACATGTGCCATGTTGGTGTGCTGCACCCATTAACTCGTCATTTACATTAGGTATTTCTCCTAATGCTATCCCTCCCCTCTCGCACCACCCCATGACAGGCCCCAGTGTGTGATGTTCCCCACCATGTGTCCAAGTGTTCTCATTGTTCAGTTCCCACCTATGAATGAGAACATTCAGTACTTGGTTTTCTGTCCTTGTGATAGTTTGCTCAGAATGATGGTTTCCAGCTTCATCCATGTCCCTACAAAGGACATTAACTCATCATTTTTATGGCTGCATAGTATTCCATGGTGTTTATGTGCCACATTTTTTTAATCCAGTCTATCATTGGTGGACATTTGGGTTGGTTCCAAGTCTTTGCTATTGTGAGTAGTGCCATGATAAACATACATGTGCATGTGTCTTTGTAGTAGCATGATTTATAATCCTTTGGGTATATAGCCAGTAATGGGATTGCTGGGTCAAATGGTATTTCTAGTTCTAGATCCTTGAGGAATCACCACACTGTCTTCCACAATGGTTGAACTAGTTTACACTCCCACCAACGGTGTAAAAGCGTTCCTATTTCTCCACATCAGCTCCAGCACCTGTTGTTTCCTGACTTCTTAATGATCGCCATTCCAACTGGTGTGAGATGGTATCTCATTGTGGTTTTGATATACATTTCTCTGATGGCAAGTGATGATGAGCATTTTTTCATGTGTTTTTTGGCTGCATAAATGTCTTCTTTTGAGAAGTGTCTGTTCATATCCTTTGCCCACTTTTCGATGGGGTTGTTTTATTTTTTTTGTAAATTTGTTTAAGTTCTTTGTAGATTCTGGATATCAACCCTTTATCCAATGGGTAGATTGCAAAAATTTTCTCCCATTCTGTATGTTGCCTGTTCACTCTGATGGTAGTTTCTTTTGCTGTGCAGAAGCTCTTTAATTAGATCTCATTTGTCTATTTTGGCTTTTGTTGCCATCACTTTCGGTATTTTAGTCATGAAGTCCTTGCCCATGCCTATGTCCTGAATGGTATTGCCTACGTTTTCTTCTAGGGTTTTTATGGTTTTAGGTCTAACATTTAAGTCTTTAATCCATCTTGAATTAATTTTACAAGGTGTAAGGAAGAGATCCAGTTTCAGCTTTCTACATATGGCTAGCCAATTTTCCCAGCACTATTTATTAAATAGTGAATTCTTTCCCCATTTCTTGTTTTTGTCAGGTTTGTCAAAGATCAGATAGTTGTAGATATGTGGCATTATTTCTGAGGGCTCTGTTCTGTTCCATTGGTCTATATCTCTGTTTTGGTACCAGTACCATACTGTTTTGGTACCAGTACCATACTATTTTGTTTACTGTACCCTTGTTGTATAGTTTGAGGTCAGGTAGCATGATGCTTCCAGATTTGTTCTTTTGGCTTAGGATTGTCTGGGCAATGTGGGCTCTTTTTTGGTTCCATATGAACTTTAAAGTATTTTTTCCACTTCTGTGAAGAAAGTCATTGGTAGCTTGATGGGGATGGCATTGAATCTATAAATTACCTTGTGCAATATGGCGATTTTCACTATATTGATTCTTCTATCCATTTCTTTGTGTCTTCTTTTACTTCATTGAGCAGTGGTTTGTAGTTCTCCTTGAAGACGTCCTTCACATCCCTTGTAAGTTGGATTCCTAGGTATTTTATTCTCTTTGAAGCAATTGTCAATGGGAATTCACTCATGATTTGGCTGTCTGTCTGTTATTGGTGTATAAGAATGCTTGTGATTTTTGCACATTGATTTTGTATCCTGAGACTTTGCTGAAGTTGTTTATCAGCTTAAGGAGATTTGGGGCTGAGATGATGGGGTTTTCCAAATATACAATCATGTCATCTGCAAACAGGGACAATTTGACTTCTTCTTTTCCTAATTGAATACCCTTTATTTCTTTCTCCTGCCTGACTGCCCTGGCCAGAACTTCCAACACTATGTTGAATAGGAGTGGTGAGAGAGGGCATCCCTGTCTTCTGCCAGTTTTCAAAGGGAATGCTTCCAGTTTTCGCCCATTCAGTATGATATTGGCCGTGGGTTTGTCATAAATAGCTCTTATTATTTTGACATACATCCCATCAATACCTAGTTTATTGAGAGTTTTTAGTATGAAGAGCTGTTGAATTTTGTCAAAGGCCTTTTCTGCATCTATTGAGATAATCATGTGGTTTTTGTCTTTGGTTCTGTTTATATGCTGGATTACATTTATTGATTTGCGTATGTTGAACCAGCCTTGCATCCCAGGGATTAAGCCAACTTGATCGTGGTGGCTAAGCTTTTTGATATGCTACTGGATTCAGTTTGCCAGTATTTTATTGAGGATTTTTGCATCAATGTTCATCAGGGATATTGGTCTAAAATTCTCTTTTTTGGTTGTGTCTCTGCCAGGCTTTGGTATCAGGATGATGCTGGCCTCATAAAATGAGATAGGGAGGAATCCCTCTTTTTCTATTAATTGGAATATTTTCAGAAGGAATAGTAACAGCTCCTCTTTGTACCTCTAGTAGAATTCGGCTATGAATTCGTCTGGTCCTGGACTTTTTTTGGTTGGTAGGGTATTAATTATTGCCTCAACTTCAGAGCCTGTTATTGTTCTATTCAGGGATTCAACTTCTTCCTGGTTTAGTCTTGGGAGAGTGGATATGTCCAGGAATGTATCCATTTCTTCTGGATTTTCTAGTTTATTTGCATATAGGTGTGTATAGTATTTTCTGATGTTAGTTTGTATTTCTGTGGGATCGGTGGTGATATCCCCTTTATCATTTTTTATTGCATCTATTTGATTCTTCTCTCTTTTCTTCTTTATTAGTCTTGCTAGCGGTCTATCAATTTTGTTGATCTTTCAAAAAACCAGCTCCTGGATTCATTGTTTTTTTGATGGGTTCTTTGTGTCTCGATCTCCTTCAGTTCTGCTCTGATCTTAGTTATTTCTTGCCTTCTGCTACCTTTTGAATGTGTTTGCTCTTGCTTCTCTAGCTCTTTTCACTGTGATGTTAGGGTGTCGAGTTTAGATCTCTCCTCCTTTCTCTTGTGGGCATTTATTGCTATAAATTTCCCTCTACACACTGCTTTAAATGTGTCCCAGAGATTCTGGTATGTTGTGTCTTTGTTCTCATTGGTTTCAAAGAACATCTTTATTTCTGCCTTCATTTCGTAATTTACCCAGTAGTCATTCAGGAGCAGGTTGTTTAGTTTCCATGTAGTTGAGCGGCTTTGAGTGAGTTTCTTAAACCTGAATTCTAATTTGATTGAACTGTGGTCTGAGAGACAGTTTGTTATAATTTCTGTTCTTTTGCATTTGCTGAGGAGTGCTTTACTTCCACTATGTGGTCAATTTTGGAACAAGTGTGATGTGGTGCTGAGAAGAATGTATATTCTGTTGATTTGGGGTGGAGAGTTCTGTAGATGTCTGTTAGGTCCGCTTGGTGCAGAGCTGAGTTCAATTCCTGGATATCCTTGTTAACTTTCTGTCTCATTGATCTGTCTAATGTTGACAGTAGGGTGTTAAAGTCTCCCATGATTATTGTGTGGGAGTCTAAGTCTCTTTGTAGGTCTCTAAGGACTTGCTTTATGAATCTGGGTGCTCCTGTATTGGGTGCATATATATTTAGAATAGTTAGCTCTTCTTGTTGAATTGATCCCTTTACCATTATGTAATGGCCTTCTTTGTCTCTTTTGATCTTTGTTGGTTTAAAGTCTGTTTTATCAGAGACTAGGATTGCAATCCCTGCTCTTTTTTTTTTTTCCATTTGCATGGTAGATCTTCCTCCATCCCTTTATTTTGAGCCTATGTGTGTCTCTGCACGTGAGATGGGTCTCCTGAATACAGCACACTGATGGGTCTTGATTCTTTATCCGATTTGCCAGTCTGTGTCTTTTAATTGGAACATTTAGCCCATTTACATTTAAGATTAATATTGTTATGTGTGAATTTGATCCTGTCATTATGATCTCAGGGGTGGTGGCTATAGGGATGAGAGGGGTGGGCCACTATATTTGCTGTTTGGGCATCTTATCCATTCCAGCCTTCAGGCTTTGGATTCTGAGCCCACCCAGGGTGGAAAAGATCCCTCGGCACAACACAGCTCCTCTACCAATATGTGGCCAGTCTGCTGCTTTAAGTGGGTGCCTGATCCCCTTTCTCTTCATTGGGCAGGACCTCCCAACTGGAGCCTCCAGCCACCCCTGCCTGAGCTCTCCAGCTGACAGAGATCTGAATTCCCCCTGAGACAGTGCTCCCAGAGGGAGGGGTGGGCCACCATCTTTGCTGTTGGGGTGACTTACCCATTCCAGCCTTTGGGCTTTGGAGTGTCTGAGGCACCCAGTGGCTGAAGTGGATCCCTAGCACAGGACAGATACTGTACCAAAACATGGCCAGTCTGCTTTTTAAAGTGGGTCCTGATCCTGTTCCTCTTTACTAGATGGGACCTCCCAACCCGGGTCTCCAGCCACTTCCTACAGGTGCCTTTGGGTTGCCAACAGGTCCATACTTCGCTGGGACAAAGCTCCCAGAGAGAGGAACAGGCTGCCATGTTTGCTGTTTTGCAGCCTTCATTGGTGACACCTCTAGGTTCTGGAAAATCCGAGATAACTAGGCACTGGAGTGGGCCCCAAGCGTACTGCAGCAGCCCTACAGAAACGTGGTCTGACTGCTACATGGGTGCCCCTGCCCATAGCTCCCCACAGAGCAGGTCTTTCAGGCCAGGGCCTCCAGCCAAGCCTGCCAGAACTATCGAGCCAGTACCAACTCAGCAACACCCTGGACAGAGCCTCCAGGGGCAACTGAAAGCCTCTCTGCCAGTGCCTCTGCAGAGGAACTGCCCTTGCCACCTTCAGACTAATGAAGGAATAAAGAACCCTGAGTGCTTTATGCATAACTCCAACAAGCTGCTGTTGACCTTCGGAGAGGTGGTCAGTTCATCTTCCATGGGTCCCATACCACTGCCCCCACCACCCAACTCATCACCAGACAAGGAACCCCTGGCTTGGGCCCACAGCACAAACCCTCCATCTTGGGCTGATTGCACTGAGCAATGACTGACCTGCATTTCTCTTGGGTGGAGCCCCCAGGAGTCAGGCAAACTACCCTTGGCCACCACCACTACTGCTGCCTCTAAGCTAGGGGAGAAACATAAACACTGAGATTGCCCCAGAGCTGCAGTAGGAAGCCCAGGAATGCTAAGTCATGAACTACAGCCAGCACTTAAGAGGGGGAGGAACTCACACTTTCAGAGCACTGAGAGGGAACACAACTGTGAGGAAATATAAGGAAGTCACACAACTGAGCAAGAATCTATCAACTGACCAATAAGCCTTAGTGTCATCTGCTGGATCACACTGCAAAGCTTCAACACTAAAAATATCTCACTAACATACCCCCACTCTGAAACCAGAGACAAGAAGTCAGCTTCAAATATAACCCTACACAAAGCCATGGCCTGATGAAAGCATCCAGAAAAGAAGTCTATTGACTGTACACCGTCTACACTGCAGATAAAGGAACACCCACACACAGAGATGAGAAAGAATCAATGCAAGAACTCTGGTAACTCAAATTTCCAGAGTGTCATATGTCCTCCAATCAACTGTAATAGTTCTCTAACAAGATTTCTTAGCCAGACTGAGCTTGCTGGAATGACAGAAATAGAATTCAGAATATGGATAGGAACAAAGATCATTGAGATTCAGGAAGATGACAAAATCCAATCCAAGGAAAATGAGAATCACAATAAAATAATACAGGAGCTGAAGGATGCAGTAGCTGGTATACAAAAGAAACAATGCCATTATTATCAAACCATCAACAAAATTCTTCACAAAACTAGAAAAAATTATTTTAAAAATTATATGAACCCCCAAAAGAGCCCAAATAGCCAAGGCAGTCCTAAGCAAAGAGAGCAAAGCTGGAGGAATCATATTACCTGACTTCAAACTATACTACAAGGCTATAGTGACCAAAACAGCATGGCACTGGTACAAAAACAAGAACATAGACCAGTTGAGTAGAATAGAGAGCCCAGAAATAAGACCACACATCTATGACCATCTGATCCTCAACAAAGGTGACAAAAATGAGTAAAGGGGAAAATATTCCCTACTCAATAAATGATACTGGGATAACTGGCTAGCCATATGCAGAAGATTGAAGCTGGACCCCTTCCTTACAGCATATACACAAATCAACTCAAGATGGAATAAAGGCTTACATGTAAAACCCGAAACTGTAAAAACCCTAGAAAACAACCTAGTAAATACCATCCAGGGCATAAGAACAAGGCAAAGATCTCGTTAAAAAGACACCAAAAGCAATCACAACAAAAGCAAAAATTGACAAATGGGATCTAATTAAGAGATTCTGTACAGCAAAATAAACTATCAACAGGATACAGAGACAGCCTACAGAATAGGAGAAAATATTTGCTAACTATGCATCTGACAAAGGTCTAATATCCAGCATTTATAAGGAATTTAAACAAATTTACAAGAGAAAAACAACCCCATTAAAAAGTGGGCAAAGGACATGAACAGACACTTCTCAAAAGAAGACATACACGGGGCCAACAAGCATATGAGAAAAAGCTCAGTATCACTGATCATTAGAGAAATGCAAGTCAAAACCACAATAAGATGCCATCTCACACCAGTCAGAACGGCTACTATTAAAAAGTCAAAAAATAACCAATGCTGGTGAGGTTGCAGAGAAAAGGGAACCCTTATACACTGTTGGTGGGAGTATAACTTAGTTCAATCATTATGTAAAGCAGCATGGCGATTCCTCAATGAGCTAAAAGCAGAACTACCATTTGATCCACCAATCCCATTACTGGGTATATACTCAGAAAAATATAAAGCATTCTACCGTAAAGACACATCCATGCAAATGTTCAATGCAGCACTGGATATTTCAATAGCAAAGACATGGAATCAACCTAAATGCCCATCAATGACAGAGTGGATAATGAAAATGTTACATATGTGCCATGGAGTATTATGCAGCCATAAAAAAGAACGAGATCATGTCTTTTGTGCGAACATGGATGGAGCTGAAGGCTATTATCCTTAGCAAACTAATGCAGGAACAGAAAACCAAATACCGCATGTTCTTACTTACAAGTGGGAGCTAAATGATGAGAACTTATGAACACAAAGAAGGGAACAATAGACACTGAGGTTTACTTGAGCAGGGAGGGTGGGAGGAAGAGAGGAGCAGAAAAGATAGCTATTGGTACTGAGTTTAATACCTGGGTGATATAATAATATGTACAACAAATCCCCATGACACATGTTTATTTTCGTAACAAACCTTCACATTTATCCCCAAACCTAAAACAAAAATTTTAAAAAGGAAAAAAAATGCAAATTTCATAAAATACTTCTGAAATAAAGGACAAATAGGAATTTACATTGCTGTGTGCTTGTATTGGCATAAAGAAACTGTGGAAGGAAGCACAGGAGTAGGAATGAGGAGAATGGTTACCAACAGGGATTAGCTGGGGGAAATGGGGAGGATGAAGATAGGGACATTGGTGGGAACAGAATTTCCATTTGTATTTCTTTCCATGGTCTTGATTTTGACCAATTTGAATACATTATCTATTAAAATATAATACAGTTTAAAAATGCCAGCATATAGTGGATCCTTTAGATTGTAAACTTTTTTTTTCTAGGCCTCATGTTTCTTTTTTTCTTTCTGTTTGTTTATTTTGATATAAGGAAAGTTCTCTTCAGTCCTGATCTCAGTAAATTGAGTGTGTAGTTTGTCCTTGATCCTTTCCATTATCCACGTGGTGCCTGCTAAAATTTACTCATTCATTCATCAAAGAGTTATTTTCTACTATGTGCCAGTCATTCTTCTAGCCACTGGGCTATGTATCAGTGAAAACACAACAAAGATAAATGTCCATCCTTATGGAGCTCATATTTTAGCTTTAGGAAGAGCTTACAGATAATAGAATATACTTAAGTTTAATACATAGTATGTCAGATGATGCTAAGTGTTCTGGAAAAACTAAAAGAGAGAGGGACAGAGAGAGTAGGGGAAGTGTGTTGGTGGTTGGAATTGTTGACAAGGTCATTGAACATCTCATGAAGAAAAGAGTCCTGTTTTCTTTCAATCTGTAGGACTCCTAGCCAGAATTCCGCTATTTTGCAGGTATTTAATTTGGATATTTTAGGCAGAAGAAGGAATTTCTGGTTTTATTTCTTAGACTTATTTTGGTGAGAAATAAATTTTAATACTCATAAGTTTTTGTGATTCTTTCCTTATTAAAAACAGTGAGTTAAAAAAAAAAACCCAAAACAAACCAACGTGTAATTTCTCAGGAGTTCTATTCCATGGATCTTCTTAGGTCACAGCCACACTGTCACACGTAAGTGGCTTTTAGCTCAAGTGCCTTTTGCCATGAAATTATTTCCACAGTTGGTGCCAAAAAAGTTATTAAAGGGAAGGATGATGGGGAGGGGAGTATTACAAGAGCTGTGATTCCTGAGAAAGCAGCTCCTTGCTTGGAGGCTTCTCTCTTTCTAATGAGTAGTGGGAATCTGTGTCCAAAATGTGGAAGTTCTCCTCGTGTCTTCTCCTCTTGCATATCCCCAACAAGGATGTTCCTCTGAGATTTTATTAATGCCATTGCCATCTGACTGTGAAAATTGGTGGCTTTTATAAATTAAGTTTCCAGTCCCTATGAAATTTTGAATCTTAAAGAAAAATGCTTTCACTGCTATTAAAATGAGAAGTTGAGGGTGGATGAATTAGGTGTTGCTCACTTTGTGTCAAGAGAACCTAGAGGTTTCTTTATATTTTATTTTTACTTTAATCTAATGTTATTCAAAGCATTTCATTAATATAATTTAGAAAGTCAAATGGTTCTTAAAATGAGAAATGAGAACACTTTGCTCCACTTGGCCCCAATCTGATTGTTATACTCTGGAGGAAATCATTTCCAATATTTTAGCTTTTTGTTTTTCATTTACTTCTATATTTCTAAAAAACATAATCACATTGCTATTTTTGAACTGTGAATTTCGTATCTTATCCATAGATTCCTATTGTACTCTCTTTTATATGCCACCTACCCCAAACATTTTAGTTAAATTAATATTCACTGCTTGTATTATTATGACATTGCTATTATTATTTATAAATGATGACTCTATTGCATATTGCTTTCCTTGGTCATCTTTTTATTTTTTGTGAGTTGCTAAGTAATTCATTTTTCTTTTGCCTTGTTTTCTTCTATATAACCATTATTACTAATTTATTCTCAGATTCTCACAAGAAATAGAAATCTTTTTTCAAATGGTTAAAATGTATCACATAGTATGTTGATTTTATTTACTTATTTTGGAGACATTGCTTCTGGCAGCCTTCACTCCCAACTTGGTCTTTTGCTTTCTGGTTTTCCCATACTGTGTTCCAGAGCTGCCCTTTTCTCAGCATTGTTAGGATTTCCTAAGCCTCTCTTTCATCTGGATGTAATATTTCTTGGATTTCATGTCTTATTCATTTGGGTTTTATTCCCTTGATTTCGTGAGGGAACATCTTACAGGAATATGAGAAATTGGTCTTTGGAGTAAAATTGTTTGAGACTTTCCACATCTAATAATATATATTTTTTTCACACTTGAATAATTGTTTGGCTGAGGATAGAATTCTGTGTTGGAAATCATTTCCCATCAGATATGTGCAGGCCTTGCTAAGTTAATTAATTGTCTTCTAGCTTCCGGTGTTGCTCTTGCAGTGTCTGAAGAAATCTTGTAAACTTTTTATTTTGAAATAATTATAGCCCCACAGGAAATAGCCAAAATTATAAAGAGTCCCTTGTATTCTTCCCTCATGTTTCCTCAATGGAAACACCTGCACGGTTATACAATATTAAATGATGCTATTTTAATTATAACTTCTATGCAAATGACATTTTTTTTCTAAAATTTTCAGAACATGAAAACTTACCCCTCTAGGTATTCTGAAATTTTATAATGAGGTATCTTGGTGTGAGTTTTCCTTTTCCATTATTAAATCTGCTGAGCATTCAGTGGGTCTTCATTTTTCAAGTTCCCTCTCCTCCACTTCCATTGCTATCTGCTCTCTTTTTTCTTTCTTGAATTTTATTGTTCTTTTAAAAATGTTCTATTTAATAGCCTTCTTGAAAAATAATACATGTAATAATTTTTTTCCTTCTGCCTTTTAATTCTTTACCTTTATAAGAGCTGTCCTCAATGAGTCTTTTTGTTTTGTTTTAGAAACAGTATTGTTTGCTCTGTTGCCTGGGCTGGAGTGCATTGGTACCATCATAGCTCACTGTAACTTTCAATTCCTGGGTGCGAGCACGCCTCCTCTCTCAGACAGAGTAGCTGGGACTACGGGTGTGTGCCACCATGCCAAGCTAATTTTCAATTTTTTGTGGAGATGGGGTGGTGTCGTGCTATCTTGTTCAGGCCTGTCTTGAACTCCTGGCCTCAAGTGATCCTACTGCCTTGGTCGCTCAAAGTCCCAAAGTGCTGGATTAGAGGCTTGGGTCACTGTGCCCAACTCCATTAGTCTTTTTGAATGTTATCCTTTTATTTTTGTTAAGAATACAATATCTCTTAAAAAAAGTCTCCGAGGATATTAATCATATTTCTTTTGAACATGTACTTATCCCCCTGCCTCTACTTTGCTTTCTCTGGGTTCTCTTTTCAATGTTAGGGTCTTTTCTCCCACATGGGAGGAGGGGCCAGGAATTCCAGGCTTTACTTTTTTTTTTTTTTTTTTTTTTTTCGGAATAGAAATTCAGTGAGACCTATTATCATCTCCACCTGCTGTCTCACCTTCAGTGGCACCTGAGGCCTCACTCCTGACTGAACTCATACAGCCTCAGGGCTTGTTTCTTGGCTTCTCCTCCCAGAAGCACTTATCTTTTTCTTATCTGATCCACCTGCTCTCCAGGTTCTAAAACTATCCTTTTCTTTGCTCTCATTTCTCACCAATCCCATTTCTTTTGTCCTTATACATTAATGCTGTAAACTCTTAAATTACTGCCATTTTGACACGGCATGGAAGTAAGCATGTTCAAGCTGTGTGATTTACCTTGGAATTTCTGTAATAATGCTTAATTCCTAATTATTGCAAGTATATAGAAAGTGTTTTGATTCTGTGTATGATATTTTATAGCCAAAAACTTCATGAAATTCTCTAAAAATAATTATCATTTCCTAGGTAGATGATCATTTTTCTCTTTTATAAATTTGAAAACAAATTTTCTTCATTCACTAGTGCTTATAAAATTATTTATAAAAAATTTTAGCTGTTTATTTTTTCTTGTCTCACTTTATTGGCTAGTATTTTAAATTCATTTAAAAATAATTTTAGTTAATTTCTTTGATTTTTCTAAGTAATAATTTGGTGATATAGTTTGGCTGTGTCCCTAACCAAAATATCTTGCATCGTAATCCCCTTAATCCCCATAATCTCCACGTGTGAAGGGGTCAAGGGAGAGACCAGGTGGAGGTAATTGAATCATGGGGGCATTTCCTCTAGGCTGTTTTCAGGATAGTGAGTGAGTTTTCAGGAGACGTGATGGTTTTATAAGGGTTTGGTAGTTCCTCCTGCGTTCATTCTCCCTCCTGCAGACTCTTGAAGAAAGTGCTTTGCTTTCCCTTCGACTTCTGCCATGATTGTGAATGTCCTGAGGTCTCCCCAGCAGTGCAGAACTGTGAGTCAATTAAACCTCTTTCCCTTCGAAATTATCCAGTCTTAGGCAGTTCTTTATAGCAGTGTGAAAACAGACCAATACATTTAGTTTTTCCTTTCTAAACCTGAAATATATTTTTGTCTTACTCCATTATCACTTTCAGAAATATTAAATCAAACCGTCAGCATTCTTTTAGTATTCCTTAATGATATAGCCATTAATTTTTTCCACATACAGTTTGATTGTTGTTTTTACATAAATATCCTTTATTGTGTTAACAAAATATTCTATCCTTCATTGAATTGTGCTTTTTCTAAAGTTATAAATGAATATTAACTTTTTTATAATCCCATTTTGGTATTTATTGTTTTATTCATGTGTGTGTTCTTATTTATTCTGTAAAAACTTACTAGGTTGGCACAAAAGTAATTGTGGCAATGGCAAAAACTGCAATTACTTTGCACCAACAGAATACATTCCTAATTGATGCCATTTTCCAGTAATATTTGTTTCTCTATTTCTTTTATAGTTAACCTTTCTAGATTACTTTGTTAAGGTACATGGATATTGCTATTTTTATTGCATGGATTTTTAAGATATTAGTAGGGAGCTTAAATTTTTTAGTAAATTCTTAGCTTACCACCTTGAGCTTTGCATTGCTTTCTCAGAAATAAAACTTTAAAATTACCTTACAGGGTTTTCTTTTCTTTTGGTTCTCTCAGCCCCAATGTATCTCTTGAATTTTATGATATGAATAGTCCCTTGTCGATTTTCCAGTGTCAGCCTCTTGTATCTTATTTATAACTCATTTTATCATTATCAGAATTCTGGAACCATTGAGAATATTACTTGTGTTTAAGTTTTGGGCATAAAGTCTTCTTTTATCTATTTCTAAATATTTGCCTTAAAACCTTTATAAGAATATTAAAAATGTATATACATTTTGAAAGAAGTTAAAAATTATGGATTTAAGAAGTAGTCATAGAAAACTTGAGAAATGTAATAATTATATATTTCATAGGAAAGTGGAAAATGGCAGATGATGATATTCATCTAATATCAACATTCTGATAAATACACTCAAATTTGCATTGACTTTCAGGATAACAGGTCGACAAAAATATCTACATTATTTATACCATCTGTAGTTCTATAGCACGTTTTTCATATTCTCCTTAGTTCTATCTATAACATTATAAAGGTATTATCAGGAAATAAAACTGTTATTATGTTTTATAAATATCATTCCTTTCTAGTAAAGACATATCCTAGTACTCTCTTATCCGAAAGGGATTATTTTCATTGAAGATAAATTATGGCTGGATTAAAGATTTTTAAAACTATGTTATAGCTGATTTGCTACCATTTCTTACATGGAGGAGCCACCTGCTTGAGGGAGGACATGGTGAATAATAGCAGAAAATTAGAGAATATTGCAGTTTTGTTTAAAAACTTAATTTTCTTTTTCCTTCTAAATAGAAGGAATGACTACTGAGCAACTATATAGTATTTTCTATGTTGTTATTCTTTCAAAATGGATTAGTCGTCAGAGAAATGTAAAAGATATTCATCAGACTTAGGTACATATTTCTACTAGACATGTTCCTGCTAGATGAAGACATAGTTAACTATCCGTTGATGAACAGAAATGGTAAGCAAATAAATAAAAGGAAATTCTGTCCCTCATTAGTTGTGAGAAATGTTCATGTTGCTCTGCTCAGAAGCAATGGACAGCTCTGGAGTGTGACAACTGTACAACAGAACACATATTTAATGATTCATTCTCCTTTAGCTTATGGTATCTTCTGTCTCTAGGCTCTCTCTATTCTCTATGAACTGCTCAAATGAGAAAATAGGCAAGACAGAGGAGACAGAGAAAACACATGGGTCAGAAACTGCTTTGTTCTATATGTATTTTACCTTTCAATAAGAAAATAGGAAATCCAGACTTCTTTAAGTAGATACATCCATTTTCTTTTTCATTATTTTCTTTCCACTTTTTTTCTTTTGCATGTTGTGCTGGTGGTTTTCTATGACGTGTAGGATTTAGGGCTGAACTGAGAAATGTACAGGCAGTGAGAACAGTACAAGACAACCAAGCATTTCTGAGGAGGCTTTTGAACAACTTGGCATATTACGGAAGATACAGGCTGGTAGGTGAGCATTACATATATGCCTGTATTTTGTGAAATTGCAACATAGCAGTATACTTCAATCATTCAAAATCTCATATCCTAAGTGCCAGTGTACCCTTATAAGCTCTGAGATGTGGGGACAGACATTGGAAAAGAACTTGAGTATCTGCTCTGGGTTCAGGGGATTGTACATTTTTTCACTGATAGATTCTTCAGTCAATGTGCTTTACATATAGCACACTTAGATTTTATTTTACCACTTGAGAAAGTAGAAAGACAGTTTATAATTTTCCCACATTATCAGTGGACTCAGAAATTTAACATTTAAGCCAAGGAAAAAGTATTAGCCTTTCTCTTCTCTTTTGTTTTGATCTGTACATCATTCAGGTGCTTTCTGCATTTACCCCTCAGTTTTTCCTATCTTCCTTATTGCTAATAACACTGATACCACAATCTGGATTTAGCAACTTTCAGAAAACAATTAGATAGGAAATAGTCAGGACTTATGGTAGTAGGTTATGTTCCCAGAAAAATCAATGAAAATAAGTCTATGCTTATATTTACCTTGGGAATCATTTAAACAACAAAGATAAAGAAAAAATACCATAAAATAGCTAGGTAAACAAAAAACAGAGAGAAAGTTACCTACAGAGGAATAAAACTGAAGCTAATTTGTGTGTGTGTGTGTGTGTGTGTGTGTGTGTGCGCTTTTTTGTTTTGTTTTGTTTTCTGCAAGCAAAAGACAGTTGTGGCAGAGAATTTACTGCTCAACAAATATCTGTGTTCTGTACAGTATCCAGCCCCTTCTAGTTAGGAACAGGCACATAATTAGTACTGGTCAGTGGGCTCTGAGTGGCAGTGACCAACGTCATTTCTGAGTTGAATATTTTACAAGCTTCACTTCGTCTCTCAAAGAGCCCAGTGGGCCCACAGACCAAACCTGTGGATATCTTCTCAGATCCTGAATGCAGAGTTGGAATACTCTAACCCATTGAAAACTCCCTACATTTCCCCCCTGTTATGTGGAGTGAGAGCTGTTATGATAAGAAGGTGAGACAAGGGAAACCCTTGCAACTGCCTGTAGCCTCCACCACAGTAAAACCAAAAAGTTATCATATCCCTTGGTATCCTATCTATGGCTTCTTTACAAGTCAGTCTATACGTAGAAAGGGCAAGAGCAAAAGCTTCAAGCTTCCTGAGGCTTAGATTTAGAAGTCTCACAGTATCACTTCTACTGCATTCTGTTGCTCAAAGCAAGTTACAGTCAAATTCAAGGATAGATAAGTATGAGCCTCTTTGCGTGAAGAATGGCAAAACGAAGTGACATAGAGGGATGTGAGGAATGACTACATCCATGTGTGCAAAAAATCTGCTGGAGCATAGGCAGCAGCACGGATGACAAGAAGTGGATATTTTTCCCTTGACATGAATACAAGTGCACCTTCACTGATTTACCTCGATTGTCTTTCCAAATCTCTTTAATCATACAGTCTAGTGGCATGTTGATTATCTTTCAGAACATGCTCCATTATATTGATAACATCATGCAGATTGGATCTGTTGAGAAATATCTAGTGCACTAGATGCTTTAGTTGTATACATATGTGCTAGAGTTTGAGATAAAACCTATAAAAACGTGGAGGTCTGCCAGCTGAGTCAATTTTGGAAGTCCAAAGATTTTAGGTATGTTTCGATATTTCCTCCATAGTGGAAGTAAGAAGTGCTTTCCACTGCCTACCATTAAGATAGTGGTACAATGCTTGGCAGGATTGTCTGGAGGTTTTTGGGAATGATGCTCTGATCCATTTATTGAGCAACCCTATTGCTGCATGTTTTGAGTGGGAATAAAGTAAAAGAAGGCTGTGCAACAGGGTCAGGCTCTTGCAAGCTGCTCTCTGTCATTCCCTGTATTCAGTGGTGCTCTAAGTATCAATGGTAAATAAGGATGTTATATGGGAACTCTGGCAAACTACACTAAAAGATGCCTGGCACAAATCTTATAGTTGGGGAAAAATCTTCTGCTGATAATTATTTTATTTTGTGAAGAAACTCCTGACTTGCTATTGAGACTTCATAGAGGCTGAGTGCTAGACCATGGGACATTAAAGTACTGTGTAATCTGAGATGCCCATTATACATGTTGTCAGATTCATCCAGAACATTGTGCAGGATTAATCAGTCTGTAATAAAAGTATTATGGTCTAGATTAGGCTCAAGCAGGTATGGAAGGAACAGGAAAACTGCATGGACAGGCTGCTCAGGCCCTCATGATGCCTACTTGTGCTTAATTGTCATTATTCCTTCTACCCACACCTACGGAAAAATTATTGTGAATAGCTCACATAAGCTGAAAAAAATAATACCTCAGGCTTTGTTTGTGGAGTACTCTGCAGTATAAGCTTGCACCAGCTGGAAATGATCCACTGCCCCACTGCCATATTACATGGCCACTCAGAGGTGGCCTTCTAGTAAAGGAAGAAAACAAAGTATACATATATATGTATATAAAACTATGAATGTGTGTGTGTGTATATATGTGTGTGTCTCTGTGTGTATATACACACAGACACACACATATGTGTATATATAGACACATATATATACACATATATACATATGTGTATATATAGACACATATATACACATATATACATATGTGTATATATAGACACATATATACACATATATACATATGTGTATATATAGACACATATATATACACATATATACATATGTGTATACATAGACACATATATATACACATATATACATATGTGTATACATAGACACATATATATACACATATATACATATGTGTATACATATATACATATATACACACATATACATATGTGTATACATATATACATATATATATACATATGTGTATACATATATACATATATATACATATGTGTATACATATATACATATATATACACATATATACATATGTGTATACATATATACATATATACATATATATACATATATATACACATAGTTTTCCACTTTGCCTGACAGGAGGCATGGCTCAAGGATTTTACTCATGGACAGTAACTAATGTCTTGGCTTGTGGATCAGGACCTTGGAAAAAACAGGATTGGATGATTAATGGCAAGGGAGTCTGGAAAAGAAGCATATGGATGAATCTCTTGCATGAGTACAGAGTGGGATGATATCATGTCCATATAATTTCTCATAAAATTATAGGCATTACAGAGGAGGCTTTTAAAAATCAGGTGAAACTAGCTGGCCCAACTTATGTCAGCTATTCTGTTTCTCCAGGCACCTTAGAACTATGTATAAAGGACCTCACAGTGGCAGGGATGGAAACTTGCATGGATTTAACAAGATGGTTTTTCACTCATCGAGGTTAATATGGTGATGGTCCCTGCTTGCTGCCCAATTTGCCAATAGTAGAAGCTAATTCTGGGGACCTATGGCTTCATTTCCCAGGGAGACCAGCTGATCTTTTAGTGGTAGGCCAACTACATTGCCTCTCCTCCATCAGAGAGGAGGCAATTATTTGTCCTCCTTGGATCAGATACTTGTTCTGGGTTTGCATTCTTTCCTTAACTTGCCATAATACTACTGCAAACAACCACAATTGAGGACTTAGAGAAAGTTTATTCACCATGATGGCATTCCACACTTTGCTTCTGACCAAGGAATTGATTTTACCACAAGACTTATATAGCAGTGGTGAGCTCTTTATTCCCATGGTGGAATGTTTCTGGCAGAAGAAAAAATAGTGGCCCCATCAGTAGAAGTTCAGACCACCACCTCAGTATCTGAGGCCCTTCAAGCCACAGAATTAACAGATAGAGGAGGAACTTGGATAATTGATCCCAATTATAAAGAAGACCTTGGATTAATTTTACAAATGGGAGCAGTTGGAATTATGTCTGCAACCTAGGACTTTACTTGTACACCTCTTAGTAATCTTATTCTGATAGTAACTGTCAGTGGAGTAAATCAAAAAAGGCAGGGCCACTAAGCACACAGCCACATCTGGAATTAAGATGTAATATTATCCCACCAGGTAAAAAACACCAACCAACTAAGGCACTGCTGAGGGCAAGGGAAACAGTGTCAGGTGGTAGAAGAAGTTTGTAAATGTGGCCCTGGATCGAGACAAAAACTCACAAATTATAGCAGCTATGTATATATTAATCAAGTAATGAAGAGCCCAATGTTAATCCCCAAGACAATGGGGAAGATGTCTCCAGGACATGTCAGAGGTCTTCATGGCAGCCTCTTCCATCACAATCCCGGAGGCCTACGAGGAAAAAGTGGTTTCATGGTCTGGGCCCAGGGTCCCTGTGCTGTGTGCAGCCTAGGGACTTGGTGCCCTGCACCCCAGCCACTCCAGCTGTGGCTGAAAGAGGCTAACATAGAGCTTGAGCTGTAGCTTCAGAGGGTGCAAGCCTCAAGCCTTAGCAGCTTCCACATGGTGTTGAGCCTGGGGTACACAGAAGTCAAGAATTAGAGTTTGAGCACCTCTGCCTAGATTTCAGACAATGTATAGAAATGCCTGGATGTCCAGGCAGAAATTTGCTGCAGGGGTGGGGCTCTCACAGAGAACCTCTGCTAGGGCAGTGCAGAAGGGAAATGTGGGATCAGAGCCCCCACACAGAGTCCCTACTGGGGCACTGCCTAGTGGAGCTGTGAGAAGAGGGCCACCATCCTCCAGATCCCAGAATCCACTGACAGCTTGAACCATGTGCCCAGAAAAGCCACAGACACTCAATGCAGCCTGTGAAGGCAGCCAGGAGGGAGGGTGTACCCTGCAAAGTCACAGGGGCAGAGCTGCCCAAAACCATGGGAACCTACCTCTTGCATCAGCATGACCTGGATATGAGAAATGGAGTAAAAGAAAATCATTTTGCAACTTTAAGATTTGACTGCCCTGTTGGATTTTGGACTTGCATGAGGCCTGTAGTCCCTTTGTTTTGGCAAATTTCTTCCATTTGGAATGGCTGTATTTATCCAATGCCTTTACCCTTATTGTATCTAGGAAGTAACTAACTTGCTTTTGATTTTACATGCTCATAGGCAAAAGTGCCTTGTCTCAGATGAGACTTTGGACTCTGGACTCTTGAGTTAGTGCTGAAATGAGTTAAGGCTTTGGGGGACTGTTGGGAAGGCATGATTGGTTTTGAAATGTAAAAAGGACGTGAGATTTGGGAGGGGCCAGGGGTGGAATGATATGATTTGGCTGTGTCCCCACCCAAATCTCATCTTGAATTCCCACATGTTGTGGGAGGGACATGGTGGGAGGTAATTGAATCAAGGGGGCAAGTCTTTCCCATGCTATTCACATGACAGTGAATAAGTCTCATGAGATCTGATGGTTTTATGAAGAGGAGTTCTCCTGCACAAGTTCCCTCTCTTTGCCTGCTGCCATCCATTTAAGACGTGACTTGCTCCTCCTTGCCTTCTGCCATGATTGCAAGGCCTCCCCAGCCAATGGAAATGTAAATTCATTAAACTTCTTTCTTTTATAAATTGCCCAGTGTCAGGTATGTCTTTATCAGCAGTGTGAGAACAGGATAATACAGTAAATTGGTACCAGTAGAGTGGGGTGTTGCTGAAAAGATACCTGAAAATATGGAAGCAACTTTGGAACTGGGTAACAGGAAGAGGTTGGAAGAGTTTGGTCAGCTCAGAAGAAGATAAAAAAATCTGGGAAAGTTTGGAACTTCCTAGAGACTTGTTGAATGGCTTTGACAAAAATGCTGATAGTGATATGACCAGTAAGGTCCAGGCTGAGGTGGCCTCAGATGGAGATGAGGAACTCGTTGGGAAGTGGTGCAAAGGGGACTCTTGTTATGTTTTAGCAAAGAGACTGGTGGCATTTTGCCCCTGCCCTAGAGATCTGTGGAACTTCGAACTTGAGAGATACGATTTAGGGTAGGTGGTGGAAGAAATTTCTAAGCAGCAAAGCATTCACAACATGACTTGGGTGCTGTTGAAGGCATTCAGTTTTATAAAGAGACCAGAGCACAAAAGTTTGCAAAATTTGCAGCCTGACATGTGATAGAAAAGAAAATCCCATTTTCTGAGGAGAAATTCAATCTGGCTGCAGAAATTTGTATTATAAACTAATACAGTCCCCATTCTTCTTCCACTATTATTTTGTATGAGATGTGATGGTGACACCTAACTTAATTTGTAAGCCATAGTCCAAGAAACCATATTTGACCTGAATGGTAAGGACTGGTTTCTTGAAGATCCTAAACTTGATCCTGATTCAGTGACTGATGGTTTTGGTGTCTCCCCTTGTTGGGAAGAGTGTGGGATTATCTACATTTGTGTAATGGATAAGTGCCTGTCAGATTGAAACATGTAGTTATTAATATGAGTAGAATGATGAGAACAGACACTAAGTAATTGAAGGAAGTGGACCTCAGATCAATTCCTTGACTTCTCCTTGCTCTACCATATATCATGTGGCTCTAACCCTTGCCAGCCCCTCTTGTCATGACTTTTGGCTGAGGTTTAGCCAGTGATAGGCCCTCGTGGGAGATTTAAGAAATGAAGGAAGGTAGCTTCCTCTGAAGTATGTTCAGCAGTGGCTGTAAGTCCCTGATGGTTTCAGCTCTCTCAGGACAGACCTACCATGATTACCACTGGGTGATTTAGGCAAGTATCACTGTCTCCTCTTGTCCCTAGAGACAGCAGTGGCTCCTTGCTTTCTCTAATTTCTGGGTTACCTCGTTGTCTTTTGCTTGGCTTCTCAGCTACCCTTCACCTGTGCAGCCAAGTCCCTGCATTAAATTCTCTGCATCTTGAGGCAAAATAGTTTCTACTTTTCTGTATTTTTTGGATCCTGACTGATAAACTAGTTAAATATATAAAAATCAAATCATTAGAAATCTGTTTCACAAATGAATATAATAAAAAACTGTTCTCAAAATAAAACAGACATTACATAAAGAAAACACGAAATAACAATTACCTGGATTTAGAACCCCAGATTAGTCTAACACAGATCAAGAGGAGTTTAGTGGAGAAACTGTTTGGGAACACATGTGGTCAGACAAGAATTTAATACATTTGAAGGAAGGAGGACACATATAAATGATGCCATTTCATTCTTGGCTCTGACTTTAATTAAACCATGATTAATTTAATATGGTCTTTCAAAGCCTTAAAAGTTAACAAATAGGGAATGAAAATGAGATATATACCTTACAAAAACAGAACACAGAGGAAAAAACATATTTGTAAACAAGGAAATTGGCAACAAAAATACCATCAAGGAAGCATTACTAAACATGTATAAAATAATATATGTAAGTAAGGCAAGATAAATCACTTATTTTAAAAAATAAATGAATTAAACTGGTACGTGAAAGAAAATAAAACCCACGATTTAAGCCAAAAACAAATATTTTGAGGCACACATACTTATCAAGTAAGTTCAAATAAAAATAACTAGAGGACATAGTCATCAGAGCAAAAATTTTGTATGAAAAGCAGTTACTCATTCTTAGCACTCACAATGCAAATTGCATCTAATGCTCCTTCTCTCAGTACAATTTCTCTGCCTTCAATTCTGCCTGCTGTTTCCTAGTATTCAATACATCTACCTTGCCCTCTCCAGATAATAATCCTTTAATCTTGAGTGGAGGCCCTGGTGGGAAATAAACATCATGGAGGAGGGAGGAGCCAGGGCATTTATGGGGTATGGGAGCAGTTGCTTAGATGCACAGAGTGAGAGAAGATTATCCAGTCTGTTATTTCTGGATTTTGAGCATTCCTCCATCCCTAATCCCACCTTCAGCCTCACCTCCCAAGCTGACTTCTGCTCCCATTTCTGAGCCTTTCCGGCTTTGCAGCATGACATGAAGAGTGGTGATTTTTTGCCCTCCCTCTGCTTATTCAGGACTCAGTGTGCTCAGAGTCACTGGGTCAGTGACTGCTACTTATGGCTTTCCAGCTCCCAAAATGCTGTGGCTTGTCCCCTTCCTGGATCCTGTTTCCTTTGTGAGTTGCACTTTTTCTCTCTTCTTTTTAATCACTTTTGTTTACCTTTAGGAGGGTGAGGTGGGAAGTGGGAGGGGAATTCGATGGTCATTTGTGAGTTCAACTGGCCATCTTTAACTAGAAGAACTCTGTTTTTCTCTTGAGTTGTTTCTTCTGTATGTTTTTGACTTTTAAATATTCTCCATAGATTCTGAATACTGATCTTTTGTATAGCCTATATGAAAAGCTAGAATTCAGGAGTTCTATAATTAGTGAAGGAAGGCATGGATATCTATGGACTAGTCTTCACTGCCAGAAAGGGCTCTTTTTGGTTCCCACATATCCAGGCAGAACCTTCTACACTTAGAATACACTAAACCCCTCCTTAAGGGAGACAACCCAATGTCCCAACCGTGGCCCATGTCTAGATCAAAGTATAGCTCCCTGTTGCCCTATGATTTATGACCTGATTGATGTCTAATCTGTATTCCTCCCAAAACTAGTCAAATTAAAATAATTCCTATATGGAAGAGGAAATAATAGGAAGCACATAGCATCACTGAGCCACAGACATAATGAAATCTTGCTGGAAAGAACTTGTATTGACTCCTAGCTCTTATTATGGAGAAAGTTCTTTCTTTCTACATGGAGGCAGAACTCTCTAGTTCATTATTCAGTTTAGTCTCTGGATTTGTCTTCTAAAGGCAAACATTATTTCAACATCTTTTACAGCAACATCAGGAGTAGTACTGGAAGCTGAGTGGCTTTCACCAACTGCTTCCTGTTAATTTGGTTTGGTGTTAAGGAATTATTTCAGAGAATGAAAGTGAAAAGTGACATGCTTTTGAGGGTCAAACATATGAATTTTTTTGGTAATATAATTGCCCTCTCCAACTTAGTAAGGTCCTGATCTATATCTTAAAAGATGTCCATTTAGAAAATTGTTAAAACTTTCAGCTTCCTGGCCGGGTGTGGCTGGGTGTGCAATTACAGGCTTATACCTGTAATTGCAGCATTTTGGGAGGCTGAGATTGGAGGATCATTTGAAGTCAGGAGTTCGAGACCAGCCTGGCCAACATGGTAAACCCCATCTCTACTAAAAATGCAAAAATTAGCTGAGCGTGGTGGTGCATACCTGTAATTCCAGCTACTCAGGAGGCTGAGGCATGAAAATCACTTGAACCTGGGAGGTGGCGGTTGCAGTTGGCCGAGCGTGCACCACTGCACTCCAGCCTGGGTGATGGAGTGACTGTCCCAAAACACAAACAAACAACAACAACAACAAACTTTCAGCTTCCCTCTTTTATTAAATTGCCTTTTGTGTGGCCCACCATTTTCTTCCTCAGTTTTATTTGAGTTACCTTTATGCCATCAGGAAACTTAGACTTCAGTCCTTAGACTTCAGTGGGAACATGACTCTTTTTTTGATGCTGGGTTTCTTCCCACTGTCTAGTAGAAAACTGTTAATTTGAAGGTCTGAAAAAAGGCTGGGACCTTTTATCCAACTATTTCCACTTTTTTTAGAGCCATTTCTTATAATTAGCTTGTGTAGGAATTTTTTGAAAGCAGTAAGGAGCTTCCAACACACACCAATAAGTTCTGCTAAAATTATAGCCCTCTGTGAGCACATAGTCCATCCTTCAACCTACTGAAGATGACAGTTTATCATAGTGCAATAAATATTGTCAACTTTCCACCATACAATATTTTTGCCATTATTTCCTACCAACTAATAGCTAATGTAACAGTCTTAGGTTTACGTTTTGGCATCACTGCATTTACAGGTACCTGTTTTGCATTAGTTAGGGTAGAGGCTAAGTAGTCAGAACTAGAAAACCTGAAGAACAGTGACTTATACATGTGGCTTGAGGGTGGCAGAGCTGAAGACAGCTGATCTGCTTATCTATGGACTACTACAATTTGGAGTCCTAAGTTTTCACCTTCTCTCAGCCAGCAGAGTAAATAAACCTGAATGGCTTAATCTGAATGTGGCACACATCACTTCTATTTTCAATCCATTGCTTAGAACTGCTTATATGCCTTCATCAAGTTATAGGGAAGGCTTTGGAAATGCAATGTCCATTTGGATATCCATCTACCTAGCTAAAACAAAGGAGTATTTTTAAAAAACTATTATTAAAGAAGTATGGATATTTGTGACAACCATCTCTGCCAGATGGAGGCAGAGTCATTAGCATATCACCACTGACCTTTATTTACCCTTCTTATCCATTTATCTCTTGGGGGTAACTTCAGCAATTGATGACTTAGAGATAAAGAACTAGACATGCATGATTCTGCCTCTTCCTCTCTTTTTTTTCTTGTTGTTGACCTTTCTATAGGGATTATGGGTGCTCAATTGCTTATGGGTGTAAGATCAGCTTATGGGTAAATAACTTGCCCTTGTAGGGTAGGCCTGCAGTGTTTAGCAATACTGCTGTGAATGTCCAATACTGGGATTGACTATTATACAGCTTAGGTATCCACAGGAAAAAAATACCCTTTTTCCAATATCAGCTTTGATAATTCAGTCTCCATTTATTTAACTCTTTCTATTTCTTAATTTGTTCAGAACATGGTGAGAGGTGAAGCCAGCTGGGCTTCTGGGTCAGGTGGGGACTTGGAGAACTTCTGTGTCTAGCTAAAGGATTGTAAATACACCAATCAGTGCTCTGTGTCTAGCTAAAGGAATGTAAACACACCAATCAGCACTCTGTAAAATGGACCAATCAGCACTCTGTAAAATGGGCCAATCAGCAGGATGTGGGCGGGGCCAAATAAGGGAATAAACGCTGGCCACGGGAGCCAGCAGTGGCAACCTGCTCGGGTCCCCTTCCACACGGTGGAAGCTTTGTTGTTTCACTCTTCACAATAAATCTTGCTGCTGCTCACTCTTTGGGTCCACACTACCTTTATGAGCTGTAACACTCATGGTGAGGGTCTGCAGCTTCATTCCTGAAGTCAGCAAGACCACAAACCCACGGGGAGGGTGGGTTCGTGGGTTCAAACAACTCCAGGCACACCACCTTTAAGAGCTGTAATACTCACTGTGAAGGTCTGCAGCTTCGCTCCTGAAGTCAGCGAGACCACGAACCCACTGGAAGGAAGAAACTCCAGACACATCTTAACATCTGAAGGAAAAAACTCCGGACACACCATCTTTAAGAGCTGTAACACTCACTGTGAGGGTCCGCAGCTTCATTCTTGAAGTCAGTGAGACGGAGAACCCACTGGAAGGAATCAATTCCGGACACAATGGATAGAGGGGAGAGGTGCTATTTACTGATCAAACTTGAACCTTAACAAGTTGGTTCACACAATTAAATGATTCTTATCATTTAGGGGATTGCACTTTTAATATATAATTGTTCTCTTATTTTTGTATACTGTATTTCCCTTGAATTCTATTTTGTTTTATGGTAATAACCGCCACTCTTGTTTGTTTGTTTGTTTGTTTTTCCTCTAGACAGGGTTTCCCTCTGTTGCCCATGCTGGAGTGCAGTGGCACAAACACAGCTCAAGCAACCTTCCATTTCAGCCTCTCAAGAAGCTGGGACTACAGCAAATTTTTTGTTTTGTTTTGTTTTGTTTTTTGTAGCAATAGGGTTTTGCCATGCTGTCCAGGCTGATCTTGAAATCCTGAGTTTATGTAACCTGCCTGCCATGGCCTATGAAAGCTCTAGGATTATTAGGTGTGAACCCCTGCACGTGTTCTCCCTGCTCCCTGACTTCTTTTTTTTTTTTCTGAGACAGAGTCTCACTCCATTGCTCCATCACCCAGGCTGGAGTGCAGTGGTGCGATATCGGCTCACTACAACATCTGCCTCCCAGGTTCAAGCAATTCTCCTGCCTCAGCCTCCCGAGTAGCTGGGACTACAGGTGCACATGGCCATGACCAGCTAATTGTTTTGTATTTTAGTAGAGATGGGGTTTCACCTTGTTGCCCAGGCTGGTTGCGAACTCCTAAGCTCAGGCAGTGTGCCCGCCTCGGCCTCCCAAAGTGCTGGGATTACAGGTGTGAGCCACCGTGCCTGGCCCCTGATTTCTTTATCTTAGTATTTTTATGGTATATACATTTACTTAATTTTTTTGTTGTGTTGTTTTAATCTTTCATAAATTATACAAAAATGGGTTTACCCCAATCTGCATGTATTTACTGACTTACCTAAAATTATTAATGTCGTTTAAAAATGTTTACTTTTATCTGATTTAAAAAATTTCACTCTCCATTATTTTTAGTTTGATTTATAAATGTTAAAAAAATTCCCATACCAGGGTTTTAAGACTTTCTGTTTTATTTCTATTCTAATGATTAACTTAGCAATTTTCAACATTTTAATCATATAACATATATATGGAAAAATGCAGAAATCATATGTTACTACTCAATAAGTTTTACAAGTGAATTACTGCTTGCAGCTGTGTAACCAGAATATAGATCAAGAAACAATATTATCCTCAGAAGCTCTCCTCATGCCCCATTACAATTACTATTTATCCTTACTCTCAAACCCCAGAATATAATGACTATCCTATTTCTCCATGAGTTTCACTGACTTGATAGCTCATTTCTTTTTATTGCATACTGTCTGACTTGTGTACATTTTTGATTAACTTTGTGGAGGTACATTCATATCTCACTGTAGTTTTAATTATCATTTCCTTAATTACCAAAGCAGTTTAGAATGTGTTTTATATGTTCATTGACCATGGAGTTTTGTTTGTTTATGAAATAACTATTTATATCTTTGCCATTTTTCTATCAGATTTTTTTTGTCATTTACCCATTGATTCATTGATTTTCTTCCTACATTTTGGATCCCAATCTTTTGTCAGTGATATGTATTAGACATTAATTTTTGTCCTTTTAGTTGCCCAATTTGTTGTCTTTTTAGTCTATTTTTTCTGACTTTGTTGAGCAAAAATCTTAACATTAATGTGGTTGAATTTATCAATCTCATCCTATATAACTTCCACTTCTTGAGTCTTGTTAAAGAAAGCCTTTTGTATCCTGAATTCATACAGAAAATCACCCTTATTTTATTCTAAATATTGTGGATTATAAAATTTAAATTAAGCTGAAGAAATCCAGGAATTTCAGCCTCCCTCAGATAATGGCTTACGTTGGAATACCTACATTGGAATCACCTAGTGCTTCCTCCTAAAATCCACATATAGTTAAAGAAGAGCAAATTAAAAGTCTTACAACCTAGTTCTACAGAGTAAATAGGAGATGGAAAGACTATACACTCAAATTTGCATGTAATTAGGGAAAACCTTATAGACAGAGTTGTTGCCAGAGCCCCTAATAGTGTAATAACATCAGTGTTTATGAGTTTACATTCAGAAGGAGAGAGTCCTACTCTCAGGGAATTGCTGAGAGCAGGTGTGAGATGGGCCATTCCAGAGGACTCACAATGAAGGAGTTGAATAAAACAGGCATCAGAGTGCATAAGACCGGAATTGGCAATTTTAGGAAGGCACCACTTCTGGAGTACAGAAAGGGAGGCAATATGAAAATTGCAAGTGTCCTTTGAAAACAGCAGCCAGGAATAGAGAATTAGTGAAAGCCTGGCCACAAAAAGATTTGATACAATAAAGCAACTTCTGTTCATTGCAGCAACAGAAGAAGGAACCCTCAAACTGAGAAGCCAGAAAACCCACTTCCATAGACTCTCCCTTCTAATTAAAGTACAAAAAAACCCTAACATCTTAAAAAAACAAGCAAAAACGAACATGTACATCCCACAGCAAGATGCTATAAGAAAACAGTAGATGATGAAATGTAAAATTGTTTTGCAAATAAAAGTATATGAAAGAAATATTACCACCAAGCAAAAGCAAATTGAAACAAAAAACAAAACATAGAAATACAAAATTTCTGAACTTTTGTGCTTTACAAAACTTACAGTTTTGTAAGTTCTCCTTACAAAACTGAATGCCTTCAACAGCACCCAAGTCACCTCTTGAATGCTATGCTGCTTAGAGATTTCTTCCATCAGACACCCTAGATTATCTCCCTCAAGTTCAAAGTTCCACAAATTTAGCTATTTTGAAATATACACAAATTATTAACTATAGTTTTTCTCTTATACTATCAAATACTAGAATTTACTCCTTCTATCTTTTAATACCTATTAACCAACTTCTCTTTATTTATTTTATCTCTGCTTCCTTTCTCAGCTTCTCATAATCACCATTCTACTCCTTACCTCCACAAGATTCACTTTTGTTTTTTGTTTTTTTTTTTCACTTTCTACATATAAGTGAGAACATGCCATATGGCCAGGTTTATTAACCCATTCACCTGTCAATAAACACTTAGATTGATTCTATGTCTTGGTTATTGTGAATAGCGCTGCAATAAGCATGGGAGTGTAGACAGCTCTTTGATATAATAATTTCTTTTCTTTTGGATATATACCAAGCAGTGGGATTGCTGGGTCATCTAGTAGTACTATCTTTTAATTTATTGAGGAAACTACATACTGTTTTCCATAATAGCTGTACCACTTTACATTCCCCATAACGGTGTATGAACTTTCCTCTTTCAGCACATCCACATCACAGCATTTGTTTCTTTATTCTTTTTTTGATAATAGCCATTCTAACTGGAGTGACATGATATCTCATGGTGGTTTTCACTTGCATTTTCCTGATGGTTGGTGATGTTGAACATTTTTTCACATACTTGTTGGCCATTTGTATGTCTTCTTTTGAGAAGTGTCTATTCAGGTCTGTTGTCCATTTAAAAATATGATTATTTCAGTTTTGGTTGCTTTTGCCATTGAGTTGTTGAAGTTCTTTATATATTCTGGCTATTAATCTCTTGTTGGATGGACAGTTTACAAATATTTTCTCCCAATCTGTAGGTTGTCTCTTCATTTTGTTAATTGTTTCCTTTGCTGCACAGAGCTTTTCAGCTTGTTGCAATCCCATTTGCCTATTTTTGCTTTCTGCTGATGCTTTTGAGGTCTTACCCAAAAAATCATTGCCTAGACCAATGTCCTGTAGCATTTCTCCAATGCTTTCTTCTTGTAGTTTCATAGTTTCAGGTCTTAGATTTAAGTCTTTAATCCATTTTCTGTTGATTTTTGAATATGGTGAAAGATGGGGATCTAGTTTCATTCTTCTGTATATGGATATCCAGTTTCCCAGCACCATTTATTAAAGAGACTTTCTTTTCTCTTTCATATGTTCTTGGAACCTTTGTTAAAAATGAGTTGGCTGTAGGTATGTGGCTTTATTTCTGAGTTCTTTATTCTGTTCTATTTGTCTATGTGTCTGTTTTTATTCCAGTGCCTTGCTGTTTTGGTTACTATAGCTTTGCAGTAGAATTTGAAGTCAGATAGTGTGATGCCTCCAGCATTGTTCTTTTTGTTCAGGGTTGCTTTAGCTATTTGGGGTCTTTTGTGGAACAATGATTATATTTAGATGACGGGTACTGGGATAATTTTATGTGTCAACTTAGCTGGGCCACAGTGTCCCAATATTTGGTCAAACATTATTCTGAATGCTTCTGTAAAGGTGTTTTTTGGGTGAGATTAACATTTAAATTGATGAACTGTGTGTAAAGCAGATTATCCTCCATAGTATGGGTGTGCTTCATCCAATCAATTGAATGACTTAATAGAACAGTGACTGACTTCTTCTAAGCAATCAGGAATTCTGCCAACAGACTGCCTTTGGACTCTAACCACAACTCTTCCCTGAGTTTCCAGCCTGTCAACTTCCCCATCAGATTTTGACTTACCAAACCTCCATAATTGCATGTGCTAATTATTTAAAAGAAATCTCTATCTCTCTCTGTGTATACATATCCTACTGGTTCTGCTTCTTTGAGGAACCCTGACTAATAAAGGTATATAGATAATCATTGTACTATTTAAAATGTTTATTTATTTGAGCATTTTAATACTAAAATATTTCTAAAACTCAAAAGTTTTTAGGCATTATATGTTATAATTTATACTAATATAATTTATTTAATAGGTTAAAAATATATTACTGTAATTGATGTCAAAGGCATTAGATAAAATCCAATAGTGAGTCCTAATAAACTCAGAAAAGTAGAATTTCTCTTTACTGTGATAAAAAAACTATAACAGAATAGATATATTTAATTAAATAAAAATGTAAAGTTATTTTCATAACAAGTAAATTAAAGGACAAATGATAAATTGTGAAAAATGCTTGCTGTTTTGATATCAGATATTGGATCAATATCGCTATGATAAATAGACTTTAAAATTTTTTTTATTATACTTTAAGTTCTGGGATATATGTGCAGAATGTCCAGGTTTGTTACATCAGTATACACTTAAAAATAGATTTTTTATAAATCAACAATAAAAAAGTGACGTGCTTAAGCAATTCACAACAGAAAAACTCAAATATGTCTTTCATAGATTTACTAGTCATGCATACTTTTTACATATATATTTTAAATTGTTTTGATCAAATTATTAAAACTTAAAATATGGAGCCTATTAAAATTTATCATGTGTAGCTAATGCTATTCTTATGAACTTTCTGTGGGCATGTAAATTGGCATAAACTTTTTGGGTGGTAATTTGGAAATATGTGTATATCAAAAGTCTAAAAACTGGCTTATTTTGGACTTAGCAAATCTATAAATGAAGCCTAAGGAAATACTCATTAATATGTGGAGACATCTGTCTATTGCTTTGTTTGTTATATTATCTTTATACTAAGCAAAAATTTGAACTCCAAGAATATGTCAATAATTTATGATTGATTAAGTTAATTGTATAACTTTATCAACAAATTTATTCATATAGGTGAGTATATATGAGTATATATATAGAGAGATATCATTTCAGTTGTATCTATATATACACAGATTGTTCGGATATGTTTGTTCAAGATTTTAACAGTGGTGGTCTCTGCGTCAGAGTCAAAAGATATGATTTTATTCATTTTGCTCTGTAATAGCTATATTTTCTAAAATGAATGTGTTTTTCCTTATATTGAAAGAAAGCAGAAAATATATTAAATGCATGCTCTAATAAATTATTTTTAAATTTACACAGTCATAAGAAATGAAATACATTTTTTAGATTTTTTAAATTGGACTCATTATTCACAGGGCCTGCAATGTCTAGTATTTTTCTGTACCTGAAAGTTTTCCTTACCTTCATGTTTCAGTGAAATTAAGTTTCCTTTCCCCATGAACAGCCACTTATTAGACTGGAAATGCCCCTGTTCCAAGAATATTCAGCATGGGCTTGTGAAAATCCATAACATTGTGGTACAAAGGGCTTTTCCTAATGTATGTGCTGATAATTATATACACTAATAATTCTAGTTCTCAAAATTTATATGGAATAGGGAGTGTTAACAGCCATTTTATCTATATTTTAGAAGAACAAATCATAAATTCAATGGGAAGCAGAGAAGCCAAGAAATAGAAATTACATGAGAAAGAGGAAGGGAAAAGGGCACAGAGAGAAGAGGACAGGAGGCTCAGGAAAGGGAAAGAACAGAAAGAGAAAGGAGAGTTAGGGGGAGGGGATGAGAGAAGATGAGAAGAGAGAGAAACTACAGAGAGCTGTAGAGGCTTGAGCTCATCTGCAGCAATGTCTTGCCTTAACAATTTGTCAATTCCAATTTACATATATCTTCAAGGTGGGCCTGAGTAAGTCTTCCATCCTTACAACCAAAAATGCCGAGTGGCTATCTTCAGTTTTAAGGAGGAAATTGAATGATCCAATCACTTTTTGGACAATACAACATTTACTTCATTCTTATTAGTCAAAAGCTATTAAGAGCTACTGGACTGCATGATAGCTGAGGAGATTGTCTTTTATGTTTTTGCTCTGAATTCTCTACTTTGAGCGTGTATATGTGTGTGTATTGTGGGGGACAGTTAACTGAAGTAGAAGGAATACATATATATACTTATGTATATATACACATATTCTAAAAATACATTAAAAAATTTTTTTTTCAGATGGAGTCTTGCTCTGTTGCTCAGGCTGGAGTGCAGTGGCAGAATCTCGGCTCACTGCAACCTGCGCCTCCTGGGTTCAAGCAATTCTCTGCCTCAGCCTCCCGAGCAGTTGGGATTACAGGCACCAGCCACCATGCCTAGCTAAGATGGGGTTTCACCATCTTGGCCAGGCTGGACTTGAACTCCTGATCTCATGATCCACCCGCCTTGGTCTCCCAAAGTGCTCGGATTACAGGCGTGAGCCACTGCGCCCGGCCTAAAAATGCACTTTAGAGCAGTCTTCAGTCCACAGTAAAATTGAGGTGAAAGTAGAGATTTCTCATGCATTTCCTGCCCCCACACGTGCACAGCCTCCTCCATTATCAACATCCTGCACCACAGTGGTACATTTGTTACAGCTGAACATACATTGACAGATCATTATCACCCCGTTGACAGTTTACCTTAGGGTTCACATTTGATGGTGTATATTCTATGGCTTCATACAAACTTATAATGACATATATCCAACATAGTATCATACGGAATAGTTTTGCTGCCCTAAAAATGCTTTGTATTCTGCTTATTTATCCCTCTCCTCTCCATAGCCCCTGGCAACCACTAATCTAGATACTGTCTCCATGATTTTGGCTTTTCAAAAATGTCTTATAGTTGCAATCATGCGCAGTACATAGCCTTTTCAGAATGGCTTCTTTCACTTAGCGATATGCATTTAAGCTTCTTCCACATCTTTTTAAGACTTGATAACTCATTTCTTTTTAGTGCTGAAAAATATTCCATTGTCTGCATATACCACAGTTTATCCATTCACCTACTGTTGAACATCTTGGTTGCTTCCAAGTTTGGGTAATTAAGAATAAATTAAACATCCTTGTATATGATTACAGCTCATTAGGATATCAAAAAATGTAATTGCTGGATTATATGCTAAGAGTATGTTTCATTTTGTAAAAAAAAAAACTGACAAGCTTCTTCAAAAATGTTTTTAGTTTTATTTAGTTCAAAATATTTAAAAATTTCTCAAGATTTCTTCTTTGAACGTGTGTTGTTTAATCTCTATGTATTTTGGAATTGTCCATTTATTTTTCTGTTAATAATTTCTAACTGATTTCTATTGTGATCTGAGAGCAGACATTTTATTATTTCATTTAATTAAATTTGTTAAAGTATTTTATGGCTCAAAATGCAGTCTATCTTGAGGAATGTTTCATGTGCTTGAGAAGAATGTATATTCAACTGCTGTTGGATGAAGTATAATCTATAGATGTCAGTTATATCCCATTGATTGATGGTGCTGTTGAGTTCAACTATGCCCTTACTGATTTTCCGCCTCCTGGATTTGTCCATTTCTGACAAAGGAGTCTGGAATTCTCCAACTGTAATAATGGATTCATCTACACCACCTTGCAGTTCTATCAATTGTTGCCTCATGTATTATGACACTGTTTTTAGGCACATACACATTAAACATTCTTATATCTTCTTGGAGAACTGACCCCTATATCATCACATAATGCCATTCCTTATTTTTTCCCCGATAAGTTTCCTTGCTTTAATGTCAGCTGTCTAAAAATAACATAGATACTTCTGCTTTTTAAAATTAATGTTACAATAGAATATCTTTTCCATTCATTTACTTTTAAAGTATATGTCTTTATATTTAAAGTGGGTTTTTTGCAGACAATATTTGGTTGGGTCTTGTTTTTTGATTGATTCTGACAATCTCTGTTTTTTAATAACTGCATTTAGACACTTAATGTTCAAAGTGATTATATATTTGGGTTAATATCATATTGGCTATTGTTTTCTATATATTGCTCTTATTCTTTGTCTTCTACTTTTTTTCTCCCTTTTGTGGTTTTAATTGAGTATATTTCATTTCCTTTCATTTATTAGCATATCAGTTATACTTCCTTTTTTAACTTTTTAAAATTGTTGCTCCATAGTTTGTAATATACATTTGTAATGAATCCAAGCCCACACTCAAATAACACTATACTATATCACAGGCAGTGTGAATATGTTATAATAACAATATAATTCTAATTCTTCCACCCCATCCTTTGTATCATAGTCACTCATTTCTCATATCTAAGTATACCTAAGCAAATATGTATGTATGTGTATACACACAGTTATATATACATATATATACACATATATACATATATCCCTTAGATGGGATATACATATATATATACCTAAGCATATATAATCAAACACATTGCTGCTATTATTCTGAACAAAATATTACTTCTTAGAAGTAATGAATAAGAAAAGAAAAGTTTTGTTGAACTTTACCTATTTCTTATTTGGTGCTCTTCCTTTCATTATGTAGATCCAAGCTTCCGACGTATATAATTTTCCTTTCCTCTAAACGACATCTTTTAACTTTTTTTGATGGGTCGGGGTGAGGGGATAAGACATGTCTACTGGTAACAAATTTCCTCAAGTTTGTTTGTCTGAGAAATTTTTATTTCTCCTTCAATTTTGAAGGCTGATTTCACAGGATACAGAATTTTAGTTTGATGTTTTTGTTTTTCTCTCTAGGCACTTTAAATATTTTACTCCACTCTTTTCTTACCTGGATGGTTTCTGAGAAGTCAGATATAATTCTTATGCTTGCTCCTCTATAGGTAAAGTGCTTTTTCCTCTGGCTTCTTTCTAAGACTCTTTTTCTTTATTTTTGATTTTCTGTGGTTTAAAAATGATATCCCTAGGATTATTATTATTATTATTATGTACATTTATTTTGCTTGGTGTTCTCTTAGCTTCTTGGATCTTGACTTTGTTGTTTGACATTAATCTGGTGAAAATTTTCAGACATTATTGTTTCAAATATTTCTTCTGTTCATTTCTTTGTCTTCCCTGTGGTATTTCTGTTACACATGTTATACCTTTTGTACTTTCCTACAGGTCTTGAATATTCTATTCTGTTTTTTCTCCAGTCTTTGTTCCGTTTGCCTTTTAATTTCGTATGTTTTGGTGATATATCCTAAAGCTCAGAAACTTTTTCCTCAGCCATGTTCAGTCAACTAAAGAGCCCATCAAAGGCATTTTTTATTTCTTTTATAGTGTTTTTGATCTCTAGCATTTGCCTTTGGTTCTTTCTTAGTATTTTCTCTCTCTGCTTACATGGTTCATCTGTATGCTATCTACTTTATCCATGGGAGCAATTGGCTTATTAATCATATTTCTTTTAAATTCTGTTAGATAATTCTATTTTACCTTCCATATATGGCTCTGATATGTGCTCTGTCTTTTCTAATTATCTTTTTTGCCTTTTAGCATGCTTTGCAATTTTTGCTTGATAGGTGAACATGATAAACAGATTTGAGTAGGTCTTTAGTAATGTGGTAAGCTGTGGGGGAATGGGAGCATTCTATAATCCTATGGTTAGGTCTTAACCTTTTAGTGAGCCTGTGCCTCTGGATAGTCAATGTGAGGAATGTTTCCCAGTATTGTTTTATCTTGTTTTTTTGTTTTGTTTTGTTTTTTGTTTTTTTTTTAAATCTCCCCTTAGATGTAATAGGATGGCCAGAGGGGGCTGGAGTTAGGTATTTCCCTTTTCTCAGATAGTTGGGCACTGATAAAATCACAGTAGGTTAGGTTCCGGTAACTAGTTTCTTATGAGGGAAGACCTCACTAAGAGCATAATTCTCTTGTGTATTTCAAAATGCTTCTTTTCCTTCTTAACCTCCTTGAAGCCAGAGTGAATTTTATTCTGCTAATTACTGTGAGAACTTGTTCCAGCTCCTGGAGGTAAACTTATAAAAGTGTAGGAGATACATCAAATTTCTGGGTTTCCCTGGAGTTTCTAACTCTCAAACTTAAGCAATTCATCAATTAAAGTTCAGGTTTTCTACCCCAGTATTTGTATCCATAAAAATTTCTGCTCCAGTGAGTTGTGATTCTCTGTATCTGTCTCTCTGTTTCTCCAATTTTGGTGCAGCAGTTTGCCCTTTGACCTCACTTTCTTATAGGCCTAAGAAATATTGTTGAATTTTCAGTTTGCTCAACTTTGTACTTACTAGGATGGTCTGGTGACTTCCAAGCTCCTTACATGCATTACTGGAAACTGGAAGTTTAGAACTTATATTTTAAAATGTGGAAAGTAAGAGAATTAGGAGCTTCTATAATTTCCTGATTCTATATTTTGTATCCTTTTCCCAAACAAATAAGATTAGAAGCAACATCGAATACAAATACATTGAACCATTAATTGTATTGTAGTGAGAAAGAATTACTAAATAAAGATATGTTAATGTTGTCAGAAAAATCACCTAAAACTTAGAAATAAGCAAAAAGGAGAGCTGTATGCTTTCAGTGCAGTGCTGGGTAGATTTTCTACACCTGAGTTCTTTATAGCTCTGTAGGACTGATGTTAACTTGTAGATTTTTTTTTTTTTTTTTTTTTTTTTTGAGAGAGTTTCACTCTTTTCGCCCAGGCTGAAGTACAATGGTGTGATCTCAGCTTACTGCAACCTCTTCCTCCTCCTGAGTTCAAGCGATTCTCCCACCTCAGCCTCCATAGTAGCTGGGATTACAGGCGCCTGCCACCATGTCCGGCTAATTTTTGCATTTTTAATAGAGACAGAGTTTCGCCATGCTGGCCAGGCTGGTCTCGAACTCCTGACCTCAGACGATCCGCCTGCCTCAGCCTCCCAAAGTGCTGGGATTACAAGCATGAGCCACCATGACATCTATTTGTTACCTATTCTGTTCCATTGATCTATGTGTACATTTTTTTGTACTAGTACCATGCTCTTTTGGTTACTGTATCCTTGTATTATAGTTTGAAGTCAGGTAATGTGATGCCTCCATCTTTGCTCTTTTTGGCTGTGCAGGCTCTTTTTTTCTTTCATATGAATTTAGAACAGTATTTTTCTGATTCTGTGAAAAATGAAATTGGTAGTTTTATAGGAATAACATTGAATCTGTAGATCACTTTGGGCATTTTAATATTGATTTTTCCAATTTATGAGCATGGAATGTTTTTCCATTTGTGTCAACCATGATTTCTTTCAGCAGTGTTCTATAGTTCTTTTTCCAGAGATTTTTCACCTCCTTGGTTAGCTGTATTTCTAGGTATTGTGTGAATGTGTGTGTGTGTGTGTGTGTGTGTGTGTGGTGGGGGTTGGGGGGGAGGACTGTTATAAATGGGATTGCATTCTTTATTTGGTTCTCAGCTTGAATGTTATTAGTGTATAGAAATGTTACTGATTTTGGGCCGGGTGTGGTAGGTCAAGTCTGTAATCCGAGCACTTTGGGAGGCCAAGGTGGGCAGATCGTGAGGTCAGGAGATCGAGACCATCCTGGCTAACACAGTGAAACCCCGTCTCTACTAAAAATACAAAAAAATTAGCTGGGCATGGTGGCACGCACCTGTAGTCCCAGCTACTCGGGAGGCAGGAGAATGGCATGAACCCCAGAGGTGGAGCTTGCAGTGAGCCGAGATCGCGCCACTGGACTCCAAACTGGGCAACAGAGCAAGACTTCATCTCAAAAAAAAAAAAAAAAAAAAAGAAATGTTACTGATCTGATTTTGGTACATGGATTTTGTATCCTGAAACCTTACCAAAGTCATTTATCAGGTCTAAAAGCCTTTTGGTAGACTGTTTAGGGTTTTCTAGGTAGAGAAATACATCTTCAGTGAAGAGAAAGAATTTGAATTCTCTTTTAATTTTTTTTTCTTGCCTGAATGCTCTGGCTAGTACTTCCAGTACTATGTTGCATAGGAGTAGTGAGAATGGGCACTATTATCTTGTTCTGGCTCTCAGGGGGAATGCTTCCAGCTTTTGCCCATACAGTATGAGGTAGGCTGTAGGTTTGTCATAGATGGCTCTTATTATTTTGAGAGGTATGTTCTTTCAATGCCTAGTCTGTTGAGGGTTTTTACCGTGAAGGGATGTTGGATTTTATTGAAGGCTTTTTCTGCATCTACGTAGATGATCATTTAGTTTTTAATTCTGTTTATGTGGTGAATCACATTTATTGATTTGCAAATGTTGAACCAAGCGAGCATCCCATGAATAAAGCCTGCTTGACTATGGTGAATTAACTGTTTCATGTGCCGCTTGATTTGGTTTGCTAGTATTTTGTTGAGGATTTTTGTGTCTATGTTCATCAGAGATATTGGCCTGTAGTTTTCTTTTCTCATTTTATGTTTACTAAATTTTAGTATCATGATTATTCTTCCATTGTAGAATGAGTTAGAGAGGAGTCTGTCCTCCTAGATTTTTTAAAATAGTGTCAGCAGGATTGGTACTGGCTGTTCTTTGTATGTCTGGTAGATTTTGGCTGTGAATACGTCTGTTGCAGGATCTTTTTGGTTAGTATGTTTTCTATTACTGATTCAATTTCAGAACTCATTTCTATTCTGTTCAGGGTTTGAATTTCCTTCTGATTCAATCTCAGGAGGTTGTATGTTTCCAGGAATTTATTCATTTCCTCTAGATTTTTTACTTTTTGTTTATGGAGGTATTTATAATAGCCTCTAAGGATCTTTTGTATTTCTGTGGGATCAGTTATAATGTTTCCTTTGTCATTTCTGATCGTACTTATTTGTACCTTCTCTCTTTTTTTTTCTTTGTTAGTCCAGCTAGAAGTCTATTGATCTTTCTTATCCTTTCAAATACTCAACTTTTCATTTTGATTCTTTATATGGATTTTTTTCGTCTCAAATTCATTTAGCTCTGCTCTGATTTTAGATGTTTCTTTTCTTCTTCTAGATTTGGGGTTAGTATCTTCTTGTTTTTCTAGTTCTTCTACGTGTGATGTTAGATCATTAATTTGAAAATTTTTTATTTGTTGATGTTAGCATTTAACGCTGTAAACTTGCCTATTAACACTGTTTTTGATGCATCCCAGAAATTGTAGTATGTTGTGTCTCTTTTTTTCATTCATTTCAAAGAAGTTTTTCATTTCTACCTTAATTTTGTTATTTACCCAAAAGTCATTCAAAAGCAAGTTGCCCATGTAATTGTGTGTTTTTCAGAGATTCTTTTGTTATTTATTTCTATTTTTATTCCACTGTGGTCCCAAAATATGCTTGGTATGATTTCAATTTGTTTGAATTTATTGAGATTTGCTTTATGGTGGAGGATGTGGTAAATCTTTGATAGCTTTATGTGTGCAGATAAGGAAAATGTATATTCTGTGGTCTTGGGGTTGAGTATTTTATAGATATCTGTTAGGTCCAATGACAAGTGTTGAATTTAAGTCCAGAATTTCTTTGTTAGCTTTCTCCCTCAATGAACTGTCTAACCCTGTCAGTGGGGAGTTGAAGTCCCCCACTATTATGGTGTAGCCTTCTAGGTCTTTTCATAGGCCTAGAAGTGCTTATTTTATGAATCCAAGTACTCCAATGTTCAGTGCATATATATTTAGGATAGTTAAGTCTTGTTGAATTGAACCATTTATAATTATGTAGTGACCTTCTATGTCCTTTTTTTTTTCACTGTTGATAGTTTAAAATTTGTTTTATCTGATATAAGAACAGTGACCCCTGTTCTTTTTAGTTTTCCACTTGTGTGGTAGATCTTTCTCCAATGCCTTGAGCCTATGGATGTTGTTATGTGTGAGATGGGTATCTTGAAGACAGCAGATAGGTAGGTCTTGTGTTTGTTTTTCTTTTCTCCAGCTTGCCACTCTGTGCCTTTAAGTGGGGTGTCTAGACCATTCATAGTCAGGGTTAATATTTGATCCTGTCATGAAGTTGTTAGCTGTTTGCTTTGTAATTCCCATTGTGTTTTTTTGCTTTACAGTGTATATGGGCTATGTAGTTAAGTGTGTTTCTGTATTAGCAAGTATTCTTTTCTTTCCATGTTTAGAACTGCCATAAAGATCTCCTGTGAGGCTGGTCTTGTGGTATTGTATTCCCTTAGCACTTGCTTGTCTGGAAAAGATTTTATTTCTCCTTTGTTTGTAAAGCTTAGTTTAGTGGGATATAAAATTCTTGGTTGGAACTTCTTTAAGAATGCTAGAACTATGCTCCCAGTTTCTTCTGCATTGTATGCTTTCTGCTGAGAAGTCCAGTATTGGCTTTATGGGGTTTCCTTTGTAAATGATCTAACACTTTTCTCTAGCTGCCTTTAAGATTTTTTTCTTTAACATTGACTTGGATAGTGTGGTGACTAATTGCCTTGGTGATAATTATCTTGTATGATATCTCAAAGGTGTTCTCTGGATTTCTAATATCTGGATGTCTACCTCTCTAGGAAGGTTAGGAAAATACTCTTAAATTATTCCCTCAAATACAATTTCCAGATTACTTTTTCTCTTTATCTTTCAGTAATGCCAATAATCTATAGGTTTGACCACCTTACATAATCTCATAATTCTTATAGGCTTTGCTCATTCTTAAAATTTTTTTTTACTTTATTTTTGTCAGACTGGATTAGCTCAAGAGACTAGTAGTGAAGCTCTGAAATTCTTTCTTCTGCTTGGAGAAGTATTTTTTATCATAAGATATTTGTATTACTTACGTATAGCTGTATAGTGTTAATAGAAAGTAGACTTGGATTAGTTGTAAATGTATATTACAAAATCTAAAATTACCACTAAAAGTACGTAAAGATAAAAGTATAATTGAAATGCTAAGAAAGGAGAGAAAATGAAATTTTATGAAATGCTCAATTAAACCACAAAAGGCAGAAAAAGCATAGAAGACCAAAATAGGAACAAAGGATAAAATTAAAAATTGTAACAAATATGATAAATATTAAATCAACTATGTCAATAATCACTTTAGATGTTAATAATCTGAATGCACCAATTAAAAGACAGTGATTGTCAGAGTGAATGAAAAAGCACCCAACTATATGTTGTCTACAAAAAACACTTTAAATATAAAGACACATACAAATTAAAAGCAAAGTGATAAAAATATGCCATGCAAACAATCAAAATAAAGTTCAATTACCTATATTAATTTCACAAACAGCAAACTTTAGAGCAAGGAAAATTATGAATAAAGATTGGCTTTATATAAATATAAAGGAATCAGTTCTTAAAGAATACAGATCAATTCTCAGTGTTATAAGCATGTTAGATGTCTTAACAGAGCATCAAGACATATGAAGCAAAAATGAATAGAATGCAAGAAACAAAAATGTATAAGAAAAATATATAAATCCCCTATAATACTTGTAGACTTCCACACCCTTCTTTCAGAAATGACCAATTCAATAGTCAGAAAATCAGTAGTAAGGACATGGTAGTAGCACTCAACAGTACCACTGATCAGAAGTAATTGAAATTTACTACTTCATCCCAAACCAACAGATTATACATTTGTTTCAAGGTCACATAGAATATCCACTAGGTTTGACCACATTCTGGGTCATTAAACACAGCTGAACAAATTTAAAAGAATAAAAATCATACAATGTTTGCTCAGATTAGAATGGAATTAAACTACAAATCAATGTGGAAAGATAGCTGAAACATCACCAAATTATTTGGAGATTAAACAACACACTTTTAGATAACACAAAGGTCAAAAAATAAATATGAGAAGTTTAAAAATATTTTGAACCAAATGAAGATGAAAATGCAACTTATAAAAATTTGAGATGCAAAAGAATTGTTTTTCAGAGGAAAATTTATATCATCAAAATATCATCAAATACATATATTGGAAAATAAGAAAAATCTAAGATAATTAAGCTTCAGCTTTACAAAACTAGAAAAGGAAGATGAAATCAAATCCAAAAAAAAAAACAGAAGGAAATAAAGGATGAAAATTAGAATAGAAATCAATGAAATTGAAACAGGAAATTAATAGACATAATGAAATAAGAATTTGGTTCTTTTAAAAGGCCAATAAAATTAATGTCTCCAACCAGGCTAACTAAGAATGAGGAGAGTAGACACAAATTAATAATAGCATAAATGAAAGAGGGATATCATTAGAGTTCCTAAGGACTTAAAAAGTATAATAATGGAGTAATATAAATAACTCTATGCCTACAAATTTGAAAGCCTAGATGAAATGGACCAATTCCTTGTAAGAAACAATCTGCCAAAACTTATGTAAGAATAAAGATACAATCTGAATAAGCTTATATCTATTAAATAAAATGAAACAATAATTAAACACCTTAGAAAGCCAAAATCACAAGGCCCAGATCGGTTTACTGGTAAATTCTAACACATTTTAAGGAAGAAATTATACAAATTCACTACAGTTTCAGAAACAAGAGTCAGAGGGAATTTTTCTTAACTCATTCTATGAGACCAACATCACCCTAATACCAAAACCAAAATTGCAAGAGAGGAAAATTGTAGACCAATAATGTTCATAAATATATGCAAAAAATTTCATTAAAATATAAGTAAATACAATCCAACAATCAAGACCAAGTGGAATTATATCAGGTTTGCAAAGCTGTTTAAACATTCAGAAATCAATTAATGTAATTCTAACATTAACAGGCTAAAGAAGAAAAATCAAATGATCATATCAATAGATGTAGAAAAAGCATTAGGCAAAACCCAACTCCTATTCATGATATATAAAAAAAAGCTTATTAAAAAGGAATAGGAGGCAGCTTCCCCAACCTGACAAATCACATCTACAAACAACCTATACCTAACATCACATTTAATGGTGAGAAATTGAAGCTTACCTTATAATTAGGAAAAAAGGCAAGGATGTCCCTTCTCACTATTCTTTTTTAGGATTACCCTGGAAGTCTTAGATGGTGCATTATGAAAAAATAAGGGAATTATAAGAATATACAGACTAGCAAAAAATAAACAAAACTGTCTATTCACAAATGACATGATTGTTTAGGAATAAAATCTGAAATAATCAACAAAAAACCTGGAACTGATAAATGATATTGTAGGATGTAAGGTTAGTACATGAACATCAAGTACTTTCTTTTATGTATCACAATGAACAAGTGGGATTTGAAATTAAAAATACTACCATTTACATTTGCACAAAAATATGCCTAGGTATAAATCTAACAATAGATATGCAAGATGTATATGAGGAAAACTCCAAAACATGATGAACCATATCAAATAACTAAATAACTAAATAAATCAAGAGATATTTCATGTTCATGAATAGAAAGATTGAATATTGTCAAGATGTCAGTTCTTTCCAACCTAATCTATAGGTTCAACATACTACCAATCAAAATCCCAGCAAGTTATGTTGTGGATATGGACAAACTGATTCTAATATTTATACAGAGAGACAAAAAATTCAGAACAGAGAACTTAGTATTGAAGGAGAAGTACAAAGTTGGAGCACTGATATTACTTGATTCAAGATGTATTAAAAGCAATAGTGTGGTATTATTAAAATAATAGACACATAGTTCAATGGAACATAATAGAGAGCCCAGAATAGATTCACATAAATATAGTCACCTGATAATGGACAAAGCAGCAAAGAAAATACAGTGAAGCAAAGTTTCTTTCTTCAAAAAATATAGTGCTAGAACAATTGGACATTCATGTGATGAAAAAATGAATCTAGGAACAGACATTATACCAGTCACAAAAATTAACTCAAAAAGTGATCATAGACTTACATGTAAAATTCAAATCTGTAAGATTCATGGAAATAACATGAGAGAAATCTTAGATGATGTTGGGTATGGTGATAAATTTTTTGGCATAACACCAAAGGAAGGATCCAGAAAAGAATTAATTGATGAGCTGGACTTCATTACAATTAAGAATTTCTGCTTTGTGAAAGACAATGTCAAGAGAATAAGAAAAATCATAGACTTGTAGAAAAATTCACAAAAGACATATCTAATAAAGGACTATTATCCAAAATATGCAAGGAACAACTTGATTAAAATATGGGAAAATACCTGAACAAATTTATTTTATTTTATTTTATTTTTTTTACTAAGCAAGATCAGACATGTTTATTAAATTCTAATTTTTTATTATTATTATTATACTTTAAGTTTTAGGGTACATGTGCACAACGTGCAGGTTTGTTACAGATGTATACATGTGCCATGCTGGTGTGCTGCACCCATTAACTCGTCATTTAGCGTTAGGTATATCTCCTAGTGCTATCCCTCCCCTCTACCCCCACCCCACAACAGTCCCCGGTGTGTGATGTTCCCCTTCCTGTGTCCATGTATTCTCATTGTTCAATTCCCACTTATGAGTGAGAATATGCAGTGGTTGGTTTTTTGTCCTTGCGATAGTTTGCTGAGAATGATGGTTTCCAGCTTCATCCATGTCCCTACAAAGGACACGAACTCATCATTTTGTATGGCTGCACAGTATTCCATGGTGTATATGTGCCACATTTTCTTAATCCAGTCTATCATTGTTGGATGTTTGGGTTGGTTCCAAGTCTTTGCTATTGTGAATAGTGCTGCAATAAACATACATGTGCATGTGTCTTTATAGCAGCATGATTTATAATCCTTTGGGTATATACCCAGTAATGGGATGGCTGGGTCAAATGGTATTTCCAGTTCTAGGTCCCTGAGGAATCGCCACACTGACTTCCATAATGGTTGAACTAGTTTACAGTCCCACCAACAGCGTAAAAGTGTTCCTATTTCTCCACATCCTCTCCAGCACCTGTTGTTTCCTGACTTTTTCATGATCACCATTCTAACTGGTGTGAGATGGTATCTCATTGTGGTTTTGATTTGCATTTCTCTGATGGCCAGTGATGATGAACATTTTTTCATGTGTCTGTTGGCTGCATAAATGTCTTCTTTTGAGAAGTGTCTGTTCATATCCTTTGCCCACTTTTTGATGGGGTTGTTTTATTTTTTCTTGTAAATTTGTTTGAGCTCATTGTAGATTCTGGATATTAGCCCTTTGTCGGATGAGTAGATTGTAAAAATTTTCTCCCATTCTGTAGGTTGCCTGTTCACTCTGATGGTGGTTTCTTTTGCTGTGCAGAAGCTCTTTAGTTTAATTAGATCCCATTTGTCAATTTTGGCTTTTGTTGCCATTGCTTTTGGTGTTTTAGACATGAAGTCCTTGCCCACCATGCGTATGTCCTGAATGGTATTGCCTAGGTTTTCTTCTAGGGTTTTTATGGTTTTAGGTCTAACATTTAAGTCTTTAATCCATCTTGAATTAATTTTTGTATAAGATGTAAGGAAGGGATCCAGTTTCAGCTTTCTACATATGGCTAGCCAGTTTTCCCAGCACCATTTATTAAATAGAGATTCCTTTCCCCATTGCTTGCTTTTGTCAGGTTTGTCAAAGATCAGATAGTTTTAGATATGTGGCAGTATTTCTGAGGGCTCTGTTCTGAATACCTGAACAAATTTCTTAGCAGAGAAGATATACAAATGACAAACAAGCATATAAAAAGATTGTCACCGTTGTACATCATTAGGTAATTGCATATTAAAAAACAACGAGATACTACTGCACATCTATTAAGATGACCAAAATCCAAAAACTGATAACTTCAAATGATGGTGAGGATGTGGAGCAACAGAACCCTCATTCATTGCTGGTGGGAATGCAAAATGATTCAACCACTTGGAAAGACAGTTTGGCAGTTTCCTACAAAACTAAATTTACTCTTTAGCATAAGGTTCATTAATCATGGTGTGAGTTGGTTGAATGTAAAATAGAAAAAAAAATTCAATCACCCCTTGTTATTTACCCAAATGAACTGAAAATTTATGTTCACATAAAACCTACACACAAATTTTTATAGTAGCTTTATTTATATTTGCCTAAACTGTAAAATAACCAAGATATATTTCAGTACCTAAGTGGGTAAATAAGATATGTTACATTCAATGGAATATTATACAGTGCTTAAAAGAAATCAAGCCATGAAAACCCTTGGAAAAAGCTTAAACTCATAAATGAAAGAAGACATTCAGAAAAAGGCTATATACTGAGTAGTCCCAAGTATATGACATTCTGGAAAAGGCAAAACTGTGAAGATAGTAAAAAGATTAATTGCTGCTAAGGGTTAGAGGGGAGAATGAATAGGCTTAGAACAGAAAATTTTTGGGACAAAAAAACAATTCTGTACAATACTATATTTGTGGGTACATGCCATTATGTATTTGTCAAACTCCATATTATATGGTTTGGCTCTGTGTCTCCACCCAAATATGATCTCAAATTGTAATCCTCACATGTGGAGAGAAGAAGGTGATTAGATCATGGGGGAGGTTTCCCTTATTCTGTTCTCGTGATAGTGAGTGAGTTCTCATGAGATCTGATGGTTTTACAAATGTTTGACTGCTCCTCCTTCACACAATTTTCTCTCCTGCTACTTTGTGAAGATGCCTGCTTCGCCTTCTGCCACGATTGTAAGCTTCCTGAGGCCTCTCCAGCCATGCAGAACTGTGAGTCAATTAAACCTCTTTATAAACCTCACAGTCTTAGGTATTTCTTTATAGCAGTGTGAAAACACACTAATACACCATAGAATGGAAAACACCAGGCCGGGTGTGGTGGCTCATGCCTGTAATCCCAGCAATTTGAGAGGCCAAGGCTGGTGGATCACTTGAGGTCAGGAGTTTAAGATGAACCTGGCCAACATGGGGAAACCCCATCTCTACTAAAAATACAAAAATTAGCCAGGTGTGGTGGCACACGCCTGTAATCCCAGCTACTTGGGAAGCTGAGGCAAGAGAATTGCTTGAACCCAGAAGCCAGAGGTTGCAGTGAGCTGAGATTGTGCCACTGCACTCCAGCCTGGGTGACAGAGTGAGAATCCATATCAAAAAAAAAATACCAGAAGTAAACTCTAAGGAAAACTATGGACTTTGGGTGATGATGTGTCAAAGCAGGTTGATCGAATGTAACAAATGTACCGCTGTGGTGACTGATGTTGATGGTGGTGGAGGTTGTGTGTGTGTGTGTGTGTGTGTGTGTGTGTGTGTGTGTGCTGGGATATGGGGTATATGGGGGATATGGGAACTCTCCATGCTTCCCATTCAATTTAACTGTGAACCTAAAACCACTGTAAAAACAAAGTTTATTTTTTAAAAAGGAAAAAAATGGCAGCAAAGAAGAAAACTGGGGGTAAGAACTTGCGAAATGTCACGATACACCATTCCTTTGATAGGAGTGATGGAATTGGTCACTCATCATGGAGAAAACACCCTGTGGAAAAAAATGAAAATAAAGAGTAAAATAAAATTATCCAATAGTATGATTAAGACACTGATCATTCTTTTTCATTTACACACTGACAAAGGGATATTCATATAAATTGACATGACACCATGAGTCAGACTGAAAAGTTTCAATTGACTTGTATGGGTTCATATGATGGATTAAATTGTGTCTACATGGAGCTGCTGACTCAAAGATTTGGGGCAGAAATGTCTTTTGGCAACCATCTAGAAGAGGGCAAAAATATTTTCAAAGTTAAGCAAACATTGTGGGTGGATCCATCTATATGCTGAAAATATTGAAGCACCAGCAATCATACTTCCATTGGCATTGTATGAATTCTAGAGGCTATCTGGGGAGGCAGTGGGTAGGGAACAGTGCTAGGAGAAAATGGCAAGGACTTTGGAAATGAAATTCAGAAAGTACAGGATATCCCTGGGTATTTGAGGATTACTTTTTCTGGTAGAAGTTGTTTTCTTTCTACTAAAAGCTTCAAAAACAAAACAAAACAAAACAATTTGCATCATTGCACAATATTCTGAACAATTGTGGCAAACAATTTTATATAGATTACATTTATAGAATATCAGCATTCAATACATATGAGGTGACTTATAGGATGTGAGCTGGGTAAAGCTATCAAAATATAATTTAAACAACTTAACTGTTATTTTTTACATCTAAACTGTGAACAATTAGAGTATCAATTCTTATATGAAAGAGTGACCATTGTTACAGATTGGCATGTAATGTTGAGCAGATAAAGGCACATAGAACAGTGATGTTGCAAGAAATGATGACAAAACAAGAGGCTCCAGGCTAAAGGGAAAATCTGCTGTCTTATCACATTGAATCCTTGTCTTGGTCAGCTTAGACTGTCATAACAAAATATCCCAGAGTGGGTAAGTAAGCCAACAGGAATCTATTTCTCACAGTTATGGAGACTGGAAAGTTCAAGATCAAGGTGCCAACTAGTATGGTCTCCTGTGGGGGCTCTCACTGGCTTGCAGATGGCTGCCTTCTGGTTGTGTCCTCACATGGTGGAGGGAGAGGGAGAAAAGAGAGAGAACACTTGTCTCTCTTCTTATAAGGACATGAATCCCATCATGAGGGCCCTACTCTTATGACCTCATCTTGACTTAATTGCCTGTCAAAATCTCCATCTCCACATACCATCGCATTGGGAGTTAGGGCTTTGACATATGAATTTTGGGGGACACATTCAGTCCATAACAATCCTGATAACAAATCTTTGAAATAGGTATTGGTATGCCCATTTTCTAGATCAGGAAATTGAGTCTCAAAAAGATTAAAATATTTATTCACAGTTTAATACCTATGATCATTTCCTGAATCTCACTTGGCAACTTATAGCTAAACATTTTATCATTTCTCCAGTAAGAAGGGACTCTACTTAGTTTCACAACTATTCTGTAGTGATACCCCTACATAATACATGGGTACATCTATCTGTATGTATGTTTACATGGGTCTGTTGAGGAGTTTTGTTTGCAAGCAGCAAAATCATTAATTTCAGTAAAACATGGAATTTGTAGGCAGGATGGTAGGGTTTGTCCAGAATGGGTGGACAGGCTCAGAGATACATGAGTAGAAGAATTTGGCCTGCTCTGGGTGATAGAGACAGGAGGGAGCCAAGGCCCCTCCACCCCTGGCAAAACCCTACCTTTAAGCCTAAAACAGCCTGAAGGCTGAAAAACTGGACTGCTCCCAGATGAAGCCCGCCTTCCCCCCACCCAACTGATTCTTTCTGGATAATGCCCACCTGAGCCCTGGGAGACTGGGGTGGGGCCTCAGGAAGTTTGTGCCCAGATGGGAGAAGCCTGTTGCCGTGTGGTAACCTGTTCCCGTGTAGTAACCTGGGATTCAGTCTGTGAGATGAGGGGCTGTTAAGAGGAACACCTCTCGCTTTGCTGAGCTTTTTTCCTTTTCGCCCGACAAATTCCGTTCCCTCTCATCCTTTAAAATGTCTGCGAGCCTAATCTTTCCTGGTCATGTGACAAGAGCCTGGTTTTTCCTACAGCGTGGGGACTTCAGCAACAGCGGCTCATGTATTTCTCATTAGGCCTTCAGTCACTGATATTTCCATTCCAATTTACATTTTCCCTAGTAAGATATTCTTTCTTGGGGGTTCAGGGGACAGAGTCTCAGTCATCCAAGCTGGAATGCAATGGCATGCTCATGGCTCAGCTCACTGCAGCTTCAACCTCCTGGCCTCAGGTGATCCACCTCAGCCTCCTGAGCAGCTGTGACTACAGGTACTGTGACTATGGGTACGGGCCACCACGCCCAGCTAATTTTGTTGTAGATATAGGGTTTCGCTATGTTGCCTAGTGTATTAGTCTATTTTCACACTGCTATAAAGATACTACCTGAAACTGGGTAATTTATAAACAAAAAAAGTTTAATTGACTCAGTTCTACATGGCTGGGGAAGCCTCAGAAAACTTACAATCATAGTCAAATGTGAAGGGGAAGCAGGCACCTTTATCACAAGGCAGCAGGAGAAAGACAGAGCGAGGAAGTACCACACTTTAAAACCGTCAGCTCTCATGAGAACTCACTATCATGAGAACGGCATGGGGGAACCACTCCCATGATCCAATCACTTCCCACCAAGTCTCCTCTGGACATGTAGGGATTACAATTTGAGATGAAATTTGGATTTTGAGGGGGACACAGAGCCAAATTATATCACCCAGGCTGGTCTCAAACTCCTGGTCTCAAACAATCCACCTGCCTTGGCCTCCCAAAGTGCTGGGATTACAGGTGTGAACCACTGCACCCAGCTCTAGTAAGATATTGTTAATGGCTCTGGCCATTTCACATGATCAGGTAGGTTATGATCTATGTGAAAGGTGATGTTAGCCACATTGATATGGTAACTAAAGGGACTTCTATATGTGATATGTATGTATATAAATGTACATATTCACACATATACACGCACATACATACATTTACATACATAATTGTATGTCATATTTGTAATTATAGTAGCCTATAAAGACTATACAGTGAAATAGCCTGGTTAGGGTTGGTTTTGGCTTAAACTTTTGTTTGTCCTTTTAAAAATGATTTATCCTTTCAGATATTGCTAGGGACTAGTATATGAACAAATAGGACTAAAAATAATATTTGGCAATGAAGAATTTTCTGCCCAGAGTGAGCAAATCCAGTTCTTAAAACTTGAACCTGAATCTTGTACCTGAACAAGAACCAACCCTTTTCAGGGATTTTATACTTAACACTTAACTATACAAAGTGTTAGACAAAATGATTAATTTATTTCACATCTATTCATCAATTATCCCTCATAAAAGGAGCACAGGGCCTAACTTAAGAGAAAATACAGTGGGCAGTTCTAAAATTTCTAACTTAATGGGGGTAAGCTTTTCAGTAAAAAAGGTTTTAGGCTTTTTTACTGAAAAAACTGAAAACATGGTTGTATGTTTCACTTTTTAAAATATTTTAGAGGCTGGATGCGGTGGCTCATGCTTGTAATCCCAGAACTTTGGGAGGCCGAGGTAGGCGAATCACGAGGTCAAGAGATCGAGACCATCCTGGGCAACATGGTGAAACCCTGTCTCTACTAAAAAAAAAATACAAAAATTAGCTGGGCATGATGGCGTGTGCCTGTAGCCCTAGCTACTTGGGAGGCTGAGGCAGGAGAATCGCTTGAACCCAGAAGGCGGAGGTTGCAGTGAGCTGAGATCGCAACATTGCACTCCAGCCTGGGGGACAGAGTGAGACTCCATCTCAAAAAAAAAAAAAAAAAAAAAAATTTTAGAGTTTTGTCATAGACATAAATTCAGTTGTTTCTTCAGGGCTATCACTTAAGTGCTTCTTCTGATCTCTATGAAATATTAATAGCTTGTCATGCTTTCTATAAAGGAATAATGTAGAATAATTGACATTGTGAAGATCAATTTGACTACACCCTGGGAGTGACCACATTTACCCATTTCACCATCTCCTATCATTCTAGTTGCTTCGTCTTTTAGCTTTTTTTGTAGAACTGACAGGTACAAATGCAAAAAAAAAAAAAAAAAAAAAGAATGAAAATGAATTAGGAAATTAGCATTTCCTACCTACCTTTCTTTGGGTTTAGGGGAGAGATGGAATCCTGTGGAGGGAATCATTTTCCTTCCTCATTTGCAAAGGCATATCACTTATTCATCTGATCTCTGAGAGGAGAAATAATTAGTAATGAATTTCTCTTCATTTATACATTTCATGTTGATTATTGAAGCAATCCTGAAAAAGAAGTAAGCAAGAATTATAATGGATCAATTTCATGTTAAGGAACCTGCAAACAAGACTTTTGTGCCCCAGAAACATTCATCCAGCCTGCCAAACAAATGCCTACCTAGGACTGACGCCTGTAGTCAGGCAGAATTTTCCCAGATACAGCTCTTGTTGCTTTCTCCTACTTGCAAATCTGAAAAACTGCAAGAGGGCAGGATGCCAATAATAGGGTAACTGCCCTTTGAGACATCATATCTAGTGAGGTTCAGCTTTAATTTTTAGCAAGTGTTTTTGATGAAAGTTGTCACATTTTTCTGATGACTGCTGAGTCAGTTGCTAGTCAAAAGTCAGTATTATTCAGTGCAAACTTTAATGCAGATGATTTCTGAGGGCTCCATGGGTTGTGTGTGTCTGTGCATGGGGGATGAGAGAGGAGGTGGGCAACTCTCTTAGCCAAGTTTTACAGTTGTTATATGTGGGAGTTTCCAAGATCTTAAAAGGCAGAGAAAGCATCCTATATGTAAACTGTGTTTTAAATAGGTGAAGACTTACATCATCCATGAACAGAAATGGAAGAAATATCCATATTCTTTCTATCTCAGTTGAAATTGCAGAATATCCAGAAGCCCAGGAACTTCTCAGTTGATGCACTCTTGCCAAGAATGCTAGCCCTAGATTATATTTTTCTTCTCTGACAATATCCCAAGTAGGAGTGCTGTTCCTGCAAATGGCTCAGCATACTGCCTCACCAAAGGAGTAGCAGACAGTATCTCTATTATGCACCATCCTTTTGTTCTTCCAGATGGATGTGATTTATGATCTAAGTTCCAGGTATAAAAATAGTGTGTTTATGATGAACTATTTTATAATCTGGCTTTTTACCTGACAAAGGGTGGGGATGAAAACATTTTCACCCTTAGAAAAGCATCTCCATGGAAATAGATTCTATCCATTGGTTACCTATATGATGGATTGAAGAATTAAAGAATATCTCTGAATCCACTATGGCATAGTCACTCTAGCGCAGAGAAGTCATATAAATGAAAGCAAAAAAAAATGTGGCTGCTATACAGACAACAATAGTATAAAGTAGCCATTAAATGTTCCAACTTTGTCATCCAACAAAGTCTGGGCTGCCACCTACCAGCTAGCTGTGCAACCTTAGGCAATTATTTACCTTCTCTAAATGTAAATTTTTCTTCTCTTTTCCTTTCTTTTCTTTTTTTTTTTGAGACAGAGTCTCACTCTGTGGCCCAGGCTGGAGTGCAGTGGCGCGATCTCGGCTCACTGCAAGCTCATCGTCCTGGGTTCACACCATTCTCCTGCCTCAGCCTCCCGAGGAGCTGAGACTGCAGGTGCCCGTCACCACGCCTAGCTAATTTTTTGTATTTTTAGTAGAGACAGGGTTCCACCATGTTAGCCAGGATGGTCTTGATATCCTGACCTTGTGAACCATCCAGCTCGGCCTCCCAGAGTGCTAGGATTACAGGCATGAGCCACCGCGCCTGACCTGTAAATGTAAATTTTTCTATATGTATAGATGATATCATGTATCACATAGGTTTTTTTGTAAGGATGCGGTAAGTAGAACAGCACTATGTCTAGCATATAATTTTAGCTAGATTATTACTATTGATATCACCAACGTGACCATATTAAATTAGGAGATTGAATCTTATTTATCACTTTTATTATACCCACACACATGTAGTCTTTGTGTGCATTGACAAAAATGTCATTTTCTACTCCCTGAGTGGATTTGTCTAACTGCAATTACCATTTATTCAATTACAGTTGACCCTTGAACATGAGTTTGAACTGCATGGTCCACTTATATGTGAATTTTCTTTTTTTTATTATTATTATACTTTAAGATTTAGGGTACATGTACACAATGTGCAGGTTAGTTACATATGTATACATGTGCCATGCTGGTGTGCTGCACCCATTAACTCGTCATTTAGCATTAGGTATATCTCCTAATGCTAACCCTTCCCCCTCTCCCCACCCCACAACAGTCCCCAGAGTGTGATGTTCCCCTTCCTGTGTCCATGTGTTCTCATTGTTCAATTCCCACCTATGAGTGAGAATATGTGGTGTTTGGTTTTTCGTTCTTGTGATAGTTTACTGAGAATGATGATTTCCAATTTCATCCATGTCCCTACAAAGGACGTGAACTCATCATTTTTTATGGCTGCATAGTATTCCATGGTGTATATGTGCCACATTTTCTTAATCCAATCTATCATTGTTGGACATTTGGGTTGGTTCCAAGTCTTTGCTATTGTGAATAGTGCCGCAATAAACATACATGTGCATGTGTCTTTATAGCAGCATGATTTATAGTCCTTTGGGTATATACCCAGTAATGGGATGGCTGGGTCAAATGGTATTTCTAGTTCTAGATCCCTGAGGAATCGCCATACTGACTTCCACAATGGTTGAACTAGTTTACAGTCCCACCAACAGTGTAAAAGTGTTCCTATTTCTCCACATCCTCTCCAGCACCTGTTGTTTCCTGACTTTTTAAAGATTGCCATTCTAACTGGTGTGAGATGGTATCTCATTGTGGTTTTGATTTGCATTTCTCTGATGGCCAGTGATGGTGAGCATTTTTTCATGTGTTTTTTGGCTGTATAAATGTCTTCTTTTGAGAAGTGTCTGTTCATGTCCTTTGCCCACTTTTTGATGGGATTGTTTGTTTTTTTCTTGTAAATTTGTTTGAGTTCATTGTAGATTCTGGATATTAGCCCTTTGTCAGATGAGTAGATTGCAAAAATTTTCTCCCATTTTGTAGGTTGCCTGTTCACTCTGATGGTGGTTTCTTTTGCTGTGCGGAAGCTCTTTAGTTTAATTAGATCCCATTTGTCAATTTTGGCTTTTGTTGCCATTGCTTTTGGTGTTTTAGACATGAAGTCCTTGCCCATGCCTATGTCCTGAATAGTAATGCCTAGGTTTTCTTCTAGGGTTTTTATGGTTTTAGGTCTAACGTTTAAGTCTTTAATTCATCTTGAATTAATTTTTGTATAAGGTCTAAGGAAGGGATCCAGTTTCAGCTTTCTACATATGGCTAGGCAGTTTTCCCAGCACCATTTGTTAAATAGGGAATCCTTTCCCCATTGCTTGTTTTTCTCAGGTTTGTCAAAGATCAGATAGTTGTAGATATGTGGCATTACCTCTGAGGGCTCTGTTCTGTTCCATTGATCTATATCTCTGTTTTGGTACCAGTACCATGCTGTTTTGGTTACTCTAGCCTTGTAGTATAGTTTGAAGTCAGGTAGCATGATGCCTCCAGCTTTGTTCTTTTGGCTTAGGATTGACTTGGTGATGCGGGCTCTTTTTTGGTTCCATATGAACTTTAAAGTAGTTTTTTCCAATTCTGTGAAGAAAGTCATTGGTAGCTTGATGGGGATGGCATTGAATCTATAAATTACCTTGGGCAGTATGGCCATTTTCACAATATTGATTCTTCCTACCCATGAGCATGGAATGTTCTTCCATTTGTTTGTATCCTCTTTTATTTCCTTGAGCAGTGGTTTGTAGTTCTCCTTGAAGAGGTCCTTCACATCCCTTGTAAGTTGGATTCCTAGGTATTTTATTCTCTTTGAAGCAATTGTGAATGGGAGTTCACTCATGATTTGGCTCTCTGTTTGTCTGTCATTGGTGTATAAGAATGCTTCTGATTTTTGTACATTGATTTTGTATCCTCAGACTTTGCTGAAGTTGCTTATCAGCTTAAGGAGATTTTGGGCTGAGACAGTGGGGTTTTCTAGATATACAATCATGTCGTCTGCAAACAGGGACAATTTGACTTCCTCTTTTCCTAATTGAATACCCTTTATTTCCTTCTCCTGCCTGATTGCCCTGGCCAGAACTTCCAATACTATGTTGAATAGGAGTGGTGAGAGAGGGCATCCCTGCCTTGTGCCAGTTTTCAAAGGGAATGCTTCCAGTTTTTGCCCATTCAGTATGATATTGGCTGTGGGTTTTTCATAGATAGCTCTTATTATTTTGAGATACGTCCCATCAACACCTAATTTATTGAGAGGTTTTAGCATGAAGGGTTGCTGAATTTTGTCAAAGGCTTTTTCTGCATCTATTGAGATAATCATGTGTTTATTGTCTTTGGTTCTGTTTATATGCTGGATTACATTTATTGATTGGCATATATTGAACCAGCCTTGCATCCCAGGGATGAAGCCCACTTGATCATGTTGGATAAGCTTTTTGATGTGCTGCTGGATTCGGTTTGCCAGTATTTTATTGAGGATTTTTGCATCAATGTTCATCAAGGATATTGGTCTAAAGTTCTCTTTTTTGGTTGTGTCTCTGCCAGGCTTTGGTATCAGGGTGATGCTGGCCTCATAAAATGAGTTAGGGAGGATTCTCTCTTTTTCTATTGATTGGAATAGTTTCAGAAGGAATGGTACCAGTTCCTCCTTGTACCTCTGGTAGAATTCAGCTGTGAATCCATCTGGTCCTGGATTCTTTTTGGTTGGTAAGCTATTGATTGTTGCCACAATTTCAGAGCCTGTTATTGGTCTATTCAGAAACTCAACTTCTTCCTGGTTTAGTCTTGGGAGGGTATATGTGTCGAGGAATTTATCCATTTCTTGTAGATTTTCTAGTTTATTTGCGTAGAGGTGTTTGTAGTATTCTCTGATGGTAGTTTGTATTTCTGTGGGATCGGTGGTGATATCCCCTTTATCATTTTTTATTGCGTCTATTTGATTCTTCTCTCTTTTCTTCTTTATAAGTCTTGCTAGTGGTCTATCGATTTTGTTGATCCTTTCAAAAAACCAGCTCCTGGATTCATTTATTTTTTGAAAGGTTTTTTGTGTCTGTATTTCCTTCAGTTCTGCTCTGATTTTAGTTATTTCTTGCCTTCTGCTAGCTTTTGAATGTGTTTGCTCTTGCTTTTCTAGTTCTTTTAATTGTGATGTTATGGTGTCAATTTTGGATCTTTCCTGCTTTCTCTTGTGGGCATTTAGTGCTATAAATTTCCCTCTACACACTGCTTTGAATGTGTCCCAGAGATTCTGGTATGTTGTGTCTTTGTTCTCGTTGGTTTCAAAGAACATCTTTATTTCTGCCTTCATTTCGTTATGTACCCAGTAGTCATTCAGGAGCAGGTTGTTCAGTTTCCATGTAGTTGAGCGGTTTTGAGTGTGTTTCTTAATCCTGAGTTCTAGTTTGATTGCACTGTGGTCTGAGAGACAGTTTGTTATAATTTTTGTTCTTTTACATTTGCTGAGGAGAGCCTTCTAACTATGTGGTCAATTTTGGAATAGGTGTGGTGTGGTGCTGAAAAAAATGTATATTCTGTTGATTTGGGGTGGAGAGTTCTGTAGATGTCTATTAGGTCCATTTCGTGCATTTTCTTAGCCCTCTGCCAACACTGAGACAGCAAGACCAACCCCAACTTTCTCTTTACAGCTGTAATGATATCTATTCAACCAGTTTCTGCTTACCAATATTAAGCTTTTTCTCCTTAACCTTTTGCTATTACTAACTACACTGCAATGAACAACCTTGAACACATCCCTTTTTGCACATGTGAGCATGTATTACTCGAAATTCAGTTCTGAAAACAGAGACTGCTCCATTTTAAGGATGCAGGGATTTAATGTGGGCAATTTTGTACTCACAAGTCATTAGAGGGTTGTTGGCCTAGCTGGAAAAATGAGTTCTTTGAAGGAGTCCCCAGAAAGACCTCAGAATTGACAGGCCATCAGAACTCTTCTGTACCTTTGTGGCTCCCCCTGCAATATTAAGTTCAAATTCAAAAACACATTCCATACCTCTGATTCAAGAATCAGAAAGCCAAGGTCAAGAAAAAATTTTCTCCTTTGAAATTGTTCCTTCTTAGCTAGGGCCCTGGGGAATGGATGGTGGGATGCTGCTGCAGAAAAAGACCTCACACATTTTTGAACTTGTTGGCCATCAGAAAATAGTCAAAAGAGACAAAAAGATGGCTTCATCCACACTTCTGCCCTCTAAATCTTACTTCACTACATATAATTGATGGAACCTAACTTGCTTTTAGAACGCTAATTACATAGCAGTCTGAGAAATATTGACTTTAGTTTTCTGGAGTCTGCAGTAGTATAAGAAGGTACTCTAGATAAAGGCTGGAATCAATGGTGAGTCGGTCTAACAGAGAATATAGCATCAATTTAATTGATAATATTATTCTAAAGAATTAAGAAAAGCTCTCACAGAAACATTATAGTTTTCTCTGTGACTAATTAAAAGAATTATTTTTATTGATAGTTGATATTTGACCACATCAGATCAGAGCAAGACTTCCCTCCCATAAATACATTGTGTTTAGTCAAAGAACATGGTCCCAAAGTAGCAGAAAGAATTAACTCTGGAGCAAACAGGCTGAAGCACTCACACATACACATATAGCTCAAACCATAGTGATTCACTCAGGAAAGTGAAGTTGAAGTGGGATTCGTGTGTGATATTAAAGCCTACATGCTCCAAGTAGGGGGAAACAGTGGAGAAGAAAGAAGGCGATCCTGAAAGCCTAGCTGATTGATAAAATATTCAGTTGTTGGAAGTAATAAGGCTAATGGGAATTTTCTTGCACAGTTGTTGAACCACTGTAATGTGCAGAAGTTAGGATGCAGTGCAAGTGAAAGGGCGTTATTAGTAATTGTTTGGAGTAGTAAGATAATGGTCCATAATGTTGGTAACCAGTAAAAATACAGAAATAAAGCACAGTGGCAGCTGTTACAGATTTGTAGTAATGAAAATCTGCGTGATGATGCCGATGTTAAACTTCCATGGTTAAGAGGGAGCACATTTTTACTCACTGCTTGCATGTAGAAGACAATGAAGTGCTGTATAAGCAGGAGCACATAATAGGGATTCCTGGAAAGAATATATGTTAATAAATTTGTTTCTTAGAGGAGACTAATTATAAGTAACAATATTATGACTTTAATGGAGAACCAGCATTCCTTGGACTATAAATTCAACTGTAGTCCATTTTTTTCTGAGGAATTCTTAGAAGGGCTAAGTGCAAAACCTAAGCTAGCTTTTATCTAAGGCCTGGCAACTACATTCTTTCATTTGCTTGGGCAAAATGCTTGGGGTTGTCTTTGACTTTTGCTCTCTGAATGCGCATTCAACCATTATAAAATCCTGTTGACTCTACCTTCAGAATTGATGCAGAACCTGACTGCTTCTCACTACTTCCACTGCAACCACTATGTGGCCACCCACCATCAGTTATTGACTGATTTTTTCAGCTATTCCTCTGCTTCTTCACTTGCTCCCCATGTCTATTTTCAACACAACATCCACAGCAATCTTAAAAATCAGGTCACCCTTTGCTCAAAATTCTGCAATGTTTCCTTATTTTGCTTACAGAAAAAGCTAAAGTCTGTGCCTCTGCCTGAAGAGCCTGGAAGGCCCTATGTGACCTGCTTGCTCACCATCACCAGCTTTCCCCTCCTCCTTGTCTCCCTGCCCCACCCTTTCGTCCACCCACCCACCCGCATCATCTTCCTTGTTCCTTCAACTGGCAGGCAAGATCCAACACTAATGTCCTTGCACTAGCTCTTCTCTTGCCAGAATCCTACATTACTGCCTCATCTCTTAAGCATTTGTCAAATGTGCTTTAAAAAAATATTAACCTGGCTGCCTTATTTAAAGTGCAACCTACCCCACCACACATAATTTCTTATCCCCTTTATCATTTCCTTTATTCCTTTTATGACAATTTTAGTTTCTAAGTTGCTGTATAATATTCTTATGTATTGTTTTCATGGTTTATTGCATTTGTCTTCTGCTAGGTAAGTAACTTTAACTGTTTTGTTCATTAATGTATCCTAAATCCTTTAGTACCAGGCCTGGCACAGAATGGGTGCCCAATACATCCATTTAAGTTTTTGTTGGAAAGATAGCCTCTCTGCACTGAGAGCAGATTTGGCAGGTGCTCTAATAGTTCATATAAGGCTATAACATTATTTGAGTGAACAGAAACTCAACCAATGGGTTCCTTTAGCTAGTCCACCCATAACATCTCCCGATTCCCACACTACCAGTGCTTGTTTGTCACAGTTCAGCAGGAAGGAGTATGATACAATGACAATGGTTTGGAGTCTAACACTCTCCAGATTTTAACTCTACTAGCTACTGACTAAATGGCCTGAAGGAAATTAGCCTTTTTTACACATCATTTTTCTCATCTATGAAATGAAGGTTCTATTAATCGGGTCTCATAAAGTGGTTGTGAAAATTAAATGAGACAGTGCAGGTAAAATGTTGAGCATTCAGTACATTACTTTATGTAAATGTAATTATAAAGCACTTGAGACAATGCATTTAGGATGTCATTCATTACTCTATAATTTTAGTTGTGGTTTTAATTTGCTTAGTAAACTTCCCTTTATTAGGCAGTAGAAAGATAAACTTTATCCAAGCTCAAATCTGAATTATCAATAACTCTAATACTAGTATATGAATTATTTTATTGTATTGTGAACTCTTAGAAGTAAAATCCATATTCAAGTGAAAGTATAAAACATAATATGATTACATATGAATGAATTTGGATAATCTATTCAGCTTTTCTACATTATTAAGATATGACTTAACTATACTTCTAACTGAATCACATTTTCTTAAATATTATTATAGATAGATAATGAGCTTTTTATGGTTTCAGCTTTCAAACACGAATTTATTATTTGGCATTTCTATTTTTAACAAAGTTTTTCTCTTAGGCCATCTGGATTATGCTAGTTTAATTTTTAAATTTTGACATTTTCAATTAGCTTCAATTTGTCAGTTACACATCTGAATTAAATAGTTGTCTAAATTTTAATCATCTTTGGGAATAAATCTTAGCATAATTGATTAGCAATTCTTGATATTGCAGTTTTTTAAAGAATATTCTGTCATTAAATGTGAGTTTCAAACCCATTGGAAATGGTCTCTTTTGTTACATAAATCTGGCTTTCAATTTTTGAACCCATTACCTTAATGTTCAATGCTATTCCCCATTCTGAAAACTCATTTTGTGTGTGGGTACTTGAAATGTTCAGAGATATTATCAAGAACATGACCAATAAGCCATAAAACTGCTCAACTCATTACTAGTACACTTTATTTGTTACTTGGAAAATTTCATTTCAGATTACTTTGGAAGAGAGAGTGAATATATATGTAGCAGTTCTCTCAGTGTAAGAATGTATTTTCCCATGCACAATTTATTTGGAGTTGCACTCTAGCTGTTAGGTAAGTATGAAACTAAGGCCATTGTGTTTAGAAAATGTATTACAGGAATCTGAGCTTTCAGTGGAATCAGATAAGCTGGAGAAATGTGCCTAGGAGCTAAGTGTTCCTTTCATTCTCCTGACTTGCAGTCCACCTTAGGGTAAGACATTCCCATCTACAGCAAATTCACCAGCATTGGAACAGCATGGAAAAACACCCAAGAGCAGCCTTCTGCAAACTGGCTTTCCTAAAAGGGATATACTAAATCTCTCTTCCAAGACTGAAGGAATTAAGCCAAAACCAAGAACTTAAATTAAGGGTAACCAGGGTGATTTCAATCAGAATTTCAACTTTTCATCATCTTTTGATACCTGTAGTGAATTTTGAATCAGTTAGAAGAGATTGTAGTCAAAGTCTTCTATGTAAAAAACTTCTTTAAACTTGTCAATCAAAGACAAAACAGGCACATGGCAGAGTACTGCTCTATGAACTTCTGTTGGCTAGAAAGGAAGGGCCTGTCTCTTAATCTTTAGAAGGCTTCAGATAATTACTGAAATAGATTTCAGGTACACTTCAGAGGACATTTACTTTTCACCTCTGCCGATAAGTGGCATGATGGTACAGCCTATTTTTCTTTGGTTTTCAGTGGGATTAAAAGCTCACCTTGAATGTTTCAAAACCTTGTAAGAAGGTGCTTTGGAGCAGGTTGTAAGATATATGAGTATATAGCAAAGCTTAGTTTGTTGTCTTTTATAAACACTTTAAAGATCTTTGGATTAAAGGAATAATCTGTGGAGAACATTTTTAGTTGCTAAAATAAAGTGTGTGTTCATAGCTGGATAGTCTTTATCTTTATTTTAGGCCATAACTACTCTTTGTGTTGAATAAGAGGAAGGCAAAAGATGAATGTGGAGATGTTCCCTTCCTGGAAAGCAAGTGTTGAGGGTAAAAGCAGTTTCTAGAAATGAATAAGTTAAGGTGGAATCAGCAAGAATAATTTAGCCCTAAGCAAATGACAGTCGTCATTGTTAACTGTGAATTCACAGGGCCCATGCGAATAGGATATGGCTGTTAATCATGATTGAAGAGGTCACAGATTTGGATGGTAAAAAAACCCAGCCTATAATGTCCAGAAAAAGGAAACAAAATAGTTTTTTTCTGCAGGGAAGTTTCACCATGATACATAGGAAGTAGCAACACTTCCAAGTGCTTCCTAACGTGAGAACTATTCTCAGGTTTTACTTCTATCAGTAAGTTATTCTTCCTGACAAAATGGGTGGAATGCCATCTTTTCCCTCACTGTAACACATAATAACATAGCAGAAAAGACATAGGAAACAAGATTTTCAGTTCACAGTGGTAAGAGAAACACAAAAGTGCAACTTCAAAGTGAAAACAAAGAGAAAAAGCATTTCCCAGTAATAGGTTGCTTGTTTGCTTGGAAGAAGGGGGCAGAATATAAGGGCTAAGAATGATAGGTCAATTAAAAAGAAAATGAAACTTAAAAAGAACATTGACTTTAGGAACAGTCAGACTTGTGTTTTCATGTTTTCATTCCAACTTGTGAATATAGGCAGGACCCCTAAGCCTCCATTTTGTCATATATAGATTGGAAATAATAAAAAGATAATAAACTAACTCATATAGTTGTTGTGAGAGTCCAGTACTTAATGTAGTTAATGGAATGCTAGGCATGTAAGTGCTCAAGAGTTTGCTACTGCTCTCATTCACCCCCAGAATACCATTGATAAAGGCTATACAGTTAAAGTATATTTGAGCAAATACATGTGTAGGACCTGAAAGAAAAAGCCTTTATATGAGAAAACAACATGTAAGTATCAATAAGTAAGAGAAAAGAAGTGTGTGGTAAACAAGAATGTCATCAGGTTTAGGAGGAAAAGCAATATGGACTGAACTGGAGACAGGCTTAAAAGTTGTCACAGTTTTCCTTAGAATTGATGTAAGATTTGTCTTTATTTGTGTCTATATTTATGACAAAGTTAATTGTAGAGTAACCTACAGATGATTAGTTCCAGTCATTACTATACATCTGTCTTAAATTAATAAACCTCTCAAGGTCTATAAGATCCATTTCCATTCTGTGTTTTTGTTTTTTTCTCCTGTATACTTGAGCAGTCTAGATTTTGGTGCCCAGAGAAAGGAAGAGCTAAAAAGTGACACTCCTTTATAGCAATTTTGCTTTAAGAAGCCTCTATTCTTTCTGTCTGTGTTAAATACCCATATCTACATGTATTTGTCTTAACATGCTATATTTTTACATATGGCTAAATGTTATTGCAGACTCCTCATGAGCTTTCATTCAATACCATGAGTCTCCAACGAAGCAAAAGGAAAACACTTTCTTTCTCTGTTCAGCTCTCATTTTTCTAACCAGAGGAACTGTAGAAAGACATGTTGGATTTGTTTCTCTCTGATCACTTACTTTTTGGCTATAGAGCTCCTTTTAAGGGAGGCAATGTTCTTGGATCAGTCTGATTTGGTCAGGAAAGAGGAAGCCATTTTAGGTATATTAGCGGAAAGAAAATTAATATAAAGAATTTCAGGCTTAGACAACCACTGGAAGAGCTGCAAAAGGAAAGATCAGAAAGGCCTCTTCCAAGAAATCTGGAAGTGTGAGGATTTCATGGAAGCCACCAATAATGATTTTAGTTGCCAGCAGAGCTGAAATAGGAGCACAGGAGAATTTCCACAATAGGAGTGAGCCAGACCCCATCTCTTTTCCTCTCCAGATCTTGTCTTTACCTTCTCCTTCCCTGCCTTCTATCCCAGGAGGCTGACTGTATGGACTAAATGGGTGGCCCACCTTGTCCTCTAGCTTCCTGTTGAGTTTGGCCAGTGGGGAGCACCAACAGGAGATGAGAAGTTGTGGTTAGAGCAGTTATTCTCCTGCCTTACTCTCTTCAAGGTCACTTCAGGAAGGCTGTGTTCTTTGACTGTAGGTTCTCTCAGGTTAACCTCTTCTCCCAACATCTTCCTTCTTGGTATTGGTGACTGTTCCTTCCTCTTATCCTTTCAAGCCAACAGATGATAACAGCTTTTACCAACCCCACCATTCTGCAGTACACTTTGGAGTTCCACTACATCCTGCAAGATCTTTGTATTGTAAATGCTCCAAGTTCCTGTTGGGAACTGGACTGATATAATCATTTGTACCATGAGCTTCCCTAAGAAATGCACCTTTAAGATGGGTGACTGGAATTGGGTGGTTTATTTTTAAAGGAACTCAGGGATAACCTCTTTGCCAGGATGAAAGGGACATGTGTAATACACGGTGTGTGCTGGAATCTGCTCACATGATCATGCCTGATAGCATAAGATAAAGTAGAGGTGAGGGGCAAGACCTGACTGGAGTAGCTGAGGAATTGAGTTATTTTGTAAATAATAAATAAAAATACAAGAGCTATGGAATCAGTTGTTTATCAATTTGGGCAGCAGAGAGCATAAACAGAAATTAAGAGCCATAAACATATAATTAAGAATACTTGTGGGAGATTGGAACCTCTCCTGAGGTTGCATATCTAGAAGCGTAAATGTAAGGACTGCAGAGTTGTAGCTCCAGTTAAATGTTCAGTCCTGCCAGATCTCTCATTTAAAAGGAAGGACACAGGGAAATAAGTGGAATCTTGAGATTTGGGTCGGGGCCATTTGGGAAAATTGTGGACTGACATTGAAATCTTTGATCTCCAACTACCTGTAAAATCCCCTTGTTGGTGAGGGAGCCTTGTCCCTCTATCAGCCCTCCTTTAGTTAAAGTATTCAGTTATTACATGACAGGCAATTGTCTCAGGAGCTGATGAAGATCTTTTGAACATCCACCCTGATTTCTTATTACCTTTGTGTCCTCATTAATTACATACCAACATAGCCATAAGAAGTTAAAATCTTGCTTTGCAAGGAGGGGGTCTTAAATCAATTGTCACAAGATTTCAATATCTGTATTGTCAGGGGCATTGGTCATATGAGTAGGAGTATGTTTGAAAGATGATAAACCAAGAACAAGGAAATATGCTCAGTTGGGTCAAATCTTCATCAATAAAGGTAAATTCATAAGGTATTAGGATTTAATATGTGTGTTTAAGCCTCAGAGAGTCATCTAAATATTCCGATAGCTTGGGTCATTGAAGCCTGGGATGGAAAGATAACCAAGTTAATAAGATAAAGTGCTAGAACTTTCCTGGCACCATACAGGAAGGAATCTGAAGACTTAGCTATATAGGAATGTTAGATGAATATATTACACAAAATCTATGAAATATCTCTCAGTCATAAAATTCTAAGATGTTTAGAATTGTGACCTATGAACTTACCCTGATTTCTGGAGACCTGAAACATTACCATGGTTTTCTGGTCAGAATGAGAGCTTATGATTGTCAGGTGATAATGAAGTCTTGGCTCATTTCCAGGTAAAATAAGTCCTGTAATTACTGTATTTCTCAAGTCTTAGAATGTATAGAGAAAACAGATACACTTTGAAACTATTAGAACCCCTGATCCATGGGATGAAGGCTAAATGGCAGGAAGGACTAAACATAAGTCCTGACACTGATTCTTCTAACAAAGATAATAAACCCAAAGCATAACCTTATCTTTCGTGTAATTGCCAAGATTCATGTCACCATCAAATATTTAACTGATACAGTGATACTGATTCCCACTACATCCTTATTTAAACTTTCCCATTTGGCTAGTGCCAAAGCCAGATGGGTTGTAGAAAATGAAGGGTAATTATCCCAAACTTATTCAGTGATGATGCCAATTGCAGCTGCAGTTCCAGATGTGCTACTTATACTAGAGCAAATAAGCACAGCTTCTTGTAGTGATTGATCTGCAATCTTTATTTTTTTTTTTCATTTCAATCAGTGAGGAAAATCAGAAGCAATTTTCATTCAATGGCAGGGATAACAGTATATTTTTATTATGTTGAGCTCCTACTCTATGTTGAATGATGTTGACCCTCCTACTCTCTAGCATCTCTATCATCTGAAGGGACCTTGATGATCTTAATATCCCATAGAATGTCATGCTGATCTGTAACATTGATAGTAGTATGCCACTTAAAATTGCTGAACAAGATGTAGCAAGTGCTCTGAATGCATTAGTAAGACATATTTGAACCAGAATGTGGAAGAAATTTCAGAGGCTTGTCACATTATCTCTTTCTAGGGGTCCATGATTTGTGTTCTATTTAGCTTTTCCATCTAAAGAGAAGAAGTGGTATTTTGCTGTTCATCATAAAAAGAAAATGCTTGATGAGCTTCTGTAGATTTTGGAGAAGATATATAGCTCAACAATATGTTCCTCAACTCACCAAGGCTGAGCTGCTGCTTATTCTTCTGTGTTGCCCATCTGTCGAAAGCAGAGGCCAATGCTGAGTCTTCAATATGGCATTATTCCTCAGTGGGGACAGCCAGCAAAATGGTGGCTATCTGATTATATTGGACCACTTCCATCATCAAGGGGTCATGCTTTGTATCACATGAATAGATTAATATTCTGGGATGAATTTGCCTTCTCTGTCAGCAGCAGCATGTGTGTACTCATGGAAAGCCTTATCTATCAATATCACCTCCAATTAGACGGCTGCTTTTAGGTTAAAGAATATACATTAATAAGCCTACGCCTCAAAATTATTCCATACTACATTATCCAAAAGCAGTTGACTTGATAGTGTAATAAAATGGCCTTCCATAGGCTCAGTTACATTGCTCACTAGTACATAACTCCTTTCAAGATTGGGCTTTTATTCTACACATTGCAATACCCCCCCAATGCATACATATACATATTTGTGTGTATATGTATTGTGTATATGTATTTGTATATATGTGTGTGAGTATATTTGTATTCTCATAGTTAGAATGTATAGATCTGGAAACCAATGGGTAAAAGTACATTCATCTTTCAAGATTGTTTATTTTTGAAAAAAATGACTAATAAGCACCTTAATCATTGAGTTATGATTAAATAAATCCATTGAATTTAATTAGCATAATACCATCAATGTCACAGATCAGCATGACATTCTATGGGATATTAAAATGATCAAGATCCCTCCAGATGACAGAGATGCTAGAGAGTAGGAGGGTCAACATAATTCATCTGTAGGTTTTAAAGAATTTTGCCTGTTTTTTTTATCAGCTCTTGATGGAGTGGAATCTAGGATTGGAAGTTATTCTCAAATTTCTAAGATAGGGCTGGTATTCATTCAAAAGGAGATAACTTGTAGATATTAGGGAGGATTGATTTGTTGTCATCAAGGCTATCGATAGTACCTTAGTCTTGATAGTTTGAGGTTTCTGAGAGCTTTGTTAATTATAGTTTTAAAATCCCTTGGCTCTCTTCATCTTTCCTGAAGTTTGGTATGATAAAGATAGTGGAAATTCCAAGTAATGATCATTTACAGAGTTCTTAAATAACAGAAATGATGAAATGTGTGTCCCTATTACTGGAGAGATAAGTTGGAATTCCTGAAGTGTAAAATCATGCTTTCTTTTTCCTACCTTTACAGTGAAAGCTTACATCAAGGTAAAGCCTCAAACTATCTGAAGAATAAAAACAATAATTATAACTCACTAATAGCTTATTCGAAGGTGTTCGAAGGAATCCTGAAACTCATGGTCTATTATTTAGACATTTTAATCTCTTGTATTGTCAAATGTGATCCTCTCTATTGATGACAGATCCCTCAACTAGGCACTGGGTAGCATGTCCACCTCTATCACCCACATACTTAATAAGCTTGCTCCATGTCAGACGCCGTGGCTCACACCTGTAATCCAAGCACTTTGGGAGGCCAAGGTGGGCGGATCACCTGAGGTCTGGAGTTTGAGACCAGACTGGCCAACATGGTGAAACCCAGTCTCTACTAAAAATACAAAAATTAGCTGGGCATGGTGGCACGTGCCTGTAATTCCAGCTACTCAGGAGGCTGAGGCAGGAGAATCACTACTGCACTCCAGCCTGGGTGACAAGAGCAAGACTGTATCTCAAAAAAATAAAATAAAAATAAAAAATAAGCTAGCTTCATTGATTTTTCCACCCTTCTCCCACTACTTGACTCTCTCTCTTTCCTTTGGGCATACAAATGTGTTAGTCTCTCCCAAATATGAGGAACTTTCTCAGATGTTAAACCATCTCTAGATTTTTCTGTACCTCTCGCATTCCTTTAAAATGACACTTTTTGATTCTTCAGTGACCCCTCAAACCATGGCACTCTAGTTCCAGTCCTTATCACATCAAGCAAAAGTATCTTCAACAGTAATTATTTGTTTCTCAACACAAAGCTTACTCTACCAGCTTCAGATATGATATGATTACCTTTCTTCTCCTACAAAATTGCTGAATCCAATATTGCTCCTTGTAAAAAATGTCAGTAAAGGGCAAAATTATAAAACTTAGGCTATAAATTACAAAAACATGCTCCAGAATCTAACTGGGTCTGTTTCAAAGAAACCTGGTGGCTTTTCTTGATGTTGTTTTTTGTAAGCTAATCATTCACTATTCTACTTGACCTCTACCAGTTTAGGTGCAACAAGAAATATTTGCTATAATACACATTTTTTTATTTGGCTAGCTAAGAAGCAATTAATTCCTGTGTAATTAACCATAACTCTAAGTAATAAATGTAACTTTAATGATTTGTTGGGCATCCAGACAAAATTTGTATCATTTGTTATATCTGCCAGTTTCAAAATACCTTTTCCAATTGTCCTGTCTTACTGTATGCATCGAGAGAAGGTTGGCTATTCCTTCTAGAAGTTTCTCCAAAGTAGCCTAAGTTTGCCTCTTTGGGAAGGTTTTTGAATGTTATTTTCAGGGAAAGATGATCTATGGTAGGTTGGTGATTTAAACATTGGAAAGTCTGGCAATTATCCTGAATACACAGGATAAGTTAGTGTGTGACAGGTCAAGGTAAGCTTGATGTCCACATTACCTAGTGGAACAACTAGCTGAAAAGTGCTAAGGGTATTTTGCCAATAGAAGAGATTTTATGGCAGGGGAATCCATTAAGCTTAGTGGGCACTTTACAACTAAATCAACCATGGATTTCACAAGTTTTTCTATTGCTGCTATAACTCTTAGACACGATGGATATGGCTTGGCTACTGAATTTAAAGTAAGACTGAAATAAGTAATAGATCTGTGATTACATACATACTATTGGCTCACACCCCTAATAATTTTTCAGACTTTAAATGAACAAAAAAGAAAAAGTTTTATGAACCTAGAGTCACGGAAGTAAATCCCATTAGTGACATTTATTGTACCCATATTTAAGGTGAAATAAAAATATGCTTTTTTAATTTGACAAGTTTTTCAATCATTAAAAGATCATTTATATTTACATATTTACTAGAAAGATAAACTCTTGATTTTTTCAAATTAAAAAATATGTGTTAAGTTTGGTAGACAAGAGCTTTCAGAACTATTTCGAATTAAGTAAAATTTAGGAGCACTATTTCTATGCCCCTTTCTTTTATAAGGTAAAGGAGGAAATTTTGGGAAACTCATAATGTAGGCCTAAAAGATAATAGTTTTGTTTTACTGAATTTGGTACCGAAATTGAAAAGTTAAAACTTTCCCAATAAAATTGGGATAAAATTCATTTCAGACCTGCCATCTGAGAAAAAAACCTTAATATTTATATTTATAGAAGATATATGATTTGGATGACAAATTAAAGAAACTTGAGCTTCTTTGCTATTGCCTAAGGAGATTGCCCTAATAAAAGTGGAACTTACAAAAAATGCTTCACGATATTAAGCACAATAGAAGAAATAAACTAACCTTTGTGGAGTTTATGAGGGACTGTTGAGGATGTTTCCAATTTACATGTTACCTGCTAATATAACATGACCTTGGGAAGCCCATAAAAGTAGGATATGGACAGGAACCTGAGCTTCTGAATTATCTTTTCAATTTGTCACCAACAGAAACCTAAAGGTAAGTGTGATAGTTGATCCGAGAACTATGTAACTTAAAATTTAGATGACAGGGGCCAGGCATGGTGGCTCATACTTGTAATCTCAGCACTTTGGGAGGCCGAGCTGGGAGAATCACTTGAATTCAGGAGTTTGAGACCAACCTGGGCAACATAGTGAGACCCCATTTGTACAAATAATCAAAAATTAGCCGGGCCTGGTGGTATGCACCTGCCAATCCTAGCTGCTCAGGAGGCTGAGATAGGAGAATTGCTTGAGCCCAAGAAGTTAAGGCTACAGTGAGCCATAATCACAGCATAGCACTCAGCTTGAGTAACAGAGTGAGACCCTGTCTCAAAAAAAAAGTAGATGCCAAAATAAGGAATAATTTAATTAACTTACTTAATTTACATAACTAAATTATGTATGGTACTTTTGAGGCAGGAGACTGGGAGGACTTGTTTTCTGGTCACAACACTGCTGACCAAAACAGGATCTGGTCCAGACAGGGCAAAGTGAAGAAACCTGAAGGAACCAACAGATGGTGATGAGAGCTCTCCCTAGCTTCCCTCATTGCTCATTAGCATAAGACAGTCCCACTCACACTATGACAGTTGGAAAATGCCATGGAAGCAACCTGGAAGTAACTGCCCCTTTCCCATAAACTTCTAAACAACCTGCCTCTCAATTTACATTGACCTACCTCTTAATTTGTATGTGATTGAAAGTGGGTTTACATGAGTATAAAGGGCTCAGTGCCAAGCACCCATATCTTGCCGACTCCGGGAGCACCGCCTGTGAGTTATCCCTGCCCTGTAAAGAGCAGTACCATTCGATAAAAGATTACAATCTAATACCACGGGCTTGCCCTTGAATTCTTTCCTGGGCAAAGCCAAGAACCCTCTCAGGCTAAGCCCAAGTTTTGGGACTAGTCTGCCTTGCATCAATCTGGTTCTGTCTGAAGCAAACAGTAGGTATCCACTCCCTGAATCCTTAGAAGTTTTGTATCCCTCCTTTACACTAGGCAAAGAAGTTGTGTGATTATGACTAGGTGTCTAGGTCACAGCTTTAGAGGGCTAGGGTTTAACTAACATGTTATGGGCTGATAATTCTCAGACTACACACTCAGCACTCAGCCTTGATCTTCTCAAATGCTTGCTGCACATCTCCACCTGGATGCATCTGTGCAGATTTTTTATATTGTCCAGAAATAAATTCAAACCAAAGCATGCTTCTCAGCCTACATTTCGTCCAGCTTTCAGGAAAAATACCGTACATTCAGGTACCCCAAGCAAAAACATCTCAATTTTGTTCTTGAATTTTTCTCCTCCATAATATATATCCAATCACTTAAGTCCTCCTAAATCTTTCTTAGTTTGACGCCCACTGTTTTATCTATACACCAATACTTTTTAGCTTTGGTCCTTGGAATCTCTCACTTGCACTATTGCAAATCTTTGCTACTCCGAAACCTCAACTTTAATGTATATCTGTGACCATGTCCTTTTCCTTCATCACACTGTAAATTTTGTATGCAGGCAACTAATAAAGTGCATGGTACATGGTGAGCACCCAATAAACGTTTGTCAAACAGAATTGAGGACAAATGGGTGGTCTCTAGCTAAGGAGACTTAGAGCTACCATCACAGATGAAAACTCATCTTGCTAGACTGACCCCAGTCAGCCTTATTTTCAGCCTTATTTCTCACTCTTCTCATAACTGATTCTAATTGTACTTGTGCCCCAGAAATTCCCACGATAGCATATATTACCACCCAGCATAGCAGAATAGAATAATTACTGTACTTGTTTTAGAGTAAAACACACCTGGAATGCCAGCCCACTTCAGCCAATTACTATCTTTATGTGCTTGAGAAAACTCTGCAAACCAATTTAATGGGTAAAATAATAACCATCTCCTTCATAGTGTGAATGTGAAAATTGAGATTTTATATATATATAATTATTGACAAAATTACTGTTTCACAAACTTTAACTATTATTGCTCCATACTAGATGGCCCTGCCCTACCTGCTCCTCTTTGTTTCTCTGAATCCTGTGTAATCTTCCTATTCTTCATGGAAAGTTCATTCCCACCTTTATAATGCAATCTTCCCTGTTGGAAATTATTTTTTTGTCCTTTGCTCTGTTAGGAATTGCTTTAATAATGATATTAGCTACTTAATGTTTTAAGGACACTTTATATATAATTTTATTTAAAGAAGTAGAAATTAACTGTATTTGACAAACAAGAAAACTGAGAATACAGCAAAGTTGATTGCCCAAAGTCACATAAAAAGGAAAGAGCAAAATGATGATTTGAATTCATGAATATCCACTCACAGCCAATGTTACATGCTTTTTCAAAACCAAATGGACTTCATCACCTGAAACCATTCTGTTTATTTTATACTCATGTATTCTATTGCATTGTTGATTATCAAGTGTGGTAGATTAAATATGGCCACACATTCTCTACAGCTCTTCCCATAAGGATGAGTCTATTTCTGTATACATCTTGAATCTGTATTGGCCTTGTGACTTGCTTGGCCAATATAATGTAGTGGTAGTAAAGATGTATAAGTTGTGGAGCACAGGCCTCAAGAGACCTTGCAGATTTAGGCTTTATCCTCCTTAACTACTTCCACCTCTATCTAAGGAAATGCAGGATAGCCTACTGAATGACAAGAGAACACATGAAGAGGGCTCAGCCAACAGCCAGCATCATTCTCTTATTCCCTGCAACCCCAGGCAAGCTGTTAGTACACTGTAACCACATAATTGCCCAACAGAGAACTTTGCAAATAATCCAAGAATCAAGAGAAAAATAAATTTCATTTTAAGCCACTGAATCTTAGTGTGATTTGTTAAATTTATAAATATTTAGCTGATAGCAAAATTGGTACCTAGAGGTAGATTTCAGCTCTGATATAGACATGAAAATATGGCATTGGCTTTAAGACCAGGTGGTGGGTCAATGATAGAGAATGAATTATGAGACTATTAGAGGAGGCTGGAAAAGTAATGAGGAAACTGTTATGGGAGGCAGGAGAATGGACATCCGTGTTATGTAATTCCTGTACAATTAGCATAACTATTGCCTGTGGTAACTTAGAAGATAGAGAATATACCTGCCTTAGTCAGTTTAGGATGTTATGATAAAAATGCCATGGACCAAGTAGCTTGAACAAGAGAAACTTATTTCTCTCTCTTCTGGAGGCTGGAAAGTCCAAGATTATGGTGCCAATTTATTTGGTTCCCGATAGGAGTCTTCTTCCTGGTTTGCAGATGAATACCTTCTTACTGTATTCTCACATGGCAGAAAGAGATGATCTCTTTTGTGTCTTTTTGTAAGGACACCCATCCTATTCACGAGGGACCACCCTCATAACTTAATTACCTCCCACCTCCAAATACATTACATTGGGAATTAAGTTTGAACATGTCAATGTTGTGGGGGATACAAACATTCAATCCATGGCAATACCTAAAGAATATATAGCTCTGACAAAATAGATTTATAGACAGAATACTGAATGTGACAAGCTGCTTCTGTTAGTGTATGATAAGACACAGAAAGAAAGAAACTATAAGAGACTGTTCAGTTTGCAAGCCAAAACTATGAAAAGTATAGAAGTACCAGGACTTGCTGGATTGGAGAACAAACCACCTTTCACCCAGTCTTCTAGCTGGTAAAAAAAAAATTATCAATCAAATGAGGCCTGCAAGTAAATATCAAGTCGTGTGTGGCCATGAGATCCTTTCCAAAAGGTATTGCTAAGCCAGTGTCTGCATAGACTCTTACCTAGAAAACTCTAAATAGACTCTTTTTCTAGAAAATAGGGCATTTGAGAATCTTAAAAATATCCTCCCACAGCAGCCTCATATGTAGACTGAAGTAGAAATTTGGGAGTCCTCAGTAGGTAGATAATACATAAAGTCACAAAACTGGATGAGATAGACAAGGAAAAATTGGTAGAGTCAGTGAACAAGAGTCAATATAACTAAAGAGTTATAGCAATTGAGACGATATAATAAGCAGGAGAAGAGCAGTGTTAGCTTGCCATTGAGATTTCAGAGGTGCTACTCTAGTTATTGGTGATGACAATAAAAGTGTGTGGCAAAGGAGGGGGTAGGGGAAAAGATGGGTAGGCGTGAGAAACCACAGTGCTTGATGACTTCTTTGTGGTTGTTGACATCACCAAGAATGATAGCAGCTTTAGTAGAGGAGGGAAATCCCAAGCTCTGCTGTCTTCATCCTTTGTTAAATCAAGATTCAGGTGTTTTTGTTTTTGTCTTTATCCCTTTCAAGTGTTTTAGATTCTGTCAAAAAATAGATTTTTCAAAAAGCAAGTTCCTAAGCTATGGCAAACTATAATGGATTATTTTGTGAGAAAATAAGCCTAAAGGAGAAAATGATCAGAGAAATCTCAGTTAAGGAAGTCAGTGTGGTGGATCTCTCACTTCACATATCCCCTTGGAATAAGAGCTCTTCTGGAGAAGAACAAGTCTGAAATAAAATGTTGGAAAAAAATCAATAAATGATATTATATGTGAGGCCATATTCTCTCCTGCTGATGCATATTTTTATACTTAGCATCTCCAGAAAACAATGGTATAAATTAAAAAGAGAGGCTAAATAAGGTAGTGTCTATTCAGTTCTTTTTCTGTCACTAGAGAGTTTTTCTAGGGTTACCAAGAATTTATGTTTTGCTCTGTGATGGCTTAAATTTGGTAGAAGAAGCAGTTTGGGTAGCAACGTATCTGTGACATAGTTCCCTAATTAATAGTACTTAGGTCTGCATCTTTATGCTGAATAGACACAAAGAAAATTATCTGACCTCTATTACTCAAAAAGATAAATTTAACATCTCTAAATTTCCAAGATTTCCAAAGATTTCAAGATTTCCATAGAATTGTTTGGAAATTGTTTGGAAATGAAGATTTCCAAGATTTCCACAGGATTGTTACATTTATTGAGAAAATACAAAATGTATAAAAGCTGCTTTAAAATTATATAATGTTTTCAAATCAATTTGTATTTAAAGTGATAATTGCAACATGTATGTTTAAATATATACTAAAATTATATATGTATATACACATACACATATATAATTTAAATGCTTTTATTTCTCTGATATAAAATGCTTGGTGCTTATTTGGGTTTGAAAAGTTCTCACAGTCTCCCAGGGAACATGGTCCTGTCAATAAAAAATTGCACAGGACAAAGTTAAACAAGTAAGGAAGACTTTCGTCAAGACTATTGCAATAGGAGAGAGAGATTGAACTCAACTTCTCGGAAACAAAAGGCAGGGGGGTTTTAAGAGCTGGGCTGAGCTAGTAGAAAAGTACTGGAGGATATTGGGAGGGAGGGTGATAAATGGAATGTGTCAAGTAAATAGAGTTATTCCTGAGTTTGCAGGAATGTTTTTCTGTGTGATTAGTCCATCTGTGTTTGCTACTTGACAACAAGTAGATTGCTACCCTCCACAGAGACCAGGAGATAAGGGTGCTATTGTCCTTGGTTACATTTCAAAGGGGTGGCTCCAGGTTCTTGAGAAAGACAGTCCTGGGTGGTAAAACTGTCAAAAGGGTGGCAGATTTTACATACATTTCAAAAGGATGAGAAAGAATGTGCAATGACAGGTTTTCTAAATTAAATTCTGTAAGCAAAGGGAGGTCAGAAGCCTATAGTCAAAAAGAAGTCTGCCTAAAGTTTACTCAAGCTGAGGGCAACTTTAAGGTCATCTGGGTCAATCCCCAGGTTAAAAACACTGATTTTTAGACTACTTGTTATAGGAAGCCCACTAGACCAGAATTGAAAGTCCAGAGTTTTAGCATTAGCTTTCCCATGGCTAGCTATAGCTCTTGAGCAGATTGCTTAAACTCTCTAAGCCAGAATCCTCAGGATAAAAATATAAATAATTACATCTACTGTGACTATTTATAAGGATTATCATCAGGTTCAAATAAGATAAGGAATACTAGAATAAATGTCTATGATGATAATTATTTTATAACAACGGAAAATATTGAATAATTTTTTCACTGTGAACCTAAGACACACTATCTTTCCACATTTCACATTAACTTAAAGTAAGTTCAAGAGACCTATTGTACAACATGGTGACTATAGTTTACAATATATTGTGTTATTGGAAAGTGCTAAGACAGTGGGTGCAAAGTGTTAAAAACGATATGCATGTGAGGTAATGCATATGTTAACTTTTGTAAGTCATTCCGCAATGTATATATACTTCAGAACAATATGTTTTACATGGTAAATACAATATTTTCTGTCAGTTAAAAAAGTTTCGGATGGGCGCGGTGGCTCACACCTGTAATCCCAGCACTTTGGGAGGCTGAGGCGGGCAGATCATGAGGTCAGGAGATCGAGACCATCCTGGCTAACACGATGAAGCCCCGTCTCTGTTAAAAATACAAGAAAATTAGCCAGGCGTGGTGGCAGATGCCTGTAGTCCCAGCTACTCGGGAGGCTGAGGCAGGAGAATGGCGTAAATCCGGGAGGCGAAGCTTGCAGTAAGCCGAGACTGTGCCATTGCACTCCAGCCTGGGCGACAGAATGAGACTCTGTCTCAAAAAAAAAAAAAAAAAAAAAGTCTTACATTAACTTGCTGTATAATTACTCTGGTATTAGTCAAAGAGGGAGCTAGTCCTTCCCAAGTTCCTAATATAACAAAATGGCAGCACTTAATTAAATTCTTTTTTAAAAAGTTTTATTTTTCCATAAGCTATTGGGGTACAGGTGGTATTTGGTTACATGAGCAAGTTCTTTAGTGGATATTTGTGAGAACCTGGTGTACCTATCACCTGAGCAGTATATACTGCACCCTACTTGTTATCTTTTATCCCTCGCCCCCCTCCCACTCTTCCTCCCTAGTCCTGAAAGGTCACTGTATCATTCTTACGCCTTTGCGTCCTCATAGCTTAGCTCCTACATATAAGTGAGAACATAGAGTGTTTGGTTAGTGGGTGCAGCGCACCAGCATGGTACATGTATACATATGTAACTAACCTGCACAATGTGCACATGTACCCTGAAACTTAAAGTATAATTAAAAAAAAAAACATAAAAAAAAAAAAAAAAGAGTGTTTGGTTTTCCATTCCTGAGTTACTTCACTTAGAATAATAGTCTCTAATCTCATCCAGGTCATTGCAAATGCTGTTAATTCATTCCTTGTTATGGCTGAGTAGTATTCCATTGTGTGTGTGTGTGTGTGTGTCTGTGTGTCTGTGTGTCTGTGTATCAGTATATACCTGTTTCTTTCTTTCTTTCTTTCTTTTTGAGATGGACTCTCGCTGTGTCACCCAGGCTAGAGAGCAGTGGTGCGATCTTGGCTCACTGCAACTTCCGCCTCCTGGGTTGAAGCAATTCCTTGCCTCAGCCTCCCAAGTAGCTGGGGTTACAGGTACACACTACCATGCATGACTAATTTTTGTATTTTTAGTAGAGATGGGATTTCACCATCTTGGACAGGCTGGTCTTGAACTCCTGACCTCATGATCCACACATCTCGGCCTCCCAACGTGCTGGGATTACAGGCATGAGCCACCGCGTCCCAGCCCAGAGTTTCTTTATCCACTGGCTGACCGATGGACATTTGGGTTGGTTCCACAGTTTTGCTATTGTGAATTGTGCTGCTATAAACATGCATGTGCAAGTTATGTTTTACGAATAATGACTTCTTTTCCCCTGGGTAGATACCCAGTATTGGGATTGCTGGATCAAATGGTAGTACTATTTTTAGTTATTTAAGGAATCTCCACACTGTTTTCCATAGCGGTTGTACTAGTTCACATTCCCACCAGCAGTGTAGAAGTGCTCCCTGTTCACCACATCCATGCCAGCATCTACTGTTTTTTGATTCTTTGATTATGGCCATTCTTACAGAAGTAAGGTAGGATTGCATTGTGGTTTTGATTTGCATATCCTGGATCATCAGTGATGTTGAGCATCTTTTCATATGTTTGTTGGCCATTTGTCTATCTTCTTTTAAAATTGTCTATTGATGTCCTTTTCCCACTTTTTGATGGGATTGTCTTTTTCTTACTGATTTGTTTGAGTTCGTTGTAGATTCTGGATATTAGTCCTTTGTCAGATGTATAGATTGTGAAGATTTTCTCCCCCTCTGTGCACTGTCTGTTTACTCTGCTGACTGTTCCTTTTGCCATGCAAAAGCTCTTTAGTTTAATTAGGTCCCAGCTATTTATCTTTGTTTTTACTGCAATTGCTTTTGGGTTTTTGGTCATGAAATCCTTGCCTCAGCCAATGTCTAGAAGGGTTTTTCCAATGTCATCTTCTAGAATTTTTATAGTTTCAGATCTTAGGTTTAAGTCCTTAATCCATCTGAGTTGATTTTTGTGTAAGGTGAGAAATGAGGATCCAGTTTCATTCTCCTGCATGTGGCTAGCCAATTATCCCAGCACCATTTGTTGAAAAGGGAGTCGTTTCCCCACTTTAAGTTTGTGTTTGCTTTGTCAAAGATCAGATGGCTGTAAGTATTTGGGTTTATTTCTGGGTTCTTTATTCTGTTCCATTGGTCTATGTGCCAATTTTTATACCACTACCCTGCTGTTTTGGTGACTATGGCCTTATAGTATACTTTGAAATCAGGTAGCGTGATGCCTCCAGATTTGTTCTTTTTGCTTAGTCTTGCTTTGGCTCTGTGGGCTCTTTTTTGGTTCCATATGAATTTTAGGATTGTTTTTTCTAATTCTGTGAAGAATGATGGCGGTATTTTGATGGAGATTGCATTGAATTTTTAGATTGTTTTTGGCAGTATGGTCATTTTCACAATATTGATTCTACCCATCCATGATCATGGGATGTGTTTCCATTTGTTTGTGTTGTCTATTTCTTTTAGCAGTGTTTTGTAGTTTTCCTTGTAGAGGTCTTTTGACTCCTTTGTTAGGTATATGCCTAAGATTTTTATTTTTTATTTTTTGTCAGCTATTGTAAAAGGGGTTGAGTTCTTGATTTGATTCTCTGGTCACTCTTGGTGTATAGAAGAGCTACTGATTTGTGTACATTAATCTTGTATCTGGAAACTTTGTGGAATTAGTTTATCAGTTCTAGGAGCTTTCTGGAGGAGTCCTCAGGGTTTTCTAAGTAAATGATCATATCGTCAGCAAACAGGGACAGTTTGACTTCCTCTTTACTGATTTGGATACCCTTTATCTCTTTCTCTTGTCAGATTGCTATGGCTAAGACTTACAGTACTAGACCTTCAATCTATTTTAATTAGCAAAACACAAATGGTGTGAATGTTGCAGAGGCTCTGGACACAACTTCTGGGTTAGAGTTGTGGACTAGATTGGATTCCTGGACTAAAGAGTCTTTATTGCTACCAAGGCCTCAGAGCACTGTCAGTGTTGCGATCTACATAGAGGAAACATTCTCCAGGAGAGTAGAGGACTCAGAATTTACACTACCATCTGGAAGAAAGGACATAAATCATGCTGAGTGTGGGTGAGTGCTTCCCACTCTGTTGGTAACTGTTGAGGTGCTTCCAGAGAAGGAAAGAGAGATGTTTGTGTTGTTTTCTACATCCAAAAGTTTTGGACTCTACTGAGGCTACTTCTCTCTTGCTTCTTTAATTTAGGGTGGTGTGGTAAATGAGACACACTGAACCAAGATCTCCCAATAGTCATCCATTCTTCCTGGTAAGAGATGATAAAGCCAAATCCCAATTGATCCTTTCTAAATGAGGGTGAAGAGAAAAGGCAACATCAAAACCATTAAACTTAGGCACTACAGCATGAAGCAGTGAAGGTCAAAGCTGGGTGTCCCGTAATCTATTCTCCTATCCCAACTCTACCCCTAGTTAGCTGTATGCCTTTGGTAGGCCTTTCTGTTCTGAGCAATGTTTTCATCATCTAAGAAAAAGAAGATGTTGGATAAGATCATGTAACTGATCTAAAGCTGATTGAGTATGCATCTGAGAATTTTGCTGATCATTTTTCAGAATCCACTCTGTCAACCTCTGCATTCTCCTCTGCATGGGGTGACTGCCTCTTCTGATTTTACTGATCATAATCTATTTGTGACTTTGGGCAAGTGGTCACCCAAGACATGGGATGATTCTTTTGTTATTACATCTATCACCTCTGTCTGCCAGCTGTTGACTATTTGTTAGCTAAGCCCATCTTTCTGGATACTCAAATCTCATTCCTCAATGAGAAGTTATATGTGAAGACATGGCCAAGAGCTTTAGATGAACATGATTAATTTTATTATCTTTTTCTGTAATTCTAAGTTTTCTACATCATAATGAAGATAAAGCAATCACTTTTGTTTTGTTGAACATCATGCTAATGAGGAGTCTTTTGGGGTTATAAGAAATTCCTCCAAAACCAAGACCCTTCAAAGGAAGTGTTTCACTCCTACAGGCCCTGGAAAACAGCCAAAAAACTCCTAAGACAAAGGACATAATCCCTTGGGAGCTCTTGGGTCCTGCCCACCACCTGATTCTCCCTATACTACCACAGTTGATGCTGTCTTGAAAATTCCACCTCCTGGCTGGAAGCCAACCAACACAAAACTAGTGCAATAAACAAAACTACAACTAAGGGCTCTCATAGAGTCCATCTCACTCCCCTGCCACCTCCACTGGAGCAGGTGCTGGTATGCATGGCTGAGAGACCTGAAGACAGTTCACATCACAGGACTCTATGCAGACACTCCCCAGTACCACCCAGTGCCTGGTAGCTCTGTGGTGTGGCTAGATCCAGAAGAAAAATAATGATCACTGCAGTTTGGCTCTCAGGAAGCCACTTCCCAAGGGGAAAGGGGAGAGCACTACATTAAGGAAGCACCATGTGGGACAAAAGAATCTGAACAGAAGCCCTTGAGTCACAGATCATTCCTCTGACACAGTCTGCCTGAGAAGAAACCAGAAAAACAATTCTGGTAATATGAAAAAAACAAGGTACATTAACACCCCCCAAAGATCACACTAGCTCACCAGCAACAGATCCAAACCAAGAAGAAATCCCTGAATTGCCAGAAGAATAATTGAGAAGGCTGATTATTAAGCTTATCAAGGAGGCACCAAGGAAAGGTGAAGTCCAACTTAATGAAATGAAAAAAAAAAGATACAAGATATGAAGGGGAAAATCTTTAGTGAAATAGATAGCATAAATAAAAGACAATCACAACTTCTGGAAATGAAGGACACACGGAAATGCAAAATACACTGGAAAGTCTCAGCAATAGAATCAAACAAAACTTCAGAACTCAAAGACAAGGTTTTCAAATTAACCCATTGCAACAAAGACAAAGCAAAACGAATTTATAAAATGAACAAAGCTTCTGAGAAGTTGGGAATTATGTTAAATGACCAAACCTAAGAACAACTGGTATTCTTGAGGAAGAAAAGAAATCTAAAAGTTTGGAAAACATATTTGAGTGAATAATCAAGGAAAACTTCCATGGCCTTGCTAGAGATCTAGACATCCAAATACAAGAAGCTCAAAGAACACCTCAAAAATTTACCTCAAAAAGATAATCATCTAGGCACATAGTCATCAGGTTATCTAAAGTCAAGATGAAAGAAAGAATCTTAAGAGCTGTGAGGCAAAAGCACCAGGTAACCTATAAAGGAAAACCTGTCAGATTAACAGATTTCTTAGCAGAAACCTACAAGCTAAAAGGAATTGAGGTCCTATCTTTAGCCGCCTTAAACAAAACAATTTCAGTCAAGAATTTTGTAACCAGTGAAACTAAGCTTCACAAATGAAGGAAAGATACAGTCTTTCTTAGACAAACAAATACTGAGAGAATTCACCACTACCAAGCCAGCACTGCAAGAACTACTAAAAGTAGCTCTAAATCTTTAAGATACGCCAAAATTGAACCTCCTTAAAGCATAAATCTCACAGGACCTATAAAACAAAAACACATGTAAATCGCCTAAATGCTGCACTTAAAAGATTCAGAATGGCGGAATGCATACGAATTCACCAAACAAGTATCTGCTGTCTTCAAGAGACTCATCTAACACATAAGGATTCACATATATTTAAGGTACAGAGGTGGAAAAAGATATTCCATGCAAATGGACATCAAAAGCAAGCAGGAAAGCTATTCTTGTGTCAGACAAAAAAAACTTAAAGCACTAGCAGTTAAAAAAGACAAAGAGGGACATTACATAATGATAGAAGGACTTGTCCAACTGGAAAGTATCATAATCCAAAATAAATATACACCTAACACTGGAGTTCCCAAATTTATAAAACAATTACTACCAGTCCTGAGAAATGAGGTAGACTGCAACACAGTAATAGCAGGGGACTTCAGTTCTCCACTGACGGCACTAGACAGGTCATCAAGACAGAAAGTCAACAAAGAAACTATGAATTTAAACTATACCCTAGAACAAATGGACTCAACAGATATTTACAAAACATTCTACCCAACAACTGCAGAATATACATTGTATTCATCAGTGCATGGAACCATCTCCAAGATAGACCATATGATAGGTCACAAAATACATCTGAATAAATTTACGAAAATTGAAATTATATCAAGTACTCTCTCAGATCACTGTGGAATATAATTTGAAATCAACTCCAAAAGGAACCCTCAAATACCTGGAAATTAAATCGTCTATTCTTGAATGATCATTGGTTCAACAATGAAATCAAGACGGAAATTTAAACATTCTTTGAACTGGGCCAGGCATGGTGGCTCACACCTGTAATCCCAGCACTTTGGGAAGCCGAGGCGGGCAGATCACAAGTTCAGGAGATTGAGACCATCCTGGCTAACACAGTGAAACCCCGTTTCTACTAAAAATACAAAAAAATTAGCCAGATGTGGTAGCAGGTGCCTGTAGTCACAGCTACTCGGGAGGCTGAGGCAGGAGAATGGCATGAACCTGGGAGTTGGAGCTTGCAGTGAGCCGAAATCACACCACTGCACTCCAGCCTGGGTGACAGGGCGAGAAGCCATCTCAAAAAACAAAAACAAAAACAAAAACAAAACAAAACAACAAAAAAAAACTCTTTGAACTGAATGATAATAGTGACACAGCCTCTCAAAACCTCTAGGCTACAGCAACAGCAGTGCTAACAGGAAAGTTCATAGCATAAATGCCTACATCAAAAAGTCAGAAAGAGCACAAATAGAAAATCTAAGGACACACCTCATGAAACTAAAGAAAAAAAAAACAACCAACCCAAACCCAGCAGAAGAAAAGAAATAACAAAGATCAGAGCAGAACTAAATGAGATTGAAACAACAACAACAACAACAACAACAACACAAAAGATAAAGGAAACAAAAAGCTGTTTTTTTGTAAAGATAAATAAAATTGCTAGACCATTAGCAAGATTAACCAAGACAAGAAGGGAGAAGATCCAAATAAACTCAATTAGAAATGAAACAGGAGATATTACAACTGATACCACAGAAATACAAAAGATCATTCAAGGCTACTATGAACACCTTTATGCATATAAACTAGAAAACGTAGAAGAGATGGATAAATTCCTGGAAATATACAACTCTCTCAGATTAAACCAGGAAGAAATAGAAACTTGAAACAGACCAATAACAACTAACAGACTGAAAGAGTGATTTTTAAAATTGCCAACAAAAAAAGTCAGGACAACATGGATTCACAACTGAATTGTATCAGACATTCAAAGAAGAATTGACACCAATTCTATCAACACTATTCCACAAGATAGGGAAGAAGGGAATCCCCTCTACATCATTCTATGAAGCCAGTATCACCCTAATTCTAAAACCAGGAATTGACATAACAAAAAAAGGAAGCTACAGACCAATATCTCTGATGAATATAGATGCAAAAATCTGTAACAAAATACTAGCTAACTGAATCCAACAGTATATCAAAAAGACAATACGCCATAATCAACTGGGTTTCATACCAGGGATGCAGGGATGGTTCAACAAACACAAGTCAATAAATGTTATACACTGCATACACAGAATTAAAAACAAAAAATACATGATAATCTCAATAGATGCAGAAAAAGCATTTGACAAAATTCAGCATCCTTTATAATCAAAACCCTCAGCAAAATCGACATACAAGGGACATAATGTAATAAAAGGCATGTGTGACAAACCCACAGCCAACATAATACTGAATAGGGAAAAGTTGAAAGCATTCCCCCTGAGAGCTGGACCAAGGCAAGGATGCCCACTTTTATCACTTATTCAGCACAGTACTGTAAGTCCTATCCAGAGCAATCAGACAACAGAAAGAAATAAAGGGCATCCAAATTGGTAAAGAGAAAGTCAAACTGTCACTGTTTGCTGATGATATGATTGAACACTTAGAAAACCCAAAATACTCATCCAAAAAGCTTATAGAACTGGTAAATGAATTCAGCAAAGTTACAGGATACAAAATTAATGTACACAAATCAGTAGCTCTGCCATACATGAGCAGTGACCAAGCTGAGAAACAAATAAAAAAGTCAACCCCTTTTACAACTGCTGCAAAAATAATAATAAGTAATAGTAAAATACCTAGGAATATACCTAACCAAAAAAGGTGAAAGACCTCTACAAGGAAAACTACAAAACACTGCTGAAGGAAATCATATACAACACAAACAAATGGAAACACATCCCATGCTAATGGATGGGTAGAATCAATATTGTGAAAAAGGACCATACTGCCAAAAACCATCTACAGATTCCATGCAATTCCTATAAAAATACCACCATAATTCTTTACAGAACTAGAAAAACAATCCTAAAATTCATATGGAACCAAAAAAGAGCCCATATAGCCAAAGTAAGACTAAACAAAAAGATTAAATCCAGAGGCATCACATTACCTGATTTTAAACTATACTGTAAGGTCATAGTCACCAAAACAGCATGGTACTTGTATAAAAATAGGCACATAGATTAATGGAACAGAATAGAGAACCCAGAATGAAGCCAAATACTTACAGCCAACAGATCTTTTTCAAAGCAAAGAAAAACATAAAGTGGGGAAAAGATACTCTATTCAACAAATAGTGCTGCTATAATTGGCAAGCCACATATAGAAGAATAAAACAGGACCCAAATTTTTGACATTATATAAAAATCAACTCAAGATGGATCAAACACTTAAATCTAAGACCTGAAATTATAAAAATTATTGAAAATAACATTGGAAAAACCCTTGTAGACATTGGCTTAGGCAAAGACTTCATGACCAAGAACCCAAAAGCAAATGCAACAAAAGCAAAGATAAATAGATGGGACTGAATTAAACTAAAAACCTTGTGTACAGCAAAATAAATAATCACTAAACAACCATAGAGTAGGAGAAAATATTCACAATCTATAATCCAACAAAATTAGATTATGGATATTAGTCCATATCAGCAAGAAAAAAAAACCAAATAATTCCATTAAAAAGTAGGCTAAGAACATGCATAGACAATTATCAGAAAAATATATACAAATGGCCAACACACATATGAAAAAATGCTCAACATCATTAGCGATCAGGGAAATACAAAACAAACTCACAATGCAATACCACCTTAGTTCTATAAGAATGGCCATGATCAAAAAATCAAAAAACGATAAAATAGATGTTGGTGTGGATGTGGTGAAAAGGGAACACTTCTACATTGCTGGTGGGAATGTTAACTAGTAAAACCACTACAGAAAACAGTGTTGAGATTCCTTAAAGAAGTAAAATAGAACTACCATTTGATCCAGCAATCCCACTACTAGGTATCTACCCAGAGGAAAAGAAGTCATTACATGAGAAAGATACTTGAACATGCATGTTTACAGCAGCACAATTCACAGTTGCAAAAATATGGAACCACCTCAAATGCCCATCAATCAACAATTGGATTAAGAAAATCATGATATATGTACCATGGAATACTACGCATCCATAAAAAGGAACAAAATAATGGCATTCACAGCAACCTGGATGGATGGAGATCATTATTCTCAGTGAACTAACTCTGGAATGGAAAACCAAACACCATATGTTCTCACTTATAAGTGGGAGCTAAGCTATGAAGATGCAAAGTCAAAAGAATAATACAGTCGACTTTGGGGACTCAGGGCAAAGGGTGGGAGGGGAGTGAGGGATAAAAGATTACACGTTGGGTACAGTGTATACTGATCAGGCAATGGGTGCACCAGAATCTCAGAAATCACCATTAAGAACTTGTTAATGTAATCAAATACCATTTGTTCCCCAAAACCTATTGAGGTATATTGGGAAAAAAAAAAGAAATTCCACCAAAACCTCTTGCATAATGTGCATAAAACTAATACCTCCTCAATTCTCCTGCCTATGTGTTCTTGACATTCTCCCTTTTAATATTCCTCCTCTAGTAATGTTCAGCTTGCTTTTCAGTTTTAATTTTAAGCAGAGGAAACCAAGAAAAGGTATTTTTAGGGTTATAATGAAAAGAGTCATAAAAGAGACACGACTTTTCAGTGTAAGATGAGATGGGTTGTCATAGATAGAAGCAGGAATTTAAAAGGCCTTATGTTTCAGCTTCACGTGGCACACTTCTGAGGCTGTTGGTGTCATCTCACTGCAAATGGGCAGCACTGGCTTTAGTCAACTGAGACAAAGATGAGTGCTCAATGATGTTAGACCATTTTTATCATTATCTGTCTCTCTCTTCTCACTTTCTCCCACCTGTCTCTCCTCTCCCCACCCCATGCTCTTTCACACAGACACTTCTGTGTTACACTAGCATTTTATAAATCTTAGAGAAGAAAGAGTGCTAAGAAAAACACTTGCTGAATGACATCCTCTCTTAACTAATATTTAAAATTCCACCATTGAAATGATTGTTCCATGGCAGGCAATTTTACTGCAGGTTCTTCCATAAAGTATTAAATTAATAGAACAAAACTTTATGCATTATTATAATAAAAATAAGAAAAAGTACCTAAGTTACTGCATGATGAAAGTGACAACAAATGCCTTCTCTGGCAATAAGAAAATTAAATTTGTAATTAACTCTGCATTAATCCGTCATATTTTCTTTCTTGAGATACCCCAGGAGCTAGAATTTTTCCCATGTGATTTCAAACATTTCTTACACTGAATGACATTGAATTTTTGTTGCTTTCAAATAAATCAATATGTTCTTTAGATCTTTTGGACTATTTCCTTGGTTTTCTGACTAACCTCCAGAGGAAATGAAATGATATTTTCTTTATAACCAGAGTTGAATGTTGCACTTTATAACCAGAGTGGTGCAAACATAACTACAGCAACCAACACCAACGTAATAAGTTTTGTAACAATTAGAGAAGAGGAAGTTCCTTTTTTACACTATCAAAACATTCATGCTTGCTCCATTCCTTTGTGTGTGTGCATACATGAATGTTTTAATTTTCTTTATTATTACTTTTTATTTTGCAGACTACAAGCCATTCAAAGAAAGAGGCCATATCTGTCTTGTTTATTGCTAGATCCCCACGTGTCCAGAATTGCTTATCAAATAAGAGAATGATGTAATTCCTGCAATTCTGCCTAAACCTATGCACATACATACACATATACACCACACACACACACACACACACACACACACACGTACTATCTGTATATATATTTGTTGCAACTACACATTTAAATTTTGCTCATGGAGTACATCTTCTATCCCAATGAAAGTATATAAATGTTATATTTAAGAGTTACTCTTATAGGAGAGAAGGTAGTGAGGAAAAGGTGTGAAGATTGGAATAGCTCAAGGCTAGGTATAACATGGTTTAATGAAATTCACAGTTACTTCACAGTCTTACTGTAAGCAATAGTTTCAGCATTTTTAATCTTTAAACCTCCATTTAGAATACTAAAAATAATTATTTTCTAAATATTTCCACATTTTCTCAGAGGAGAGGGCAATCCATTTACATGTACTATGAGTACATCAGCGGAGGGGAGGGAAGAACAAATAACTCTCTGTGCACAGCATACACTGGATTATCATCCCACTGGGAATCCTTAGCCAGATAAAGAGGAAAATGCATAGGCTTTGGAGTCAGACAGATTCTGATTTAGCTGCTGGCTATAATATACTTTCTCATTGACAAGTCTTGGTCAAATCACTCTGAGCTGCAGCTTCTTCTTTGGAAAAAGAGGGATTATAATGCCCATTTCAAGGGAAGTTGTGAGGATTAAAGGTGATGGAGGAAAAGCACCTAACATAATTCACAACATATGGCAGAAAGTTACTAATTATTCCTTTTGTGTCTCTTACCTTTGTCAAGGAGGAAGTTCTTTTCTAAATCGATTCAGTTAAATATATTGCTCATATTTTCTGATAAGTCTTTGAACACAAAGGGTCACTATATTTAGCAGTTTGTGATATCTCTATTAAAGTGAGCATCACTTTCCAGTGTCATTGTTCATTTGAGGACCCGCTACATGGTCCACACTCTAAATGTCTCCAGGGCCACTTTCTGTATCCCACTAGCTCCATGCCTGCCCATAGTGGGTACTCTAAATGTACTTTAAGCAACTTTAGTATAAAGATAATTTAGAGGATATAATGAGATAAAATACATCCTTATAATACTCACAGTGGTTCCCAAACTTAGTTACATGTCAAAATGACGTGAAGAATGTCTGAAGAATAGAAATAACATCCACACACAATTCCCTGAATTCAACGAGGTAAACAGAATTTAAAACTCGAGGTTATGAAGCAAACTTATTAGTATTTTAAAAAATACCCTGGGTAGGCTGGGCCTGGTGGCTCATGCCTGTAATCCCAGCACTTTGGGAGGCTTATGCGGGCGGATCACAAGGTTAGGAGATCGAGACCATCCTGGCTAATACGGTGAAACCCCGTCTCTACTAAAAATACAAAAAATTAGCCAGGCGTGGTAGCAGGCGCCCGTAGTCCAGCTACTCGAGAGGCTGAGGCAGGAGAATCGCTTGAACCTGGGAGGCAGAGGTTGCAGTCAGCTGAGATCGTGCCACTGTACTCCAGCCTGGGTGACAGAGCAAGAAACCATCTAAATAATCATAATCATAATCATAATAACCCTGGGTAATTCTGATGATCTTCCAGGTTTAGAAACCACTGCCCAGTGATTGGTGGTTATCAAATCATGCTTCTTAGACTAGCTGCTTAGAAATCACTGAGGGGGTTTGCGGGTGGGAGGATATTTTGTGAAATGTGGATTCTCAAAACAAGAGAACCAAAATCTCTGGGAATGAAGCCCAACCATCTGCATTTTTGTGTGCCTAAGACATTTGAAACGTACATCAGGAAATTTCTAGACCCGTGTGCTAAACAATCAGAAGAGCCTTTAATTTCAGAGATTAATTGTTCAGTAAGAGGAGGTGCATTAGAATCTCCTGAAGAGGGCCAGGTGCAGTGGCTCACACCTGTAATCCCAGCACTGTGGGAGGCCAAGGAGGGCAGATCATGAGGTCAGGAGTTCCAGATCAGCCTGGCCAATATGGCGAAACCCCATTTCTACTAAAAAAAATACAAAACTTTGCCAGGCATGGTGACACATGCCTGTAGTCCCAGCTACTCAGGAGGCTGAGGCAGGAGAATCGCTTGAACCAGGGAGACGGAGGTTGCAGTGAGCCAAGATTGCGCCACTGCACTCCAGCCTGGGTGACACAGTGAGACTCCATCTAAAAAAAAAAAAAAAAAATTCCTGAAGAGGTTATCTTCAAAATAACCACCGCTTCCTAAATTTTAATGTGCCTTTAGAAAAGGAGGGGAGAGTCTCTCTGTTGAATTGTAAAAGCAATTTAGAAGATTCTGATAAACTACCCCACACTACCTCAGGAGACACTGTATTTCAGTATTTTAACTAGTCTAGGAAGAAATCATATGACATGCCATTTAAAAAGTTTTGTCTTTCTGCTAATAACCACTTTACTGAAAAAAATGTTCCTCTATATTTTAGTTAGCAACTAGGATATAAATGGGATAAATCAATAGTGAAGTTTGTTCTGCAGAGACAAATACTTTATCTTTTATAAATCCTATCTATCCTAATAAACAATGCAAAAAATAGAGCCTCTACTGATTGATTCAAAAAGGATCTACAGTTTTCTACATCAACTTAATTTCAACTTAAGTGTTCATCAATGGACAAATGGATGAAAAAAATGTGGTATATGTACACAGGAAATACTGTTTGGTCATAAAAATAATAAAATTCCATCATTTGCAGCAACATGGAAGGAACTAGAGGTTATTATTTTAAGTGAAGTCAGACACAGACACATGTTGCATGTTCTCACTCACATGTAGGAACTAAAAAAGTTAATCTCATGGAGGTAGAGAGTAGAATGATAGGTACCAGAGGCTGGGAAGGGTGTGTGTTGAGGGCAGGGGGATGACGAGAGCTTGGTCAATGTGTACAAACATAGTTAAATAGAAAGAATAAGTTCCAATGTTTAATAGCAGGGTAGAGTAACTGTAGTTAGCAAAAAAGTATTGTGTATTTCAAAATAGCTAGAAGTAAGGACTTGAAATGTTCCCAATATGTAGACATGAATACTTGAGGTGATAGATACCCTAAATACTCTAATTTGACCATTACACATCCTATACATGTAACAAAATACCAAATGTACACCATAAAAATGTACAAATATTAGTATATCAATTTTTCTAAAAAAGGCTTATGCTTAGAAATGAACCCATTGGCTGCATTTGTAATGAAAACTGTCATTCCTAAACTGTTAGAGAACAGTGGAGCAACCAAATGCTGTGCATTACTTATTAAACTCATTATGTTACAAAAGAAGTGACTGCCTTTTTCTCAAACACAATTTTAAGGAGGATCTGAAAGTGCCTCAAAGCAGCCACTAAGGTAAGTGAATATAATGTTCAGTACTTTTCACCAATAAGGTCAGTATAAGTATACTGATCTAAAACTCTAAGCTCCTAATCTAAAACTCTGAGGCTGGACGCAGTGGCTCACACCTGTAATCAAAGCACTTTGGGAGGCCGAGGCAGATGGATCACTTGAAGTCAGGAGTTGGAGATCAGCCTTGCCAACATGGGGAAACCTTCTTTCTACTAAAAATATCAAAATTAGCCAGGTGTGTTGGTGGGTGCATGTAATCCCAACTACTCAGGAGGTTGAGGGAGGAGAATCCCTTGAACCTGAGAGGTGGAGGTTGCAGTGAGCCTAGATTGTACCACTGCACTCCAGCCTGGGTGACAGAGTGAGTCTCCATCTCAAAAAAAAACACAAAAAACAACAACAAAAAAACCTCTCTGAGAACAACTCTTTTTCTTTTAATTTTTCTCAAAAAAAGGTGAGAAATGAAAATATGATATATATTAGAAGCAAAAATATTAGTGACGATGCATTATCATGGCAAATAATTTTAAATTCACATAGTATTTCTTCTTGAAAGTATGATGTATTTCCAAATCATTGACGTGTGTGTGTCTGTAAATATCCATTTAAATTCGTGTAAATATATCTACCTATTATCTATCTATCTGTGCTTACCAATGTTTTTGGAATTTTGACACTCCATGGCCATTCCTGCATACAAACTTCGAAATGTATCACAAGGCATTTATATCTACTAAAGTAACTTTTAAAGTTATTTTTGTTTTTTGAGAATGTGACATTTGATGACGATCTAAAATAATTGGAAGCATCATAGAATATTAAAGAGCAAGCAAGGACCACATGGGGAAAATTCTGCACTGGGAATTATTCCTTAACTCAGCATACAAATGGGCTTCTCTGCTTAGTTGCATTATCTGGCCTGCTAATGGGATAACGTTAAATGTTGCAGTAAAGTCCATGAGTAAAGCCTTGGGCGGGCTTCATACCTGTAGCTTTTTTGAAAGGCCTCCTATATTAGTAGAAACATATTTGAGAGAATATTTATTTCCAAATCTATGGTAAAAATTACTAAATGTTGTTTGAGTGTGAAAGATCTAAATCTGGATGATCTCTTAGGGACCCATCTACTACTTTCCCCAGCCTTCTCTTCCCCTTCCTCCAGGTAGATGATATTGTTAGGGAAAGGAGAGTGAATGCTGCATTTCAGGATCTGGGAAACGGGAGGCAGAGAGGAAAAAACTTGATGTTGGATTGTTCATCTGAAGATATCTTTTCTCCCTGTCTGTAACATGTCTTTTCATCTTCTTAACAGGGATTTTCACAGAGCTAAAGTTTTTAGTTTTGATGAAGTTTAATTTATTGATTATTTTTCTTCTATGGGTTGTACTTTTCGTGTGACATGTGAGAAGTCTTCACCAAGCACTATTTTCCAAAGATTTTTATCCAATAATTTGTTCCAAAAGTTTTATGGTTTTACATTTTATGTTTTAATCTGTGATGTATTTTGCATTAATTTTTGCATAAGCTGTGAGTTTTGGGTTAGGTTCAATTATTATTATTATGTTTTTTTGCCAATGCACGTCCAATTCCTCTAGCACTATTTGTTAAAAAGACTATCTGACCTCCATTGAATTGCTTTTGCATCTTTGTCCAAAATCGTTGGCCATCATATTACTTTCCTACTGCTGCTGTAAAAAGTCACCACTTACAGCAGTGACTTAAAATAACACAAAATTACTATCTCATACTCCTGGAGGTCCAAAATACGAAACGAACCTCCATGGGCTAAATCAAGGTATTGGCAAGGCTGCATTCTTTCTGGAGGCTCTATAGAAGAACCTCTTGCTTTTTCTAACTTTGAGAGGCTACCTGCATTCTTTAGCTCATGGTCCCTTCCTCCATCTTCAAAGCTAACAGCATCGCATCTCAATTTTTTCTCTGACTCTGAACCTCCTGCCTCCCCTTTTCACTTATAAGAATACCTGTGATTACAGTGGTCTTTGCTGACTAATCCAAGATAAACTCTTTCTTTTAAGATCCTTAATTTAAACACACCTACAAAGTCCCTTTACCATGTAACCTAACTTAATCACAGATTCCAGGAACTGGATGTGGCTATTGCAGGGGGAAGGGGCATTATTCTGACTATAATAGCTGTACTTTTGTGAGACTATTTCTGGGTTCTCTATTTTTTTCCATTCATCAATGTGTTTATCCCTTTGCCAATACCATGTAGTCTTGATTACTGTAGCTATATAATAAGTCTTGAAATCAGGTAGGTTGATTCCTAAAATAATTTTGAAATTATTATTTCAAAGAGAATTGTAATTAATTTTATAATTCTCTTTGAAATAATAATTTCAAAATTATTTTAGTTATCCCATTTGCTTTGCCATTTCATATAAATTTTAAAATAATCTTGTATAAATCTATCACTTGCTAAGATGTTGACAGAAATTGTGTTAATTAATTCTACATTTCAATTTGGGAGAGAATGACATCTTTACTGTGTCCCATGATATGAACAAGATATGTCTCTCTATTTAGAGCTTTTTTTGATTTCTTTACATGAGCATTTTGTAATTTTAGCATTCAAGTCCTTTATATGTCTTTTTGGGTTGACATCTAAGGATTTCATGATTTTTGAACAATTGTAAATGGTTTTATATTTTTAATTTTGATTTTCATGTGTACATTGTTAGTATATAGAAATACAACTATTTTATACATGTTGATTCTGTATCCTGTGATCGTACTGGACTCACTTATTAGCTTTAGGAAATTTTTGTCATTGTTTCCTTGGGATTTTCACATCATTTGTATATAGAAACAGATTTTTTTTAAAAAAATCTGTACACCCTTTATCTCTTTTCTTGCCTTTTTGGGCTGGCTAGATATCCTGGTCCTATATAGGATATGAGTAGTGAGAGTGGAAGTTCTTTCCTTTCCCCTGATCTTAGGAGGAAAGTTCCCCAGTACTCCTAGTTTTGTGATAGTTTTCATCATGAAATGGTGTTTTTATCTTGAATCACAAATGGGTGTTTTATCATGAATTTTGCAAAATGCTTATTCTGCACCAATTGATATGGTTATATAATTCTCCCTTAGCCATTAATATGGTGGAGTACATTAATTGATTTTTGCATATTGAACCAGTTTTCAAAGAACTGGTCCATTTCATCTAGATTGTAAAATTAATCTGTGAAGAGTTCTTGGTAGTTGTTCCCTTACATCTTAATTTTATAGAGTTACACCTATCACATTTAATAAAATAGGATATATTATTCTATCATAAATATCCCATTGAAGTAACTGAAAGGTTCAGGGTTTATATGATCATTCTCACATAGTTGCCATGGAGCACTCAGCGTTGATTAAGAAAAGGGAAAACCATTTTATTCTGTCTTTGGTATAGACAATACAATTAGATAAAGCAAAAAATTTGTTACAAATACTGATGGCTAGAAGCATTTCGCAAAGACAAATAAAATTCTTATAGTACATATAAATTTATTTTTACCCTTGTATTACAAATACCCCAAATATATTAACTTAATACCCCCTCCAAAAAGTTAAACCCTATCTTACTAAAGATGAAAATATATTTAGTATTAATGACAATTAGGCATACCTGTATATATTTGGCTCTACAGAAATTATATTCATAACAAATCACAGGGTGACATTGTTTTATGTTCTGCAGAATTTTGATTCCTTATCATCATTCACAATTATTTTCAGAATTGCCTAAGGGAAAATTGTTACCTTGGGAGCACAAAGAATATACACTTTTATTCTAGACCAGAAAAGCTGAAATTCTTTTGGCTTTATACTATCCTTATCTTGGTGAGTATCTTAGAATGGGGATGGTAGATTCATGGTATTTGGGCTCCCATTTCCCACTTTTGCACGCATTGAAGACATCATTATTCAGCCTTTCCCAAATAGTAAGGCAAAAAATTGTTATTATTTTTAACATAATCTCTCAGGCAACTATTTCCTATCTAGCAATATAACACACAAGACGTAACCCATTAGCCTTGCCTATCCTAAATGTTTTAGGAGGAAATTATTTAAAAATAAAATAAAAAACCATGACATAGTCTCTGTCTGAAACTTATAGCTGGTCAATCATTGGAAGCATTTAATCAAAAGATTATTAGACATGATACATTAAAATAACATGCAATTATTTAAAAATATATAATAGGGAAATAGGAAAAACATTGTTGCAATAATCATTTTTACAGCCACATTATAAAAAATTGCTGAAATTTTATGGTGCCAACTTCCAGATTAATCTCTGGTTGTCTATGGTTCAAAATTGATTGATTTTTTTTTTTGCTCTTCTAAATTTTTAAATAGCAGAAGTATTGTCTTTTGAAAAATTACTCTGTAACTTGAAAAGAATTTATTGTATGTAGGATATTTGGTAATCACTCATTTATTCACTCATTCCACAAATATTTACTGAATACTTAATAAGTTCTGGCCACTGTTTTCAACTCTAAGGGTAAGTAGTGAAAAGAAAGTCATAGTTCTGCGCCCACAGAGGGACGATACAGAGAGATAGAAATGTACAGAAAAACATTCATACACAACTTTACGGAGAGTACTGAGATATGATGTTTTGCTAGAGAGCACTAGGTGACAAATTTAGATTGCTGGGTAACAGGTGACTTCTCAAAGAAGCCAGTAATTGATCAGAGATACAAATTACATGAAGGAGTCACCTTGGTAAGGTTGTGGGCAGAGGAAGAACACTCCATACCAGCAGAGCTGGCTACATAAATTACAGGGCCCAATGCAAAATGAAAACGATCTCTTCTTCCAAAAACAGAAAAAAAGTATTACTAAGATGCTAAAATATAAAGCTTTCCCCTTTCTTCTCTGTACTCATGGTGTTTTGTTATTTCCTATTTAATGTCATTCTAAGCAAAGAAGATTAAAATTTCAAATTATCAGCCTAAATGTTACCATTCATCTTTATAGTGTGCACTGTACCAGTTTTAATAGGAAACAGGAAATTTTTAAAGAGCATTTAACTCATGTGTCATCACAAAAATTAAATGATTTTTAATTCTGTAACTTGTACATACATAGGTATTTCATTCTTACCATGACAGTAGAAGCATTATCCAGAATTAACAGTTTTTTATTTCACAACTTGACAGGCATACATTCGTTCCACACTCTCTAACTTTAACTTACTTATGAGTAAGGAGAAACAAAAGGAAAATGAACCGTGGATTGCCTTACCTTTCTTTTTCCTTCTATTCCATTATTTTCACTATAGGTGGTTATTTAATACTGAGAACTTACATCAGTAAGAAAGGTTATAATAGGGTTTTTTGGTCATTCATGTTTCTTGGAATGCAATTTTCTCCTTTCTGTAGAAAGGAGAAATTTTTGAAGAAAGTTCTGATTCTTAACAGAAGCATGACCTTTCAGAGTTGTCAGTGCCCCTGCTTACCCAGTTCTAGACATAATAACATGATTACCTAGTATTCATTTTGTGTCATCATGAACTCCCCCATGTTGTAGGTCCACCAGAATTCTGAGTGTTTAAAATTGCAAATGCTGTGTGCAAATTAGCTGGCAAAAAATGGTGGAAATCTTGCACGTATTTCTTCTGCTCACCTGTGTACTCCATTGTCCCATTAGATTTCATTTAAAGATACAAACTGTGAAAGATACAAATTCTTAAAAATCTTGAGACAGCAATGGCACAGCATTAAACCAGGCCTGGGGCTCTTGTGAGCCCAGTGCGCACTTCTGTGACTTCACAGTTCACACACCCATGAAGCCGACCCTACGCAGACAGGTCAAGACCTGGTATGAAGGCCTTAAAGTAGAAATAAGCTTGGCACTTTTGAGAATGAGAAAAAAGGCCACTTGGTGGATGGGAAAAAGAGTGGAGGAGTTGAGGTCAGTGAGGAAGGAGAGAGCAGATGATAAGGCTTTATAGGCCTAGGTAAGAAGTCTAATTTTATTTGATGGGAAGCTCTTGAAATATCATAAACTAGGAGCAGTGTGATCTGGTTTATATTTTTAAAAATTGGCTCTCATGTGGAGTGCTATGGTTTTGATGTTTGTTCCCTCCAAAACTCATGTAAAAATTTAATTGCCATTGTAGCAGAATTAAAAGGTGGGACCTTTAAGAGGTGATTAGGCCATGAGGGCTACATCCTCATGGTGTTGTTCCGAAAGGGCGAGTTTAGATCTCTCTCTCTCTCTCGTTTTTCCATCATATAATGATGCAGTAAGAAGGTCCATGTCACATGCCGACACCTTGATGTTAGACTTCCCAGCCTCCAGAATATGAGCCATTCAATTTCTGTTCATTATAAATTACCCAGTCTGTGGTATACTGTTATAGCACCACAAAACAAACAGTATGAAGTAGGGAAAACTGTGGTGGTTTGAATTACATTGGAAATAGTATAGGTGGAAAGGTGTGCAAGACTTGGGATAAATTTTAGAAGTTAAATGGATAGAGCTTCTGTTGAGTTGGATGTAGGATGTGAGGAAAAGAGAGTAATAAGAGATGCCTGTGTGTGTTTTGTTCTTTCTTTGAGCGATGAGGTGGGGAGGACTAGTGGTAGGGCACGTTTGCTGAAGAGAGGAAACCAGTAGTTCTTTTTTGGCTGTGGTGAGTCTGATTTGTCTGCTAAACCTATAAGTGATTTTGCCAAGTTGCCTATTTAGGATTAAAGGTATAACAGCCAATGAATACATAAGTATAAATTATAGCAACATATAGAGAAAACTTATAAGAATTACAACCCGTTTGCCATTTTTCTCTGCATGAGGAATGATTGCTATTTCAGATGGTCAGGATCAGTGCACAATATAGAAAGATCAAAATAAACTTCTTTCCTCCCCTTAATGACAGGTCACTATATACACCAAGGACGATCTGTTGGTTCATCCATTTGAGAAAAAAATGCAGTCTTATTAGTAGCAAATCACATAGGTACTTGAATTCATGAGGATGGTCTAAAACTTCATTTTAATAATTGCTAGCAGCTCACATACTATTCCTACAAATATGTCCTCAGATGAGGTCCCAGAGGTTCTTTACGTTTGTTAGTCTTTTCCCTTTCTTTCTGTTTTATCTCTCTGCTTTTTGTGTTTCATTTATGTGGTAAAAAGCAATGGGTAAATGCTGACCTGCCTGCAGCAAGGTCATAGCCAGAAGACTGTTATCCTGACTCCATCCCTAGTCCCTCATGTTGTGGATACTCATCCTCAGTATGAGGTTGCTTGGAATTCACAGGAGTGACATCTAGACCAAGAATGTTTCTCTTACTAATATCCATTACTTCTCATTCCACAACATCCATTCTCTTACTAATATCCATTACTTTTCATTCCACAGCATTTTCATTATGTGAAAAAATATTTTGCTTCCATAGGTGAAGAAGTAAAGGAATGAAGAAGTAATGGAGAAGAGCATCCTATCATGCCCCAAATAGCTACCATTATGGAGGATCTGTTATGTACAAGTACTTTCTATACTCTGTTTTGTAAAACCTTATGGAACCCATGCAGGACAAATGATTTATTTCCTCATTTCATGGTGAGGTCAAGATCATATTGATAGAGACAGGAGGCAGGGAAATTCTGGGCAGAAGAGGGCAGGTCTCTGGTGAGGACCTCACCCTCAAGCTGAAAAGCCAGGAACTGTGGCCCAAAGTGAGAACTGACATCCCTGTTTTCCCACTCAAGTGTTGCCTTTTCCAAAACCACCCATGGCCCACGCTGCCCACAGTTCTGTGCCCATAAAAACCCCAGGCTCAGCTGGCAGAGAGATGAGAAGCAGCTGAATGTCAGAGACTATAGTTGAACATAGGAGAGAAGTGGCTTGACTTCAGAGGGACAGCTTGACAGCGTAGCTTCAGTGCAGAGTCTGGCCGGGTATAGCTGGACTCCAGGGGAAGATTACCTTCCTGCTCCATCCCCTTTTCAGCTCCCCCTCCCACTGATAGCCACTTTCATTGGATATAAAATCCCCCACATTTATCACTTTCAATTCATTTGTGTGATCTCATTCTTCCTGGATGCCAGACAAGAACTCGGGTGTGCATGCAAAAGGCTGTCACGCTAAACTGTTAACACTTAAGCCATCTGCAGATGGCAAAGACAAAAGGGCACTGTAATACTCCTTCTGGGGCTTCAGGGATTGTGGGCATCCCCCTAGATGCTGTTGCAGGGCCTGTACAGTTTCAGATCCTGCTGGTGCCCAAAAGCACTCACCCTGGCTCTTGCACCTGCTCACCTGTGCTCCCCTTCCTGTGAGGGGTGGAATGCAGCAGAACAGAGTTGAGTGGAGTGGAGTCTGCCCCTGCTGGCACCAAAGTGGTGGGCTAGTTCTAGCACCTGTGTACTACAGTTCCCACCTATGAAAGGGTAAGGGAAATATCCTGCTTCAATATTGCTAATACATTTCATTTTGGTGAATCCAATTCGTATACTCAAGCTACAAAATCTGTGCTCTTTCCATCACACAATACTGCTTCTCCAAAAAAACTTTACTATTTGAAAATTTCCTTTTTACATCTCAAATATCCATTTACTTTTGAGTTCTAACTGGAATCACTAGAATGTTACTTTTAAAGAATAATTCAGTATCCAACTTTATAGATGAGAAAACCAAAGCACAGAGAGGTCTGTTCTTACATATATTAGACACTAACAGATGTAAGAAAAGACCAAAGGTTACATTTAATTTTATTCCAATCCGGCCAGGCACGATGGCTCACACCTGTAATCCCAGCACTTGGGGAGGCTGAGGCGGGTGGATCACGAGGTCAGGAGTTCAAAACCAGCCTGACCAACATGGTGAAACCCTGTCTCTACTGAAAATACAAAAATTAGCCAGGTGCGGTGGCACACACCTGTAATCCCAGCTATTCAAGAGGCTGAGTCAGGAGAATTGCTTGAACCCAGGAGGCAGAGGTTGCAGTGAGCCAAGATCTTGCCACTGCACTCCAGCAAAAAATTTTACTCCAATCCCCTGTATAAAATGCAAAGCTTATTTTGCACAGTTTAAATGAATCCTGACAGGTGAAAGTGATCATAGATAGGTCTAGATTGTAGTGTGTCTTCTAGTTAGCATAACTGCATCTTGGAACAAATACAATTCAGCCTTTTATTTATGAAAACTAGTTAGAATGTAACCTCATTATATAAATGGAGGCAAACATCAGAAAGCACACATCAAACATGCAAAAGCCATTTTCTTTTTAACACAAAAACAGAAAAGAATATTATAACTCTCCTGTAACACAAATTAAACTGAAATAATTTACTTGGGACCATAACTAGATACATGAAGGTTTGGATTTTCTTAAGTATCTGCAGTTAGGTATAATGTTAACCATAGGTAAATAAGGCTCAGGAAGGAGGGTATTTCAAAGGTTGTTCAGCTTAGAATAAAATTAGAACATGTTTCTTAAGAAATTAGGCTTAAAATTACTTGCTTTTATTATTTTTCAGTGTCTCCAAAGATTTCTGAGACCTAGATAAGTTGTTAGCACTGTTTCAAAGCTTTGCAATTTTTAGGTGTCAGATCTTCAGGATGGGGACTACTTGGTTTGAAAGTTAGAAAGAAGCCATATTTTGCAGCACTGTAAAATTCATCCAGAACTACAGTGGATGAAAACAGCTAAGTATAACACAGTTTTAGTGGCTTATGTAAAATATATTGGTAATTTGTCCAGATATTCATGTGAAAAATCTGTTCTGAGGGAAATGATGCTGTTCAAGCTAGAACGCAAGGGAGAGATGGAACATATAGTGATGGTGACTGCTCTATATGCCAAGGGGAACTATGTGAAGACTAAAGAGCATGTGAAAAATTGAAATATGTGCTGCATTCTTCAGTGAATAAAGTAGTATGTAGGTTTTTATGTATGCTTCCAAAGCAGAGACACAAATGATGTATCTGAGACTGTTACCCAAACACCAAGGCTTCAGTCTAGGTCTTGCTGCTCACCACACAGAAAGCCAATCGCTATGACACGTATTGCCAAGGAAGAAGGCTTTAATCAGATGCTGCAGCCAAGAAGATGGGAGCTCATTCTCAAATCCATCTCCTTGACTGATTAAAACTAGGGGTTTATACAGTAGGGAAGAAATGTAACAACGTGTAGGAAAACAGGAACTAGGGAGGGGCAAGGAAGCAATCATGATGAATGAGCACCAACCCCCTCCCCACCCCTTTGTCTGGATATGGTGATCTGGTGAGTTTCAGTTATTTGATACTTCCTTTGAGAGACCTGAAAATCTTTCCTGAGGAAGGAACTCAGAGAAAACAAATATAATTTTGAAGCTTTAAGATCAGAAGGGTCAATTTCTATGTTTATCCAAAAAAGTTTCTATGTTTATCCCCAAAAAAGTATGTTTATCCAAAAAAAAAAAAATATTTATTGACTTGGCTTCAAGACCTCCACTAAAAAAAATCTCCAAATAGGCCAGGCGCAGTGACTCATGCCTGTGATCCCAGCACTTTGGGAGGCCAAGGCGGGTGGATCACCTGAAGTCAGGAGTTCGAGACCAGCCTGGCCAACATGGTGAAACCTCGTGTCTACTAAAAATACAAAAATTAGCCAGGCGTGGTGGTGGGCACCTGTAATCTCAGCTACTCAGGAGGCTGAGACAGGAGAATCGCTTGAACCCAGGAGGCAGAGGTTGCAGTGAGCCGAGATTGCACCATTGCACTGCAGCCTGGGCAACTAGAGTGAAACTCTGTCTCAAAAAACAAAAATGCTGCAACAGCGCAAAAAGACTTTTGGATGATACAGACAACACATACAATAATGTTTGTCTACTATTGTCCAAATGTGGCTTAAAGAGCTAGTTCGTAGTCAGCATTGTAATCTCCACCATAGGAAACTGTTTTGGAAAAATGCTCTGACAAATGTCTAGAGTACATTGTATGGATGTGGTGGCTGTGTGATTGGGGAAAATAATCTCTCTGTTTCTAAGCCATGCACAAATGGGAATAATAACAGTACTTGCCAATATTGTTATGAGATTCAAAATATATATGTATGTAAAATTCTCGGCCTTGACTTAATAATAGTAGTTGTTATTATTGCTATCATTATTATATTATGAACCTTCTGTAGAGATTTTGTTGATAGCTTGAGTTGAATGGGAATGAAAATAGAATTTTTCTCCTTTTTGTACCAGTATTTATTTCTTCTGAGAGAAGACTGTGACTGTGTACATATGTTGATAGAGAGCACCAGTACCTGACCTTGTAATTGCATTCACTCAAATAAAAAAAAAACCTGTTTATAACCAGTTCAATAAACAATTGTTGAGCATGAGGATATGTTAGGCAGAGTGACATTATAACGAAAGGAAGATTACAGTAGGAGGAGGCAGAAAGCTGCACAGTGAGATGACTTGACCAAGTCTAAGCAAGAGGAAATGGATACCTGAACTAGGTCAGCTGCCGGGGATGTGGAATGCAGATGAGCCTGAGAAAAACACTTATGAGACTAATCATCAGGACTTCATGACTGGTGGAAGGTACAGAATGCAGAAGAGAGATGATAGGTTTTACATACATTGGCTTGTTTCTGAACTTCTGAGTGTACCAGAAATTCCAGTACCAATTGCCTTAATCATCTAGGATCAGATCCATCTTTTTAATGTTAAAGTAGATTCTAGAGAGGCATTTTTGGACTGTATAACATGTCTCTTAAGGATTCACATCATAACAATCATGCCGGCTGGGTGCGGTGGCTCATGCCTGTAACCTGTAATCCTAGCACTTAGGGAGGGTGAGATCAGGTGTTGGAGACCAGCCTGGCCAACATGGCGAAACCCCATCTCTACTAAAAATACGAAAATTAACTAGGAATGGTGGCACATGCCTGTAATCCTAGCTACTTGGGAGGCTGAGGAAGGTGAATTGCTCAGACCCAGGAGGCGGAGGTTGCAGTGAACCAATATCAGGCCACTACACCCCAGATTTTGTCTAAAAAGAAAAAAAAAATCCTCCCTGCATTGGGACTTGAGAATCCCAGTGTCAGGGCTACGTAATATTTGAGTGTATTCTCTATTGTATACTGGTGTTTGTTTTCTTTATATTAGTTTCCTTTCTCCAATCTTATTTATTTATTTAGAGATGGAGTCTTGGTCTGTCATCTAGGTTGTAGTGCAGTGGTGCTATCTTGGCTCACTGCAACCTCCCACTCCAGGGTTCAGAGATTCTCCTGCCTCAGCCTCCTGAGTAGCTGGGACTACAGGCATGCGCCACCATGCCTGGCTAATTTTTTGTATTTTCAGTACAGGATTTCACTATGTTGGCCAGGCTGGTCTCAAACTCCTGACCTCTGGTGATCTGCATGCCCTGGCCTCCTAAAGTGCTGGGATTACAGGCATGAGCCACCATGCCTGGCCCATTCTTTATTTTATATAAATCTCTTAGTCATAAGGAAGAACATGTATTCTTGTGCATGTACACATATACATACATATGTATGAATATGAGATAAACTCATGATAAAGACTTGAAAAAAATAAAAATCAGAAATCACCAAAACAGTATTAAAAGAGTACAAATATATATAGAATAATATATTAGAATCTAATAATAATATATTAGAATAATCTTATTCTAATATCTAAATGCTGATATTAAACACATTATTACCACCTAGTCAGATCCTGTACAGTGCTATATGTTTCCACGTAATTCATATTCAGTTTGAAATTCCATTACAAGTTGTATTAGTCTGTTCTCATGCTGCTATAAGGACATACCCAAGATGAGCAATTTATAAAGGAAAGAAGTTTAATTGATTCACAGTTCTGCATGTCTGAGGAGGCCTCAGGAAACTTACAATAACAGTGAAAGGGGAAGTAAACACGTCCTTCATCACATGGCAGCAGGAGAGAGAAGTGCAGAGGGAAGGGGGAAAGTCCCTTATAAAACCATCAGCTCTCATGAGAACTCACTGTCACGAGAACAGCATGAGGGGACTGCCCCCATGTCTAATCGCCTCCCAGGAGGTCCCTCCCACAACACATTGAGATTGCAATTCAGATTACAATTCAAGATGAGATTTCGGTGGGGACACAGAGCCAGATTATATCACAGGGCTTTCAAAATTAGCTTATTATTAAAGCTCCTCAGATTGTTTTAATAGCAGCCTGGTAAGGGAGAACATGTTTCCTGGATAAAGTCTGAATTATTTATTATGACATATAAGGCCCTCTACAATCTGAATCTTGCTGGCCACCCTCACCCCACTTCCCCAGTGCTTTCCACTTGCACCAAGTAGCTTGCAATTTTCGAGACACACCCAATGTGGTTGTACCAACTTGCCGTATTTGCTTGCTGTATTCACATTTCAAGAACCCAGGTTAGAATTGATTATTAACTCCTTTCAGTTTCTCCTCTATTCTGTATGTACTCCTATCACAACTATCATAGGAACATTTTATATCAGGATTAGAAATATGCCATTTGAACATTGCCTGCAGGCTGTGCCTATTGCACCACGACTGTTGATAAAATTTGTCACTCAGGAAAACTGCTCTTTTATTTGAGAAAAAATATTTTAGTAGAACTTCTGGTTTTGCAAAAGATCTAGATCCAGAATGGCCTAGGTTTTCTTCTAGGGTTTTTATGGTTTTTGGTTTTACATTAAGGTCTTTAATCCATCTTGAGCTAATTTTTGTAGAAGGTGTAAGGAAGGGGTCCAGTTTCAGTTTTCTGCATATGGCTAGCCAGTTTTCCCAGTACCACTTATTAAATGGGGAATCCTTTCCCCATTACTTGTTATTGTCAGGTTTGTCGAAGATCAGATGGTTGTATATGTGTGTTGTTATTTCTGAAGTCTCTGTTCTGTTCCATTGGTCTATATGCCTGTTTTGGTAACAGTACCATGCTGTTTTGTTTACTGTAGCCTTGTAATATAGTCTGAAGTCAGGTAGCATGATACCTCCAGCTGTGTTCTTTTTGCTTAGGACTGTCTTGGCTATATGGGCCCTTTTTTTTGGTTCCATATGAAATTTAAAGTAGTTTTTTTTCTAATTTTGTGAAGAAAGTCAATGGTAGTTTGATGGGAATAGCATTGAATCTATAAATTATTTTGGACAGTATGGCCATTTTCATGATATTGATTCTTCCTATCCATGAGCATGGATAGTTTTTCCATTTGACTATTCAGGACATAGGCATGGGCAAAGACTTCATGATGAAAACACCAAAAGCAATTGCAACAAAAACCAGAACTGACAAATGGGATCTAATTAAACTAAAGAGCTTCTGCACAGCAAAAGAAACTAGCATCAGAGTGAACAGGCAACCTACAGAATGGGAGAAAATTTTTGCAATCTGCATATCTGACAAAGGTCTAATATCCAGAATTTATAAGGAACTTAGACAAATTTACAAGAAAAAAACAACCCCATCAAAAAGTGGGCAAAGGATATGAACAGACACTTTTCAAAAGAAGAAATTTATGCCACCAACAAACAGATGAGAAAAAGCTCATCATCGCTGATTATTGGATAAATGCAAATCAAAACCACAATGAGATACCATCTCACACCAGCCAGATTGGCGATTATTAAAAAATCAGGAAACAATAGATGCTGGTGAGGTTGTGGAGAAATAGGAATACTTTTACACTGTTGGTGGGAATGTAAATTACTTCAACCATGGTGGAAGAGAGTGTGGTGATTCCTCAAGGATCTAGAACCAGAAATACCATTTGACCCAGCAATCCCATTACTGGTTATATACTCAGATGATTACAAATCATTCTATAAAGACACATGCACATGTATGTTTATTGCAGCACTATTTACAATAGCAAACACTTGAAACCAACCCAAATGCCCATGAATGATAGACTGGATAAAGAAAATTTGGTACAAATACACCATGGAATACTATGCAGCCATAAAAAAGAATGAGATTATGTCCTTTGCAGGGACATGGGTGAAGCTGGAAGCCATCATTCTCAGCAAACTAACACAAAAACAGAAAACCAAACACCGCATGTTCTCACTCATAAGTGGGAGCTGAACAATGAGAACACATGGACACAGGGAGGGGGACAACACACAGGGGCCTGTTATGGGGTGGGAGAGAGGAGGGAGAGCATTAGGACAAATACCTAATGCATGCAGGGCCTAAAACCTAAATGATGGGTTGATAGGTGCCGCAAACCACAATGGCACATGTATACCTTTGTAACAAACCTGCAAATTCTGCATATGTATCCCAGAACTTAAAGTAAAAACAAAACAAAAAACCCTAGTCTCTGACTTTTGGTGGGAGGCTGATTTGAGTAATAATAAAACTCAAATCTCCCCCACCAAAACAACAACAACAAAGATCGATCCAGATTTTACTCCTATGGGAAAATTGAGAATAATAATAAAAAGTTTCAGGATAATAGGGCTGGCAGGACTCATGATTTTCTGGGGCAGCAGATGCTCTCTGCCAAGGCAAGGTCAAGTTCAGAGTGACAGAGGGGATGCAGAGTCCTGAATTTCAAAGAGTTGTTAGAGTGTTTTGAAGCAGCAGGCTGAATTCTGATCCCAGAGCAGAGGCTCTTAGTCCCGCAGTCTGACTTGATGCTGACTGATGAGTCCAAACCCACAGGGGTTTATTGGAGACAGAAGGAAATTAGAGACTTCCAAATGCCTCTTGTTTCTTGAGTCATAGACAACAGTACTAGAAAATGTTAAATTAACCATCAAGTCTCTCAAAACAAAACAAAACAAAACAAAATCCTATGAAAGGTGATTCTTACCAGGTTATCTAAAGCCTCTATAAGCCCCTGGTATGAGAGGCAGAAGAGGACCTGTAACCACACAGTGAATCAAAGCAGAGATATGTCATGGGATGGGTTTGGTTGCATTAAAAATTAATATCCTTTATTGAGTGCTAACTATATATACTAAGGACTTCATGTGTCTTACCTCCTTTAATCTTCACCATAACCTATAAATTTTGTCCAATTACTATCTTAGAGTAAAATAAGGACGGGAAAATTGAGGCACAGAGAATGTAGAGTCAAAAAAATCTATCAAGTGGCAGATTGAGTTTTGACCCTTGCTTCAAGTCTAGCTATGGCTTTCCCTTTTAAACACTCTGCAACTTAGGACAATACAGTCTGCAATGACAAAGAAAGGCCAAACCTGCTGAAAATGTTTATTATGAATTGAAGGGAAAAGATTAGAATAGAAATTTTTACCAATTATGTATTTAAGTACACCACTGGCCACTTACAAACTGCATGTATAGAAGAAACAAAACAAAAAACAAAAACCTTATTTAGGACCTGTCTCAAAGTCAGCCGCTTCTGATACTTTTTTTCTTTGTAGCTAAGTTGTTCTTATTCTAATAAATGTAGTTTCAGTGGAGTTAAATTGCCTAGTAGTTTACCTGTACTGATGGATTTTTATCTTGCCGAAATGTACCTTATTTCGTGAAGGTACATTCTTTTCCACTTAATGATGTTTACCACCTTTAAATATATTAAAAAACAGTCTCTATTAAGTTAAACTTGGAGTTTACAAAAGAAATCCCCTTTTGATCCTAAGTAATTCATTTTTCTATTTTTAGGGAAGGAAATATTTCAAAAATTCTTTTGAAAATAATCTACAATGTGATAGAATTTCTTTTAACTTCAGGAAAGGTAAATAGTTTTCCAACTGAAAATACAAATTCCCATAATTGTGACATAGTACAGATAAATGCTACTCACAGACCCAGACTTACATAAGTATCATTTAAGAGATATTCATAATGTAATACATATAAAATGATCTTTCTGAAGAAGAAAGGACTTTGCTTTTTGGGATGTATAAAATGAATTACATTTGAATATTTTCTCTTTAGGTTATTTGTGAGTTTCCATGGCTGACACTAAGTACCCAGTGATTTTGACAAAGCAGTAAGCTGTAGAGGTCAGATAGTGGTTCTGGTGAAGTAAAGCTCTTAGAAGGTACAGTGCTATCCATGGATTTCAACTGATAAAATCAATAGAAGTCATCTGTGGTCAACTCAGAACTGCTGGAAAATGGTGTGTAGAGTTCTAAAGGGTAGAATAAAGAAAAATTTTCTTATTTCCTTACAGATGAAGATGTTATAAACATTCTTTTGCTAGCACAATACTCCAAGGGTTGGCTTTGGTAATTAAAACCATTCATCCTTATTATTAAGGTTTATCTTTATTTAAAATCTGAAGTCAGCCAGCATGAAGAGCTCAAATCATAATTAGTTCAATAAAACGACCACTAGCTGTGATCTAGAATAAAACAGGTCTAAACAGAACGTCAACAAGATGGTTTGGTCATGGCTTTGTAACTGAGACCTATACTTTACTTTATACCTCAACCTACCCTCAATGTAATGAAAGCAATAGACTTCCCTTCATCAGAGGATGGGCAAGATAGTCAGTGTTGACATCTTCACTGATGATTCTCCCTGACAAGTGGCGTATTGTTGGAAGAGTGTTAAGGTTTTTCTTCTGTTTGCACTAAGGCTGGTTTTCCAGTTTTTTCCCTTGCATACATCACCTCCCTGACACTCCCGCTACTTCGCATTCACTTGTGGGCCATACTCAAATGGCTTGACACAAATTATTTTACTGTTGGAAAAAAATGTTTTACTTACCTTTAAAGATTTTAACATTGTTAATGCATGGTCTAACACGTTGTTAATATATGTCAATGTATGGTTAATATACTTGTTCTTGCATCTCAGAGCCTGCCATATATTAGCGCTTTTTGAGAAGCAGAACATTCTTTGGTACTGATGTTTAGTAAGAATTTCATTTTACTTTTATTTACTCTCCATACACACACATACACACACACTAAGGTTAACATCGAAATAGATTTGTAATAGATTACATTTCTGAATATCCAGCTGTTGGACAGATATAGAAGGCAGTGGAGATCACCTTGAGTAAAAGAGTGGCAAGTTAAAGGCTCACATGAAAAAAAGTGCATGATTGAGAATAGACTTCAATGCTCAGATGAGTAAAAAATGAATCAGTAAAAAAAAAACTTTTTTATTCTTTCCATTTTTCTTTTAACAAACTTGGATATTAAGTACCTATTAAACCAAATTTGTGGAAAATTCACTGATTTTGGAGTCAGAAAGAGTTGACTTTGAATCTCAGTTTTGCTTTTTTAGTAGCCGTGAGACTTGGGCAACCTACTTTTAATAATTCTCATACCTGTCATTGGGGAAATGAGAGTAATAGAAGGCTGCAAATTGTAGTGTTGGTATATAAAATGTCTAGCACATGACAACCATTACACAAGTTGCTGCCCCACTCCCTCTCCACTCTTTACCCACCCACCACACATGCAAAGGTATTAGGGATACGGAAATGATTATGACAACAGCTATCAGTCTGTAGGTTTCCATAGGGCAGATAATATTTCCTATTCACTTTTGTTTCTCCAGTCCTTAGCTTCGTGCTTGCATATTATATACCCAATAAATGTTTGCTGAATGAATATACCATGTTTATCCACAAAAAATCACAATCTATACTGACTATAAATAGATATTCCTTCAAAAATATAGAAATATTACACTAAAAGTCATACAGTTAGTGACAAATATAAATACTTAGGAAAGTGAAGTAGACCAGTGGAAGCTAAGCTTCTTGAGAGGCTTGGCACCCAGATGAAGAGGTTACAGGAAGGTTATGGGTTAATGTGAAAGAAATAGAGAAAGAATAGGTGCCTTAGCACTCTGTCAAATCTTGATGAGGTGTCAGTAGAAGAAAACTTTTCTTTCCAGTTAAAAATTCGGCTTCAGTGGAGGAAATATTTTATTATGAATTTTCGGCAGCTGCTAAGAAAGATCTTTAGACTAACCTCAGACTAGACACAGAATCTAGGGAATGCGTGGCCTGGTCTGGTCCTAAAGAAGCCATGATCTGTTCTGGAAATGTTCATAATCTGAAGCCTCTCTTTTGCTATCTGTAAGTAGAGATTAATCGTTAGGGTTGTTTATTTAAAGTTATTTTATTGACTGGGTGTGGTGGCTCACGCCTGTATTCCTAGCACTTTGGAAGGCCAAGGTGGGCAGATCGCTTGAGCCCAGGAATTTGAGACCAGCCAGCCTGAGCAACATGAAGAAACACTGTCTCTACAAAAAAAAAAAAAAAAAAAATCAGCTGAACATGATGGTGCCTGCTCATAATCTCAGCTACTGGGGAAGCTGAGGTGGGAGGATCACTTGAGCCCGGGATGTTGAGGCTGCCATGAGCCGAGATTGCATCACTGCACTCCAGCCTGGATGACCGAGTGAGACACTGTCTCCAAAAAAAATGTATTTTATTCACTACAGCAATTTTCTCTAAGAGCCCAAAGTGCTTATCTGCTCAGAGATCTTCTGAGAGAGGGATGGAGTTATTCTTCCAGCTATTAAGGGACTCTTAAAGAACTATGGTAACAAGAAAAAAGACATCACTATTTCAACTTTACTACAATTTTTATCAGGACAGGGTTTATTCTCAATGTGTTAAATAATGTTTTTGAATGGATTCTCTTGTTGCAAAATGAAAATTAGGATTCTTTTCCAATATGATCTCAGAACCTAAACATCTTTACTAAAGATATCATTATTACTAAATTGCTCAAGAATAAAAATATGGCATGGTTAAGACTGGGAGATATTTTACTCCCTTGGTGCTTTCTATTATCTATTTTTAAATAATACTCCAGTGGTTTGACTTGATAATTTAATCATTTAAAAGGCATTGACTAGAGTATTTGCATAGAACCTGACAATGTCTCTTCACCTTCACTGCTACTATTGTTGTCTAAGGCACTATCATTTACCCCCCAGATTGCTGAAAAAAATCTCCTTAACTGGTCTTTTCTTCATGCTTGCCTCATTCTCCTGCCCCTACTCTCTTTCCTTTATAGTAGACAGAGAACTAATGATAAACTGTGCCATATCATGTCACTCCTTTGCTCAAAACCTACAGTGTCTCCCCATTTCATGCTTTGTAAAAAGCCAAAGGTCTTACAGGGGTTTATATAAGAACATATGTAATCTGCCCCCCAGTCATCTCTGGTTTTTCCTCCCCTCATTTACACCATTCCGGCCACACTGGCTTTCTTGATGTTTCATGAGAACATCAGAAATTTTCTCACTTAAAGATGTAGTGTTGGCTGTTCCTTCTGTCTGGAATTCTCATCTTGTAGATATCCACATTGCTTTTTACCTTCACTTCCTTCATGTTCTTGTTCAAATGTCATTTTCTCTTTGAGGTGAACCCTAGCTACTCTATTTACAATTGCAAGCCTTTATTCTTGAGACTCTCCATTCCTTTTACAATGCTTTTTTCATTTCATAGCATTTATTACCTTCTAACAAACCACAATTAATTTTATTAATTATAATTACTATAATTATTATTACCATATATAAGCTCATTGATGGCAGGACTTTGTTCACTACTGAATCTTCACTGCCTGTAACAGTTCCTGGCACATAGTAGGTTATCAGTAAATATTTTAAAATTAATATTTTAATATTATATACAGACTTAATAAAACCCCAAATTGTGAAATGCCAATAATTAAAGAAAAGGGACTTGGGAAAAGATGGCAGCTAGGAGACAGGGCTAACATGCAGCTCTCACTTGCATGGACAGAACAGCATGTGGAGACTCACACTGTGAACTTTTGAACCACCACAAGATCATACCAGGAAAACTAAATAATTCACAGATCCTTTAAAATAAGTGGCATGCCACTACAAATTCTGCAAGACAGCCAAAAAAGTGTGAGTTCCCAAAGTGTGAGAGGATAGCCTGCCTCCAACCATATATCCATGCTTTCTCAGTTGCCCTAAGTTGTCTAGGGTAAGCATTCTGGTTTCTCAGGCAATAGGTAGGGCCATAAACCTCCCAAGAGTTTCTATCTTTCGTGTTCAGCTACCAGGGTGGATAGAGAAATACCATCAGGTGGAGGCAGGGTTAGGTGGATTTGGACTTGCCACAGCCATAATTGGGGTTGGGTGGGGGGTGGTTTTTAGGCACCAAATCAAGGGAGCACCCTGTGGGACAAAGGAACCTGAACAGTAGGCCTTGAGTTCTAGTACTTTCCAGTGAAATAGTCTACCCAAATGAGAAAGAACCAGAAAAGCAATCCTGGTAATATGACCAAACAGGGTTCGATAGCATCCCCAAAAACATCATGCTACCTCCCCAGCAATGGATCAAAACCAAGAGAAATCTCTGAATTGGTAGATAGAAAATTCACAAGGTTGATTATTAAGCTACTCAAAAAGATACCAGAGAAAGGTGAAAACCAACTTAAAGAAATATTTTTGAAAATACAGGATATGGAAGAAAAATTCTCCAGAGAAATACACTATCATAAAGAAAAAACAATAAAAAATTCTGGAAAAAACACTTAGAGAAATACAAAATTCACTGGAAGATTTCAAGAATAGACTAGAATAAATAGAAGAAAGAACTTCAGTGCTTGAATACAAGGCTTTCAAATTAACCCAATGAGACAAAAACAAATAAAAATAATTTTCAGATAATGAACAGGCTGGGCACAGTGGCTCATGCCTGTAATCCCAGCACTTTGGGAGGCCAAGGTGGGTGGATCACTTCAGGTCAGGAGTTCGAGACCAGCTTGGCCAACATGGTGAAACCCCGCCTCTACTAAAAATATAAAACAATTAGCCAGGTATGGTGGAGTGTGCCTGTAATCCCAGCTATTCAGGCAGCTGAGGCAGGAGAATTGTTTGAACCTGGGAGGTGGAGGTTGCAATGAGCCAAGATCACGCCACTGCACTCCAGCATAATAATAATAAAAATTATTATAATAATATAATTATTATTATGAACAAAGCCTCCAAAAAAATTGGGATTATGTTAAATGGCCAAACCTAAGAATAATTGGTGTTCCTGAGGAAAAAGACAAATCTGAAAGGTTGGAAAAATTATTTGAGGGAATAATTGAGGAATACTTCCCTGTTCTTGCTAGAGATCTAGACATCTAAATACAAAAAGTTCAAAGAACACCTGGGAAATTTATCACAAAAAGGTCATCACCAAGGCACATAATCATCAGGTTATCTAAGTCAAGATGAAGAAAAGAAACTTAAGAACTGTGGGGCAAAAGCATCAGCTAACCATCAGCTAAAGAAAAACCTAACAGATTAATGTCAGATTTCTCCAGGAGAAAACCTACAAGCTTGAAGAGATTGGGCTCCTATCTTCAGCCTCCTCAAACAAAATAATTGCCAGTCAAGACTTTTGTATCCAGCAAAACTAAGCTTCATAGATGGGAGAGATAAATTCTTTTTCAGACAAAGAAATGCTGAAAGAATTCACCACTACCAAGCCAGCACTACAAGGACTGCTAAAAGTTGCTCTAAATCTTGGGACAAAATTCAAAATACACCAAAATAGAACCTCCTGAAAGCATAAATCTCACGGGCCTATAAAACAATAACACAATGAACAAAAAACAGGGTATTCAGGAAACAACTAGGGTGATGAATAAAACAGTACACCTCACATCTCTCACTACTAACATTGAATGTAAATAACCTCAATGCTCCACTTAAAAGATACGGAATACCAGAATGGATAAAAATCCACCAACCAAGTATCTGTTGTCTTCAAGAGACTAACCTAATGCATAAGGACTCACATAAACTTAAGGTAAAGTGATGGAAAAAGATATTTGATGCAAATGTAAACCAAAATTGAGCAGAAGTAGATATGCTTATATCAGACAAGACAGACTTTAAAGCAACAACACTTAAAAAAGACAGAAGAGGGACATTACATAATAATAAAAAGTTCAATAGGAAAATATCACAATTCTAAATATATATGCACCTAACACACTGGAGCTCCCAGATTTATAAAACAATTATTAGTAGACCTAAGAAATGAGATGATGGTAACACAATAATAGTGGGAGATTCGATACTCCACTCAAAGCACTAGACAGGTCATCAAGACAGAATATCAACAACAACAAAAAATGAACTTAAACTATACCCTAGAACAAATGGACTTAGCAGATATTTACAGAACATTTTACTCAACAACTGCAGTATATACATTCTTTTCATCAGAACATGGAACCATCTCCAAGATAGGACATATAATAGGCCACAAAACAAGTCTCAATAAATTTGAGAAAATCAAAATTATATCAAGTACTCCCTCAGACTAGAGTGGAATAAAATTGGAAATTAACTCCAAAAGGAACCCTCAAAACCATGCAAATACATGGAAATTAAGTAACCTGCTCTTGAATGATCATTGGGTCAACAATGAAATCAAGATGAAAATTAATAAATTCTTTGGACTGAATGATAATAATGACACAAAATGTCAGAATCTCTGGGATACAGCAAAAGCAGTGCTAAGAGGAAAGTTCATAGCATTAAATGCCTACATCAAAAAGTCTGAAAGAGCACAAATAGAAAATCTAAGGTCACACCTCAAGGAACTACAGAAACAAGATCGAACCAAACCCAAACCCAGCAGCAGAAAAGAAATAACAAAGATCAGTGCAGAACTAAATGAAATTGAAACAAACGAAAAACAAATACAAAAGATAAATGAAACTAAAAGCTGTTTCTTTGAAAAGATAAAATTGATAAACCATTAGTGAGATTAACCAAGAAAAGAAGAGAGAAGATCCAAATAGGCTCAATTAGAAATGAAATAGGAGATATTATAGCTGATACCAGAGAAATACAAAAGACCAGACCATTCAAGGCTACTATGAACACATTTATGCACACAAACTTTTAATAGAAAATCTAGAGTAGATGGATAAATTTCTGGAAATATACAATTCTCTTAGAATAAATCAGGAAGAACTAGAAACTTGGAACAGACCAATAATAACTAGCAATATTGAAACAGTAATTTAAAAAATTGCCAAGAAAAAAAAGTCCAGGACTAGATGGATTCCCAGCTGAAGTCTATCAGACGTTCAAAGAAGAATTAGTAACAATCTTACTGAAACTACTCCAAAAGTTACAGAAAGAAGGAATCACCCCTAAATCATTCTATGAAGCCAGTATTGCCCTGATACCAATACCAGGAAAGGCCATAACAAAAGAAGAAAACTACGGACCAATTTCTCTGATGAACATAGATGCAAAAATCCTCAATAAAATAATCGCTAACTGAATCCAACAGCATATCAAAAAGATAATAAATTATGATCAAGTAAGTTTCATATCAAAGATGCAGGGATGGTTTAACATACACAAGGCAATAAATGTGATACATTAAGTAAACAGATTTAAAAACAAAAAATCATATTATTATCTCAGTGGATGCATTTGACAAAATCCAGCATCCCTTTATGATTAAGACCCTCAGCAAAACTGGCACAGAAGGGACATACCTCAAGGAAATAAAAGCCATCTATGACAAACCCCTAGCCAGCAAAGCATTCCCTCTGAGAACCAGAACAAGACAAGGATGCCCACTTTCACCACTTCTATTCAACATTGCACTGGAAGTCCTAGCCAGAGCAATCAGACAAGAGAAAGAAATAAAGAACATCCAAATTGGTAAAGAGAAAGTCAAATTGTTGCTGTTAGCCCATGATATGATAGTATGCCTTAAAAACTCTAAAATATCATCCAAAAAGCTCCGGGGTCTGATAAGTGAATTGAGTAAAGTTTCAAGATACAAATCCAATGTACACAAAAGAGTAGCACTGCTATACACCAATAGCAATCAAGCTGAAAATCAAATCAAGAACTCCACCCCCTTTATGACAGCTGCCATTAAACAAAATATATAGTTAGGCATATACCTACCAAGGGGGTAAAAGATCTCTATGTGGAATTCTACAAAACACTGCTGAAAGAAATCATAGATGACACAAACAAATGGAAACTCCTCCCATGCTCATGGATGGGTAGAATCAATATTGTGAAAAATGACCATATTGCCAAAAGCAATCTACAGATTCAATGCAATACCCATCAAAATACCACCATCAAAACTAGAAAAAAAGCAATTATAAAATTCATATGGAACCAAAAAGGACTCCACATAGCCAAACAAGACTACACAAAAATAACAAATCTGGAGGCATCACATTACCTGATTTGAAACTATACTACAAGGTTATAATTACCAAAACAGCATGGTACTGGTGTAAAAATAGACACATAGTGCAGTTGAACACAATAGAGAACCCAGAAATAAAGCCACATACTTACAGCCAGCTGATCTTTGACAAAACAAACAAAAACATAAAGTGGGGAAAGTATACCTATTCAACAAATGGTGTTGGGATAATTGGCTAGCCACAGGTAGAAGAATAAAACTGATGCCTCATCTCTCACCTTATACAAAAATCAACCAAGATAAACCAAAGACTTAAATCTAAGACCTGAAACCATAGAAATCCTAGAAGATAACATCAGAAAAACCCTTCTAGACATTGGCTTAGGCAAAGAGTTCATGACCAAGAAGCAAAAAGCAAATTCAACAAAATAAAAAATAAATAGATGGGACCTATTAAACTAAAAAGCTTCTTCACAGCAAAAGAAATAATCAGCAGAGTAATAAGACAACCCACAAATTTGGAGAAAATACTTGCAAGCTATGCATACAACAAAGGACTAATATCCAGAATCTACAAGGGACTCAAACAAAACAGCAAGAAAAAAACAAACAATCCCATCAAAAAGTGGGCAAAGGACATGAATAGAAAATTCTTAAAAGAAGATAGGCAAATGGCCAACAAACATATGAAAAAATGTTCAACATGACTAATTATCAGGGAAAGGCAAATTAAAACCACAATGAGATAAACCTGCAAGAATGGCCATAGTTAAAAAATAAAAAAATTATATGAGTTGGTGTGGATGCGGTGAAAAGGGAACAATTTACACTGCTGGTGGGAATGTAAAACTAGTAAAACCACTATGTAAAATAGTATGGAGATTCCTTAAATAACTAGAAGTAGAACTACCATTTGACTCAGCAATTCCACTATTGGGTATCTACCCCGAGGAAAAGAAGTCGTCATATGAAAAAGACACTTGCACATGCATGTTTATAGCAGAACAATTTGCAGTTACAGAATTATGGAACCAGCCTAAATGTCCATGAACCAATGAGTGGATAAAGAAAATTGGTATATATACCCCATGAAATACTACTTAGTGGTAAAAAGAAATGAAATAATGGCATTTGCAGCAATCTGGATGGAGTTGGAGACCATTATTTTAAGTGAAGTAACTCAGGATTGGAAAACCAAATATGGTTATGTTTTCACTTATAAGTAGGAGCTAACACTCCTTAAGTGTTTAGTAGGAGCTAAACACTTAAGAATGATGTAATGAGCTTGTATTTCAGGGGGAAGTGTGGGAGGGGGTGAGGGATAAAGACTACACATTGGGTACAGTGTACACTGCTTGGGTGATGGGGTATACCAAAATCTCAGAAATTACTTATCCATGTAACTAAAGACCACATCTTCCCCAGAACTATTGAAACTAAAAAATAAAATATTTTTTAAAAATAGGACTGTATGCCATTTGCCAATTGCATGAAATGATACATGCAAAAAGATCTAGAGAAGGGAGAAGTCAATGTAAGATCTCTTGTATAATGTAAACCCCAGAAGGACAGTTTTTTGTTATTGTTTTTATTCACTACTGATATTGAATATATCAACAGACAATGGCTAAACCATATATAAAAATTGAACTTTGTCCTGAAAGTCATGGAAGCTCCCCAGGAAATTAACATCTTTATCTACAATGAACAGCTCAGAAATTCAACCTGCTGTAAGTCAGACTTGCAAGAATCCAGATTGCTATCTCTAGTGACAATCTAGGACATTAAGCATAATGTTACAAGGAAGAGGTCTGAATCCAGACCCCAAGAGAGGGTTCTTGGATCTCACGCAAGAAAGAATTCAGGGCGAGTGTGCAGTGCAAAGTGAAAGCAAGTTTATTACGAAAGAAAGGAATAAAAGAATGGCTACTCCACAGAGCAGCACCTAGAGCTGCTGGTTCCCCATTTTTATGGTTACTTATTGATGATATACTAAACAAGGGGTGGATTATTCATGCCTCCCCTTTTTAGACCATATAGGGTAACTTCCTGACATTGCCATGGTGTTTGTAAACTGTCATGGCACTGGTGGGAGTGTAGCAATGAGAATAACCAGAGGTCACTCTCGTGGCCATTTTGGTTTTGGTGAATTTTGGCCTGCTCCCTTATTGCCACCTGTTTTATCAGCAAGGTCTTTATGATGTGTATTTTGTGCTGACCTCCTATCTCACCCTGTGATTTAGAATGCCTTAACCATCTGGAAATGCAGCCCAGTTGGTTTCAGCCTCATTTTACCCAGCTCCTGTTTAAGATAGAGTTGCTCTTGTTCATATGCCTCTGACAGTAACTTCTGTGAAAATCAGCCACAAATGGCCAGGACTTGATTAATAACTGACAGCTTCCCTAATTTTGGTCCCTGCTTCCAACTTAGGACCAACCAGAGAAAGCCAAATATGTGCCTCTAACCAGTCACATAGGATGCCTACCTTCTGGTTAACCTGGCTACAGCTTGCTCAGGTCATCAGTCTTCAATCAGGACATACGTAAAGCCTTCCCTTCTTTCCATTATAAAGCTTTCCCATTCCTCTGCCTAATAAATAACTTTGCTTTTGTACTTGGTTAGTCTTTATTTCCACATTACTGTATCCCAAACTCACAGAATAAGGCATAACACATAGTAGGTGCTCAATGAATATTCACTGAATGAATAAATGAATGAAGGAGAACTACCATGAACAAAAGTTTCACTTAATGTGGGGACATTTTTTATTACCTTGAAGGGAAAAATAGGAATTGTTGTCCACGTATGCTTCCTTTTTTAAGGTTGTTCAGGTCATCTTACCTCTCTCGACGAAAAAAAGAAAATGAGCCATAGTAGCAGAAGGTGGTAATTTTGATGTGTCTTGGGAAAAGATGGTAAAACACAGCATCTGTGAGGCAAGCTTTGCTTTGCATTCTGTTCACTGATTTAGTTTGATATCTTGAGCTTTAAAGATTTTGTGTAGTTGGCCAGGCGTAGTGGTTCATGCCTGTAATCCTGGCACTTTGGGAGGCCAAGGCAGGTGGATCACCTGAGGTCGGGAGTTTGAGAGACCAGCTTGACCAACATAGAGAAACCCCATCTCTATCAAAAATACAAAATTAGCTGGGTGTGGTGTCACATGCCTGTAATGCCAGCTACTCAGGAGGCTGAGGCAGGAGAATCACCTGAACCCAGGAGGTGGAGGTTGTGGTGAGCTGAGATCATGCCATTGCACTCCAGCCTGGGCAACAAGAGCGAAACCCCATCTCAAAAAAAATAAATAAATGAAATAAAATAAAAAAGGAATTCTTGTGATGCATATGCGATCAAGGCCCACCCACCAGGAAAGTATAGAGTTATAGCAAAAATCCCAGTTGCTAATAGATTGTTTGCCTGTAGTCTCTGTGTACTAACCAAGCGAGTATCTAGAGAGGGCATTTCTGGCCATAGTAGGTGGCTGATAGGAAATTCAAGGACTTCAGAACGTTGGCTGTCATTTTATTATTTTCCATTAATACTTTTATTGCTTTTCCTATTAGAATTCATGGAAAGGTATAGGGCTGGAAATGGAGAAGGTGTCTGAATATGAACATTGGGAATTGGTAAAAAATGTGGTCTGCAGATTATAATCAGATTTTAAAAAGGAGTTTGGATACAATATAGTAGGAAGCAGGGAAACAAGTTCCTAAGAAAGAAGAGAATATAATATTCTATTGTTTTAGGAAGACTAATCTGGCAGTCAGTGGCATTTACTTTAGCACTCATAAAACTTCAGCAAAATTAAATAGAATTGATGGCATTACCACAATTTAATTTATATTAAACAACTTTCTAGTAACTGTTTTGTATCAAATGCAGGGAGAGAAATTTCAAAGACAAAGATAAACCAATCTTTTACTTTCAACATAGATCTTTTTTCATAAAACATTATGGATTCATTTTGTATCACACCGTAGTTTAATTTTTTGGCAATAACTTGAGGTCAGGTACCTCATGTTGTATCCTAGGAAAAAGTTTAGGGGTTTTTCAGATTATTAGGGAGTTCATGTAGTGCACAAGGTGAGCTTTTCAAATACTAATTGTGTGAGTGTGTGTCTGACACACACATACACACACACACAGAGAGAGAGAGAGAAATTGGTGAGAAATGCATCATTATATTTTTCTTTGGAAAATTCAACCAGATAGGTAATGGCTTAAAAAGAAACAATTTCAAATTTGAAAGAAAAACTTACCATATCCTTTTATATACATTATTAAACATATATATAACCGAATTAACTGAATTTCAACATCTTTATTCATATTCTAAAGACAGATTTCAATGGCAACATAGAGGGGAGAGCTTGCTAAATGACTTAAATCTAATTGCATTAAAATTTGAAGTTAGATTCCAAAGATAATTTTCCTTTTACAGGTGATGATTAACAACTATATTCATAAGCACATCAGAAAGTCAACCCAGATAACTTCTTTTTATAAACCTTTTCTGGAGATACTGTTATATAAAGGAACATTGATTCTTTAATCTACTATAGTTGGTTTTCAGCTATTAAATTGCTGCTCTGAGCATTTGGGCTCCTGGTATTACTGCAAACAACAGCATTTACTGAGTCCAAAAACACCAGCAGCTCTTCTATGACAGAAAAGCATTTCAGTCTCATTTGTCAGGATTCATGGTTGGGTTGAGTTTCATAAAAACATTTTAATAATAGAGATTTATTATAATGTGAATTTCTTGGGAAACTTTAAGTTATGTGTGGTATAGGGCTATTGAGAATTATATAGAACTAATATATCATTTACTTTTTTATTTTTTATTGATACAGAATGGTACGTATTTATGGGATACATGTGATATTTTGATACATGCATACAATCTGTAATGATAAAATCAGGTTTTTCAGGGTACCCATTGCCTCAAATATTTATCATTTCTATGTGTCGAGAACATTTCAAATATTCTCTTCTAGCTATCTTACAATATACAACACATTGTTATTAACTATAGTTACCCTACCGGTATTGAACACTAGAACATATTTCTTCTATCTAACTGTATTTTTACAAAAATTAACCAACCTTTCATTATGCCCTTGCCCCACCCTTCCTAGGCTCTGGTAACCATCATTCTACTCTCTACCTTCATGAGATCAACTATTATAGCCCCCACATATGAGTGAAAACGTGGTATTTTTCTTTCTGTGCCTGGCTTATTTCACTTAACCTAATGACCTCCAGTTCCATCCATTATGCTGCAAATGGCAGAATTTCATTCATTTTTTGTGGCTAGATAATATTCCACTATGCATATTTACCACATTTTCTTTTTCCAATTGCCCATTGATGGACACTTAGGTTGATTCCATCTCTTGGCTATTTTGAATAGTGCTGCAATAAACATGCTGGTGTAGGTATCCCTTTGGTATACCAATTTATTTTGCTTTGAATAAATACTCAGTAGAGGGATTGCTGGGTTGTATGGTAATTATTGATTTCTTTTTCAGCTAGTTCTTTATTAGTATGTAGAAACACTAGTGATTTTTGTGTGTTGATTTTGTGTCAGAGTTTTGAGAAACCTCCATACTGTTTTTCATAATGGCTGTACTACTTTACATTCTCACCAAGAGAGTATACGAGTTCCTCTTTCTCCATATCCTCACCAGCATTTATTTTTTGCCTTTATGATAATAACTGTTCTAACTTGGGTGAGCTGATACCTCGTTGTGGCTTTTATTTCCATTTCCCTGATAATTCATGGTGCTGAACTTTCTTTTCCAATTCTAGTTGGTCATTTATATATCTAATTTTGAGAAATGTCTATTCAGATTTTTTGTCCACTTTTACATGGGATTATCGGTTTTTTTCAGTTGAGTTGTTTGAGTTTTTCTGCATATTCAAGATATTGGTTCTTTGTTGGATTAATAGCTTACAAATATTTGCTCCCATTCTACAGCTTGTCTTTTTTAATCCGTTAATTGTTTCCTTTTCTGTGGAGAAGCTTCTTAGTTTAATATAGTTTCTTTTGTCTGTTTTTGTTGCCTGTGGTTTTGAAGTCTTGGCCATAAAATTGTTGCCTAGACCAATGTCCTGAAGTATTTCTCCTATGTTTTCTTCTAGTAGTTTTATTGTTTCAGGTCTTACATTTGGGTTTTGAATCACATTTGAGTTGATTTTTACATATGGCAAGGGTTAGGGTTTACTTTTAGTCTTCTGTATGTGGATATTTAGTTTTCCTAGCAGACGCATGATGACTCCAGCTTTGTTCTTTTTATCCAGTATTGATTTAGCTATTCAGGGTTTTTTGTGTTTCCATATGAATTTTAGGATTGATTTTTCAATTTCTGTGAAGAATGCCATTGACATTTTGATAAGGGTTGCATTAAATCTGTAGATTCTTCTGGATAGTATGGTCATTTAAAAATATTTTAATTCTTCCGATCCATGAGAAAAGAGTATCTTTCCATCTGTTTGTTTCCTCCTCAATTTCTTAATCAGTTTTTTGTAGTTTTTGTGGTAGAGATCTTTCACCAGTTTGGTTACATTTATTCCTAGGTATTCAATTTTTGGAGTTATAGGTGGGATTTTTTTTTTTATTACTTTTCCAGCTAGTTCTTATTAGTGTATAGAAACACTAGTGATTTTGTTTGTATTCTGCAACTTTACTGAATTCATTGAGAACTCATTGAGAAATGAATTTACTCATTTCTAAGATTTTTTTGATAGAGTCTTTAGCTTTTTCTATACATAAGATCATGTCATCTGTAAGGAGGGACAATTTAAATTTCCTTTTTCCAATGTGGAAGCCTTTATTTCCTTTGCTTCTCAGATTGCTCTGGCTACAACATGTAGTACTATTTTGATGAAGAGTGATGAAAGTGGATGGTCTGTTCCAAGATGGCCTACTAGGAACAGCTCCAGTCTGCAGCTGCCAGCGCAATTGATGCAGAATATGGGTGATTTCTGCATTTCCAACTGAGGTACCTGGTTCATCTCACTGGGACTGGTTTGACAGTGGGTGCAGCCCACAGAGGGAGAGCCAAAGCAGGGCAGGGCAGTGCCTCACACAGGAAGTGCAAGGAGTTGGGGGATTTCCCTTTCCTAGGCAAGGGAAGCTGTGACCAACTGTACCTGGAAAAACGGGACACTTCCACCCAAATACTGAACTTTTCCCACAGTCTTAGCAACCAGCAGACCAGGAGATTTCTCTCCTGTGCCTGGCTCGGTGGGTCCCATGCACATGCAGCCTTGCTAACTGCTAGCACAGCCATCTAAGATCGACCTGTGAGGCTGCAGCCTGGTGTGGGGAGGGGTATCTGCCATTGCTGAGGCTTAAGTAGGTAAACAAAGTGGCTGGGAAGCTCAAACTGGGCAGAGCCCATCGTAGCTCAGCAAGGCCTACTACCTCTATAGACTCCACTTCTGTGGGGAGGGCATAGCTGAACAAAAGGCAGCAGAAACTTCTGCAGATTCAAACGTCCCTGTCTGACAGCTCTGAAGAGAGCAGTGGTTCCCCCAGCATGGCATTTGAGCTCTGAGAACAGACAGACTGCCTCCTCAAGTTGGTCCCTGACCCCCATGTAGCCTAACTGGGAGACACCTCCCAGTAGGGGCTGACAGACACCTCATACAAGTGGGTGCTTCTCTGGGATGAAGCTTCCAGAGGAAGGATCAGGCAGCAATATTTGCTGTTCTGCAATATTTCCTGCTCTGCAGCCTCCGCTGGTGATACCCAGGCAAACAGGGCCTGGAGTGGACCTCCAGCAAACTCCAACAGACCTGCAGCTGAGGGACTTGACTGTTAGAAGGAAAACTGACAAACAGAAAGGAATAGCATCAACATCAACAAAAAGGACATCCACGCCAAAACCCCATCTGTAGGTCACCAACATCAAAGACCAAAGGTAGATAAAACCACAAGAAAAGACCAAAGGTTGCATTTAATTTTATCCAATCTGGCTGGGCACGGTGGCTCATGCCTGTAATCCCAGCACTTTGGGAGGCTGAGGAGGGCAGATCACGAGGTCAGGAGATCGAGACCATCCTGGCTAACACGGTGAAATCCCATCCGTATTAAAATACAAAAAAAAAAAAATTAGCTGGGTGTGGTGGCAGGCACCTGTAGTCCCAGCTACTTCGGAGGCTGAGGCAGAAGAATGGTGTGAACCCGTGAGAGACAGAGCTTGCAGTGAGCTGAGATTGAGCCACTGCACTCCAGCCTGGGTGACAGAGCGAGACTTCATCTCAAAAAATAAATAAATAAATAAATAAATAAATAAATAAATAAATAAATAAAATAAAGAGACTTAAATGTTAGACCTAAAACCATAAAAACCCCAGAAGAAAACCTAGGCAATGCTATTTAGGACATAGGCATGGGCAAAGACTTCATGACTAAAACACCAAAAACAATGGCAACAAAAGCTAAAATAGACAACTGGGATGTAATTAAACTAAAGAGCTTCTGCACAGCAAAAGAAACTACCCTCAGAATGAACAGGCAACCTACAGAATGGCAGAAAATTTTTGCAATCTACCTATCTCACAAAGGGCTAATATCCAGAATCTACAAAGAACTTAAACAAATTTACAAGAAAAAAACAAACAGCCTCATCAAAAAGTGGACAAAGGATATGAACAGACACTTCTCAAAAGAAGACATTTAGGCAACCACATGAAAAAATGCTCATCATCACTGGTCATCAGAGAAATGCAAATCAAAAGCACAATGAGCTACAATCTCACGCCAGTTAGAATGGTGATCATTAAAAAGTCAGGAAACAACAGGTGCTCAAGAGGATGTGGAGAAATAGGAACACTTTTACACTGTTGGTGGGACTGTAAATCAGTTCAACCATTGTGGAAGACAGTGTAACGATTCCTCAAGGATCTAGAACTAGAAATACCATTTGACCCAGCCATCCCATTACTGGGTATACACCCAAAGGATTATAAATCATGCTACTATAAAGATACATGTACATGTATGTTTATTGCAGCACTATTCACAATAGCAAAGACTTGGAACCAACCCAAATGACCATCAATGATAGACTGGTTTAAGAAAATGTGGCACATATACACCATGGAATACTATGCAGCCACAAACAAGGATGAGTTCATGTCCTTTGTAGGGACATGGATGAAGCTGGAAACCATCATTCTCAGCAAACTATCGCAAGGACAGAAAACCAAACACTGCATGTTCTTACTCATAGGTGGGAATTGAACAATGAGAACACTTGGACACAGGGCAGGGAACATCACACACTGGAACCTGTCATGGGGTGGGGGGCTAGGGGAAGGGATAGCATTAGGAGAAATACCTAATGTAAATGACAAGTTGATGGGTGCAGCAAACTAACATGGCACATGTATACCTATGTAACAAACCTGCACCTTGTGCACATGTACCATAGAACTTAAAGTAGAAAAAAAAAAAGAGTGGTGAAAGTGGGCATCTTTGTTTTGTTCCACTTTTTTTTTTTTTTTTTCTCGAGATGGAGTCTCACTCTGTCGCCTGGGCTGGAGTGCAGTGGTGCAATCTCGCCTCACTGCAACCTCCGCTTCCTGGGTTCAATCAGTTCTCGTGCCTCAGTCTCTTGAGTAGCTGGGATTACAGGCACATGCCACCACGCCCAGCTAATTTTTGTATTTTTGTATTTCACCATGTTGGCCAGGATGGTCTCGATCTCTTGACCTCTTGATCCACCCACCTCGGCCTCCCAAAGTGTTGGGATTACAGGCGTGAGCCAACGCGCCTGGCCTTGTTCCACTTCTTTTTATTCCACTTCTTAGAAGAAAAGCATTTAGCTCTTCCCTATTCAGTATGATGTTAGCTATGGGCTTGTTATATATGGCTATTATTCTGTTGAGGAATATTCCTTCTATGCCAATTTCTTGAGAGTTTTTAGCATGAAAGCATATTTTTTCAAACTTTTTCTCCATCTATTAAGATAATCATATCATTAATTCTGTGTATGTGATATATCACATTTATTGGTGTGCGTATGTTTAATTATCCTTGCATCCGGGAGATACTTCCTCATGTGTATTGTATTTGATGTGTTAGTGGATTCAATTTGCAGGTCGTTTGTTGACGATTTGCACTTCTAGGCTCATCAAATATATAGGCTTGTAGTTTTTTTTCTTGTTGTGTCCTTGTTTGGTTTTGGTACCATGGTAATTCTGGCTTTTCAGAATGAGTTAGGAAAAAATTCATTTTTTTCCATTTTTTTGAAACAGATTGCAAAGAATTGGTGTTAGTTCTTCATAAGTTTGATACAATTCAGTAGTAAACCATCGGTCCTTGGGCTTTTCTTTATTGGGAGTTTTTTTTTACTAAATCAATCTTACTTTTTGTTATTGGTCTATTTCTTATTGGTTCAATCTGGTAGGAGTATGTGTCCAGGAATTTATTCATTTCCTCTAGGTTTTCCAATGTGTTAGAGTATATTTATTCTTAATATTCTCTAATTATTTTTTAAAATTTCTGTGGCATCAGTTTCAGTGTCCCCTTTTTCAGTTTTGCTTTTATTTATTTGAATCTTACCTGTTTTTTTTCTTGTTTAGTCTAGCAGGCAGTTTATCAATTTTGTTTATATTTTCAAAAACCAACTTTTTATTTTATTGATCCTTTGCATTATTTTTAGTCTCCATTTTATTTAGTTTTGCTCTGATCTTTATTATTCCACAAATTTTGGGTTTTGTTTGGTTTCCTATTCTAGTTCCCTGAGTTGCATGTTGCTTTTTTTTTTTTTTAATGTCACTCTGTCACCGGGCTGGAGTGCAGTGACGTAATCTTGGCTCACTGCAACCTCTGCCTCCCGTTTCAAGTGATTCTCCTGCCTCAGCCTCCCAAGTAGCTGGGACTAGAGGCATGAGCCACCACGCCTAGCTAGTTTTTGTATTTTTAGTAGAGATGGGATTTCACCATGTTGGCCAGGATGGTCTTGATTTCTTGACCTCGTGATCTGCCCACCTCGGCCTCCCAAAGTGCTGGGATTACAGGTGTGAGCCACCACGCCTTGCTGCATTGTTGCATTGTTTATTTTAAATCTTTCTCTCTTTTTTTGATGTAGGTGTTTATTACAATAAACTTCCTTCTTAGTATTCCTTTTGTTATATTCCATAGGTTTTGATATGTTGTGATTCAATTTTCATTTGCTCAAAAAATCAATTGATTTCCTTTTTAGTTTCTCCATTTGCCCAGTGGTTGTTCAGGGCATGTTTTTAAATTGCCATATGTTTATACCATTTCCAAATTTCTGCTCATTCCTGTTTAAATCCACTATAGTCTGAGAAGATACTTGGTATAATTTTTATTTTTAAATTTGTTGAGACTTGTTTTGTGGTATAATATATGGTCTATAATGTAGAATGTTCTGTGTACTGACCAGAAGAATCTGGATTCTGTAGCTTTGGGGTGACATGTTCTGTAAACATCTATTAGGTCCATTTGGTCTATAGTGCAGTTTTAATCTAATTTTTTGTTTGTTTTCTGTCTACATGATCTGTCCAATGCTAAGAAAGAGGTGTCAAAGTCCCTGACTATTGCTTTTATTGGATTCTATCTCTCCCATTAGATATAGTAATATTTGCTTAATATATTTTGTTGCTTGGGTGCTGGGCACATAGATATTCAGAATTCTTACAGCCTCTTCGTGAATCGATCTTTTTAATCATTACATAATGACATTCTTTGTCTGTTTTTATAGTTTTTGACTTAAAGTCTGTTTTATCTGATATAGGTATAACTACTCTGGCTTGCTTTTGGTTTCTGTTTTTGTGCAATATTTTCTCCATCACTTCACTTTACATTTTTCAGGAGAGGTGAGTTTCTTTTAGGCAGAATACAGCTGGGCCATTTTTTATTTCCTATTCAGCCACTCTTTATCTTTTGAGTGGGGAATGTAATCCTTTTACATTCAAAGTTATTATTGTTAGGTGAGGACTTATTCTTGCCATTTTGTTCATTGCTTTCTGGTTGATTGGTATATTTTTTATTTGTTTCTTTATCTCTCATTATTTATCATTGTAGTTTGGTGATTTTTTTTTGTAGTGGCAACATTTGACTTCTTTCTTTTTCTTATTTGTGTCTGTTCTACCGTAATTATATATTTGCGTGTTTCCTTGATGGTAGATATCATCGTTTCACTTCCAGATATAGGACTGTCATAAGCATTTCTTGTAAGTTCGGTGTAGTGGTGATGAATCTCTTTAGTTTTTGCTTGTCTGCAAAATACTTTATTTCTCCTTTATTTCTGAAGGATAACTTAGGTAGGTATAGTAGTCTTCATTGTCAGTTTTTTTTCTTTCAGCATTTGAATATATTATCTTATTCTCTGCTAGTCTGTGAGGTTTCTGCTGAGAAATCCGCTGTATGTCTGATGGGGATTCCCTTATATATGACTTGATACTTTTCTCTTGCTATTTTTGGAGTTATCTTTGTGTTCGAATTTTGACAGGTTGACTATAATGTGTCTTGGAAAAAACTTTTTTGGGTTGAATCTATTGGGAAATGTTTAAGCTTCCCATATCCGAATGTCTACATCTCTTGCAATACTTGGTAATTTTTCAGCAATTATTTCATTAAATTGGTTTTCTATGTCTTTGCACATCTTTTCTCCTTCTGAAACTCTCTAAATTCAAATATTTGGTTCCTTTATGGTGTCCCATATGCCACATAGACATTCTTCGTTCTTTTTTGTTCTTTTTTTTTGTCTGAGTTCTTTCAAAAGATCTTTTTCAAGATTAGAAATTCTTTCTTTTGTTTGATCTAGACTATTGTTTGAGTTCTCGGTTGTATTTTTTGCTTTATTCACTGAATTCTTCAGTTCCAGGATTTCTGTTTGGTTCTTTTTTATGATATATATATATATATCATAAATCAGGTATATATATCATATATATATCTTTGCCGACTATCTCATTAAATCATGTATTGTTTACCTCTGTTCTATCTCACTGAATTTCTTTGGTATCATTATTTTGAATTTTTTTTCAGGCACTTAATAGATTTTCTTTTTGTAAGAAACCTCTATGGATAATTATTTTGTTTCTTTGGAGGTGTCATGTTTCCTGGCTTTTTGATATTTTTATATTTTTTATAACATTGATATCTGCACATCTGGTGTGACCATTGCTTCCTCTAATTTTTTGGATTGGCAATTTTGGAGAAAGAATTTTTCCTGTGCCTATATCTACAGTGTTCTTTGGGTAGGGTGTTTTGACTTTGATTCTGGGTGAGTAAAGTAATGCAGTCTTTGTATGACTTCTTTAGCTATAATCAGCATCAGTAGTGTCTGTGAGTTCCTCAGTGGCTTAGGCTGTGGTTGTTAGTGGAAGCTGTGGAGAGGCTTTTCTGGGGATGGGGCCACCAGATCAGTCAGTTCTTGGGCAACAGTGGTGCTGTTGGCAGGCCTGGCATGGGAGTCCTTGATCCCCTGTGGGCATACATGGATTCTGGCAGTAGCAAATCTGAGCAGGCTGATCCTTGGACCTAGAGGTGGGCTTGCTTGGGTGCCAGCAGTGACAGCAGTGGATCAGATGGGCAGGCAAATCCTTTAGTCTCTGGGTGTTGTGTGTGGCATCGGCAGTGTCAATAGTGATGGCAGGCCACCTTTATTCTCCCAAGTAGCATGCATGGGAATACAATCTAAATTTTACTTTTACTTAGCATTTCCTACATATTTAAGCAGATATTACACATTTCTGGGAATTTGTGATCAAAAGAAGTAGGTTGAAATGAAACCATCTCACCTTCCAGCTATGTGACTGATTATATTACCTCCCTTTTCTGAGCTTGCTTGTTCTTTAAAGGTAAGAACTATCACCCCAAACAGTGGTAAAAATGAACTAAAGCATTTTTTGAAGTACTAACATAGCATCTGGTATATAATAGGGTCTTTGTGTATAAATTAAATGGAATAAATAATACGAAAATCTGAATAAAAGAATGAACTAGCAAAATAAATCTTTTGCAATGAAGACTGATAAAGTGCCAGTCTCACTTATTTTATGACAGGTTTGCTGATACCACGTAAAAGCCTCACAGTAATGTTTAATAGGGAGCACAGTCTTAGAGCTCTGATGATTGAGAGATTTAGGATCAAATTGTTTTGTAGCTATGAAAACATGAACACATTCTTAAAAATTTATGCTTCGTTTTCCTCATAGGTAAAATAAAAGTGTATATGTATACACACATGCACACAATCTTGTTATAAGAATTAACTACAATAATGTCTGTAAAGCACATAACCCCGTTCCTTTCTAGGTTATGACATTCACCAAATAAATGAGTTATAGTATTCACCAAATAAATGTTAGCAGAGACTCCCAACTCTGTAGCCTGGGCAGCAGTACTCAAATTAAATATAGCGGGGCACATGAAGACTTTCCATAGTCTTCATTGGCACGCAGAGTTTTGAGTGAGGTTTCTAGACACACCCTGGTTTGTCCCATATAGTCCTCATTTATGCCTGTTATTTATGCCCGACATATTATCTGTTATTATTATCATCCCTTTTTACTCTGAGAGTGTCCTTGTTTGACTAATGGTCAACCTCAATCTAAAAGAATCAACTCCCCAATTCTCAGCTTTCTTATTAAATTTTCCTAATATATTGTTATAAATATGCACCTCTTTCTAAAAATAATTTTTCTAAATCATGCCAATTATTCTTTCTCATATTCCTTTATACAAATTACCCTTTTTATGCTTTATAAAAGAAAGGTGTGTCTTCCTTTAATTTAAATCTTGGAAAGAGATATCTGAGATAGCGGAGCAGAGAGCATCGATAAATGTTTCACCCAGATATCTAATCCATGTCCAGCTTCCTGATCTATCTTTCTCCGAGATGGAATTTGAAGTGATATATTTTCATGGGCATCTTTATTAAAATATTTATTTTACTTGAAAAATGAAGTTATATTTTACATATTGACAATAAGTTTTATTGGCTTGACAATGAAGACTGGATTGGTCCATTATATTTGTAAGAAATATTTTATAATTCAGGGATCTAAATCTGCAATTCCTTGCTTTTGAAAAATACAGATTTAAGTTGCAAGTTAAGTAATTTCTTAATACGTAATGCACTGGAAAGTGTGTATTTAAAAGTAACAACTTTTTTGTATTTCCAACCCTTTCTAAACATGTCATGATAATATAGCAATTTTAGCAAATGAGTTAGAAATAGAATTAGTAGTTATTTGGTAAGTCTTGGTAAGGTGGTGTTTTTTATTTTTGGTATATTTCCTAGAAATTGAAAAAACGAATGATTCTCAATGACTAAGAAATAATTTGGTGACTCAGATGGTTTCTATTTTCCTTTAAAAACAAGAATTGGGTTGACCATTGGTAAATCATTAAACATATCTTTTGTTGAATGTTCACTATGTGATTTTTGATATATAAGTCTGAAAGTATTCAATAAATTAATACTGTTATAATAAACTTCTCCCATTTTCATCGACTTATTTATGTAAACCATTTTTCTCATGCTTACATATATCTAAATATAAAAAAAATTCTAGCAATAAATAGTCACAAATCTATAAACAAACTGAAAAAAATCGCCATTTACTTTTAGTTGCATTTCCAATAAAAACTTACTGTGCATATTTCGTATTTTTCTTTCTTTCTTTTGTTTTTTTTTTTTGAGACAGAGTCTTGCTCTGTCGCCCAGGCTGGAGTGCAGTGAGCTCCACCTCCTGGGTTTGCTCCATCTTCCTGCCTCAGCCTCCTGAGTAGCTGGGACTACAGGTGCCCGCCACCATGCCTGGCTAATTTTTTTTTTTTTTTGTATTTTTAGTAGAGACAGTGTTTCATCATGTTAGCCAGGATGGTTTCGATCTCCTGACCTTGTGATCCGCCCGCCTCGGCTTCCCAAAGTGCTGGGATTACAGGCATGAGCCAACACGCCTGGCCTCGTATTTTTCAAAAGTCATAATCTTATTTGATTTTATATTAATAGCAATTACATTCAATTAGAATATTTAATATATTATTGCAGTATGCTGAAAATAAAAATTTTAAACCTTTTAAATTATGAAAATAACTTGAGATGTATGTGTGGGGAAGTTTGAAGACCATTGAGGTATAGAACCTGTCCCTGCTCCACTCTATTTTTTCCTAATATTTCTCCCTAACAATATACAGGCATTGTTATTTTTCTTAATTTGTTTTTATTGTATATTATTTAAGGTACACAGTATAGCTTTTGTTATTGTTGTTTAGGGACAAGGCCTTGATATATTACCCAGGCTGGAGTGCAATGGCACTATCCTAGCTCACTGCTGCCTTGCACTCTTGGGCTCAAGGAAAACTTCCACCTCAGCCCCCCAAGCTGAGACTACAGGTGCTTGCCATCAAGCTGGCTAATTTTTTTTATTTTTTTCTTATAGAGATGAAGTGTTGCTATGTTGCTCAGGCTTGTCTCAAACTCCTGGACTCAAATGATCCTCCTATGTTAGCCTCCCAAAGTTCTGCGATTACAGGTGTGAGCCACCATGTCTGGCCAACATGATGTTATAATATAAATCATAAATAGGTGAAAGGATGAGTATAGTCAAGCAAATTAACATATGCATCATCACATATAGTATGAGATCTCTCAGGTATCATTGTTAAAGAAAATAAAATATTTCTAATTCATGTACGATATTTTTATTTGTAAAAGTGTATGTAAATTAAGTGTATTATACATTTTGTGCTTATAACACCTACAGAACCTACAAGAACAGTTACCAACTCTTCAGCCAGGTATTTATGATATCTCCAGTTCTACCCGCATTGTTTAAAAACTTTTCTTTTATTGTTTTCCAATGCAAATGCCAGGGGACCTCTTAAATATGCTCTAAGCTTTTGCTCTACTACCAATATTTCTTAAAGTACTCTTTGTTTGCCTCTTGCTCCATCCAAAGCCTCCTTTCATTAGAACATAGCCCAAACTTTACCTTCTCAACAAATAGTGCCGATTTCTCCCGTGGGTCATTCATCTTATCTTCAAATGCCTTTGACTCTTGAATCCACAGTTACACTCTGACATATAAGTCCCCTTCTCTCCTATCATGCTTCACAAGCACACCATGTCCTACCTGTGTGGATATACTCCAAATTTCTCTAATATCAAGCACTATTTTCTCTACCTAAAATGCCTTTTCCCTCTGCTTTCTATTTCTCCAGCTCTCAGAATTTCCATTCACCCTTTAAGATCTAGCTGAAATATTTGCTCATTTGGGAAGACCTCCCAGATAATCTGAAATTTGGTTAGTCCCACCTTTGTGATTTCATAGAGTGAACTTACATTTATATCACTTATATCAGATATTGTATGTATTCATTTATATTATTTGTCTTCCCCATTGTAATACCAGACAAAAGTTTTAAATACATCTTTAGGGAGTAAAAGATCTTATGGCCCTGATCATTGAGTGTAGTCTGAAACATATAGTGGAAATGCGAAGAATGTTAATTGAATTAATATCTCACAGGTAAATAGCAATTCACCGAATAAATGAAATTTTTTGTTTTACATTTATCTCAAGTATAAAAACTCAGAAAATAAGAGCAACAAAAATGTCAAGGTTTGTGAAATGGACATGTATAGAAACCTAGATCTGCAGAATATACAGAACTTCTAAAAAATCGTCTCAATATTTTTAAATAATTGTAAGCACACAAACCACATCATACTACCACATTGCAATTAATTAAGGAAGAACAACAAAACATAACCAGAAAAAAATTTGTCTTAAAAATCTAAAAAAGTTTTTATCTTAGGAGTAAAAATCATAATGTAAGCTAGAAAATATTTATAAGTAAATAATAATGACAAAACTGTATGAAAAAAGTTATGAGATACAACCAAAGCATAACTTATAGGAAATTTAAAGTATTAATACTTATAATAGAAAAAAGGAAAGTTTGAAATTAATGAGTCAAATATCTAACCCAAGGAGAAAAAAAAAAAGAAGAAGAAAGGAAATGATGAATAAAAGACTTGAAACTACTAAAGTAGAAAACATAACAGAAAGAATCAGCAAAGCCAAAAGAGGATGAAATTTATAATTTTTCAAGGAAGATATGTAAATAAAAAGACAAAGGCAGAAAAATATTAAAAACTATTATTAATTAAGAATAAAACTAACAAAAATATGTAGACTCTGAAAAGATTAGGGACATTGTCAGCACTCTGTGTCAATATTTTTGAAATCTTAGATAAAATATATACCTTTCTAGAAAGGTATGTGCTAAAACTGACTCAAGAAATGAACGTCTGAATGGTCCTATACCTTTAAAAGAATTAATTCACCAGTTAATAATATTCCAAAGCAAACTCAAGGACATTTTAATTCTGGAATTAAAAAAAAATGCCAGAAAAGTGAAAAAGAATTTTGAAAAATATTATAATAGTTGATAAAGGCAAGTCAATATACATAACTTATGTATATTACATAGCAGAGTAATAAAATAAACATCTATGAACATATCACCTCATTTACAACCTTAGAAACTTCCAGTATTGGCCAGTGAGTAGTCCTTTTCTAGCCTATCCTGCTACCTCTCTCAGAGGCAAACAGTATCCTGAGTTTTACGTTTTCTGTAATAGACTTTTTTAAAAAAAATTGAGATATACGGCCGGGCGCGGTGTCTCATGCCTGTAATTCTAGCACTTTGAGAGGCCGAGGCAGGCAGATCACGAGGTCAGGAGATCGAGACCATCCTGGCTAACACGGTGAAACCCTGTCTCTACTAAAAATACAAAAAATTAGCCAGATGTGGTGGCGGGTGCCTGTAGTCCCAGCTACTCAAAAGGCTGAGGAAGGAGAATGGTGTGAACCTCGGAGGTGGAGCTTGCAGTGAGCCGAGATTGAGCCACTGCACTCCAGCCTGGGCGACAGAGCGAGACTGTCTCAAAAAAAATGAGATATACTTTGCATTTAATAAAATGCATAGATATTCATACATTTTGGCAAATAACTATATATGATAAAAATTTCATTACTCTAAATAATTCCCCCTCATCCCACCAAGACAACCAATGTACTCTACTTTTCTGATTTCTATCACCATAGGTTAGTTTTGTCTTTCTTGAGTTTTATATGTGTATATGTGTGTTTCTTTTGCAATTTATCCATGTCACATTAGTAGTTCATTTTTTAGTTTTGAGCAGTTTCCCAGGGTATAAATATAGTACAGGTTGTTCACTCATTTTTCCATTGAGGGAATCAATGGAATTTAGTCTCCAATTTAGTGTTGTTATGATTAAACTGATATAAACATTCCCGTACAGTTATTTTATTTTATTTTATTTTTTATTTTTGTTTTAACATTCTTGTGTAAATATTTTGAAGCAGAAATACTGTATCAATGGGTAGGTGTACCTTTTATATAAGAGGCTGATAAACTGTTTCCTAAAATGGTTCACTCTCACTAGACATTTCTTAGAGTTTCAGTTACATCACTTGCAACAGGAACTTTGGATGTTGCCAGTCTTCTTAATTTTAGTCATTCTAATGTGTGGGAAGCAGTAACTCATCAGAGTTTTAATATGCATTTCCCTGATAAATAATGCATTTGAACAACTTCTCACATGTTTGAATGCCTTGGGAAAGAAAGGGTTTCTGAAAGAGGGCTTTGCATGTTTTGTATATAAATTTAAAAAGTTAATCTGAGTGTTTTCGGATTTAAACACTCAGATTTCTGTAGTTCCATTACTCATAGAAATCTAGGTTTCTGAGTATATGACATTCCCTCCTCTCTTACAAATAAAGAAGTCCATAGAAATATGCAAATGATTCAGGTCAAGATGTAAGGGAAAGTTTTACATACCAACAAGTTAATAAACTTTAAGTTGTACTCCTAGCATGACCTCTCAGTCTGAATGAGTGCTATCAAAAACAACACATAATGTATCAGGGAAAAATAAAACTGTAAATTTCCACAGAGTTCTCTAGTTTGCCTGAGAGTTTGATAACAATACTCCATTATGTGATGTAACATATTTTGTAAACAAATAGAATAATATATAATAACCTATCTCCAAGGACAAATGGATGAATTAGATTATAAATTTGTTTAAACTTAACAGAGCTCATGTTTTCATTGGTCTCTTGAGACTAACAAGATTTATATAAATTTGAAATGAGAGAATTCATAAATTTCCAGGAACATAAAAAAACTTTAAAATACTTGTTGGGATGTAACTCAAGGGAAATAGAGAACCTTTAAAAAATGACTTTGATTGCTTAGTTGCAGGATAAGAAGCACAGGATGCAATTGATATCAGGAAAAAAAAAGCAAGAAAGAAACCCCAAACTAAAAACCTCACTTCTTATAAATAAGCATTAAAGAATTTAAAAAATATATGTTTTTGTATAAATGTAAAATAAATAACTTAGGCAATATTCCTCATCCAGGCGAATAACTGGACAGTTTATACTGGTTTCGTAATTTTGATTTAAAACAATATATGTCATTTCTTTGATTTTGTTACAGTGTGAAGAAAATTACATTAGCATATGTTCTATTTTATTCTATTAATGTTTTATTTTATATAAAATGTATTTATTTGCTCCTACAAAGGTTAATTTTTCTGAAATTTCTAGTTTCCTACACTGATTATATGGGTCAAATTCATGTGTCATTGAAATGTCTAAGGAAGATTTAAATGTAAAACTAAACTAAATTTTAAAAAGGTTTTTTTCTAAAATGTTTTAAACTTCTTATGATGCTACAAATCAATTAAACTAATAATTCCAAATACACTAATGGCATATAAATTTTGTACAATAAAAAGTGGCCATCAGCTAGTAAATTAAAAATATATATATTTGAGACGGAGTTTCACTCTTGTTGCCCAGGCTAGAATGCAATGGTGCAATCTTGGCTCACCACAACCTCTGCCTCCCAGATTCAAGTGATTCTCCTGCCTCGGCCTCCTGAGTAGCTGGAATTACAGGCATGCGCCACCACACCCAGCTAATTTTGTATTAGTAGAGATGGGGTTTCTCCATGTTGGTCAGGCTGGTCTTGAACTCCCGACCTCAGGTGATCCGCCCACCTCAGCCTCTCAAAGTGCTGGGATTACTGGCATGAGTCACTGCGCCCGGTCAAAAAATGTATTTTATATTAGCTTGTATTAGTTGTACATGTTTATTAACCTTCGCAAATGTGAAAAGCATGTGAATGATGGTACCATGATTCAATCAAGTATCACCATAATAATGCGCATATCTAACTACGCCAAAACTCAGTAGGTTAAAGGATTAAATATTTCTTTCCATGGTCGTATGTCTGCAGTAGGCTACACATAAGCTGAGTTAGTCTGGACTCGCAGCTCTCGGATTCGAGCTGCAAGCTCCGTGATGCAAGCACTTTTGTTCTGGGGTATATAGACTGAAGGGGTGTCGGCCACCTGGGGCATGTTTTTCTAATGGCGGATCATTGGAGTGTAAGAGGGCACACTCAACTGTGAAAGAATACTTCAAGCTTCTGCTTATCTCATGCATACTAACTTTTTTAAGATTTTTTTTATTTATTAAATTTTTATGGGTACATAGTAGGTGTATGTATTTATGGGGTACATGAGATATTTTGATACAGGCATGCAGTGTGAAATAAGTACATCGTGGGGAATGGGTTATCCTTCCCCTCAAGCATTTATCCTTTGAGTTAGCACACTAACACTTCAATGGCCAAAGCCAGGCATGTGGTCAATCCCAAATGAGGGAATTAAAAAATGCACTTTACCCACCATGAGGATGTGGTATGTGTGTGAAAGTAAATGAATACAACAATGTAGTGAAGAATTGGGGCCAATAATGTAGTCTGCCATACATAGATGTGTATAGTGGTATGCAGTTTTTTCCAGAACTTTACTCTGCTAATGTGCTTACATGTGGCAGACACCTCTCCATTTATTTTGTAGTATTTTCTGGCCTGTGACAGAAGTTAGTAGCTTTAATTAATAGTTGAATTAATATTGGTAAAGGCTTCCAGCTCTATTCATGTCCCTGAAAAGGAGATGATTTCATTCTTTTTATGGCTGCATAGTATTCCATGATGTATATGGACCATATTTTCTTTATCCAGTTTATCATTAATAAAGACTTATCCTCAGCAAACTAAAGCAAGAACAGAAAAGCAAATACTGCATGTCATCATTTATAAGTGGGAACTAAAATGAGAACACATGGACACATAGAGGGGAACAACACACACTGGGGCCTATCAGAGGTTGGATGGTGGGAAGAGGGAGAAGATCAGGAAAAATAATGGGTACTAGGCTTAATACCTGGGTGACGAAATAACCTGCATAACAAACCACCATGACACACGTTTACCTATGTAACAAACTTGCACATGTATCCCTGAACTTAAAATAGAAGTATATATATATAAATGAACTTTAAAAAAAGAAAGTATGTCTTACAAATGATAATCTCTTTGAAGTGAGGAAATATATCAGCTTTCAACTAAAAAGAAATTAATATTGGCAATAGAGACTTTAGCAAATTCAATAGATGCAAAGATATACATGTGTATGGAGGATAATGGGTTTGGTTTTTGTCTATGAAGAGGAAAAATAAAGTAAAATGGTTGGTGTGCTAGAATATGAAAGACAATTGACTAGGACAAGCGGAGGCTCTACAGTAAAATTTAGAATATCTGAGGTAATACGAATTGTATTAGTCTTAGTTTATAGTACCTATAATCATGAGTGTAAAAATAAACAATAAAAGGTATTTAATTTTGACAAAGTTGGCTCAGTGTTAATAAGTTTATTTTTAAGAAAGTTTTGGTTCTCACCTACAACTGGTATCATTGTTCCCTTCTTCCCTCACCCTTCAGGCTTCCTTCCCCCTGTTGCCTGTCCTGGGATGAATTATCCTCCCTATCGATTCCCTTAATCCTGGCTACACTTTCACACATGGGCTCCTTATTTAATTCTTCAAAGGTTAAGCTTCTGGAGGGTGACACCTGTTTCCTGCTGGGATCTTGACTGCTACATATTTTTCTCTTTATTTTGTTTACTTTTAGTGTTGTCAGACTTTCATGTTTAGATTTACTTTACATCTCACTATTGCTAGATGTTTAGAGTGTAGGGCAAACCTCAAAGTATAATCTTACGGTGTCAGCTTTTAAATTTTATAAAGATATATGTGCTGGGTAATTATTCTGAAAAAAATGTATGTATTTCATTGGGAGCTTCTCAATGACTTATGTTTTTCATTTTGTCGTTTAAGTGACAGAAAGTAGTTTCTGAGGTTGAAATAGAAATAAATTTATTAAAGATCCATCTGTCTTTTTTTCAGAACAAACAAAAAACCTGCCAATTTCCTTGGAACTTAGGTTCTTTTAATCAGTCTTTTACTTACCTTATCCCTTTCTTTGCCTTTCAAGCATCTCTCTGTTCTGGTACAAAACTGTATCTGATAAGAAGCCCTATGCAGATATTTCCAAACTTGGAGGAAAAGAGAGATCACATTTGGTTTTGCAGATTCAGGCATTTTTGTGATGGGTCTCAAACTTAAAGCTAGCACTTATCTTAGGCTTTAGGATCTGTGGTGAAAGGAATTATTTTTTCATGTCCTGGGAGTTGTTTTGAGAGCCCTTTACTTCTTTGCCCTGAAGAAAGTAAAAAAGAAATCTTTTAAGTAAAGATAATTTTTCTCAAATAATTGGTAGGTATCAATTAGAAATGTGAGACACTAATGAACAACTCATAATTTTGGGATATTAATATGGTGGTAAGGTAATAAATTCATACTTAAACAAACGTGGGTTCTAATCCAACTTGAACAAGTTATTCAGCTTTGCTGTGTCTTTTTTGCAGAGTAATGCCTACTTTCCCCCACTAGTTCATGTCATGTAGGAATAATTATTAAGAAACATTTTGTCTAAACCTCTTATTTACAGATAAACAGTATTAAATTAAACTGAAAAAGATAGAATTCCTTGTTCCCTGTTCCTTAGTAACCTTGAGCAAGTGACTTAACTTTGCATTCAGTTTTTTCATTTATAATGGAATATTCACATGTGCTATGCACCTAGCACATTGCCTGGCTCAGAGGAGGCCCTTGATAAATATTATCATTACTATTTTTGGTACTACTGGAGAATTGTATATAAGTAACATTATTGAAACAGTGAGGAAAGAGAGGCCCTAGTAATTAATATTGAAAAAAACTCATAAATAAAATAACCCCAAGAAGAAATATTTAGGAAATAAGAAGATAATACATTTCTGCCTGTGTAATTATTTTTCTCCTTTAAGATTCCATTGTGCTATCTTAAAACTGGGTTCACCTGGATGAAACACCTACAAGGTGGGATGTGCCTGCTCTAAATGCCTAAAGATAAGCCTGTACTGGAGAGTGAATGAGAAAAGGAAGTCATTTTACCTTGGAAACATACTTGCACTCTTATATTCATTCTTTAGTCTTCTGGATAATAGAATTAAAACATTTACCTCATAAAGATGCTGGCAAAACAAATTAACGTATTTATTCTTAGAAATCCATATTAAAAATATAAGTTCTTACAATTGTTTATTACAAAAACAATCAATCTCTTCTGCTGCAAACAGAGAAAAAGATTCTCCTGCATCTCTTGGCAGTGATTTTGGGGTTTTCATGAATTTCGAAAGTCTATGAATGTGTAATCACAGCAGTGAGTAGGAAGTTTATGATGAAGGATGACATATAGATGGATGTCAGCAAGTATCAAGACAGTTCAGGCAGAGATAAAGGAAGATATTGTGTGAAAGCAGCTGATGCAGCTCTCTTAGGGGCCAGAGATAGACCATCTTAAGTGTCAACCTAAGTCCTGGATCCTGCTATACATATTTTTATATATTAACCTTGATGAAAAAAAAATCCCTTGGGCATCTTAACTTTAAAATATTTTTCATGTAATAAATTGAATCTCCTCCTTTCAAGTGAAAGGATTTTAGTGCTGCTTTGAATAATATTAAAACAGCAGCCAAAAAAATCAATTAATAATACTATCAGCTTGGCACATTGCCCTCTTGTGCCACGCTCTAGTCATGTCATTGAATATCATAGCATACCTGTAGGAAAGATATTGTTATCCTTATTTTATCCCTACCCATGTGTCATAACGGAGACCCATGGAAGTTAAGAAATCTTGCCATGTTCACAGAGATTGGAGAATATAAAACTAGGATTCAAACCCAGATCTGCATCCTTTCGAAGTGAAATTTTAAACTACTGTATGATGCCCTTCATACACAACTGATTTATAGTTTCCACTTATTTATAAAACAATAAGTTTTTTTTTTTTTTTTTTGAGACGGAATCTCGCTCTGTCGCCCAGGCTGAAGTGCAGTGGCGCGATCTCAGCTTACTGCAAGCTCTGCCTCCCGGATTCACGCCATTCTCCTGCCTCAGCCTCCCGTGTAGCTGGGACTTCAGGCGCCCGCCACCACGCCCAGCTATTTTTTTTTTTTTTTTTGTGTGTGTGTATTTGTAGTAGAGAGGGGGTTTCTCCGTGTTAGCCAGGATGATCTGGATCTCCTGACCTTGTGATTCACCGGCCTCGGCCTCCCAAAGTGCTGGGATTAGAGGCGTGAGCCACCGCGCCTGGCCATAAAACAATAATTTTATAATGCTTTATATAGTTAGCAGCCTGGATTGTCTATCTGCAATAAAAGAATGGACATAAAACTCATGTACTATATTGGTTTTTGTTGCTACTGATTATTAATCCTGTTAGAAAATGTTGCAAGAAAATTTGCCAAAAAGGCAAGCTGCAAAAGAAATAATTTATACACTATAGAATATTGGCTAAATATGATTACAAAGCATTTATCTTTTATGATTAAAAAAGTCCTTGTTATTTTGTTGATGTTACAGCAGTCTCCCTTAATTCTTTTCCTTCTTGTTTTCCTCCTAATCCCTAAGTTTTAGACTTTCATTTCTAAAATACTTGTTAGTAACTTTGCTTGATGTAGAAAGGCAGGGTACAGTGGCAAGATACTTAGTTTAGAACCTTAAATATGTCAAGTACATATAAGCATAAATGTGGTGAGTGACTTTTCATGAACATCTATGGTGTCTTTGTTATTAGCCTCAGAAATCCTTCTAGTCTATAAGGACAGTTAATATAGAAAGAAACATATGATTTAATATATACCTTTCTTATTATCTTACTAAGGCCTATGAACAAAGATTGTGAATATTGGATTTATTCGCAATTGAAATTTTAAGCCTAAAAGAGAACAACCTTTGTTTGATACCTTTTAATTTTGCTTTTTAATATTCAACAAGACCATTATATCCATAACTATGTGTACAGAATAACCTTCCCTTTAAAGAATTATCCCTTAAAATATTCCAATATTTGGCCTACATCTTCAGGTTTTCTGCAAACAGCTCAGAAGAGACGTTCCCTTAGGGCAGTTATTTTCTCCTTGAAATGTTTTTAAAATTACCTAAAATGAGCTTTAATCAATCGAACACACTTGTTTTGATTGTTGAACCTTTTAGTGAATCTACCTCAGAGTGCAAGCCAAATAAAAAGTGAAATAAATTTGAATAGCAGTAGCTGAGGCTGCCCTTAAAATGTCAGTCTTTACGATAAAAGTCACATGTTTAAGCTATGTTTTTATTGTTCTTGAAGGCCCCAAAACTCTATCAGGTGAAAGGAGGCAAGGAAAAGGAATTCTATAAATAATACAGCCCATACTATATTTGCTAATAGGATTGAATGTGACAGTTTCGAAAATGGCATGCATTAATGACTGTTTTGTTAAAAAATTCTAGGAAAAATTATACCAATTTTTGACAAAAATAATTTCTGTATGTAAATACAAATGTAAACCACATTGACCTAAAATAGGTCAGAGATTGCCTGGTAATGCCAGGTAGAAAGAGAATGGTTGGCAAAGAGGCATGAAGAAAATTTGGGGTAATGGAAATGTTTGCAGTGATGATTGTGCTAATAATTGTGTGTGTGTGTGTGTGTATACACTATATATATAAATAATATATAATATATATTATATATATGAATAATATATATAATATATATAAATAATATATAATATATTATTTATATATATTATATATATTATTTATATATATTATTTATATATTATTTATATATAATATATATTATATATAATATATATTATATATAATATATATATTATATATATATATTATATATATAATATATATATTCCCACTGCAGCAATTCTTGAATTATGGTAGAAAAGGTGGTGAATAAATGTTCCCCATTCCAGCCACAGGGCAGAAAAATTTGAGGCAAATTTTGTGTACTGAGAGTTTGGAGGTCCAGCTGCCCAGAACATTAGACAGCTTGACAACATACCCCTCTACTGATTTTCCTTCTTTCCCTTTACATTCTTTCCTATTTGCTACTTCTGCTCCATGGGATCACTTTCAGAAATAAACTACGTACATGTAAGCCTTTTTTTCCAAGGGCCTGCTTTCTGCTAGGTACCCAGGGTAACAAATATATCTTTTCTTCAAAGTATCTCTATACTGTAAATATGGCTGATGCTATAAATGGTGAAGGTCTGGCAAGATCTTAATGATGCCTTCAGGGAAGAAAGATCTGTTTTCTGCAGATTTCTGCATGTGTTCAATTGAATTATTCATTTGAAACTTTTCCAAGTTTAGGTTGTTCCTCAACTTTGTTTTGTATAAATGTAGCGTGATGTTAAGAGAAATATTGCCAGCCAATCTGAATGAAAGGACTCACATGAGCTCCTCTGTTGAATGAGAATTTGCAAACTTGCAACCTACTTTAGTGGGAAGTGAAACTGAGATGTGTTTTGTGCATTTCATTTAGGGATATTAGTTTGCACTTTTATTTCCCCAAGGCCAAAACAAATGGGTACTGTGTATCTTTTCATCCAAATAGGAAAATGTTTCTCAGCAAAGCTTTGGCTTGGTTTGTTGTTAAGGCATCCTTTTAAATTGGTAAAGAATATTTTTCATCTGTAGCTTAAGACTAAGACTTGGATGTAGAAACTGGAGTCACAGGTGTCCTAGGAGTGTGCTCATACCAGTTCCTGAGAGTTGAATATGCAGATCTCTTCCAAACTTTGTGTTCATTCACATCACATAAGCAGCTTGAAATTGGCAATGGCGGGAATATTTACACCACTGAAATTGGCAAATGTCACAGATCAGGGTTTTCCTCCTCCCCCTGGTGGTGAGTTTACTGGCTCATGAGTGGTATAATCCACCAGAAGGCAAATGCTTCACACTGTCAACCATCCTCAGTTTGTTTCTTCCTACTGTCTAATTACTGAGTTACCTATATACAGTCCATAGTTTAGAGGTAAAAGGGAATGAAAACCATCTTTAAAATATTCTTACGTTGTGGATTAGATAATGAATATCTGGTGAGATTAGATGATTTACTTAGCACACAATTAGTTGCAGGGTTTGGGTTAGAATCATCTCTTTAACTCTTAGCTGCTTGGTGGGAAAACAACTCTGTAATTATCCAGAACTATAAGGTACCCTTGTAGTTGTGTGGATTCACCTTGACTTAAGCATTCCAACCAAAGCCATACACGTATTTGGATCTAAACCCTGTATTCATGCTATGCTTTATGGCAAATCCTAAACAAGCCTGTGGAGATTTTCATTTGTTTGTTTCATCAGCAACTCTAAGTCTTGTGAAAGTTAAAGAACTCCAAGTTAACTTTCTTAAGCACTAATATACATACACAGACTCTAGGATTGAAAATTGCAGTGCTAGTCCATGTATATGTCTTGAATTCATTGTTTTTAAACTCATGCAATATATTAGATCTAATAATAAGAGCTATAAAATAGATCTGAACTTTGAACATCGTAATGCTTAAGAAAATGATATATGACATAAAGTATCTAATACCAGAAAGCCACATTTGTAAATATGAAAAATAAAGGCAAAATATAAACAAAATATTCTCAGAATCTTGAACTCATAGCACAAAAAGAATTTTGAGAAAACCCTTAGTACAACTTTATTAGTGATTTGCAAAATAGATATTTCTTGAATTTAATTGAATCCCAGAGGACATTCTAAAATTTAACTGTAGCAACTTTGTTAGCACACTGCAGTGTTTCCAAAGGTTTATATAGTATAGGGAAAGCTTGTAGGCTGGAATGAGAATGTTAATTCCCATGATAGGGTTATAGAAAGAATAGCAGTTAGTTAGGGGAAGGCTTCTTGAAGGGAGTAGTTTGTTCCTTCTCCTTATCTGTGGACTATGTAAGTTCTTATCGGCGTTGCTTGGATGGGCTTTAGATCTTTGTCCCTTATCCCAGTGGTAAAATTTTGAGATGCAAATGCTTCTGGGTATGTTTGGGGGAGAATATCTACATCTTTCACCAGATTTATAAATAATTATGTTAATCTCCAAAGGTAAATGTTAAGGGAAAAGTTCATTAACTATTTTTCAGCATCTATGTTCAGCACTGTACATACATACATTGCACACATGATTTACATACATATATTTACATGCATGATTGCATTTACTTAATCTTCACTGTTTGAAGAAATAACATTATATGTCTCTGATTGGTTTAAACTGTTTTCCTGCAGCAGGCTCTTGTACTCTTAACTCTTACAGTTTATGCTAACTGATTTCAGAGCTAATTGGGTGGATTAATATGTAGGATGGTAAATAGTTACTTTATTTTTCAAATCCTTATTATCTTGTTTGCTTCCTTGGGTTTATCATTATTTCCCGCATTAGTCAAGGTTCTCCAGAGAAAGAGAACCAATATTATATATAGATATATAGAAATATATTCATTATGAGAAATTGATGCATATGATTATGGAAGCGGAGAAGTCCTGCAGGCTGTCCCCTGCAAACTGGGGGCCGAGGAAAGCCAGTGGTGTAATTTCAGTACAAACTGAAGTCCTGAGAACAAGGGTCATCAGTAGTGTAAGTTTCGGAGTCCAAAGGCCCAAGAACCAAGAGCACTGATGTCTCAGGGCAGGAGAAGATGAATGGCCCAGCTCTAACAGAGAGAGCAAACTCACCCGTCTGTTTTTTTTGTTGGGCCTCACCCACATTGGTGAAGGCGATCTTCCTTACTCAGTCTATTTTCTTCAGAAAACACCTTCCCAGGCACACACAAAAGTAATATTTTACCCCTATTGGGCATCACTTAGATTAGTCAAGGTGACATAAAATTAACAATCACATTATCCAAAGTGTTTTATAGAATATTGGCATCTTCTATCAGGAACTCACCTGAGCAAAAATGCATATTCAACTAAAGAAGGGAAGCTTCTGACTGTTTATAAAGATAAAATGCTCTGTAAAGTTTTTGTAACCAGTCTATGAAATGAACTTGTAAAATTCTAATACTTAAGTGGCCAGTTGTCCCCTTGAATATTGGAGTTTTTGTGTTTATGGGCAAAATACGTGGCGGTAGTTTCCCAACATTCATTTGAAGGCTTTTGTTTGGCCACAAAAATCAGTAAAAACATATATTGTAGTTGCACTTGAAGTTTTCATCAATTGAGCTGATGAGAAAGCAGGTGGTTACAATGAAGCAAGACAAGCCTTAGATTGCTGCAGGCATGACTCACTATGAAATACAAGTGAGCAATATGTAAAAGCAGCAAAGAATTGAAAGGATGGAATAATTTCATATTTCAACACAAAAGATTGCCTAGGATTTTTTCCTATTCAAAACGGGAAATATGACCTTCTGTCCTAGCTCATAAACAAATCTATTCAACATTTGCAGCATGCCTGCTTCTTCCTGCATTGCTGAAAATGTATCCTACAGTCTCGAGAGAGCATGGTGAGATTAGGCCTAACAAATACCCTAATCCCTCCCTGACCATTTGAGAAGAATCTAAGATCCCCACATCGTACTCCTGTTACTGCAGCGGTTTTCAAAACTCAACAAAAAGCAACTGGTTTTCTTTTTTTTTTATTTTTTTGAAGGAAAGTGGAAGGTGTACTGAGTGAGATATGAGTACAGAGGGGGCTTTCATGTTGCAGGTGTGCCTGAGGAACTGCGAGGCAGAAAGTAGAAATATACATCTAAGGTGAATTAAGTCAGAACTTTGAATGTCTGGCTGCTGGAATCTTCATGGTACTTAAGTCCCTTTATAATAAGTTAGCTCATTGGAGAATCATGCTATCTTAATGACCTTGATAGTCTTAATGACTTTTAGAGATTTACTGGCAAATCACCATTAGCATGAGGAAATCCCCATTAATATGAGGAAATCCTCATGTGATAAGGCATAGGATTATGTTTTAAGGCAAAGGCTTCTGAGTCAGAAATACCTGAATTGAAATCTGGCTCTGCAGCTTGCTAGTTGTGACTTCTTAGGCAAAGTCTGCTCGCTTAGAACTGGTATAGGTCCTAGTTTCTTCATGGATAAGATTAGAATCATAATAGTAATTGCCTTTTTAAGGTTATTTGTCGGGATCATGTGAATTAATGGATGCAAAGTTCTCAGCACGGGGCTGTGCATCTAGTAAGGTCTCTTGCTACTAGCTGTTCTGTTGGTGTTAAGAAGAGAAAGTACTGAGAAAAGTCCTGGCATTCTGGTTCTGTTAGGAACATTGTTAAATTGTCAAGGTAATTATCCTCTTTGAGCTTCATGTTTCTCATCTGCATAATGAAGGGATTAATTGGCTGTAGTTCATATGACAAACAGTAAGAAAGTATATAATAGATTGTAGTATAATAATAACATTTATTGAATAATATTTTGCTGGGCACAGTGGCTCATGCCTGTAATCCCAGCACTTTGGGAGGCTGAGGTGGGTGGATCACCTGAGGTCAGGAGTTCAAGACCAGCCTGGGCAACATAGTGAAATCTTTTCTCTACTAAAAATACAAAACAATTAGCTACTTGGGAGGCTGAGACAGGAGAATCACTTGAATCTGGGAGGCAGAGGTTGCAGTGAGCTGAGATCTCATTACTGCACTCCAGCCTGGGCGACAGGGCAAGACTCCGTCTCCAAAAAACAAACAAACAAAACAATAAAAAAAAAAAAAACTATTTTAAGCATTTCACAAGCATCAACTCATTTAATCCTCATAACAACCCTGTTGTTATGCCAGTGAGCAACATATGAAACAACACAAGGACTGTTGTTAATGCCCGTGTTATAGATGAGGAAATTAAGATGGAGCAATTAAGAAATTTGACACACAGCTAGTAGTGGCAGATCTGTAATTAAGTGGGCCAAAAAGTAGAAGTATAATATGATCCCATTTTTGATAAAAGAAACTATCATATATATTTTTATATACAGTCATGCCCTGCATAATAATGTTTTTCTCAACAATGGACCAACCAAATGTACAATAGTGGTCCTATAAGATTTTAATACAACTGAAAAATTCCTATCACTCAGTGATGCTGTGGCTGTTGTAATGTCATAGTACAATGTTGCAGTGTCATTATTGTAGTGAGGCTGGTAGAAACAAACATACTCTGCCGCAGTCCTGTAAAACTGTCACACATACAATTATGTCTGTGCATGATACTTGATAATGATAATAAATGACTATGTTACTGGTTTATGTATTTACTATATTATAATTTATATAGTTTTTTTAGAGTGCATTCCTTCTACTTACATACAAAAAAGTTAACTGTAAAACAACCTCAAGCAGGTCCTTCAGGAGATATTCCAGAAGACAGCATTGTTATCACAGGAGATGACAGCTCCATGCATGTTATTGCCTCTAAAGACCTTCCAGTGGAACAAGATGTGGAGATGGGAGACAGTGACATTGATGATACTTACCCTCTGTAGGCATAGGCTAATAAGTGTTGGTGGCTTATTTTTCTAACAAAAAAGTTTAAAAAGAAAAACAAATTAAAGTAGAAAAGAGCTTATAGAATAAGCATATAAAGAAAGAAAATATATTTGTGGCTCTGCACAATGAGTTTGTGTTTTAAGCTAAGTGTTACCACAAAAGAACCAAAAAGTTAAAATTTCAAAATTTATAAAGTAAAACAGTTACAGTAACCTAAAATTAACTTATTTTTCAAGAAAGAAAAAAATTATTTAGCCTAAGCATTTATAAAGTCTAGAGTAGTATACAATAATGTCCTAGGCCTTGACATACACTCACCACTCACTCACTGACTCACCCAGAGCAATTTCCAGTCCTACCAGCTCCATTCATGATAAGTGCCCTCTACAGGTGTACCATATTAAAATTATTTATACTGTATTTTTACTGAATTCAATGTTTACATACACAAATCCTTGCCATTATGTTTCAACTGCCTACAGTATTCAGTACAGTGACATGCTGTACAGGTTTGTAGCCTAGGAGCAACAGACTAAACCATATAGCTGAGCTGTACAGTACATTATATCATCTAGGTTTGTGTAAGTACACTCTGATGTTTACACAGTGACAAAACTGCCTAATGATACATTTCTTACAACACATTCCGATTGGGTGTGTGTGTGTATTAGTCCGTTCTCACACTGCTATAAGGATACTACCTGTGGCCGGGTACGGTGGCTCATGCCTGTAATCCCAGCACTTTGGGAGGCCAAGGCAGGTGGATGACCTGAGGTCAGGAGTTTGAGAACAGTCTGGCCAACATGGTGAAACCCCGTCTCTACTAAAAATACAAAATTTAGCCAGGTGTGGTGGCATGCCCCTGTAGTCCCAGCTACTCAGGAGGCTGAGGCAGGAGAATCGCTGGAACCTAGGAGGTGGAGGTTGCAGTGAGCTGAGATCATGCCACTGCACTCCAGCCTGGGTGACAGAGCGAGACCCCTTCTAAAAAAATAAAAAATAGAAATAAAAAAGATACTACTCATGACTGGGTAATTTATAAAGAAAGGGGTCTAATTGACTCACAGTTCCACATGGCTGAGGAGGCCTCAGGAAACTTACAATCATGGCAGAAGGTGAAGCAGGCACATCTTACGTGGTGGCAGAGAGCGTGTGAGAGCACAGGATAGACAACCATTTATAAAACCATCAGATCTTGTGAGAATTCACTCACTATCACGAGAACAGCAAGGGGAAAACCTCCCCCATAATCCCATCACTTCACTGCCCTCTCTCTGCATGTGGGGATTACAATTCAAGATGAGATTTGGGTGGGGAACAAAGCCTAACCATGTATATCAGTTACATACATATGCACACACATATATAAAATAGTTGGAGGGATTTTTCTCCAAAAAGTTAAGTGAAATATTTCTAAGAGGTAAAATGTAGGATGACCTTATGTTTATTCTCTTTGATTGCTGATACTTCTAATTTTTCTACAGTATAAATAAATTTGAATAATAAAATAATTTTATACCAAAATAAATAGGTTAGACTAGATGAGCTTTTAGGTTCTTTCAGAAAAATAATGTTTTGTGATTCCACATACTAAATAAAGAAGCAGGACATTTTTTGTTGTAGGAGGGTAGACCTCCCTACCACCTGTCTCTGGGAGATTCCAGGGATATACCTACACACAGAGTGTTACTGTTGTCCGTGCTGTGGGAATCAGGAGAATTGTTGATGTGGAAAGACTGTTACTCTGTTGTGACTTCATTGCAACCTGAAGCTCGCTCTGCCTCTGTGCTGGTTTGCAAAGCAGCAGTGGAATGACAGGAAGGGGCTGGAAGCAGTACCCACAGTGTGTTTAGGAGAATTATTATTCAGTGGCACACAGTTCCTTCCCATATAAATAGCCAAGTATGCTTTTAAATTATCCTTTTAAAGCTTAAGGGTCAAAAGGCGTTTTGAAGCAGGAGTGTAAGGAAGAAGAGGATCCTTAGGTTAGAAGAAAAAGAAGTATATTCAGTTTTCCTGTGTCTTTCCTCTTGTCCAAAATGTGAAGAGACAAAATGGAAGCAGCAAGTACTAGCAGTTGATAGCCATTGTAATGGATGAAGGGAATATATAGTAGGAGAAATAGGCTTGCTACAGATAATCAAGATTTTGCGTAACTGAATGAAGCATTTGACGAATCTTTAAGGGTTAATAAAGAATGATAGAAGTGGAATCAATTAAATTTGTTTTACTTACACCATGGTAAATGATTTGTATACACTTTGAAGGAAAAGACTGATTTCAGTATTCTCCTGGGCTGCCCTTCGTTTTCATTCCTTGGAATAGCAGCTGAGTCAAAGTAGCTTAGCATGGAAATCTTCTTCTTGAGAGAGAAAGCGAATTCTTTTCACAGCATCATAACCCAAACAGAATTTAGAAAGAATACATTTAAAACTATTTAAATAGAGACTGAAAGAATTGACAGAGGAAAGATGATTATGGTAAAATGGGCTTGCTCTGTCAATGATGCCAATGACTGTTTATTTCATAATGGAATGAGGCCCTAGCATGGCAATACCAGAGCCTCAGGGCCTTACCTTTTAGATTATAGCACTGAGATCTCAATCTCTGGTTGTTAGCAATTCTTTGGCACTGCCTAATTGAAAACACAGCTTCTTAAAATTTTGATCAAAAATCATCATATCATTCATTTCATAAGTATTTATGGATACTCCTTATATGGCAATAAACCAGTTTTCCCTGATAAGGATTCAAAGAAAAATAAGTAAGATTAGTAGGTTTTCAAATATGGGGACATGCGTTCTTCCCTTTCCATAATTCTGAGGAACATTTCTGATTAGACTTTTTGTATGGCCAATTAAATAATAAGCATAGAATAATTTTTGTCATTTCTCGATGTAGATATAACAAAGGAATCTCTAAGTTTCAACTTTCTCAAGTATCCATTTTTGATTCAATATGATTGTGATTTTCTTCTGAGAAACTCTGAGAAATTCACTAAGTGAATATCCCAGAAATAGGATGTTACACAGTTGGTTCACAAAATAAGATTAATGAAACCATGTAGTTGGTGATGACAAGGTCATGCTGAGCAGTCATTGGAGATTAGGCTGTAACCATCTGTTTTCCATGTGATGTCTTAATAGACACATTAAGATGTTATTACAGTAAGCCTCCTGGATATTTGTAGATCAGGGAACTTAGGCACAAGGAAGGAATTTGTGATACCCTTGAATTACCACAAGGAATGCTTGTGGCCTACATTTTAAAAAGTGGTCCCATGTTAAGGTTCTTGGGGATTTGATTGTTTTGTTTTGTTTTGTTTTCAATTTCAAGGAACATTTCGTCAAGGGACTCAGACCATAAAAAGGTAAGAATGGAGAGGTTACTCAGAGAGAAAGTAGAGCTGAGAATTCAATAAAAAAAAAAAGACAAAAGAAAAGAAATCTTCAATCTTTGATAAGAAGAAATTGATTAGAGAAAATCATAGTTATGCATTATACTTGATATAAATACCATGATAATAATAAGGAATTCTTATGATGACATTCTACTTAAAACTGCTCACCCACATTAAAAAATATGTACAGATGCATATGCAGGTATACACAAAATATCAGCATATCATCTATTCATTCAATAAATATTTATGGAAACCTACTATATGCCAGGTAAAAGTTTTTTCTAAGAGATATCTGATCTCTCCACTGACTTTTAATTTAAGAGAGATTTAACTTGTCATTGGAATATACATATAGCATACAAAATGCAAGGACTTTGTCAGATTCTGCTTTTTAAAAAAATAGAGATAATAGGCCAGGCACAGTGGCTCACGCCTGTAATCCCAGCAGTTTGGGAGGCCAAGGCAGGTGGATCACAAGGTCAGGAGATCGAGGCCATCCTGGCTAAAACAGTGAAACCCCGTCTTTACTAAAAAATACAAAAAAATAGCCTGGCGTGGTGGCAGGTGCCTGCAGTCCCAGCTACTCGGGAGGCTGAGGCAGGAGAATGGCATGAACCCGGGAGGCAGAGGTTGCAGTGAGCTGAGATCGTGCCACTACACTCCAGCCTGGGTGACAGAGCGAGACTCCGTCTCCAAAAAAAAAAAAAAAAAAATAGAGATAATAATAATGCATGTGTCTGAAAGTCACTTATCTGAAACATCACGTGACTAGTGAATGCAGATGAAAAACCAGGCTGAATTAAAAAAAAAAAAAAAAAAGACCTGCATGAGATAAAAGATATACACTTGAGTTTAAGTTCACCGACATTTTACTTTACTCTAGAGGAACTCTTCAGCCTTTCATTCATAACTTTTTTTTTAAACTACAGAGATGATGACAGCTTTGATTATCAGCAGATTGTAAGGGGGCAAATTCAGAGAGTAGAAAAAAAAAAGCTAGCGTGAGACTAGTAATTGAAAGCAAACTGATGACAAAAGAGAGAGAAAATTATTAAAATCATCATAATAAGATAAAATAAGTTTGACACATCTAGTTTAGGGATAATGACCTTGCCTACTGCCGAAGTAGTAAGGGTAGTATTATTTTTCCAGTACTTTATTATAACTTCTGCTTTAAATAATAGATTTGAGCCACCTAGGAAAGGTTGTTAGGTTTATTTGTGTAGTAAGACAGAAAATGTGTGATTTTTTATACGTATTTCTAACTAAAATTGTGAAGAAAAATTAAAAGTTGACTAAAAAACTATTTGTGAAATTGAAACCTACTCAATAATCCTATAAAAAGTTTTTTGGATAAATATAGAAATAGACCCTTCTAGTCTTAAAGCTTGAAACTTACATTTGTTTTATCTGAGTTCAAGACCAGTCTGGCCAAAATGGCAAAACCCTGTCTCTACTAAAAATACAAAAATTAGCCAGGTGTGGTGGCACACGAAGTTGCACTGAGCTGAGATCAGGCCACTGCACTCCAGCCTGGGTGACACAGCAAGACTCTGTCTCAACAAAGAAAACAGCAGTAACAACAACAACAACAAAAAACAACTAATATGGTTTGGCTGTGTCCCCACCCAAATATCATCTTGAATTCCCACATGTGGGAGGGACTGGTGGGAGGTAATTGAATCATGGAAGTGGTTCTTTCCTGCGCTGTTCTCATGAAAGTGAATGAGTCTTATGAGATCTGATGGTTTTTAAAATGGGAGTTTCCCTGTACAAGTTCTCTTTTTGTCTGCTGCCATCCATGTAAGACGTGACTTGCTCCTCCTTGCCTTTCACCTTCTGCCATGATTGTGAGGCCTCCTTGGCCAGGTGAAAATGTAACTCCAATAAGCCTCTTTGTTTTGTAAATTGCCCAGTCTCAGGTATGTCTTTATCAGCAGCATGAAAACAGACTAATACAGTAAATTGGTACCTGGAGTGCGGGGGTGCTGAAAAGATACCTGAAAATGTGGGAGCAACTTTGGAACTGGGTAACAGGCAGAGGTTGGAACAGTTTGGAGGGCTCAGAAGAAGACAGAAAAATGTGGGAAAGTTTGGAACTTCCTAGAGACTTGTTCAATGGCTTTGACCAAAATGCTGATAATTATATGGACGATGAAATCCAGGCTGATGTGGTCTCAGATGGAGATGAGGAACTTATTGGGAACTGGAGCAAAGATGACTCTTGTTATGTTTTAGCCCCTGCCCTAGAGATCTGTGGAGCATTGAACTTGAGAGTGATGATTTAGGGTATCTGGCAGAAAAAAATTCTAAGCAGCAAAGCATTCAAGGGGTGACTTGGTTGCTGGTAAAAGCATTCCATTTTAAAAGGCAAATGGAGCATAAAAGTTCAGAAAATTTGCAGCCTGACAATGTGATAGAAAAGAAATCCAATTTTCTGAGGAGAAATTGAAGTCGGCTACAGAAATTTGCATAAGTAATGAGGAGCTGAGTGTTAATCACCAAGAAAATGGGGAATATGTGTCCAGAGAATGTGAGGGACCTCTGCGGCAGCCTCTCCCATTACACACCCGGATGTGTAGGAAGAAAAAATGGTTTTCTGGGCCAGGCCCATGGTCCCTCTGCTGTGTACAGTTGAGGGAGTTGGTGCCCTTCATCCAAGCCACTCCAGCCTTGACCAAAAGGGGCCAAGGTACAGCTCAGGCTGTTGCTTCAGAGGGTGGAAGCCCCAAACCTTGGCAGCCTCCATGTGGTGTTGAGTCTGCGGGTGCACTGAAGTCAAGAATTGAGGTTTGAGAACCTCCACCTAGATTTCAGAGGATGTATGGAAATGCCTGGATACCCAAGCAGAAATTTCCACTCCATGAGTGGAACCCTCATGGAGAACTTCTGCTAGTGTGGTTCAGAAGGAAAATGTGGGATCAGAGCCCCCACACAAAGTTCTTACTAGGGTACAGCATAGTAGAGCTGTGAGAAGAAGGTCACCATCCTCCAGACCCCAGAATGATAGATCCACTGACAACTTGCACCATGCTTCTGGAAAAGCCGCCCACACTCAATATTAGCCCATGAAAGCAGCCAGAAGGGGGCCTATATCCTGCACATCCACGGGGATGGAGCTTCCCAGGACCTTGGGAACCTACCCCTCGCATCAGTGTGACCTGGATGTGAGACATGGAATTAAATAAGTTCATTTTGGAGCTTTAAGAGTTGATTTCCCTCCTGGATTTCAAACTTGCAAGGGGCCTGTAACCCCTTTGTTTTGGCAAATTTCTCCCATTTGGAACAGCTGTATTTACCCAATGCCTATAACCCCATTGCTTCTAGGAAGTAACTAACTTGCTTTTGGTTTTACAGACTCATAGGCGGAAGGGACTTGCCTAGCCTCAGATGAAACTTTGGACTGTGGACTTATGGGTTAATGTTGAATGAATTAAGACTTTGAGGGACTGTTGGGAAGGCATGATTTGTTTTGAAAGGTGAGGACATGAGATTCGGGAGGGGCCAGGGATGGAATGATATGGTTTGGCCATGTCCCCACCCAAATCTCATCTTGAATTCCCACATGTTGTGGGAGGGACATGGTGGGAGGTAACTGAGACATGGGGGCAAGTATTTCCTGCACTATTCTCGTGATAGTGAATGAGTCTCATGAGATCAGATGGTTTTAAAAATGGGAGTTTCCCTGCACAAGCTGTCTCTTCTTGCCTGTCACCATCTATGTAAGATGTGACTTGGTTCTCCTTCGCTTTAACTTTCTGTCATTATTGGGAGGCCTCCCCAGCCATGTGGAACAGTAAGGCCAATAAACCTCTTTGTTTTGTAAATTGCCCAGTCTTGGGTAGGCCTTTATCAGCAGGATGAAAATGGACTAATACACCAACCAAATAAAAATAATTTGGTAAACTCATATTCTTTTGTAATACTCTTTGGCCCCAATATTCTTTGGAATCTGAAGCTTTCTGTTGAATGGGAAAGCAAGATGGATTTTGTGCTGTCTGTATATTCAGTAGAGATGGGGTTTCACCATGTTAACCAGGATGGTCTCAATCTCCTGACCTCGTGATCTGCCAGCCTTGGCCTCCCAAAGAGCTAGGATTACAGGTGTGAGCCACCGCACCTGGCCAATATTCAGGCTTTTATGTTGCTGTTTTAAGCAGGGATGGGCTTGGTTAGTAGGTTCCAGGTGGTTTTCTGTGGTGCTCTTTGGCCCCAGTGCTCTTTGGTATCTGGGGAAGTTGGGCCTTTAAAAATCAAACTGCAATGGAAAATACTTCACCCAAAATTTTGGTTCAGCCATGTGAACATGTTTGTACACTGCTGAGTTTGTATTGCTGTCTCATGGCTAGAGTTCCAAGGTAAAAGCTATTGGGTCTTTGTCTGTGTGCATGTACACATTTCTAGATGTGTTTATGTGGATGTACATTTATTATGTTTTATGTTGTTTCTACCAAATTGTCTTATAAATAAAAGAGCACTCATAAATTAAGTAAATAAGTCTAAGCAATTTTCAGGTTCCCTGGACTCAAGTAAATCTTGACTAAAGAAGCTGGCTTTAAAATTATTGGTGAAATAAAAAATAGAAATGTCTTCAGAATTGTCAGCATACATTTTTGTCTGCATTTTATATTTGTCTCTGCTAGATATTTTGAGAAATTAGGATTTGGCACAGAAAGTTATAAAACCATAAACCCAGCCAAAACAAAATGATCTTTGTGTGAATTTTTTGATAAGTAAGACTAATTTAATGTTGTTAGTTTAATGAAAACAGTTGAATCTTCTGAGTTATTGGTGAAAATATCCATGTAGTTAACTTTAAGGTTCTTATTTAGGTGATCACCTCATATGTACAGGTTATAAAAATATTTAACAAGAAAATAAATCATATATAAATGATCTAGATAAACTGCTAAAATAATTAAAATATAAATGGATGTGCCATAGGTAAACTTTTTGTGAAATTTAAAATTTTAAAATTATTTTTGATATTCATTAGATGCGTGAGTCATTTCCCATTAAGAAAGGGTTATGATATGGGGAAATATGTTTCAAAAAAGTGTAGAATTGTTCTCATCTGTAAGATGCTAATAACTGAGAGTTAAGGATTTCTTGCTTCCTAGGGTTTCACTAAAATTTAAGGTTGCTATGAATAGGAGTTATAGTTACTATATAATTCTCTATATAAAATGTGCCTAATAAGATGTGATCCCAGTAAGGGAAAGAATCATTTCATCTAATCCAGAAGTTATTAAAGGTTAATTCAAATTATACATTTGAAAAGGTTATTTCTGAAACAAGGTAGAAAGAAAACAGTAAAATAGGTGAGAGAGATGTGAAGAAAGTTATGGATATGAAGATGTATTTTTGGTAATGAAGGTTATAAAGAAAAGAATAATTTTGTATGAGAAAGGATCTTGTATGGTGTATTTGTGTCTTAAAATAAAATGACTGGTCATTGAAAAAAAGAAAAGAAAATTTCGAACAAAAAAGAAAGTTCAAGCATGGTCTTGTAACATGGTCTGTGTAAGTTGTGTAGTATTTTTCCTGTTTCTATGTGTTTGTTAATGCACATACAGAGAAAATAGAAAGTTAAAAAGTTTAGATAGTAAAATATTCTTTAAAACTTGATAAAATCCTGGATAAATTTGGTGAATTAACACTGTTTATAGTTAAAACTTTTAGTGTCGATGAAGGTAAATTAAGAAATGTAATAAAATACGCTGGCAGTTTGGCAGTTCTTTTTTAATATACTTAAGCATGAATCCAGATTTAACATAGAGCCAAATTTTCCATAAATGCTTGCATTGCTTTGTTTCACTCTATATTTGCTCATCTGCATAGATAGTACTAGCACTAAAGTACTTACTTACTGGTCATGTGTCTAAAGTGATTTTCTTAATTGCACAAAATGTATAGTGGTATCTTTAAGTCTAGTGCTAGACTTAAAGACATAATTTGTGTACCAGTAACAAAAAAATCTATCATGTGTATTTTAGGCTCTGGATAAAACTTTAGCCCCAAGGTTAACTGAGTAGGAGAAAAATTTGGAGTTGGTTCTCTATTTATTTGTTTTTGCTTTTAATTTAATTTGTATATATTTGCTGTTTGTTCTTCTTTGGGTTTTACTTATATATACATATAAAACCATTGATGCTTTTTAGTTTCTAATGGAAATAATTTATTTTGTCCTATGAATAGCCATTTTGTTTCCTATGCATTTCTAGCAAGTCATCATTTGTTCTCTTTATCTAGAATTCCTAAGTTACATTTGTCAAGCCTGCAAAAATTGATAGAGCCACACAGATCATTTAAAATTTGGTTGGTTTGGCTTACCTCTGATTTAGAAAGATACAAGAGCTTTAAGGTTCATGGCCAAAAAAAACAAACAGTATTTTTTTTTTCAAATTCTGCACAGAAACAGTACTTTATTTATTTCGTGATTTGAAAAAGCAGGTGAGGATAAAAATGTTTAAATGGTGTTTGTTTATTTCCAAGGTAATTAATCCAATTAACGATTTGAGTTGATTTCAGATATTTTCCTTTAGGTAATGAAGAAAAACTGTTATATTGGTACAAAGTTTTAATGTTTAGGAAAGATTGGCCTTGTCCTTAAGGAAATTATATTGATTGGGATTTCTCTCAAACAAATTTAGTTGTGTTTACCATTATTAAAATAAGGCGACATTCACTTGGATTAAGTAGTAATAAAAAAAGTGACATTTTATGTATGTACTTGAAAATAATAGGTACAAATGTTGCACTGGTTTGAAGATTTTAGTGGTAAAAATTACCTAATTAGTTGTCAGTACTGTATTTGGAAAACAATCATGGAAATGGATGATGATGCTCTTTTAAAATATTAATAGCTCAAAAGAAATTACTGTGTGTTTGTTCTTACTTTGTCGCTGTTTTGTTGTATAATATTTAAGTGAAAGGAATTTATCCTCCTATTGAATTTCCAAAACTGATATTTTCATTTACCGTTTTTTTTTTTAAATAATGGAAAGAGAAGCTAGTTGTCTTACTGTGATAATGTGGCATAAGACTTACCACATTTTTGATGCTTTTGGTCCCAGTTCTGTCATTAGAATGCTAGCAATTAGACATATGCAGTGAGTTACCTACCTCCTGTAATAATGGTTTGAAGTGCTACAGGCAGGATTTCTTAGACATTAAATAACACTGTTTTAATTTGTGACAATGTTAGACAGAATGATGTCTGTCTTTAGTATACATATTCTATCAAATAATCTTTGTGTTGTTAAGTTACAGGGCTTTGACTCCTTGGTCTGAAAAAGGCACTGACCCTTGCTTAGTCTTGAGCATTGACACCAGTTGAAGCCTCATCTTCAGACCCAGCAGAAGGGGTCAATCAAAATGACTTGCTTTCGTAAGAAACAGGGCCAGAAATTAAAACTATTCAATCCCTCTAGACCCAGGGCCTATCATGGAATAGTTGGGTTCATGAGATTGTAAGGGCCAATTTTGAGGGATAAGATTAGTTTAGAATTTTTTCATAAATACTAATATCAAAAGTACACTGGTGCAAGGCCAACATCTGGACCCATGTGTTGGATGGAATAACAGGGTTTTCTTGGCGCATTGATCTGCCCTTTTATAGAAAATTGTAAAAGGTTATAAAAAGTTTATGGAAATCTTACCTTATGGTCAAACTGATTAAAATTTGATAGATCTGGGCCAGGCATGGTGGCTCACGCTTGTAATCCCAGCACTTTGGAAGGCCGAGCTGGGGCGGATCACTTGAGGTCAGGAGTTTAAGACCAGCCTGGCCAACATGGTGAAACCCTGTCTCTACTAAAAATAAAAAAATTAGCTGGGTATGGTGGTGCACACCTGCAATCCCAGCTACTAGGGACACTGAGGCAGGAGAATCACTTGAACCCAGGAGGCAAAGGTTGCATGAGCCAAGATCGTGCCACTGCACTCCAGCTGGGGTGACAGAGCGACACTCCATCTCCCCCCCCAAAAAAAAGGGACAGATTTTTTTTATAAAGTTTTATTTAAATTAGTTTAACATTAACATAATGTAGGCTAAATGAAGGACTGTTTTATCATAACTTGTGATCGTATTTTGTGATATCAAGTGTCTTAGACCTTTGATATTTGACAGACTTTCCAACAGTAAAATTTCAAGTTCTAAATTCAGTCTTTTTGACCTTAAAATTTTTTGGATGTTAGGTTTCCTAAGTCCAAGAGAGACATATTAGGATTATTAGTTATGTTAGAATTACACAGGAAGCATCGTCAATTGTGAGGTGGTATTTAACTTTATTTGAATTATATTTACATAGATATGTCTTAATATGTGTTCCAGGATTGTATGACATTCCTGAAATTCTGATTATGTCTAAATATGTGTTGTCAGTAATGGTTATAATTGTTATGTTAAGTTGTTATATGCCACAGAAATAACCCAATTTCCTGGTCAACTGTACCTTTGATTATGGCTATCCTAAGACTTTTGTCATCCATAATTGTTTCACTTTAATTCTTCACAAAAAGTGACTTAATCAGCTGAAATCCAGCGTTTGTTTCTTTGGGGAGGTTCAGGGAAAGAACTCTTGAATGCAGGTTTCTAACAACTTTAGGGATTGTGGCACTGGATTAGAGAAAACTTCCAGGACTCTAATTAAAAAGGCTAATATGGGCTGGGCATGGTGGTTTATGCCTGTAATCCCACTCTGCGAAGCTGAGGCAGGTGATCACTTGGGGTCAGGAGTTCAAGAGCAGCCTAACCAACATAGCGAGACCCTGTCTCACTAAAAATACAAAAATTAGCCAGACATGTTGGCGAATGCCTGTAATGCCAGCTACTCAAGAGGCTGAGGCATGAGAATCACTTGAACCTGGGAGGCAGAGGTTGCAGTGAGCCAAGATCTCATCACTGCACTCCAGCCAGGGTGACAGAGGGATAATTCATCTAAAAAAAAATGCTGATATGTTCATAAAGATTGCTAATCCCATATGGAGCAGAGCAGGAGCTGACTGCATGGACTGAACTAATAGAGGACTGAACTAATTTTTATGACTTATTTTGTTTGAAATATTGCTAATTATTTTTCTTTTGTTTTTCTGGGTCTGGAGAATTTCTTTCTTTTGAGCCACTTATAGTCTTAAAATATAATTTAAGTGTATTGAGTAGAGTATACTCTGGTAAACAGAATTTGAGTCATATTTCTCTCTCTTTGCCTGATTTCTTTAGAATTTGTAATATTTGTGAATATTCTTAATTCATGGCGTTGTATTTGTTTGCATATGTTTAACAAGAACTTGTTTTATTTGGCCGGGTGTGGTGGCTCACACCTGTAATCCCAGCACTTTGGGAGGCTGAGGCAGGTGGATCATGAGGTCAGGAGATCGAGACCATCCTGGCTAACTCGGTGAAACCCTGTCTCTACTAAAAATACAAAAAACTAGCTGGGCATGGTGGTGGGTGCCTGTAGTCCCAGCTACTCGGGAGGCTGAGACAGGAGAATGGCGTGAACCTGGGAGGCGGAGCTTGCAGTGAGCCAAGATCACACCACTGCACTCCAGCTTGGGGGACAGAGTGAGAGTCCGTCTCAAAAAAAAAAAAAAAAAAAAGAACTTGTTTTATTTTATAATGGGGCACAGTTACAGGAACTGGTTATTTTCCCAGGTGTATCAGTCATGGTTCTCTAGAGGTACGGAACTAATGGAATAGATATATATATAGAGGGGATTTTTTATTAAGTATTAATTCACACAGTCACAAGGTCCCACAATATGCCGTCTGCAGGCTGAGGAGCAAGGAGAGCCAGTCCGAGTTCCAAAACTGAAGAACTTGGAGTTCGACGTTTGAGAGCAGGAAGCATCCGGTACAGGAGAAAGATGTTGGCTGGGAAGCTGAGCCAGTCTCTTTTCACATTTTCTGCCTGCTTATATTCTAGCCATGCTGGGAGCTGATTAGATGGTGCCCACTCAGATCAAGGGTGGATCTGCCTTTCCCAGCCCACTGACCCAAATGTTAATCTCCTTTGGCAACACCCTCACAGATATACCCAGGATTAATACTTTGTATCCTTCAATCCAATCAAGTTGATACTCAGTATCAACCATCACAAGTTCACCCCTTGTAGACTTGAACCCATACACATCTCCTGAGATCAAACATAGTCTTCAAATAAAGACAATAATAAGGTCATAATTACACCTACCATAATACAACTATCCTTTGTACAGCCAGAAATATACCAATCCCCAACCCAAAAATTATTACATGAAGTTAAGAATACTTACATACTGATGTGAAGTCAATAAATCTTATGTCACATGATAAAGCAGAAAGGAAATTAAATGAAGATATTTTCTTAGTACAAGTGTATATATGCACAAACGTTTTAACAAAAGAAGGAGGAAATACTCATGAAAATTACTATCCACATTTCTGGAACTGGTCACGTGGTCATAGCTGGTATTGATGACTACCTTCTTCCACTACAGAGTCTGTATTCCCTTTGCCTTCAGCAAGCACCTCAGCAGGTCATGGGGTTTTTTTGTTTGTTTGTTTGTTTTGTTTTGTTTTCCCTGGCAGAGTGACCTAAACCTTCATTCCTGAGGAGTCTGGGTCATTTGTAGTCCTGCCTGGATTGGGCTGTTGTAGTTTCCCATTGACCTTTATCACAGGGCATGGTAATACTAAGAGATATTCTTCCTTACCTCTGTTGTGGAGTAGTAGACTGATTTTGTTTTTGATAGTCCAGGTCAGTCACCCCAGCCAACAGTGTAACTCCCTTGTTAGCCTGTTGACATAAAGGTAGGAGGAGCCCAAAGTGTCCAGGTGGCAATCTTAACTTCAACTTTAATGGAACCATTGTTGTATCTCCTGGTGGCAGCATTCCTTCCTCTGGAACTAAGACCTCTACATGATCAGAATGTAATGTCGTGGTAACAGGAAGCAAAAAGTTTGCTAGTGGATCACTAGGGGTGATGGTGAGTGGTGCCATTTACACTTCCAACACTTGATTCCTGGACCCGTGAATCTTGGCTATGGAAGGAACAATACCATATATTGGACACTGATTTAGAGCATACATGGCCTTCTGGAGAACTTTGCCCCAGCCCTGCAAAGTATTGTCATCTAGTTTGCATTGTAATTGTGACTTCAGAAGGCCATTCCACTGTTCTATCAATCTAGATGCTTCAGGATGATGGGGAACATGGGAAGACCAGTGAATTCCATGAACATGAGCCCACTGATGCACATCATTAGCCATAAAATGAGTGCCTTGGTCAGAGACAATGCTGTGTGGAATATCAGGACGGTGGATAAGGCATTCCATGAGTCCATGGATGGTAGTTTTGGGAGAAACAGTGTGTGCAGGATAGGCAAACCCATATCCAGAGTAAGTGTCTATTCCAGTGAGGACAAACCTCTGCCCTTTCCATGATGCAAGAGGTCCAATATAACCTGCTACCAGGTAGCTGGCTTATTGCCCCCAGGAATGGTGCCATATCACGGGCTCAGTGTTGGACTCTGCTGATGGCAAATTGGGCACTCAGTGGTGGCCATAGCCAGGTCAGCCTTGGTAGGTGGAAGCTCATGTTGCTGAGCCCATGTGTAACCCCCATCCCTGCCACCATGGCCACTTTGTTCATGAGCCCATGGAGTGATCACTGGGGTGGCTGGGGAAAGAGGCTGAGTGGTGTAAAGTGGAGTTATCCTATCCACTTGATTATTAAAATCCTCCTCTGCTGAGATCACCTGTTGGTGAGCACTCACATGGGATACAAATATAGTCACAGCTTTTGATCCCTCAGAGAGATCCATCCACATACCTCTTCCCCAAATTTCTTTGTCACCAATTTTCCAATCGTGCTTCTTCTAAGTCCCCGACCATCCAGGCAAACTATTAGCTATAGCCCATGAATCAGAATATAATCTCACATCTGACCATTTCTACCTTTTTTTTTTTTTTTTTTTTGAGATGGAGTCTCACTCTGCCACCCAGGCTGGAGTGCAGTGGCTCAATCTTGGCTCACTGCAAGCTCTGCACCCCGGGTTCACGCCATTCTCCTGCCTCAGCCTCCTGAGTAGCTGGGACTACAGGCGCCCACCACCACGCCAGGCTAATTTTTTTGGGTTTTTTTTTTTGTATTTTTAGTAGAGATGGAGTTTCACCGTGTTAGCCAGGATGGTCTCGATCTCCTGACATCGTGATCCGCCCTTCTCGGCCTCCCAAAGTGCTGGGATTACAGGTGTGAGATACTGTACCCAGCCTGACAATTTCTACCTTCTATGCAAAGTGCACAACCAGTGCACTGCTCAAAGTTCTGCCCACTGGGAAGATTTCCCTTCACCCCTGTCCTTCAGGGATGTCCTAGAAAGGGGCTGTAATGTTGCAGCTGTCCACTTTCAGGTGATTCCTGCATATAGTAGAGAACCATCTGTGAACCAAGCCCTAGTCTCCTCTTCCTCTGTCAACTGATCATAGGGAACTCCCCATGAGCCCATCAGCACAGGCTAGGGGAGAGAAGGCACAGTAACACGAGTGGAGACCATGCACATTTGAGCCACTTCCTCATGTAACTTACTTGTGCCTTCAGGACCTATTTGAGCCTGATTGCATATATACCACTTCCATTTGATAATGGAATGCTGCTGTGCATGGCCCACTTTATGGATAGATGGGTCAGAAAGCACCCAGTTCATGATAGGAAGTTCTGGTTGCATGGTGACTTCATGATCCATAGTCAAATGTTCAGTTTTCACCAAAGCCCAGTAACAGGCCAAGAGCTGTCTTTCAAAAGGAGAGTAGTTATCTGCAGAAGTTGGCAGAGCTTTGCTCCAAAATCCTAGAGGCCTCCACTGTGATTCACCTATGGGGGCCTGCTAAAGGCTCCAAAGAGCATCCCTATCTGCCACTGACACCTCAAGCACCATTGGATCTGCTGGATCATATGACCCAAGTGACAGAGCAGCTTGCTCAGCAGCCTGGACCTATTGCAGAGCCTTCTTCTATTCTGAACCCCACTCAAAACTGGCAGCCTTTCGGGTCACTTGATAAATGAACCAGAGTAACACACCCAAATGATGAATGTCTTGCCTCCAAAATCCTAATAGCCCCACTAGGCTGTGTACCTATTTCTTGGTGGTAGGAGGGGCCAAATGAAGCAATTTATCCTTCACCTCAGAAGAAATACCTCGACAGCCCACATCACTAGACCCCTAGGAATTTTACTGAGGTAGAAGGTCCCTGAATTTTAGTCGGATTTATTTCCCATCTTCTGGCAAGCAAATGTCTCACCAGTAAGTCCAGTATGTTTGCTACTTCTTGCTCACTGGATCCAATCAGCATAATGTCATCAATGTAATGGACCAGCGTGATATCTTGCAGAAGCAAAAAGTGATCAAGTTATCTCAGAATAAGATTATGACACAAAGCTGGAGAGTTGATATACCCCTAAGGTAGGATGGTAAAGGTATATTGCTGGCCTTTCTAGCTGAAGGCACATTGATTCTGGTGGGCCTTATGGACAGGAATGGAGAAAAAGGCATTTTCCAAGTCAATGGCTGCATAACAGGTACCAGGAGATGTGTTAATTTGCTTAAGCAATGAAACCACATCTGGTACAGCAACTGCAATTGGAGTCACCACTTGGTTAAGCTTACAATAATCCACTGTCATTCTCCAAGATCCATCTGTCTTCTGCACAGGCCAAATGGGAAAGTTGAATGGGGATGTGGTGGGAAATCACCACCCCTGCATCTTTCAAGTCCTTGATGGTGGCACGAATTTCTGCATTCCCTCCAGGGATGCAATATTGTTTTTGATTTACTATTTTTTCTAGGTAGCACCAGCTCTAATAGCTTCCATTTGGCCTTTCCTGCCATAATAGTCCTCACCCTACCAGTCAGGGAGCCAATGTAGGGGTTCTGCCAGCTTCTAAGTATGTCTATCACAATTATGCATTCTGGCACTGGGGAAATGACCACAGGATGAGTCTGGGGACCCTCTGGACCCACTGTAAGTTGGACCTGAGCTAAAAGTCCATCAATTACCTGATCTCCATAAGCCCCTACTTTAACTGGAGGACCATGATGATGTTTTGAGTCTTCCAGAATCAATGTCAGCTCACAGCCAGTGTCCAGTAGTCTCTGAAATGTCTGATTATTTCCCTTTCCCCAATGCATAGTCACTCTGGTAAAAGGCCATACATCTCCTTGGGGAAGTATGGCAGAAAGATTCACTGCATAAATTGTCGGTAGTGTAGTGAGGTCCTTCCTCAAAGGGACCCAGCCTCCCCTTCATTCAAGTTCTAGGTCAGTAAACTGGCTCAAGTCTGGACATTAATTGAGGCGGTATAATTCTCTGTTTTTATAATTCAAATTAATCTTTTGTCCATTCGACATAGAAGTTTCTGCTTGTATAAATTAAGTAGGAATGAGGTAGGCTTCCTATCATTTCACTTCTAGAAACACCGTGATTAATTAGCAAATACCAGAGCTCTACACAAGTCAGACTATTCTGATTGCCACTTTGCCTCTGCTGTCCATTACAGTAGATACACCCACCTTGCCTTTGACAGTTGAGTGCTGCCACTTGACACCTGCCACCTCAGGATACAATTATTCCCATTGTATTTAAATTTTGTAGTTCATTGACTGCGGTTCCCACGTTAGATCTGACGTACAGAGAAGACCAATCGCTGGCTCGTCAAAGATGCAAGTGCTGCCCTCACAAATCTGTTTCACAAGGCATTGGTCAAATGCATATCTTCTGGACCCTCCAAGCTGAGATGAGTAAGTCTAAAGTGACTAATCCACTCCACCATCCCAATCTCCCTAAGCCTTTGGATCCCTTCCTCTACATTAAACCGAGGGAGATCAGGCATTTCCAGCTTGCTCACAGTGGGTGAGGTCAGGAGATTGAGACCATCCTGGCTAATACAGTGAAACCCCGTCTCTACGAAAAATGCAAAAACATTAGCTGGGCATGGTGGTGGGCGCCTGTAGTCCCAGCTACTTGGGAGGCTGAGGCAGGAGAATGGCATGAACCTGGGAGGCGGAGCTTGCAGTGAGCCAAGATCACGCCACTGCACTCCAGCCTGGGTGACAGAGCGAGACTCCGTCTCAAAAAAAAAAAAGAAAAATTAAAAAAACTGTCCTTTTTGTAACCTTTTTTATTCTTCCAAATTAAAGATATTTTAGATATAAATTCAGACAGTGTTCTTGCTAGCACACATTTTCTCACATTGAGTAAATGGAATGCAGGTCCACTCTTGGAGCAAATTTTAAGAAAACCTATGGTTGCAAGGTCCTAGATTTGGAGATGCTGCAGTTTCATTGACCACTTTCTGTTCTAAAAATCCATTTCAAATGAGAATGCAGGGAAGGCAACTGAGAAGTGGAAATTTTGCTGTATTATTACGTATATTTAGAAATTCTGTAATTCTGTATCTCTTGCAAGTTCTTTTGTTTAACCCTTTCACATGTATGCACCTCTTTTTTTATTTTTATTTTTAACTCAATTGAATATATTTTTTGGCTTTGCTCTAACTTGGTACAGTTTTCTTATAATAATACTTTAACTCCATTGTTTTAAAGGACATACAGTACTAAAGTGATTCATGTCCCAATAAGAAAATGCTAAGTGCCTTGCTGCTTTTCTGGGCCTTGCTTTCCACATTTCTTTGCAGGTGAGAAGACAGAGCCTAAAACATAAAACCTGCTTAGGAGATTGAAAGAATGAGGCCTTCTTCCTGATGAACAATTAACTGATTATGAGCTACTGTTACACCTGAAGAAAATGGTCACTGTTTTAGCTTTCATAAACTCTGAAGTGTCTATGTGACCTTTTGAAAAACCCTCAGCCAAATTCCAGTGAAATCTTCTCCTCTATTAGTCATGGCCTAGATTAATTCAAATGGGAAAAGGCAAAAGCGAAACTAAGTCAACCAACTGGAAAAAAATATCAGTGGGTGTCTTGAGGCTCTGACATAAACTAGAAACAGATGTACAACCTGCAATCTATGCGTATGATAAAAAAGAAAGAATTAGAAAATTTTCACATTTTTGTTTTTTCCTTTGTATATGTAATTTGTATTCAAAGTTGATATGGCAAGATAAATGCTGGGAAGTTGTGTATGTGTGTATGTGTGGGCGCGCGCATGTGTGCGTGTGTGTGTGCACGTGTATGTTTTTTTTTTTAACATGTAGTTTCTTGCAGGTATCTGGAAATAACTAGTTTCCTTTGTTCTTTGTGTTGTGCATGATTGCCTCCTCAGAAAGATAAGCCAAAGGTTCTTTTTGGAAATGGGTAGCAATGTTTTCAGCATCTATAAGGAAGCTGCTGCAAAGACATTGGTAACGTCAGCTGAAAAATCTGATTTTTGTGCTGAAGGTGGTGCTGCTATTGAAGTCCAAGGAATTGTCTACAGTCTTTGCTAAGATATCAGCTCCTTCTGCTGATAATTTTTACCCCATTATACTTGAGTACAATTCATAGTGCTTGGAGATCATTACAATATTAGCTCTCTCTGAAAAAAAGAACTACTTGTTATTTTCCTTATGAAACTACTTCAATAAACAAAGATTACTGTGCTTTTTTATGCATAAAGTATTTCATTTATGATATTTTGTGAAAATATGTTCAGGGCATGTTTTTGAAATAAAGAGATCAATACCTCAGCACCTCTAAAATCTGGAATAATAATTTAAGAGATTAAAAAATCCCTACTTGTTTTGATGTTGTATAGACTAACAAATCAGAGCTATAATTTCAATTTTATTTTAAAATTATGGAGAATCATTAGAAATTATTGTAGAGTGTTGCTCAAGGCCTTTTAAAGCCAAGTCAGGAATTCGCCACCACACTTTGCCTTCAGTACTTGTAGATTTGGATGAATTACTCTCTTCTCAAAGTCTCTAAGATATCTCCAGTTTCCTGCACCTTCAGGGAAGTGGTCCTCCTCACTCACCTGTAACGATGGAAACACTCTGAGCTAGATACCAGGTTGGTTTCTGAGAGGGAAGTATTGGTTGTAAGTACTTTGTAAGTATTGGTTCCATAAAGTCAACCTGAGATCGTTGGAGCAATTTGGTCATATCCAATTCTATGCACATCATTCTCAAATATGATTGTCCAGTCATGGTAAGCAAAGTTTCCAATTTCTTACTATTATAAGAAGAATGGATTCTTTTTTTTTTTTTTTTTAGACAGAGTCTCACTCTGTTGCTAGGCTGGAGTGCAGTCGCATGATCTTGGCTCACTGCAACCTCCGCCTCCCGAGTTCTAACGATTCTCCTGCCTTAGCCTCCCGAGTAGCTGGGACTACAGGCACGTGCCACCACGCCCGGCTAATTTTTGTGTTTTTAGTAGAGACGGGGTTTCACCTTGTTGGTCAGGATGGTCTTGATCTCTTGACCTTGTGATCTGCCCGCCTTGGCCTCCCAAAGTGCTGGGATTACAGGCGTGACCCACCACACCTGTCCAAGAAGAATGGATTCTTATTAAAATTATGTAAATAACTGTATTGCCATGAAATTAATATTGCATAAGAGTCTCTTAATTCTGCAGGGATTAGCTAGGGAGAAAAAAAAATAAATGTATCATTTTGGTGTAATCTGTGAAATCCTTGTAAGTTATAGATAGTTTAAGAAAAAAGGGAATGAGGTTTTTTAATTCTGGAAAACGAAACATAAAAGAACCAGCAATGTTTCAAACAAGGTAATGAAAAATCATAATCATCCTCATCAGTTTATTTGGTCCCGTGTAATTCGTTCTTGTTCTACTTGATCTTGGGTTAACAATTTTATGAATCTATGAGTTTCTCCAATAGAGTTCTGGAATTCTTAATGAGTTCAGGGGTGTGATTTTACAGTTATCAGAAACATGTTCTCTGGAGTATTTCTGTGGCATACAACATTTAAAAATAGTAATTGGAATTAGGACCAATTATACAGACCATAAGAACATTGACAAATTACTGGTAATTTTATACAATTTCTGAAGTATTTATATTAGTAATTATCTATCTACACAAAGATAGTTTAACATTACTTCTTATTTGATGATGCTTTCCATATATCCAAATATATTAAATAAACCTAATTAGTTTAATATTTCTTTTTTTACAAAGCAAGAGAACAAATTCTTTTGAGATTTTTCGGGGGGCCTCTAAAAAAGTCTGAAAGTCAATCTGTGGTCAAAAAGTCTTTATTATAATTTGATTTGGGGAATTAATAAAAGATGTCAAAAGATTTGAACAGTTGATTAAGTATGTTTGAATTTATTGTTACATATTTTAGAGTATATTCTTGGTTCTAAGTCAATTACTTTTTAAAGCAAACATAACAGATGAGTATTTAAGTAAACTTTATGCATATGGTAATAGAAACTTTGTGTCTTCGTCTCTCTGCTCACATCATTGCAAAAATAAGAATATGTTTAAGGTTTATTTTCCCCCAAATGTTATATTAAGTCCAGTCCTATAGGATATTAAATGTTATAGAAGTTAAGAGTTCCACAATCTGAGTTTTGAAAAATGCTGTGTAAAATTGTAACTGATTATTTGATATAAAGCTTCTCAGTTCTATTTATGTGTTGATGTGAACGGTGAATCCACAAGAGAATGACTGTCTATGAAATTTGTTTGACACTTTTCTTGTGACATATTCATGGAATCTCATGGATAGTCTTCATAAGTTACTGGCATATGCCCCCACCCCCAAATTATGAAGGAGCTAAAATTTGCCATTAAAATGATAGAAGTATTTCAATTATAAAATTTTAGATAACTAAATAAAATAATATATATCCCCTTCACTTCTTAATAAAACATTTTGATATTTTATGTCATATCTTTTTTCAACAATTGTTTGTTGATCACATATTTAAATTTAGCAATTACCTGTGTGTCAAAGTATATTTTTCTACACATTAAAAACATAACTCCTGTTGACCGTTAATTACTCCAAAACTAAAAGAAATAATTTGTCGAGCTAGGGAAGCTAAACTTACTGATTTATTGCAGTTAAGGGAAATACCAAGTTAACAGAATCTTAGAGAGAAATGATGGCACCTACATCAATATGTGGAGCTGAGCTGTCGTGGTATGTCACTGATATGGGTACCAAAGTGTATGGTATAGTTGACAATTATTAAATAGACTAGAAAGACTATTAAATAGACTGTTAAAAGACTATTAAATAGGCTAGAAAGAGAGTGAAATAATAGAGGTAAAAATTGCCTTAAAAAAAGAGAGGTTTTTGTTGGCTAGGATTTGGATACAGAGTTTCAGTCTGGCTTTGGCACAGGGAATCTTCACTCAGGAAAGATAAGACAGCAAATAATAAGTACTTTTACTGATTGCTTCAGAAAATTCATGTAAATGATTTTTTTCCTGAGACAACGGTCTCAGGTCTTAGCTCATTTGGTTAAACAGCTCACTTATCAAGTAACAATTTACTTATGAAGATTCACTTCAAGATCCTCATGTCACTGCATCCAACAACTCCACATTATTGTATTAAAAATGCCCATTCTCAATGATTTCTTTTCCTTAACAAACCTTGAAAACACCCACCTTAAACCACTTGAGCTTAGAAGCCCAAACTATCAATATCGCTGCCTAACTCCCCTCTTCTGAGACACTACTAACACAAGGTATTCTGCTTTACTATAGTGTGTTCTAATAAACTTAGCTTCATTAATGATTGTTTGGTGATATTTTGGAAAATTCAAGTGGTGTCTCAAAATAGGGAATTTAAGTAAGAATAGTTCTAGGGTTTTAAGTCTTGGGCTGGGTGATTTTAGGATGAGGTTTGTAAGATATGGATTGGACAGAGTTTATATATACAGCTTTGGATTGGTTAGCACAGCAAAGCGAGGGTTTTGAAACAATCTTGATAAGAAAGTTATTAGTCTTAATAAGGTGGTCTTTTTATTGGTTTATAGTCTTTTAGGAGTGAATACATATTTCGTTGAGCTGACATAATTTTTTTAAAAAGCTGGTATTGACACAGGGACAGAAAGCATCCTCACTCATGGGCAGATTTTAGTTCTCACTCTCACATACATATACAATGAACACATGTTTGGACTAATTCATTACAAGAACATTTAAGGAACAGAGTTTTAATAGGCATTTACAGAAATTTAAGTTAAAAAAAGATTGCTAGATTAGCTCTAAAAATTGTATAATGTTTTACGAGATAATAAAATTGTGGCTTTTCTACTAGATAGAAATCCTGTAACTTCACAATAATGGATTTTTAAATTAATATATAAATGTCAAGTTAAACAAAGGCATATTAACCTAGATAATTAAATAATCATTAGTTTGGCCTTTAAAAATGTTTTTGTATGGCATTAGAAGTGCATGCTGCCATCTGACTTATTTCAAGTTTTGGATAATTTAAAAATACTGATGATGTATCATTTGCATAAGAATTGAATTCCCTAATTGACTATCAGCTCTACGAAGTCATTTTCTCATTGAAGGGATTAGACTACTTCACATAGTAAATGCTCAAGAAATTCCATTCCTACTGAATTGCCTTCCATTGAGCTCTTAAATTCAATGGTCCTATGTATTTGAATGCAGGCCTTTTGATTTTGAGATTTATGATTCAAGGTACTTACTATTTACTGTCTCATTTTATGCTTCACTTTCTGAATTCTCAGTGGCTGCAACTATAGCTATTAGGATCACAATTCTTTAGCATAAACAAGTTATAAAGACATGAATGAATACTAATAGACCTTAAATTAGTCAATTTTTATAATTAAATCTGAATAACTAAAATAAAATTTCAATAGTGAAGACTGTAAATTAAGTGGATAGTAATCTGAATATTTTAAGTTAGAAAAAATACTCAGCTTTATTTTTTTTCAAGCATTAACTGTCACTGATATGGGTACCAAAGTGTATGGTATTGTTAACAATTATTAAATAGACTAGAAAGAGAGTGAAGTAATAGAGGTAAAAATTGTCTTAAAAAAGAGAGGTTTTTGTTGGATAGGATTTGGATACATAGTTTCAGTCTGAAGAAAATAACTACTGAAAACTTGAAGACAAGATTGAGCATTGAATGTTTGTATATGATGGTGGTGGGAAGGGAATATTAGGTAAAAATTAGGAGTAGTGGTGAGAAAACATAATGAGAAAATTTTATGTTCCAAAACAATTGAAGTTTGGAGAAGTGAAACCACCTTTTTATAAGCTCAAAAACCAGGATTAAAAACTTGATTTGATTTTATAAGTGTTGAAAATAGGACTGTCATACATTAGAAAACTAAACTGAACACAATGTTCAGAATGTAGATAAAATTAGATTGACAAGTTGAGAAGCTATTGCAATAACTCAAAAAAGAAGGTATGAGAGTTTGAATTAAAATGAAAGGACACATCTTAGACATTTTGATGAATATGTTTACAAGATTTGATGACTGATTGGATCTAAGAAAAGAAAAGAAGATAAGAGTCAAAGATAAATCTAAGACTTTTAATATTAGACCCTGAAATGAGGAGTTTGGTATGTGGAGATAGAATGGGGGCAGGATTTTGAATTTAATTTAGACATACAGAGTTCATGGTTTGGAGCATCAAATTGTCAGGTGGATGACTGGGAAAAGGCTCTATGTTAACAAAGAAATCTGAGCTTAAGATATGGATTTGAGAGTTAGGCATCATTCAACCTGTGAAAGTGAGAGATGTTTCTCTGATGGAAATAATATAGAACAATATGATCAGATGGTAAAGTTCAAGCCACAGGAGAAAATGGAGGATCAAGAACAGATATCAATTATTGTAAGGAGGAACAGAAGAAAAGGGCCTGGGGAAAGAATATTAGATTTGATGAGAAGAAAGCTATTCTTGGGAATGCAAATAAATTAAGATATGGAAAGGTAAGGAAATAAAAGCAATAGGTATAGATATAGACAATTCTTTCAAGAAACCTGACAGAGAAGTAATCACGAGGGCAAGGATGTGCACATGGGAGGTGATGTTAAACATGAGTATATGACAAAAAGTGCAAACAAGGACAAGATAGTTGAAGGAGTGCATTAAGTTAGAGAAAGAAGGAGCCAATTCCCTCAGCAGTTAGAAAATAATGGGATCTAGATAGTAGGATTAATTTTAGAGAAAAGATTATTTCAAATGGAATGGAAAGATGAGAAGATAAATACAAATGTGATATATTGATGAAAAATTAGTATATGGATATTAGTCCTTTGTTGGATGCATAGTTTGCAAATATGTATTCCCACTATGGATTGTCTGTTTACTTTGCTGATTGTTTCTTTTGCTGTGCAGAAAATTTTTAATTAGGTCCCATCTATTTATTTTTGTTTTTGTTGCATTTCTTTTGGGGTTTTTTGTCATGAGCTCTTTGCCTAAGCCATTGACTAGGAGAGTTTTTCCGATGTTATCTTCTAGAATTTTTATGGTTTCATGTCTTAGATTCTAAGTCTTTGATTCACCTTGAGTTGATTTTTGTATAAGGTGAGAGATGAGGATTCAGTTTCATTCTCTACACGTGGCTTACCAATTATCCCAGCACCATTTGTTCAAAAAGATGTCGTTTCCCACTTTATGTTTTTGTTTGCTTTGTCAAAGATCAGTTGGCTGTATGTGACTTTATTTCTGGATTCTCTTCTGTGTTCATCTGATCTATGCACCTATTTTTATACCAGTACCATGTTGTTTTGGTAACTACAGCCTTATAGTATAGTTTGAAGTCAGGTAATTGAGGCTTTCAGATTTGTCCTTTTTGCTTAGTCTTGTCTTGTTTTGGCTATGTGGGCTCCTTTTTGGTTCTTTATAAATTTTAGGATTTTTTTTTAGTTCTGTGAAAAATGACAATGGTATTTTGATGGAAATTGCATTGAATTTGTAGATTGCTTTTGGCAGTTTGTGATAATTTTCACAATATTGATTCTCCTCATCCATGAGCATGAGATTTGTTTTCATTTGTTTGTGTCATCTATGATTTCATTCAACAGTATTTTGTAGTTTTCTTTGTAGAGATCTTTTACCTCCTTGGTTAGGTATATTCCTAAGTGTTTTAATAGTATTATTATTATTATTGCAGCTGTTGTAAAAAGGATTGAGTTCTCGATTTGATTCTCCACTTGGTCGTTGTTCGTGTACAGCAGTGCTACCGATTTTGTGTCCTGAAACTACTGAATTCATTTACCAGATCTAGGAGCTTTTTCCATGATTCTTTCAGGTTTTCTAAGTATGCAATCATATCATTGGCGAATGGCAACAGTTTGATTTCCTCTTTACCAATTTGGATGCCCTTTATTTCCTTCTGTTATCTGATTGCTCTGGCTAGGAGTAACAGTACTGTGTTAAATAGAAATGGTGAAAGTGGGCATCCTTGGCTTGTTCCAATTCTCAGGGGGAATGCTTTCAACTTTTCCTCATTCAATATAATGTCAGCTGTGGGTTTGTCATAGATGGCTTTTATTTCCTTGAGGTATCTCAAGCAAATTAACAAGTAAGAAAACAAATAATCCCACCAAAAAGTGGGCAATGGACATGAATAGAAAATTCTCAAAAGAAGGTACACAAATGGCCAACAAACATATAAAAAATGCTCAGCATCACTAATTATCAGGGAAATGAAGATTAAAACCACATGAGATACCATCTTACTGCTACAAAAATTACCATAATTTAAAAATTAAAAAATAATGGATCTTGGTGTGGATGTTGTGAAAAGGAAACACTTTTACACTGCTGGTGGAAATGTAAACTAGTACAACCACTATGCAAAACAGTATGGAGATTCCTTAAATAACTAAAAGTAGAACTACCATTCAATTCAGCAATCCCTCTACTAGGTATCTACCCAAAAAACAAGAAGTCATTATATGAAAAAGACACTTGCACATGCATATTTATAGCAGCACAATTTTCAATTGCAAAAATATGGAACCAGCCTAAATGCTCACGAACCAATGAATGGATAAAGAAAATGTGGCATACATACACCATGGAATACTACTCAGCCATAAAAAGGAATCAAATAATGGCATTCACAGTGACCTGATAGAATTGGATACCATTATTGTAAGTGAAGTAACTGAAGAATGGAAAACCATATATTATATATTCTCACTTATAAGTTGGAGCTCAGCTATGAGGACACAAAGGCATAAGAATGATATAATGGACTTTGGGGACTTGGGGGGAATGGTGGGAAGGGGTGAGGGATAACAGGCTATACATTGGGTACAATGTACACTGCTCAGGTGACATGTGCACCAAAATCTCAGCAATAACCACTGAAGAAATTATCCATGTAACCCAAAACCACCTGTTCCCTGAAAACTATTGAAATAAAAGAAATTAGTATATGGTTTCAGAGAACAATTATGTAGACTTCATTTAGGTTGTCAGGCTGTCCAGTTATTGTGGAGTAATGCAATGTTTGGAAAGTAAAAGGAGTTGGGAAAGAAAAGAGAGTTTTTACATAGTGACAATGTATCTAGTCATGGTTTGAAAATCAGCCTGGAGAGGTAGCAGAATGCCCTTTCTTTCTACTCATTGCTATGGTGAACTGGATGTTCTTGGTGAAAACTTACAAAGATTTGTTTCATGAGCACAAATTTCTTTTGGGAAGGAATAGATTAAGACCTGAAGCACATTTGTTACCATTTTAAATTTATAATGAACCTTTTGACAAGGTTGGATGGTAAAGAAAGTAACAAGGCTGCTGAAAGTAGAGAGAAAGAGAAGAACAAAAGGCTGGTGCCTGAGCTGAGAGTTGGAAAGTTGGAGGTCTCTTAAGGGGCTTACACTACGACATGGGTTGACCCGGCAGTCTTTTGGTTACCTTATGTGCTAAGAAGGAGCCATGCAGATGAATAAGTAAAATGCAAGTTATAAAGACTTACAACATTGAGGTTAGACCCATGGGACACTTCTTGTTGAGCATAAAATTGAAGACAGGTATGTTCTCCCTTGCACCTGAGAAAACACTGCAAGACCATCAGTTGCACTGAAAGGGCTTTGTGCCAAACTGCTGTACTGTCCTAGTTTTAGCAATGAAATTAGGCCCTATTATTTACAACTATCAGAGCTACATTGGAAAAAACTGAAGTAAGCCAGCAAGGGGTGAGGCTTACATGTCAAGTCTGAGAGATTGGCCATAATGGACACATCAGAGTTGGTGCAATAGGGAAGTCCTAGAAGACTCCATCAAATGATTACTTTGGGAGTAGTTTTTATGAATCCTCGGCAGAAAAACTTGGCAAAAGATTGTTTTTCCTGCCAGTTTGAACATGTAGAAACTGAGTTTTTATACATTGAGCATCAGGAAATTTGTGACCTTTTTGGTTAAGTTTTGTTTTGAGACAGGGTTTCACTCTGTCACCCAGGCTGGAGTGCAGTGGGTGATGAAGCTTACTGCAGCCTCAACCTTTCAGGCTCAAGTGATCCTCCTGTGTCCAGAATTGGTTCCTTCTGGTGGGTTCTTGGTCTCGCTGACTTCAAGAATGAAGCTGCAGACCCTCGCGGTGAGTGTTATAGTTCTTAAAGATGGTGTGTCCAGAGTGTGATCCTTCAGATGTTCAGATGTGTCAGGAGTTTCTTCCTTCTGGTGGGTTCGTGGTCTTGCTGACTTCAGGAGTAAAGCCGCAGACCTTCACAGTGAGTGTTACAGCTCTTAGAGTTGGCGCGTCCGGAGTTGTTCGTTCCTCCCAGTGGGTTCGTGGTCTCAATGACTTCAGGAGTGAAGCTGCAGACCTTTGCGGTGAGTGTTACAGCTCATAAAGATAGTGCAGACCCAAAGAGTGAGCAGCAGCAAGATTTATTGCAAAGAGTGAAAGAACAAAGCTTCCACAGTGGTGGAAGGGGACCCGAGTGTGTTGCTGCTGCTGGCTCGGGTGGCTAGCTTTTATTTCCTTATTTGGCCCCACCCACATCCTGCTGATTGGTCCATTTTTACAGAGTGCTGATTGGTGCCTTTACAAACCTTTAGCTAGACACAGAGTGCTGATTGGTGCGTTTTTACAGAGTGCTGATTGGTGCATTTACCAACCTTTAGCTAGACACAGTGCTGATTGGTGCATTTACAATCCTTTAGCTAGAGAGAAAAGTTCTCCAAGTCCCCACCTGACCCAGAAGCCCAGCCAGCTTCACCTCTCAATCCCCCCTCTAAACAGGACACCCCAACTGCTGTTGGGAATTGGGTGATGACTACTCTAGCTACTTCCTGCTGGATAGTGGCAAAGAAGGGGCCCTGCAGTTGTAGTGTCCTCCACAGGGGAACTCTTTAGGCCAGTGAAAGGGCCAACAGGTTGGTCCAGGGGTCCTCGGTAGAAGTTGTTAGTTGAGCTCATTTGGGGTTCCATTTGTAAGACAATCTGTAGCTTCATGGCCTTGATCTAGAGGAAACAAATTTGACAAGGAGGTTAAAAATACAGGGCCCGAAGGTGAGTAATAGCAAGATGGCTGCCATGGGACCTAGAAAGGGGAGAAGCCATGTTGCCCAACTCCAGAGGTTGGTATAAGAGTTTGAAAGGCATTGTCTGACTTCGGAAGCCTTTTCCTGTAAATGACAGGCAGCATCTCGTACTATCCCTGACTGGTTAGTGTAAAAGCAATACTCTTCCCCTAAGAAGAGTCAGCAGTGAGAGGTCTAGACCTCGGTGGTTTTGGAGAGTCACTGCTGCCAAAGAGCCTATTTGGGATTGTAGAGTAAGGATAGATTTTGTTATTTCTTGCAAACTGTCTGAGAAATCCTTTGAGACTGTGTGGTAGTAGGATAATGTATGTTACACTGTTAACTTTTAGCAAACTTTACTTCAGTTGAAAACCTTGTAAGTTTGGGATTTTAATTTTTCTTTGCTATTAATAAAACTTCCTTCAGTCCATATTAACATAGAATTGGTATAGATGGCTCCTTTCTGATTCTGTAAGTACTTTAAGATTTGGCTGAGTGCAAACAACTTGCAGGTTTGGGCAGACCAATTATTAGGTAAGTTTCCTAAATGCTTCTATAAGAGTTTCCCTATCACTTACTGAATACCCATTGTGTCTTTTTTTTTCCCTTAATTGCCTGGAAGGAACCATCTATCATCCTGTCCTGAAGGGAGTTCCTCCTAGATCTGATCAGACCTTTGTATGGTAATTAATTAAGATTTAGATCCCCTGTTAGGAAACCTGCTGGGTTAAGGATTTTTGATAGGAAGACTATGAGTTGTCTGTGGCCTCAGTGCTTTCGGGCTATGCCCTTGTTTGCACTGACAACAAGGTGGTATTGGAGTGTTATAGAGTCATGGAGAAGATCTTCAATTATCAATTATAGGTTTTAAATTTACCCTGGCTTTTAAAGGAATAGGGTACACTCTTTTTTCTTTACTACTTCTTTCTCTCTCTGACTCCCTCTTTGTCTCTGTCTCTTTCTCTCTCTCTCTCTCTCTGACTTCCTGTCTCTTTCTCTCTTTCCTTTCTGCTGGTCTTTCCTTGCCTCTGCCAGCTGCTTATGCTGCTGTTCTCCCCTATCCTTCCCCTTTTGATGGCTTCGGCAGTGTAAGACTGCCACCTCCTTGAGTTTTTGCACTGCATGCAATAAATAACTCCATGATTTCCTTGTGGTATTTAATGGGGGTTCCCCCAGAGTTTAGGAACTCCCTTTCTTTCCATATTGCAGCATGGGCATGTAGGATTAGATAATCATACTTGCTATCTGTATACACATTTGTTCTTCCCTTTCCCAGTTCTAAGGCTCGGGTAAGTGCCACTGGTTCTGCTAACTGGGCGCTGGTCCCTGAGGGAAGAGTCTTACTTTCAAGTACAGTTATGTCACTAACTATGGCATAACCTGGCCTTCGTATTCCATTCTCCACAAATGAACTTCCATCTGTATATAGGTTAAGGTCAGGATTAGCTAAGGGGACTTCTAAGAGCTCACCTTGGGCAGCATAAGTCTGGAGTATAATTTGTTGGCAGTCATGCTCGATTGGTTCCCCATCCTCTGGGAGAAAAGTGGCAGGGTTGAGGGCTGCACATGTATGTATTTGAAGCACTGGTCCCTCAAGGAGTAGCATCTGATATCTAAGTAGGTGGTTGTCTGATTAGCCATAAACTTCCTTTGGCACCTAGTATGCCATTTACATCATGAGTAGTCCAGACAGTGAGATCCTTTCCTTGTATTAGTTTGATAGCCTTTGACACTAAGACGGCCACCACCACAACTATCCGTAAACAATGAGGCCAGCCCTTTGTTACTATATCAATTTCCTTACTTAGATATGCCACTGGTTGTGGGGTTGTCCCACGAATCTGAGTAAGGACTCCAAGAGCTATCCCTGCCCTCTCTGTGATGTATAAAGAGAAGTTTTATCCTGTGGGAAGGCTTAAAGCTGGAGCTTGTACCATTGCCTGCTTTAAGGTTTTGAAGGCTGTTTCTGCCCCTGGTTCCCATTCTACTAGATGAGTATTTGCTCTCTGGGTCTCCTTGATTAGAGTATAGAGGGGCCTGGCTATCTTACTGTATCCACGGATCCACAGTCGGCAAAAGCTGGTGATTCCAAGGAACCCCCACAACAGTTTTAATGTCTTAGGGTAAGGATAAGCCAGTACAGGCTGTATTCATTCCTTGCTGAGGGCCCTGGTCCCTCTGGCTAAGATTAGGCCTAGATATTTGACCTGCTGTAGGCATAGCTGAGCCTTCAACCTAGATGCCTTGAACCCTTGATTAGCTAGAAAGTTCAAGAGATCTAGAGTAGACTCCTGGCATGAGGCTTCTGAACTGGTAGCCAAAAGTAAATCATTCACATACTGAAGGACCAGAGTACCTGGACTTAAGAAGTGGCCTAGATCTTGGGTCAGTGCCTGACAAAACAGATGAGGGCTATCCCTAAACCCTTGCGGCAAGACCATCCATGTAATTTGGGACATGTAGTCTGTGGGATCCTCAAAGGCAAAGAGGAACTGGGAGTCATAGTGCAAGGGAATACAGAAGAAGGCATCCTTGAGGTCCAGAACAGTGAACCATTCTGCTTCCTCTGGTATTTGAGAGAGCAGGGTATAGGGGTTGGATACAACTGGATATAGAGAAATTACTGCCTCATTGATGAGTCTAAGCTCTTGCACTAGTCTCCACTGACCATTTGGTTTTTGTACTCCTAGAATTGGGGTGTTGCAGGGACTGCTAAATTTCCTTATGAAGTCTTGAGCTTTTAAATGTTTAACAATATCCTGTAATCCTTTATGAGCTTCAGGCCTTAAGGGATATTGCCTTTGATAAGGAAAAGTGGTGGGATATTTTAGCCTGATTTGGACTGGGTGGGCATTTTTTGCCCTTCCAAATTGTCCTTCCAATGTCCAGACTTCGGGGTTGACTCCCTCCTCAAGTAGGGGACAACAAATGGATAACTTGTTCCCCATATTGATGTAGACAGTAGCTCCAGCTTTGCCTAATATATCCCTCCCTAATAAGGGTGTAGAACTTTCAGGCATAACAAGAAAGGCAAGTGAAAAGAGCAAAGTCTCCCAATTACAACTGAGGAGGTGGGAGAACTGCCTGGTTACAGGCTGTCCCAGGATTCCTCGGATGGTGACGGATCTTGAGGACAGTCATCCAGGACAGGAGATTAACACTGAGAAGGCTGCACCAGTGTCTGGGAGGAAGTTTCCTAGCCCTCAATGGTTAAACTTACCTGGGGCTCAGTGAGGGTGATGACATGAGCTAGTGCTTGCCCCAGGAACCCTCAGTCCTGTTGTTGGATCATCTGGTTGGGGGCTTCTGGCCCAGAGAATCATTGCAATCTGGGGCAGTGTGCCTTCCAGTGATTGCCTCGGCATAGTGGACATGGACAAGGGGCAGCTTGTTTCACATTGGACCATCTTTTTTAAAGTGTCCTTGTAAACCACACTGATAACAAGCCTTACAGAGTGATTGGCCTGCTCCATTTTCTGTCCTCTCTGGACCACGAAGGTTTGTTTGAGGGCCATGACTAAGGCTGTGGCCTTTTTCTGATCTTGCTTTTCCTTTTGGGCCTGTTCCTCTTGGTCCCTATTATAGAACACCAAGGTTTCCAGGTTTAATAATGCCTCCAGATTTTGTTCAAGGCCCAGGGCTCACTTTTGGAGCTTTCTTCTGATATCTGCATCTGATTGGGTAATAAGCTTATCTTTTAGGATCAATTGACCCTCTACTGAGTCAGGTGACAGGGAGTATATTTTCTTAAGGCCTCCCATAGCTGCTCGAGGAAGGCAGAAGGTTTTTCTTCCTTTCCCTGAGTTATGGTGTACATCATTGAATAATTCATGGGCTTTTTCCTAATTCTCCTTAGTCCTTCTAGAACACAGGTCAATGATGTTTACGACTCCAGTCCCCATGATCTGAGTCGAGGTCCCAGTGGGGATCCATACTAGGGATGGCTTGCTGACCAGTAGGGAATTTGTCCCTTTCTTCAGCTGTCATTCTATCATTTACTTGACTAAGATACCAGGTATCTCCAAACTCTCAGGCTGCAGCTAAAGCTGCATTCTTTTCATTAAAGGCCAGGGTTTGATCTAACAATAGCATGACATCTCTCCAAGTGAGATTGAAGGTTTGCCCTAGACCCTGTAGAACATCTATGTACTTATCAGCATCTTCTGAAAACTTCCCCAGGTCTGCCTTGATCTGCTTTAAATCAGAGAGGGAGAAGGGGATATGTACCTGGGTTGGGCCAAATTCCCCTCCCCCTACAGCTTGAAAAGGACATAACCAATAGCCTGGGGGTTTTTGTGGTCCCTTGGAGATTTCTTTGCTTGTTTCCTTCTGGGTGGAGGAGATTGAAGGAGGCTTATTAATAGGAAAGGGAGCTATAGGGAGGCTAGGATATGGGGGTAAGCTGAGAGGTCTTCCTGCGGGATGCATATTGCAAGCTTTGCATAGTTGTGTATTCTCCTTCAATGAAAAGAAAGCTTGGACATAAGGTATTTCACTCCATTTGCCTTCCCTCTTACAGAAAAGATCAAGCTACAGGATAGTATTGTAATTTATACTTCCCTCAGGTGGCCATTTTTCCCCATCAGAGAGAGAATATTGGGGTCAGGCAGTAGTGCAGAAAAAAATGAGCCACCTCTTTTTCAGGGTTTGTGGGTCAAATTGGTCCCAATGGCTTAGGATGCATTTCAATGGTGAGCCTGTTGATGCCTGAGTGTTTCCCATCTGAAAGACGGAACTGCCCATGGTTTTGGTTTGTTTGTTTCTCCCCCTGCCCAAGAACCCACAACGGTCCCTGGACCCTGCTGATTGGAATAGTTGCGCTCACCGACGCAGCAGCAGAAACACTAGTTTTCCTCCTAGACCACAAGGAGGACTGAGGAAGGTCAGATTTAGTGGTCCTTACTGACGCATTCTCAAAAACCTCCACCCTTGCCTGTCCTCCTAGACCACAAAGAGGACTGAGAAAAATCAGATTTAGTGACCCTTACCACTGACACATTCTCGAAAACCTGTTAGAGTCCTAAGCATTCTCCTGTTAGTATTGAGACCTTACTCGAGTCAATACCCCAAAAATGAAGTGGAGGGCCATACCCTGAGGGAGGGAATGGATCTTCAGAGTTGGAAGAGTGGAGCCTTTTGTCTTCACTTATATGAATAGGAAGGATATAATTTCTGAGGCTTCCCATATCCTACCTTCAGGAATAGCTGTTGTTAGGCCTGTTTGTCTGAGGAGGGATCCTAAAATTCCAGATAGTCCCCACTATGACAGGGCTTTGGGCAAAAATTATGTCTTTCTGATTGGTGAGCCCAGGTGCCTAAAGAAGGTAACAGAGTCCTGGAGTATATAGTAGAAATCATTCTTATAGGAGAAACTAGAAAAGTACCAGAGACAGGGAGTGGTTTTTAGAAGCGGGACTAGCCTCAGAGAAGAGAGGCGAGAGGAAGTTTGTCTGACAGGCATTAGGACCCAGGAGGCAAGGGTCAGGACAGATAGGATAGATGGGCGAGTCTCGCTTCGGTGACATGACTTTGAGAGTTCTGCTCATGGCCACAGGGTCAACCAAATTGCTGTCAGGACCCCGGAGCTGAATGGCTTTCCTCTCTGTCAACTCTCGGCTCAGCCCAGAAGTACAGGAAAAGTGGAAACTGGTTCCAGGCAAACCAACGCTCTGAACTCCGAAGAGTCAGGGGTTATTAGAGAGCTCTTTCCCAGAAAGCCTGACATCCATGTCTTTAGTCCAGCAGCCACGTTAATCACTTTTAATGGGCTGAGAGATGCCTGATATTTAGCCCCCAAATTCTAAGGAAAAATAAGACAGAATAGCAAGCAAAAGGGTCCGATGGTACTCACTGCTTCGTGATTGTCCCATCTGGGTCACCAAAATGTGTCTGGAATTGGTTCCTTCCGGTGAGTTCTTGGTCTCGCTGACTTCAAGAATGAAGCCACAGACCCTTGCGATGAGTGTTACAGTTCTTGAACATGGTGTGTCTGGAGTTTGTTCCTTCAGATGTTCAGATATGTCCAGAGTTTCTTCCTTCTGGTGGGTTCGTGGTCTCGCTGACTTCAGGAGTAAAGCCACAGACCTTCACAGTGAGTGTTACAGCTCCTAAAGGTGGTGTGTCCAGAGTTGTTCATTCCTCCCAGTTGGTTCATGGTCTCACTGACTTCAGGAGTAAAGCTGCAGATCTTCACAGTGAGTGTTACAGCTCATAAAGGTAATGTGGACCCAAAGAGTGAGCAGCAGCAAGATTTATTTCAAAGAGCGAAAAAACAAAGCTTCCACAGTGTGGAAGGGGACCTGAGCATGTTGCTGCTGCTGGCTCAGGTGGCCAGCTTTTATTCCCTTATTTGGCCCTGCCCATGTCCTGCTGATTGGTCCGTTTTTACAGAGAGCTGATTGGTGCATTTACAAACCTTTAGCTAGACACAGAGTGCTGATTGGTGTGTTTTTACAGAGTGCTGATTGGTGCATTTACAAAGCTTTAGCTAGATGTAGCACTGATTGATGCGTTTACAATCCTTTAGCTAGACAGAAAAGTTCTCCAAGTCCCCACCCGACCCAGAAGCCCAGCCAGTTTCACCTGTCACTCCCACCTCAGCCTTGCCAGTAGATAGAGGTGTGTGCCACCACGCCTGGCTTATTTTTTTATTTTTTGTAGAGGTGGGGTCTTGCTTTTTTCCCTAGGCTGGTCTCAAACTTTTGGCCTCAAATGATCCTCTCATCTCAGCTTTCTAAATTGCTGGGATTACAGGTGTGAGCCTGTGAGCCACTGTGCATGGTGAGTGACCTGATTTTGTATTCCACAATGGAGAAGTGGAACAAAGATATTGGGAGTTTGTCTTATTATAGCAAAAAGCTTGAGTGTGAATATACAGTTCATATTAGTGACATTTGTGTACTTTGATGTGATAGTAAATTCACAGTTCATTGCAATTCTACTTCTAATTTTCATGCACATCAAAGAATAGAATGCTCAAATATCTTCATTTTCTCAGCTAATAACTCTGCTCTGCATAAATCACAATGCTGAGCACAACAAATCTGAGGATAAAAAGAATTTTAATTTCCACATACTTTAAAAATGCATATTCTTTTAACCTGCTAGTGTCATTTGTGCAGTTAGTTATGACTACTTAAGTACAGAGGACTGCTTTAAGTTGTAAAGGCTACAATGGGCCCTCAATAAGGTGGGACAGGTATGCATTACAAAGAAATTATTTTCTATTCACTTAGAACAAAGGCTTTGTTTTGACAGATTATGATTTAAGTTCTGGCTCTACTGTGTACTAGTTGTGGTTTTCTGTGAATTATTTAAACTCTATGGAGATTTAATGAAAAAAATAATACTTTCCCTAAGATTTTCTACTAAGTAATATAGGTAGAAGATATAACCTCGTGACTGGTACTTTATATGGCATTGGTGATTGTCATGATGCCAATTATTGTCATTAATTCTAACATCATGTAAATTATCTGCCATATTGAGTAAGTCTATTTCGACTAGGTTGTCAATTTTGGAATTAAGTAAGGGATTTTTTAAATGTAAACTTGCCTAGGTTCTTCAATTAAAATGTATGCCAACAAGTGGCTAGTAAATGTGTCAGTGTTGGGTGGGGCAGTACTTCTTCCCTACTCTTGATGTCTCCTTTCATGCAGAGATATCTTTAATAGTGGAATTCTCCTGGCCACTCTCTACCTCCTTGCACACTTTGCCCTATGGAGGATGTGTGATTTAATTTGAGGGGTGAGTTTGGTAGCAGGAACTGTGTATGCATATCTCCTCCACTTCTTCTCCTTGGACAGTGAGCTGCATGTAAGGAATACACATTTTCCTTTCTCCATCCACACTGTTCATCCTGTGGGGCAGCCCTGCAGGTAGGGAGGTCTAGTCAGGACCAGTACTGGTATGCTGGTGTGTGCATGTCTATCTTGTTCTGGGTGTCTATGTTAGGTAGCCCACTTGCCCATACATTTAAACCACATTTTTCACTTCTTATCTCGCTGATAGAAATTACACTTTTAGCAGTATTCACCCTTATGTGGGAGACAAATAACAGGTGATTAGTAATCAAAGATTCACATATTAAGGAAATTAGGACTTTTTCTTTTCTTTTCTTTTTCTGAGACAGAGTCTCTCTCTGTCGCCAGGCTGGAGTGCCGTGGCGCAATCTCAGCTCACTGCAACCTCTGCCTCCCAGGTTCAAGCGATTCTCTTGCCTCAGCCTCCCGAGTAGCTGGGACTGCAGGAGCATGCCACCACGCCCAGCTAATTTTTATATGTTTACTAGAGACGGGGTTTACTAGAGACCACGTTGGCCAGGATGGTTTCGATTTCCTGACCTTGTGATCCTCCCACCTTGGCCTCCCTAAGTGCTGGGATTACAGGTGTGAACCACTGTGCCTGGCTAGAAATTAGGACATTTTGAAAAAGCCATAGATGAGTGAGAAACCTTGGACTATGAAAGCATACCAGCGTTCATATTGAGAAACATATCATAGATGTTTCTTCCAATGGAAAGTACTTTATACCTCACCATGTGTCTCATGTAAAAGCAGTTAAAATCTCCAGCCATGGCAATCTTATGTTGCCATTTTGGCCACGGTTTAGAATTTACAAAGTTGACCCATAATTAATGATGTCTTTTGGTATTAACTATATTTCTTCTAAATAGGCACAACAAAAGTAAGCAAGCCGATAGGTGACTGAATTAGCTGTGGTTGCTATTTGTTTTCTATGTTATTTCTCTAATTTCTGTAAGATTCTCCAAGCTGGATAGTGTAAATCCCATTTTACAGATGTTGAAGCTAAGGCTTGAAATGGTTAAATAACTTTATTAAGGAAACAAGTGGATTTTCAAATCAGGATTTTTCAAAAACTCATACCTGACCTGTGTTGTTTTGCTATTTCCATGCTCATGTTCTTTCTATCATACTTTCTCTTTAGAATTAATATGATGTGAATTCAAATCCCATTCTATTTACATTTTTTGATTAGGGCATTGAATTTGTTTACATATCAATGACATTTTGTTTACTTTGCTCTGATAGTAACTTCAGAGTTAATTGTAATTCCAATTCTAATTTTTATACACATCAAAGAATAGAAATATAGAATACTCAAACATCTTAATTTTCTCAGCTAATAACTTTGCTTTGCACAGACTACAATGCTGAGCACAACAAATCGGGGATCAAAAGAATTTTAAATCCGACATACATTAAGAATTCACGTTGTTTTAACTTGCTAGTGTCATTCGTGCAGTTAGTAACATGACTACTTCAGTACAGAGAACTGTTTTAAGTTGTAAAGGCTACAGTGGGCCTTCAATAAGGTGGGACAGGTTTGCATGAGAGAGAAATTATTTTCCAAGGTGGTTGTCAAAAGAGGGATACAAACTAATGGTTCACAAATAGAAGCTGTGATGAATCTAGGATCTAAGGCTGCCCACATACATGGGGTGAATTTCTTAAAAGGAGTGTATAGGCTAAATACAACCATTGTTCTGAGTTCTAAATATACACTGCATTCAAGAAGTAATAAATACAAACAATATCCCTTTTATTTAGCGTTTTAGACCACTTTCATTTCTACTATCTTACAGAAAATGAATGAAAAATACCTCTTCAGATGTGGTGAAATATTTTGAAAAATGTGATAGGGAGAAATCTGATAGTTTTATCATTCTTTCTCTTATCAACTTTGCTATTCTCTTTAGGGTAGCCACCCCTGGGTAGGGTAGTCTTGAAAGCTAACGAAACAGGTTTATATCATGTTTGTTTTTCATACAACGAGTGTTTCCTTCCTTTGTAAATGTCTCTTGAGCCAGATACGTTGAACAGAAGCAGGGATACAGAAGAGTATAGCTCCCAAGAGGACAGGGAATGGCACAGTTTGGGTGCCTGCTCTCTCCTTAGTGACTGTGCAGCCCAAGACAAATTCCTTCTGTTCTCTGAAACTTGTTCCTCATCTGTAGAATGAAAGTAATGATATTACTTATTCAATATTTATGTAGTTATTATCAAGAATAAATGGAAGGCATCTAAAATCTCAAATACATTGCAATGACTTCAAAACATGTTGGATATTATGATGGTAGTTATTGGCTATATTGTTCAAAACTGCCTTTAAAACTGTTATGATTTATGAAGATTTTAAAGAAAACTAGAAAAATTCAGTACCTCTCAAAGTAATCATTAACTTTCATCAACTTATCATCATTGACATTGTTATTCATAATCCTTGATTAGGATTTATGTTTACCAACCACACTTAGATGTCTATATCTGAGTGTTTCTGTCTAACAGAGGAAGTATTTTCATGTGAATCAACTTCAAAGCTTTCCTTTTGCCTTTTCCCAAAATGTATAAGAAGGCTTGCCCAGAATATAAAGATGCTATTAAAGGCAACAAACCCTAGGGCAACCTTCCCTAACACAAATTTTTTGGCTCCTTTTCCTTGTTGGAATATAAATGACAGACCACGTTGTATTCTCACTTTAGCTTTGTCTCTTTTAGCTAGAAATTTGCATATGATGAGGAAACTTGCTAGAACTGTCTCATTTGTCCAAATCCCTTCAATTTAAAGATCAGAAAAGAAGGACTTGAGCACTAAGAGGCTTTGCCAAGGTTGTACAGCCAGTTAGTGAGGGAGCTGAGGTAAGACCCAAACCTTCCCGACTCTCAATCTAGTGCAGTTCCCACGAATTCCCTGATGCCTCTCAGCTGGCTTCCTAGCTGTCATCCTACTACCAGATTTGGCATAGGCACATTTTTGTTAAAACTAGACAAGCAAGAACAGAAGTATTGTCTTATTCACAACATTATTTACCACCCGACTCCTCTCTCTTCATACCATTGTCTGCTGGACATGAGCATAAATTAAGATGTAGGTCTTGAAGGTAGAGCTAACAGTTGCTCTTCCAAAAACTTAGAAATTAGGAATTTTAAGGATGCAAATATAGATGTTTGCTATGGCTCTGAGAAAGTTGCTGGTACATTAAGTTCGTCTCTATACCAGATAAGATCCCTTAGAGCCTTTACTCTCTTCATCCCATTTCCTTGCTATAAGAGCCTTTCAAATCATTGATCAGGACAAATTCTCCCAGCTAAATATAATTAATTAAAAGAAATCTCCATCCATGTATTTAGAACAAATGCATACAAAATTTATCTTTGGGCTTTGGATCCTAATGTATTTTTAAAGGCAAAATAATTTATGGAAGGAACCTGTGGTCACCCTAGCCTTAAACATTTTTGGGGGAGAAATTTTAGATTTTTTTAGTCTGTGTAGAAATTAATTAGAAAAATCAGATTGTTCAAAGTTAATGAAAATGCTGCATTCAACTTTTAAATATTGGTATGTGTTGCTGAATTTCCTCAGCCAAGTTTCTGAGTCAAAGCTGAAGGACATCATTTCCCAGTTCTGGTTTATAAAGTCTCTTCCTCATAAGGTCTTCCTTCAAGAAGAGCAGCTACTCAAAATGAGAAGGGAGGAATATTGAGTAGAAATGATGACTCATTACCGCAACTCCCAGCAATAGAATAATCCATTCACACAGTTCTGTTTTTCTACGCCCTTATGCTAATGAATCACTGCTGTTTACTGTTTGGGGAGTAGCACCTTTCAACACCTGTAAGAAAGAAATGCTGTTTGAAAGCTTGCTTCTTGGGTAGAATGCCAAGATGTTTTGTGACATGCCCTACTTCCAAAAAACCTCATAGCAGAAAGGACTACATTCATATTCTCAACTTGCAGACTTCTCTTAGGTAGGGACTGCATTCCTCCTGGAAGTGTCTTACTGGAGTGAGGTCTGAACATGTTTGCATCACTGTCACTGTCAAGCAAAACAGACTTGATTGGGAATGAATTTGTTCATATTGACTCTGGCTTTTTAAAAGTAAACAAGTACAAATAAGGAGGTATAATATTAATGGTTTTGCATCTTAAGGAGAATTTATTATGTTTTGAATTTATTCTCTTGGCAATATTTGTCATTCATTCTTTGAACTTTCCAAGAAGTTTTGGATCAAGATAGTAGTTATCTCTTTCCTAATTAATCTTGGTCTGCAAATTTAGACATCTGAAATCAATTCTAGAAGCATCCAATTAAAAAAACAAGTTGAAAAATAAGTAATTTGATCTCTGGGAATATCACATCTAGCTATATTAACCTAGAATTGCTCCGTTTTGCTCAGATATTTCGTTCCATCATTTTGATTCTTATGATTGCATAATAAAGAATAACAAACTCTGTCAGGTTTTTTGGAACTGATGAATAAGGTATTTTGCTTCCCAATTTGACAGTTTATCAGAGTATGGTAATTCACTATGATGTTTCTCTAAGAATGTGTATTATTATCTCAATAGAGTTTTTGGTAAGGAAACAGGTCATCAGCATATAGATATTTGAGAATTCTATCTATAAGAAAGTAAATGTGAGTGAAGAGATTCTCTTTGAGAGTAGGATGTGATGTCCTCCAAAGAAATAAATAAGTTTGGAATACAAAATTGGAGACCAGCATAAAAACTGTGTTTCCTTAATGATGCTGGGGCAGTAGTAGCCCTAGAATCCTGACCTCCCAAGTCTCACAACTGGCAGAAAGAATTCTCCTAGAGAAAGGCAGTATCTCCAGTTGGACAGGAAAAAGAGCAAATAATACAATGAAATTGTTGGGGATTAAATGGAGGCTCAAATAATCTCTTTCCTTTTAGGTTGAGTACATTTGTTTTCTAAACAAATGGAAAATTGGTCTTAGAAATATATTTTAGCTAGTGTGGTGTTTCTACTTAGAAACCATTTTAAGCCTAGTCATAGTTCCAGATGGCCATGATGGAAATCATTCAACTCAATCAAGAGGTAAAACTAAAATATACAGCTGGGCCTTTGCCAGGATTTTGTTGTATTCTGGAAATACTGAATGTTTTAGGATCTCTAATATGTGTGGATGTGGTGCAGGGATATAGTACCTAGGCACGATGTGGCTATACTATGACAAAAACAGCTACATCAATGCCTGGTCACTCATAAAGCAAGTGGATCTATGGCAATGTAATATAGTCTCCATTTGTGTTCCTTGGGTGAACTCATTCTATCAGGGACTGCTGGCAAAAACAACAACAAAAGATTGACATACTGACCATTTCCATAGAGCTGTTCTTATTGTTGTAGTCCTGGTGCTCTGGGGATGATGAAAATAGATGGATTTTTGTGGCCCTTGTTCACTGGAAATCCATGATAACACAGCTGCACATCTAAAATTATAGTAATTTAAATCTTTCTTCCTCGTATGCTAGCCAGAGACTAATTCATGTCTAAATTTTCCATAATCACTTGTCATTCCAAGACACATTAAAGCATCTAATGTATTATCTTTGAGGATTACATCCGGTCAAAATATAATGTTCCTCCATAGTTTGGACTTTGATTTTTTAATTGAATTTAATATTTATTTAAAATATATACACACCAGGTATTTGCCAGGTACTGGCAACCTAGGTTTCAGTATTGTGAGCACACTAGAGCATAGGAGTGAGTGAGAATGAGAGGCTTTTTGTCTTTAAAATAGATGTCTTCCTAGGAGTTGCAGGGGCACACAAAATCTCTGAAATATGTTTGAGCTACAGGATCCTTAGTTTTGTAAACTATGGAATATTATTTCCTTTCTCGTGGCCTCATGTTTCTTTGTAAAATGGAGATAATACTTATATTACATGGTGCTTCTTAAGATTAAATTTAATGTATATAAAGCACCCAGTGCCATAACTGACAGAGAAAATGCTCAGTGGAAGGCATTTATTTCCATTGTTACTCTGGTTTTTGAGAGGAACATGCTTTTCTAGAAACTGTAGGATGTTTTTAATACAGCATCAAGATTTTGATTTGTGTGGAACTCTTCGGGCTTATTAACTCAGATTTGAAAAATCTGTGGGGCATAAAGGACCCTGACACCAACCCAAATCCCTCACAAAAAGAAACGGAGATAACAGAGATTCCTCCTGAGTACAGGAGATACAAAAAGATACGTTTCCCTTTGGGAAAATCAAGTGAAGGAGTGCTACTGATAGCATATGGAAGAGTGACACAGCTTTTGCCCCTGGTCCAGCTCCTAGGGACTCATGCATCATTCATTCAGTCCACAAATCTTTGTTGTATGAATGCTACCTACTAGGCATGGTTCCTGGTGCTGAGAATAAAGAAGTAAAAAGGCAATTGATAAAAATCACGGTCCTCATGAAACTTACACTGTAGTGAAGGGAGAAATAAACATGGTAAATAAATAATAATGTATGAAGCTGAGCACCGTGGCTCACACCTGTAATCCCAGCACTTTGGGAGGCTGAGGCAGTGGATCACTTCAGCACAGGAGTTTGAAATCAGCCTGGGCAACATAGCGAAACCCCTCTCTCTACCAAAAATATAAAAAAATTAGCCGGACATTGTGGTGGGGCCTGTGGTCTCAGCTAATTGGGCGGCTGAGGTGGGAGAATTACTTGAGCTTGGGGAGGCAGAGGCTGCAGTGAGCCAAGATCACCCCACTGCACTTCACCCTGGGCAACAGAGTGAGATCCTGTTTCAATGATAATTAGTAACAATAAATATAATAATATATGAGGTATATTAAATCTGATAAGTAGGGTAAGCATAAAGGAAGATTGTTGGAAGAGATGATAGGAAACCAGATCACATAGGACATTGTGGACCCTCATAAGGATTTGGCTGTTCCTCTCAATCATGTGGGGAGCCATTGAAAGGAGCAGATGGGCATTATGCTTTGACTTCATTTGTTTAAGTCTTCCACTAACTACTGTATGGAAACAGACTTAGGGGAGGATGCATAATGGGATGAAGAGCAGAAGTAGGAAGATCTCTTAGAAAGATACTGTTTCTTCTATAGAAGAAATTGTCCACCCACAATAGCCAAGGTATCTTGATATTGTATTATAGGTCAGACCATTTGATGTCAGTAGAAAATCTATTCTGCCTGAGCAAAAGGGCTGTGACTTACAGGAAACATTGAGAATTAAAATTAGATTCTTGAGGATCATGATGTTTGGAGTCCTGGAGGACCATGCTGAGCAACAGTGGTTGCAATGCCTCAGTGCTAAACAGCCACTGAAGCAGTCTTAGAGAGCAAGCAGTGGAACAGGTGGGTAGTGGTGACTTTGTGGGAAAGCAGAGCCTGCAGTGTGACTGCAGCCATGGGCTGTGCACCGTCTGGCCCAGGCTGTGGGTGAAGCTCGGATCACCATCCTGTTTGGATGTATCAGTGTGGTTAGTTTTAGAGTAAATGGAAACAGACATTGTGGCAGGATGGTATTTTGTAGTTTTAACAAGTAATTTGGGTATCTAGAATGTGCAGCATCAGTTGCCTTAGGGAAGGAATGTTATAGCAGAAGCTCAGTGGAATTTCAAAAGCCCTGTACCCCAGGAGACCTCAGGGCAGAGACAGTGTTTGGTAAGTCAGAACAAGTCTTGCAACTCCCTGAGGATTGTGTGTGTGTGTGTGTGTGTGTGTGTGTGTGTGTGGTGTGTGTGGTGGCCGCGGAAGTGAGAAGAGGCAAAGGTGAAGCAAGAGGGGCCACAGTGTGGGTATCTGAGAAAGGGGAGACCTGTTCCCTGCTCCACAGGAGTGTGCTGAGATTTAACAGGCATGACCAAACCCTAGAGAAATTTGGGGAGGAATGTGATAGCAGAAGGTGTGTCTCTTTTGCCAGATAGAGCCCAGGGAGATTAGAAGACCCCTGAGAGGAAAGGCTTGAGCAGTGTGTTTGGGCTGACTGGGGGTGGGAATAGGGAGAGACCCAGAGAAAGGGAGAGACAGAGACCAAAAGGAAGGAAGGAAAGAAGGAAGGAAGGAAGGAAGGAAGGAAGGAAGGAAGGAAGGAAGGAAGGAAGGAAGAGAGGAGAAGGGAAGGAGAGTGAGAAAGGGAGAGGGACAGAGAGGGAGTGAGGAGGGTAGTGAGAGAGGAACTCAGAGGGAGAGGGAGAGATTGTGAGTAGAGGCCTGCTGAGCTCTGAGCCCTGCTCTGCCTCCTGGATAGAGAAAAGAAAGAATGCATCTGTGACTTTGTGGGACAATCACTGAAGTCAGGGATGGTGGGCATCTCAGAAAGTGGTAATTAAGGGTCTGATGTCTCCCATCTCCCAGAACATAGATCCTCCTCCTCCCTCTGCCCTGGCCTGTCTGCCCTGCCCCACTTTCCCCCGAAAAAAGGAATCCCATGGAGCTGGGAAGAGTGTCAGATTTCCCCCTCTATTCTCAGGTAAAAGGACTTCACCTAGACACAGAATTTCTTATATAATTCAATTTTTGAATTCAGACTTAAATTTGTGATACATTTGTAGAACTCAATTGCATTTTAACCCTCAGGACTAATAAATACGGAAATAGAAAATATCTTTTTCCTAACTATTCACATTTACTACATAGAACCCCAAACCAGCCACTACTAAAAATAAACAAACAAAACTGGGTGGATGCTTCAGGCAGAGATTTCATAGATTATAATTTAGGCTTTGATATTTTTTTCCCAGAAGTGAGAAAAGAGGGTGGGGGTTGTGGAAGAAAGTGTGATTCTGTTAAAGGTAGAAAGCACATGTATAAGGGAAGACTGGAGATGCTAGTGGGGAAGGGTAAAATGAGGGCACAAAGTGCCCCAAATGAGGGAGGAGCAGGTGGAGTAGGAAATAGAGGGGTGTGAGAACGGAGTGTGGGGGTCAATGAGGGAATCCGTGCTGCTTGCGCCCTGCTTCTCTGGTGGGGCAGGAGTCAGGTCATCTGCTGAAAACTGGGGTGAGGTGGGAAGAAGGGGGCTGGCACAAGCAGGATTGGGATCTAAGGAAAACAGAAAGATCAGAACAGCTGCTCTACAAAATGGGTTATGAAATGAACAAGGAAGGAAAGTTTGCCAAGCACCAGTGAAAGCACCTTTGAAATAAGATAACATGAATTTATAATATGCCAAGGTAGCTATTCGTCTCTTTAGTTCTGTATTCAACTTTTGTCTTATTCTAATAGCAGAAATTTGACCTGTTTTTGTAACACAAGAAAACTATTGGGTCACTTTAATTTTTCTTTTTAAATATACTTTTTTGTTCTACAAGAACTTTGCAACCAAATTATCTGTTTTAATTCATTGAAAAATCATAAGATACAGGCCTTAGGAATATTTCATATAGTGTTATTAGCTTTGGTATGTAATAAATTTATATAGACCACATTTATCTTTTAAATATATTTGCCATGTTATCTTTGTGAGCAGTACTGTGAGGACCTGGGGAGAAATGGAAGGGAAGAGAAGGGAAAAGGAGAGGAGGAGAGGAGCAGGGAGGAGAAGGAAATAAAAGGAAGGAAAGGAAAAAGAGAAGTAGCGTGGCCCAGGAGTTTGAGGCATCCTCCTCACAACTGTCCTCTTGTATATACACATAAGCATGAGACAGTTGAAATGTCTGAGGAGTCCTTGGGTAAAGGAACCTTTTCAATTTTCTGCTGCCCTGCCTTAAAAAAATACCTATAGCCTACAAAGAGATATTGACCAAAAATAGTACATGTGGTTCCAAAGCAAGAGAAGAGCTTTTGGAATTGGGTGGACCTGAGGCAGGCACATAATAGGCTTTCAATAAACAACTATTGTTGCTAATTTATAACAGTTTGTCAAGCTGGCTTTTCTAAGGCCAGCTCTTGTATAGCAGGAGTTGAGGCCAAGAAGAGGACTAGGAAGTGAGGGTTCTATAGTTAGTATCCTGGGTGCCACTCATGACATATCAGGGGCTGATCCCCCCTATTATAAGAGGCAGAGGCAGAGGCATTAGTCAAAGCTGTGGGAAGAGAAAGGTGGGTGGATGTTGTTTGTCTGTTTTTAGTAGTGACTGATTTGGGGTTCTATGTAGCACAAGGCAAAATGACAAAGAGAGTAGAATTGATCATTGATGGATTTTTATTGCAACAACTTCCCTCTGTCAAAAATTTTTTTTTAAAAAAAGAGCAAAAAGAGGAAAAAACCCTTTCACATTAATACACTCTTTTCTTCTATTTATATCATATTCACAGAATCCACATACCTCTTGTCTTTCCATTCTTCAGTTTCTTGCGAAACTTATTTAACAGCAACTGAGATCATGTTGTAGCACCGTACAACCAGGGCAGTCTTGTCTGTGGGGTGCACTGCCTTTCTTCCTCACCTGGCTCAGTACATTGCTTTTGTCTTGTTTTGAGCAGATTCTGGGAAAATGTAGCTTATCTTCACCCACATTTTTAAGGGTGGAGGAAGAGAGCCTTAATACCATTTTGTACTTCCTCCTTGAATCATAATCATCTTAGCTAGATAGACAGCCTAGTAGGAGTCCAGCATTCCCTGCTTGTTCATACTCGCCCTTCCTCTGCTCACTTCACAGCCCTGCCAAGTCCTAGTCTCTATGCAGCTTGCTTTCATTTGAAGGCAAAAAAAACACTGAAGCTCAGCCTTTAGCAGCTCATGACTATACAGAGGAAGCCTTTGGTCTGGCAAATCCATCACTCTCATTTGGTTTCCAAAAGTCACTGGAACCTTGACAGAGAAGACTTAAAGCCTCTAGAAGCTATACTGGAAACAAAACAGTTTTTCACTAGAGCTGTTGCTGTTTTATGAAGAGCATTCTGCAAAATGCCTTATGAGTACATACTAATAATGTCTAGTATGTAAATAAATTATACCTAATAAATTCTCAGAGGGCTGTTAGCTTCTCTCTAATCCAATCAAAGCTGCCTGATTCTTGCACTGGGCACAAATGATGATGTTCCTTGGAAATTTTCCAGGTAAAATAGTTTGGAATTATGGAAAGGGCTCTCATGGCATTAATAATGCCTCCCATTAATTCTGGGAGCTTCTCATTTCATAGCCACCTCTCATTTGACTAATTTTAAAAAGATATTTTTTTCTGAAAATATATTGAATGTAAGTCACATATCTAAATAACAGCACATAAAAATGCTTATGATATAGTAAGTGCAAGAAAAATAAAATTATATGCCATGATTACAACTATTTAAAATTCTGCATGGATAAGGACAAGGATTAGAAGAAAGCATGACAGGTCACCTGGGACATTGAAGGTTGCCAATAAATATTGATGAGTGAATTCTCAATGTACATAAATAACAATTACTGGATTTGATAAAATTATTCAGTTTTCTCTTGAATATTACATTTATAAAATGAGTAAGTTCCTAAAAACTGGTTAGATGCAGTTGTTATTAAAACACTCTATCTTCTTTATAACTTCCAATTTTTCTCTATCTGAAGTTTTCCCTACCTGTTGATCTTATAGTCATTCTCTGGTACTAGAAAAGCAGATCTGAGCATTCTAAAAATGTCAGGGTTGTTCAGCTGATGCAAAGCAAAATATTATCAGATTATATCAGAATATAGCAGATATTATCACTGTCTTCTCAAATCCAACACTGGCCAATAGGATGGCCTAATTCAGGTGATGTGGTTTCAAAGACTGTTGGTCCCCCAGCTACCTACCAGTAATTTAATAGTGATGCTTCAATTTAGACTTCTATAGATACATTCCATTTTTAAGGTTTGGTCCCCAATAAATACAAATACCTGGAGAAATAATACTTCAAAGAATCTTGGTTATTTGTATCTGAGCTTAAAAAAGATTACTGGATTTTTTTTTTTTTTTTTTTTTTTTTGTGAGACGGAGTCTTGCTTACAGGCATGTGCCACCACACCTAGCTAATTTTTGCATTTTTAGTAGAGACAGGGTTTCACCATGTTGGCCAGGATGGTCTTGATCTCCTGACCTTGTGATCCGCCTCCCTTGGTCTCCCAAAGTGCTGGGATTACAGGAGTGAGCCACCACGCCCAGCCAAAAAAGATTACTGGATACTTTCTAGACATTAAGTTTTGGTCAGGGAGATGAAAGATGACATAAGAATTCTGAAGGGGGAGGTGGGTTTCGGAGATGGCTTGTTCAAGGGAAAAAGTGGCAAAGAAAGGAGAGATGACCAAAGTGCCATTTGCCTGCCCAGAGCTGATCCTTCTGTCTAAGGGTGAGTGTCATGACTGAGGGGCAGCTGGGACTGCTTAAGTGGCTGCCACTATATTCAGTCATTGAAAGCATGCTCCGGGAATTCAGGTTTGGCTGCAGCTGTGACAGTGGGTGAGGGCAATCATATCCAAGCTGCCATGTGGTCTGTGAGATTCCTGAGTCAATAGTGAGTCTATTTAGGGATTAGGACCTTGCATTCTCATACGAGATTTAGTAGTCATAATACACAGCCAGGATCATGGCACATTTAACAGGTATTAAGAGAGTACTAGGAGAATATGAAGATCAAATGTCAGGGCTTTTAATATGGTTTTTTTGTTTGTTTGCTCGCTTTTGCTGTAGATTGTGAATATATAGATTCCAACCTTTCACTCTTGATAACAGAAAAAAAATCTTTGATATCAATTACAAGTTTTTGCCTGCGTTATTAACCAGCCTCCAAGCAATCCAAATTGTTTCCTTCTAGTAATTGTTCAGCTGTACTATTTTAAAAAATTAAATGAACATTTTCTGTTGAACAGAAACAATCTGTTGGGTTTACTTGAAAGAAATTCGTACTTAGGGCCAGGCACAGTGGCTCACACCTGTAATCCCAGCACTTCGGGAGGCCAAGGCAGGCGGATCATGAAGTCAAGAGATCGAGACCATCCTGGCCAACATGGTGAAACCCCGTCTCTACTAAAAACACAAAAATTACCTGGATGTGGTGGCGCGCTTGTAGTCCCAGCTACTCGGGACAGGCTGAGGCAAGAGAATTGCTTGAACCCGGGAGGCAGAGGTTGCCGTGAGCCAAGATTGCACCACTGCACTCCAGCCTGGCAACAGAGCAGGATTCCGTCTCAGAAAAAAAAAAAAAGAAGAAGAAAAAGAAATTCATACTTACCTGCTTAATTAATGATATAACTGGCCCTTGTTTGAAGTAATCAAGAGTGAGACCTGGGGAGAGCTCATGCATCAAGGATCCTGTAAGAGTTGTGTTCCTTAGTTTAAAGAAAGTCAGCATGTATTCAGGTCTATGTGATCACACACATACATACTCAAAAGTGTGGGCATTAGGATGAGAAAACAAGACAGATGTAATACGTAGTAACATTTTAAGTGCTTATCATTTGCAAGGCGTTGTTTTAAGGGCTTTTCTCATTAAATTCTTAGATTATCATCATAGCTAACTACTATTATTATTCCCATTTCATAGATTATCAAAGTGAATAGTTAAGTCCTATGAGTATTTTTTTTTAATTACAGAAAAGGAGAGAGAAAAACAAGAGAAATTAGAAGGGAAAGAGAGAAGAAACTGTCATTTTCTGTCTTTCGGAGCCATTTCTAGTCATGAGAAAAAGAAAGGCAATAGATTTTCAAGGAGCAATAGCCCATCTCATGGTCAATATTGAAAAACTAAGTAAGTTCTACATGGCTTTTGAGTACCAAGTTGACTTCCTTATCCATTTTATTTAAATGCCACTGAAATAGTTCCATAGTTGTTTTATTTCTTTTGTGGTAGATGATATTGCTTATGACATGACATTAATCCATATCAACTGAGAACGTTGCCCATAATTATAATGTTGCTTTTGATAGAAATATCCTATAAGACTGAAATAAGTGAAATATTGCTTTCAGAAGAAAGAAAAAACACCTTGTATTAATGTAGTGCTACATCAAGAAATTGTATCCCAAGGCTTGGCTCCAAGTCTGTAAATGTGGTATTCAGTGAATATGTTTTGTTGTTTATTGTCAGACAAGCAAGCATATACATAATAAATATATAGTGTTTGATTCCATTTAACACATAACACACACACGTATACACATATGTGTATGTGTGAGTGTGTATGCCTCTGTGTGTGTGTATCTATAAAAAAGACTACACCATCAAAAATACTGAGTGGTGGCTGGGCGAGTTGGCTCACGCCTGTAATCCCAGCACTTTGGCAGGCGGAGGCAGGCAGATCACGAGGTCAGGAGTTTGAGACCAGTCTGGCCAACGTGGCACAACCCCGTGTCTACTGAAAATACAAAAATTGGCCGGGCATGGTCACGGGCACCTATAATCCCAGCTACTCAGGAGGTTGAGGCAGGATAATCACTTGAACCCGGGAGTCGGGGGTTGAAGTGAGCCGAGATCATGCCATTGCACTCCAGACCGGGCGACAAGAGTGAAATTCTGTTTAAAAAAATAAAAAGGCCGAGCGCGGTAGCTCATGCCTGAAATCCTAGCACTTTGGGAGGCTGAGGCAGGCAGATCACAAGGTCAGGAGATCGAGACCATCCTGGCTAACACGGTGAAACCCCGTCTCTACTAAAAATACAAAAAAATTAGCCGGGCGTAGTGGCAGGTGCCTGTAGTCTCAGCCACTCAGGAGGCTGAGGCAGGAGAATGGCGTGAACCCGGGAGCAGAGGTTGTAGTGAGCCGAGATCACGCCACTGCGCTCCAGCCTGGGCGACAGAGCGAGACTCCATATCAATAATAATAATAATAATAATAATAATAATAATAATAATAATAATGTATTATGTAAACTTCCTGCCTTCTAGAAATTGCTTATGTATTGTAGAGTTAAGCATGAAAATCGAAGGTATTACGTGAGTGTCATGGATACTTATTTCTTCATAACAGGAGGGAGCAATCTCTAAGAATTGGGTTGTTAGGGGAAATTTCAAAGGGGAAAATGAATCAGATTAAACTTGAAAGATAGGTGCAGTCCAAGAGGACATATGAGTAGGAGACAGGGAATGCCTGCTGGATGTAATGACTTTTATTTAAAAAGAGATTAAAAAGTTCTACATTTCTTTGAAACTGAGAAATGGAATTAGTGGTAAAGAGAAATAGTAAGATTGATTCCAAAGATGGCAGCCCTTGAAAGTCAGATTAATATTTGCTAAGAGCAACCTTTTAAAATACTTCTAGCATGCCCTCTTCAAGAACACATAAACCAGATAGGATAATCCCATATTCTCAGAAGTTTTCAAGTCTTTATTCTCCCCACCTACATCACTTTTAAATTTTCTCCTTTGTCCAATCTCTCTGTTTTTTCCATTTGAAAACAGCATGTTAATTTCAAATTGTCTACTTTGTCTTCACCTGCAACTTCCTTAAGACACTGCTTCTTGAAACTACTTCTGGTTGCGACAGGTTAGCAATGTCATACTTCTACACCTGGCCCAGGAATATAACATGCTGTACACCAGCCAAAGCCTTATTTTGTCCTAGCATGTACTTGCCAAAGGAAGGAGATAAGAAAGTATATTTGTTATTTTTGATATGTAACAAATTACCCCAAGGCTTAGCAGTTGGAAACAACAAATATTACGTCACCAATTTCTGAGGGCCAGGAATCTAGTGGTACCTTACCCTGGTGGTTGTGGCTATGGTCCCTCAAGCTGCTGGTGTTGCCTGCTGTCTCTGGAGACCTGACCAGGACTGGAGGATCTGTTTCCAAGTTCATTCAAGGGTCTATTGGCAGGACTTTCAGTACCTTGCTATGTGAGCCTCTCCATAGGGCTGCTGACACATGACTTCTCCCAGAACAAATGAATGAGAGGAAAAGCACCAAGAGAAGTAACAAAAATGGAAGCCACAATATATTTTATAATCGAATTTTAGAATTTACATATCACCACTCTGCCTTATTCTGTGGGTCACATAGATCAAGCCTGGCATAGAATAAGAGGAGACTGCACACCAGTGTGAATACCAGGAGGCGAGGATTATCAGGAGCCATCATGGAGCCTAGTTACTGCAGACAGGTATTTTTGTCTAAACCAGATTATGGTGCACACAGATCATTTAGAAAGATGAATTTGACAACTGCGTGTGTATTTCTGCATTTAACATGATGAAACAAAGTCTTTAAAGAGTTATATATCTTATCTATTTAGTATTACTTAGTTACACTGAGAGACACATGCTTCCTTAAAATACCAGTTTCCAGAAGAGTGATACAGTGTTATGTGCAGAAATGTCCACTATGAAGGAAAACCTATATTGTGGTGTGTATCTAAGCAAAAGAACTCTTCACTGCTTCCTGAGATGGAGCATACTTTATGGAAACATGGGCCTGGAGAAAGTCTGATTATGCAGCACAGCCCATGGAAGAACGCTACACTGTGACAGAGCACTAGGTCAGGAGGTCAAACTCCATGCTACTCTGTGACACTTAGTCACCTAATAAATAATTTATAAATTGGCATAGATAAAACATTTACTCCTTTAACTACTTGGGATGTCTGCCCTTTCTGCTCATCAAATGACCTCTGTAGCAGAGGATTGGTTTCTATAGTTTTGGAGATACATGAGTCACCCTGCAGGGCTAATGGGGCAAGTAGGCTGCCCTACTTATTCTTTTGGCTTATGAGTTTGATAATGGAAGTGAAAATTGAGAATTGAAGAAATAAGAAATTGAGACCCAGAAAGATAAGAATAAGGTAACTCTTTTTTTTGGAAATGGAGTCCATGCTGGAGTGTAGGTGACACAGTCTCAGCTCACTGCAACCTCTGCCTCCCAGGTTCAAGCGATTCTCCCGCCTCAGTCTCTTGAGTAGTTGGGACTACAGGCATGTGCAACCATGCCCAGCTAATTTTTTGTATTTTAGTAGAGACAGGGCTTCACCATGTTGCCCAGGCTTGTCTTGAACTCCTGAGCTCAGGCAATCTGCCCACCTTCACCTCCCAAAGTGCTGGGATTATAGGCGTGAGCCACTGTGCCCGGCTGGTAACTCTTGAATTTCAAAAATTAAAGAGAAAAGAATACTACAAAGAACTTCTTACACTCAGAGAAGTCAATTAGATTATAAATAAACAAGTAAATTTTTTTAAGTTTAGAATCTACTTGAATAAATGACATTTATTTTTATATGTAATTTCCATAAAAGTAATGGCTTCAAAATAATTTCTCTCTCATATATGTAATAGAGTTCTGTGACTAGGTTAAGTTTTGCATTGTCAGAGATTAATTTATTCTTAAATATTTGAAAAATATGACTCATGGGCCAAGTATGGTGGCTCATGCCTGTAATCCCAGCACTTTGGGAGGCCGAGGTGGGTGGATCACGAGGTCAGGAGATCAAGACCATCCTGGCTAACACGGTGAAAACGCGTCTCTACTAAAAAAATACAAAAATATTAGCTGGACGTGGTGGTGGGCACCTGTAGTCCCAGCTACTTGGGAGGCTGAGGCAGGAGAATGGCATGAACCTGGGAGGCGGAGCGTGCAGTGAGCCAAGATCGCATCACTGCACTCCAGCCTAGGCAACAGAGCGAGACTCAGTCTCAACAACAACAAAAAAATCTGACTCATGGTCCTATTCCATATCTCATTTGGAAGGCTAGTATCTTTCCTCTAAATTCTGGACATTTTCAGGATTTGTGTGCCCCATTACAATTCCCAGTCCCCACCTCAGTCTGACCAGCATGTCCTTCCGTGGCTTGTGTTGATCTCTCCATCCCAGATCAGCACAGACATGGACCGTGAGCCCTCTGCTGTGATTTTTACAAAGCATACAGGAGAAACAGTATGCAGTATGGATTTTTCTGGATATTATTTGGAAGGGGAAGGGGGACAGGTACAAACTGGAGAGGTTAAATACCATCACATAGCTGAGAAAAAATTTAAATTTAAGAGTTTTCTTAAAATATTCTGCAGGGTTTCCTACTACTAAGGTATCCATTGACTGCAGCCTGCATGTCGCTGGGCCAATTTCCTTTACAGCTACTCATGATAGACCCCTCACTTCTGCCTCTCCTGTTGTGACTTATTCCTGTGTTCTTCTTGACTCGGTAAGCCTCCCTTCTCCCCATGTTCATCCTCCTTTTTATTTTTAAGAGACAGTGCCTCGCTCTGTTGCCCAGGCTGGAGTACAGTGGTGTGGTCCTAACTCACTGCAGCCTCAAACTCCTGGGCTCAGATGATCTTCCTTCCTCAGCCTCCCAAGTAGCTGGGAGTACAGGTGCATGTCACCATGCCTGGTTAATTTTTAATTTTTTTGTAGAGATAGTGTCTCAATATGTTCCTCAGCCTGGTATTGAACTCCTGACTTCAGGCAATCCTCCCACCTCAGCCTCCCAAAGTGTTGGGGTACAGGCATGAGCCACCTGCACCCAGCCCTCAATTTTTTTTTGTTCTGTGTTCGTCTTCAAGAATAGTGCGCAAATTCATGAAAGGTTTCTTTTATACCATACAAAGTGGCCACCAAGTATTCTCCTGAACAAAAGTCCATTTCTGAAATCCACTGCAATCTATTCTTATAGAGCAATTTTTCTTTATTCCCAAATGTAATAGAAAAATATGAAATTGTAAGCAAAAATTAAGATACATATTAGTATATATGATTAAAGTTCTATTATTCGTAACACTGGTACTTAATACTATTATTTTATCAATAAGAATTCATTGAAGCTACTTAAGCTCATTGGAAGTACAGCACTTTGAACATTTTACCTGGTTTGACAAGAATAAGCCTTTTGAACAGTTGACAACTTAACATAATTGCAAGTACCTAACAACTTATTCCTATTTTGAATAACCATGCATTATTACTTTAAATCCAGCGTGTAAAGTCACACAAAAGGAAGTAATTGACAGTGAAGTACCATAGAACAGTTTTTTATTATTTGTTACAATAATTCTTTTAAATGTACACTCACCTGCTAATGTATAGCATTTATTCAGTACATTTCATCTTCAAAATACTTCATCCATATGAATTAATTCATTTCCATAAACACCTCAGTGAAACAGATGATAACTTTTATCCTATTTTCCAAGTGGGAGTATGAGACAGAGATAACTGTCTAATATCATACAAAGAGAGAATTAGGACAAAGATATAAGCAAGACTTTCTACTCTGTTCTAACACTGGTTATTATACATATGTAGTCTTCTTTTTACATAAAAGAGAGGGTTAGTTTGGAGATTAGAGTTTAGTGCAGAGATAATGATGTTGGCTCCATTTTGTGATTCTTCCTTGGATTTTCTTTACAATATTGCTTATCCCCAACATTCACCTTGCCTTAATTAACAAGAGTTAATTAAGGAAGAGTAACAGTTTTAGATCCTTATGCATGTGTGTTTATCTGTGAAGATACACATAAAAAAGCAGAAGACAAATTTGATTATATGTAAAGCTTCCAAAAACATCCTAGGAAACTCCCTGTGCCTCAAGAGCTCATGGGAAGCTCATCAAGAGCAAATGGGAAGACCCCAAACCAGGTGATCGCTAAGGTCTAGCCTGTCATAGCTGTGCTTGTAAATAATTTTTTGTATGACTTGAAACCCTCTCTTCATTTGAATATCAGTAATTCTTCAACTATCAAATTTTAATTTTTATTGTGTAAGTAAGTGATTTCAGAGACAGAAAAGCTTATAATTTTTTCACTCAGGTAGCTAATAATTGATGATCATTTTGAACATTTGCTATATTTAATAAATTTCAAGTCAGATTATCTTACTCATCCCAAAATCCTCTGATGACTTACCATTCCACTCAGAATAAAATTTATACTTTTTCCACAGCCTATGAATTCCTCCTACAGGTCTCCCTTTGTCTCCTGCATTATGGTCACATAGATTTTCTTGCCCATCCTCAGAAATGAAGAGCACATCCCTCCTCCTCCACTTGGTTTTCCCTTTGCTCGGATTCTCTAACAATGGTCTTGTTTTGGGGGGTACTCTGAACACTGACAAGTGAGTCTGCACTAAATACATGTTGAGCTGTGTTTCCTGACACGAAGTGCTGATAAATAGTCCTTAACTTTTGACAATCCTACTTATGTCTGGTTGTCTAAATGTAGCACTATGGGCTTGTAGTGTAAACATGCACCTAGAAAGAATAGCATTTCCACCTAATTATGAAAATCATATCCTTTAAAAAATACAAACGGGACACTCAAGTAGTATACACAGTTTCCCCCTTAACCCATATTTTAACACCTAGGCATAGAAAATACTAGAAGGGATTTTCTAGTTCTCCCCCAAATTCCATAAAACATTTACAAATGGGGGCCAGGCACGATGGCTCACGCCTGTAATCCCAGCACTTTGGGAGGATGAGGCGGGCAGATCACGAGGTCAGGAGATTGAGACCATCCTGGCCAACATGGTGAAACCCCGTCTCTACTAAAAATACAAAAATTAGCCAGGCGTGGTGGCATGTGCCAGTAGTCTCAGCTACTCAGGAGGTTGAGGCAGGAGAATCACTTGAACCCAGGAGGCAGAGGCTGCAGTGAGCTGAGATCATGCCACTGCACTCCAGCCTGAGCGAGACTCTGTCTCAAAACAAAAAACAAAACAAAACTTGCAAGTGGGCCAATCAGTCAATCTCTGCACACAAATCAGAATATTCTTTGAACTTAATGTTCAAGTGTTCAAAGTGAAGAAATAAAAGCCACAAGTCTGCCTTCAATGTCTATTTCCCTTTCAAGTTACTGACCATTCAGTGACTTAACATAAAAAGCACATAAATAATCAGAGATCCTTCCACCCTTCTCCTCTAATCCCAGTATCAATGATAAAAATGTTCTAATAGTCTTAAAGATTGACTTTATCTTTGAACATCTGTCAAGGATAAAAATTACCTGTGCTTACTCATTCAGGTATATGAGACCAAAACCATTTAGAACATATTTAATGACCTTTTATACAATTTAATTTAATTGGAAGGTTTGTTTCTAGATATTGCAGTTGTATTCTATCAGTATACTTGCATATATTTATAATGCCCTGAAAATGTGAATTCAACACAGTAAAAATATCAATTACCACAATGTTCTAACTACACTACACATGGTACGTGGGCAAATGACTAGCACAGATACTTGTAAAAGTCAAGTTTGCAATAGCAATAGCTTCTTATTCATTCCTACAAATCCCAAGGGATGCTGTAGCTGTAATGTAATGCCAAGTAATGTAATGCTGTTCTGCCCTTTCCTTGAAATTACTGCTATTATAGACCCATTAGCACTGCAGGTATTTCTATTCTGCTTTTCAAAAGGCTCAAAAGATGTGTGCCAAGAGTTCCTTGAATGAACTGAGCAGCATCTTCCAGCATGTTTCAGAATGTCAGTTGCAATATGACAGATTTTATTGTTCAGGAAAGTGGAAATGTTTACTTGGTTAATGATGTTTCTTTAAAGGAAGATCAGATGTAATGTGGAATTTTTCTAGGGAGCCTACCCTCAGAAACAGAAGAAAAGTCCTAATTTTATTAGTTAATGGGAGAAGGAGCAGTTTAATCAGCTCTAATATCTTCAGAAATTAACAAATTACTGAGTAAAATTTCTCAACTTTTGCTTTTCCCCATTGAGACCTTAATCATGTCCTAGATATATCAGTAAACTGGGATTAAGAAGATGGGTTCAGGCCAGGTGCAGTGGATCATGCCAGCACTTTGGAATGCCAAAGTGGTTGGATCACCTGAGGTCAGGAGTTTGAGACCAGCCTAGACAACATGGTGAAACCCCATCTCTGCTAAAAATACAAACAATTAGCTGGGTGTGGTGGCACACACCTGTAATCCCAGCTACTCTGGAGGCCGAGGCAGGAGAATCACTCTAGGCAGGAGAAACTTGGGAGGTGGAGGTTGCAGAGAGCCAAGATCGTGCCACTGCACTTTAACCTGAGCAACAGAGTAAGATTCCATCTCCAAAAAAAAAAAAAAAAGATGGGTTCAGACAGCAAGATTCAGTGATAACTACTCTGTAATGATCTTCCTGAAGAGCTGAAGAATGGAAATACTGGTGATTTTAGGGTCATACAAATAACAATGCCAGGAATCTCATCTATAATTCATAGGTTGAAAACAAAATAAAATTATATCTGAGAGAGTAGAAAATAGTACTTGCAAAGATGACAGTGGTTACCAAATCCTCTTCTTAGACTTCTTTTTCAAATAAAGTTTTGCTCTAAAAACAAAAGAATAAATATTTTTTACTAAATACTTTTAGCTAATTTTAATGGTATTGCATATCCATACTTCATAAATATATCTGCTTAATAAATCAAAATGAAATTGCTTTAACGATGAATTTAGCACTGGGGGCTAGTGTCTGACAGGATTTCTGCAATTTCAAAATATGGTGAAACCTCTCTCTGAGATTTGACACCGGCCCTGGGTTGAGAATATCACAGAATTGTTGGAGATCTTACAATTGTGCCATTATGGAGTTTTCTGAATGGCCATGGAGAAGAGATGATGTTGAGGTAATTAGATGGTGTATTTATCTTGAGGAAATTTGGTAGCATGGTTTCACCATTATTCCTAGGCATGTGTTGAAGCACACCATGAGTGAAATCAGCGGGATGATAACAGAGGTAAAAGAAACAGAGATCTAGAAAAGTTTAGGAGCTATTTCTGTTAATTTTTGTCATTTTCTCAAGGGTTCCATTTATGGGGTTCTTATGTCATCAATAGGGTTGGGATTCTTAAAGAAATTTGCCAAAGTAGACAACTCTACACACTGGGGAGACATCCATGCGGTCTAGGACAGAAGAAAATTTCCTAGGTGTTTTTTTGTCAGGGGTTAGGGGAGGGTGGATGCTGCTGTTATAACACTGGGTGTCTCTGGAATCTTGGCTGAGCTTCAGCCTGTACCAACCTCCCCCCAGTCAGATAGTTCACTTGAATTCTACAATCCTAAGAAAACTAATATCAAGTATTCCAAGTTTCTTTCTTCAAGAGACAGAGTGGTTCATAGGAAATTTATTAGATTGCTTTAGGCTGCAAGTAACAGAAAATCCATGTAGCAATGAGAAAATGATAAGGAAAGTCTCTTATGATAAGAAAATTTAGGGACATGGCATTTCCAAAGTTGATTAATTCAGCAGCTTAGTGACAATGTCAAAGACCCAGGTTTTCTCCATTTTTTTCTTTTTTTTTGAGTTGGAGTCTGACTCTGTCACCCAGCTGGAGTGCAATGGTGCAATCTTGGCTCACTGCAACCTCTGCCTTCCGGGTTCCAGTGATTCTTCTGCCTCAGCCTCCCGAGTAGCTGGGACTACAGGCACATGTCACCACGCCCAGCTAATTTTTGTATTTTCAGTAGAGATGGGGTTTCACCATGTTGGTCAGGCTGGTCTCGAACTCCTGACCTCATGATCTGCCCACCTCGGCCTCCCAAAGTGCTGGGATTACAGGCGTGAGCTACCGTGCCTGGCCTGGTTTTCTCCATTTTTACATTTTGTGATTTTCAGCTTGTCATCTGTCTTCTCCATGGTGGCAAGGCATTTACACCAACTCAGGTATCACATCCAACAAAACAACATCCACAGGTCAGAAGAGAAGAAAGTGCATCCTGTTTTTCAGGAGTGAGGGAAATTTTCCCAGAAGCCTCTCAGCATTTCCACTCTTATATCTTATTTAATGGAATTTTACTTTTTCCCTTGTGCTAAACCAGTGCAATGGAAAAGGAATTGGTAAAATTGGCTTAGACTGGTCAAAGGGCCAAGAATCCACTGAAGTTTTTCTTATACTTAAGAAAATGAGGATTCTTTTGGCAGAAATGAGGGATGAAATGGATACTATGTCAGCTAACAAAAGTGGCAGGCCATAAGCTTAGTTTCCATTATTCTCAGCATAACACAGAGGAGTAGAAAGATATAGGACAGGGCTTCTCAACCCTTGCTTTGTGGACATCTTGGGCCAGATAATTCTTTATTGGGAGGACTGTCCTGTGCCTTGTAGGATGTCTAGCAGTAGCCCTGACCTCTACTTACTAGGTGCCACTAGCATTCACTGCCCAATTTGTGACAACCAAGTTATATGCCCTAGGAGGTGTTAGGGGATAAAACCACCTCCACTGAGCTGTCCTGATGTAGTAAATAGACATGGGAGAGAGGAACTGCCCATGAGTAGAGTATTGCACTAGGCTTGACCAGGAGTCTATTACCCTGAGCATAAACTGGACTAGGTTATCCATGAGTGACTTGAGGCAAGGTATGCCTGGTGTGTCCTCCTGAAGGCCTCTGGCTAGTGTATGGGGCTTGCTGGTCACAGACTCACATCTTTCTTGACTCCATGTAAGGTGACCTATGAACCCTCTCATGTGTGGGAAAATTTTCCAGGTATTAGTCGAAGCCAGGAAATATTCTAGTGCAGGGGTCAATGGGGGAAAAGGCAGAGGCTGAAATCATGATTTCAGGGGGACAAATATACTCTGGATGGGAATGTAAAGTGAATTGTTATAATGTAATTCCATTTAGGGGAGGTATTTGGCCTGTTTAACTTATCAGTAAGAGTCATAGTACCTAATGAATTATCCTAGTAAATTATTTAAATGCTGTAAAATGGGCATACCTGAACTAAAGAACTTTAAAAATGCCCTTCCAAAATTAAAGCAGGACCTGGGGTTTTGGGTTTGAGACACCTTAACCAGAATTGGTAGAGTTTAAAAGTCCGAATTTCTTGAGCTTGATGGTGAAAATAGTCAATGTATTAGATAAGTTGAATAGCTTAAATGAGCCTGTTATTTAGAGGGGATTTTACTTCAAACTAACTAATAATTCTGACTACAATGGATCCCCTCCCCTTTTTATGACATTTTATCTATTTTTTCAGTAGAAGAAAGCAATTTAAGTTTAAATTTTCACTTCAGTAGTGTCCTCTACTCTTTTCAGTTAAGAAGAGAAACACTAAGTATATGTTTTATTAGTGGAGAGTGCTGGCATAATTATACTGACTGTACATAATTGTGGAAAGTTCGAAAGGGAGACATTTGGGGAATAGAAAACAGCAGAGATATCTCATAAGAAAAGAAAAAGAGGCAGGGCGTGGTGGTGGGTGCCTGTAGTCCCAGCTACTCGGGAGGCTGAGGCAGGAGAATGGTGACACTGGGAGACGGAGGTTATTGTGAGGCGAGATTGCGCCACTGCAGTCCAGCCTGGGCAATAGAGTGAAACTCCGTCTCAAAAAAGGAAAAAAAAAAAAAAAAGAAAAGAAAAAAAAAAGAAAAGGAAGAGAGACATAAAAAAATAGAAAGGATGAGAGAAGATACATGGAGAGGCACACAGCAAACTAGCAATGGTACCACCCAGTGCATAATTTATTCAGTTAAATTCACATATGTTTTTAAAATGTTGGCATTTATATTTTACAAATAATAATCTACTACATGTTCTGTGCATCAACAAGAAAGATAGTTGCTCCATGAATTTGTTTTAATATTCAGTTATGTATGGAATAGTGGATAACAGTGGAGTGTAAAGCAGTATCATCACCACTTAATAGCTGTGTGACACTGGGAAAATTGCATATAATTTTGTCTTAAGTCTTTCATCTCCAAAATGAGGCTGCTAATAAAACCTAGTCCACAGGGCTGTTGTGGGCATTACCTGAGTTATTTCAGGGTGAATTGCTTATAACACTGGATAACATAGAGAAAATGTTTTAAAATGTTGTTTGTGTTTTGCTATTATTTAAATTCTTGATTCTCACTATCCAGCTGATCTTGATACTTATCTAAATTTAATCACAACTAAAGGTGCCAGCAATCTCCACTAATCGAATATATACTTAGTGTTTCTCTTCTTAACTGAAAAGAGTAGAAAACATCCCTGAAATAAAAATGGCCAAACAGAAAATATTAAAAGTCACCGAATCAACAGTAATTAAAGTTTGGAACACAAACCAAACTTTGGTTTGACCAAATACCAGTTTGTGAAGAGGTAATAGAAGCTTAAGAAAAAAAAAGAATTACTCTGCTACTTATTTAGATAATTGAATATATATATATATATGGTACGTGTATATATATATGGTATATATATATATATGGTATATATAAGGTACAAAGACTAATAAAACCAGCAGCACCCATGTTCTCATAATAGTTTCTTCCTTTTTTTTTTTTTTTTTTTTTTCAGAGGCAGATTCTCACTCTGTCACCCAGGCTGGAATGCAATGGTGCGATCTCTGCTCACTGCAACCTCCGCCTCCCAGGTTTAAGTTATTCTCCTGCCTCAGCCTCCTGAGTAGCTGGGATTGCAGGCGCCCACCATGCCTGGCTAAATTTTGTTTTTAGTAGAGACGGAGTTTTGCCATGTTGTCAGGCTGGTCTCAAACCCCTGACCTTCAGGTGATCTGCCCGCTTCAGCCTCCCAAAGTGCTGGGATTAAAGGCATTAGCCACCATGCCCGGCCTCATAATACAGTTTTAAAAAATAATGCACAGCATTGTAGTTCAAGACCCCATGTGTTCCTCAGTGAATTTTGTGCTTAACATTCTGTTGCTTTTCTTTATAAATTTACAATATATTAGTAACCTGTGACTTAATTGCTTCATTGTACTTTTATTTGAACTTTGTATAATGGTATCTGCTCTATGCATTTTTCTGAGACCTGCCTTTATTTAAAAATTCACATTATATTTTTGACATTCATCCATTTGGGTATGTAGAGATGTCATTCATTCATTATTACTGCTATAAATATTTTATTTTGTGACTGTACCACTTCTTATGTATCTGTTCACAATTTGATGGACATATGGAGTTTTTCCAGTCATGTGTTTTCACAAAACCACCGTATATATCTTTGGAAACACATGAGCAAGAGGTTTTGGAGTAAAACTGCTGGGTCAAAGAATGTAAACATCTTTTTGGGTACAAGATAATGTCAATTGTTTTCCAGTGTGATATGGTTTGGCTGTGTCCCCACCCAAATCTCAGCTTGACTTGTATCTCCCAGAATTCCCACGTGTATGTGAGGGACCCAGGGGGAGGTAATTGAAACACGGGAGCTGGTCTTTTCTGTGCTATTCTTATGATAGTGAATAAGTCTCACAAGCTCTGATGGATTTATCAGGGGTTTCCACTTTTGCTTCTTCCTCATTTTCTCTTGCTGCTGCCATGTAAGAAGTTCCTTTCACCTTGCACCGTAATTCTGAGTCCTCCCCAGCCATGTGGAACTGTAAGTCCAATCAAACCTCTTTTTCTTCCCAGTCTCGTGCATGTCTTTATCAGCAGTGTGAAAACAGACTAATACTCAGTGTAAATACACTAATTTACACTCCCACCAGTAATGTAGTGAGTTTCAATTTCTCTACATTCTTAACACTTAGTATTGTAAGACTTTTTAAGTTTTGCAAATATGAAGATGTGATATGCAGTCTTATTTTGGCTTCTCTGCAATAAATTTGACCTTTTTTAAAAAAAAATCACTGGCATATTTTCTTTTCTATAAAATGCATGTGTTTTGCCCATTTTAAATCATATTGTTGGTTTCTCTATCAATTTGTAAAAATAAGGTTTTTTAAAAGATATTTGAGGGACTAATTCATAGTTATATGTGGCAAATATCTTCACCCAAATTTTGGCTTGCTTTTCATATGGTTTGAGGTGTGTGTGGTTGATAAGAATATTGGTGTCAATTCATCAATCCCCTGTAATACAGTCATACCCTTTGCCTTGTAACTGTGCGCCCACCTCTAGAGTAGTGAGAGTATGATGTTCTTCCACATGAATGTTGACTTGGTCAAATATCTTGCTTTGGCTAATGAGATTTAAAAGATGTGACACAAGTATGGACATTAAATGTGCATATGAGGTTCAGCTTGACATCTTGTTTTCCTACCATTCTCCATAACAACAGGCCCTAGTTAGCCACTGGTCCAAGGAGGACACATGGAGCAGCCTCAACCCAGTCCCGAGTCTGGAACCAAGCCCAGCTGACTTGGAGCCTGACCCATGGATTGAGGCTACAGGCCCGTGAACAGGAAAAATAATGCTTGTGGTTATAAGTCATCCGATTGTGATGTGATTTGTTACACCGCATTATTACAACAAAAGCAGACTAAGTCAGAACTAATGGACAGAAGTCCTTAATTTAATATAGTTGAATTTATCATTGTTTTCCCTGAGGGTTTGCACACTTTTTGTGTTGTTTAAATTTAGTTTTTGGAATTCTTCCAAAGTCATAAATATGTTCTTTGCATGTTGTTCACAAACATGTTTTCTGTCCCAAGGTAATCAAGATTATGCATTAACGTTTACTAACAGCATGGAATTGAATTTATTTAGTGTTTGTGTGAAATAGGACTCAATTTTATTTATATTTTTACATGAATACCATAATTATCTCAGCGCAAGTGTTCATGCATCCCCCACTAACATAGAATGTTATCTTATTTCCGCAATGTGTTATCTATACCTGTGCCACTACCACATTGTCATAATTCCTGTAGCTTTTTAGTAAGTCTTTCTATCTGGTAGGGCAAGTCTTCTGTTCTTCTTACTTCAGGATGTGTTAGCTACGTTCGATCCTTCATTTTTCATATGCAGCTTAATTGACAGTAAGTCAAATTCCTTAAAAACCCAGATACATGTTGGATGTATGAATGTATTTGGAAATCTGTGACAATTTTGTAGCATGGTTATACTATCCAGAAGAATCATCTTTTTATGTTGTTTATATTTTATTTAACACGTCTTCATAAAGTTTTATAATTTACTTAAGCTCTTGCACATTTTATTTTAAAAGATTTTTTCCTGATTACCCTATACTGTGTCTCTATTTTACAAAGTATCTTTTTAAAGTTACTAAATGTTTGTAGTTATCATATGGAAATACAATTAAGTTTCATATTGATTTTTATCCAATAATTTTCTTAAAATTCATGATTAATTATAATAATTTATCTATATGGTCTTTTAGATTTTCTGATCAGAAATTTATGTCATCCAAGGTTAATAACTAGATTTTTAAAACTCCTTTCCAATATTTATAATGTTCATTTCTTTCTCTTTTTTCTTATCGTCAAGGGGCCCTCCAGTACAATGTTGAACAGTAGTAAAATTGTGACCCTCTTTCTTATTCATTAATTTAAAGAAAGTGAATTTAATCTTTCACTATTTAGTATGTTTTCTGTATGATTTTTGTTTTTATTTATATCAAATTAAATATTTGATATATATTTCTATTTCTATTCTAGGCGCTCTGCAGAGTTGATGAATTTTATTAAATGCTTTTACTGCATCTATTCAAGTGATGGCATGGGTTTCCCCCTTTAATTTGTAAATGTGGTGAATTACATTAATAGATGTTTTTATAATGTTGACTCAACCCTTCATTCCTTGAATAAAATTAATTTGGTCATGACATTGGCTATATGTTATATATATTGCTGAGTCTTGTTAAATCAAGTTTAACCTAAAGCTGCCTCCTTATATTTTAAGTTTGGCTTAAAGGCTTCTCTGTATATGGTGAAATATAGCCTAAATGGAAGTGTAAACAGACGGTAGTCTATGCTTGTGCCAATCACCAAGTTTTGGCTGATCAAATGTGGCCAACTCTTTGAACCATATTCAAATAAGGCAAACACTGAGCTATAACCAATCCAGCTGTTTCTGTATGTCACTTCCATTTTCTGTACATCACTTTCCTTTTTCTGTTCATAAATTTTCTTTCACCACGTGGCTGTGCTGGAATCTCTGAGCCTACTCTGGCTCAGGAGGCTGCCTGACTCATGAATTGTTCATTGCTCAATTAAACACTTTTAAAGTTAATTCAGCTGAAGTTTTTCTTTTAACAGATGGTTTCTGAAGTGAGATCAGAAGTAGAGCTTCTAATGACCCCCAGAAGCACTGAGTGACCAAGTGACATACCTGCCAGGCCCATTGTGTCCATCGCTCTCAGAGCAGCTGGGGATTGTGGTAAGTTCTTTCTCAGATTCCAAAGCTCTATGGATTTGTGTTTTGAGCTCTCCGAATTTATTTGAGCAAATTTCTAATCCAAACTGGCTTGGAAGTCATGACAGAAACTGGACTAGGTCTAGGATTGGATTGGATCCAGTGATTAACTGACTTGGATCCAGTTAGAGGCCTCTTACATCTGACTGGGTCAGAAAGAAACCAGTAGTATATGGCAATATTGCATGGGGTGTAAAATTTGGCTTTTGGAAATTCACAGGAATTTTTGTGTTCTATCCCTTTGTTTCATTTTTCATGTGTACTTAGGTAGGAAAAAAAATCATTGGCTAAATTGATCAAGGGAACCTGAGCGCAAAACCAGTATCTTAGCTAAAAATGGGATCCTTAATTTCTGAAGAACTAATTTCCTTTTGGCTGATACATGCATAAGTGTTAGGCCCTGGAAGCAGCAAAGTCTTACAGAAATGGTGAAATCTTACTAAAGATAACTTAGAATGGAATGTTCCAATTGAACAACACTGAACTGAAGTGCATTTAAAAATGAGGGCTCCCAAATTAGTCTTATCTAGGGATGCCTATTGATATGCAGAAACTTCTAAAAAGATTTCAGTATTTCTATTTAAAATTTCTATTTAAATTTCTATTTACAAAAGGCAAATGAAAATCTTAAACAACTGATTTTTTAAAAAATTAAATCTGCTAAACTTTTGACTTGGTTACTATCCTAACCCAAATAAATAGACTGCAGTACCAATTGGCTGACTTTGGGTAAATGGTGGGGTATATTTTACCCAGGTAAAGGATGGGAGTGGATCAGAGGCCCAAATTGGGAAGTTTTAGAGTCCCTCCTAAGACATAGCTGGGATTAGAGGGCCCTCCCCTCAGTAAAGTCTCTGTTAGTTAAAAATGGATTTGACATTATGGGACGTTAACCACTATTCTCTTTGGATTAATCTGCCTTGCTTTCTTTGCTGCTGGCAGTGGATGACAGGATTAGGCAAGTACAGGATCATGGGACATGGGGAACCTTTTCTCCCCAATCGGGGAAACTTGAGAGCTGATGGGACTGCTGAAAATGATCCCTCCCTTCGTGACAGACAAGCAGTTGCATGCAATTTTGTTTCAGTGTTGCTGCAATGGGTGGACCTTTCTCTGGCCTCCCTGAGCTCTTTGCCTTCCCCACCACACCACAGAGATTGCTTTTCTTTCTTTCTTTCTCTCCTTTCCCTTTCCCGTCTTTTCTGTTATTCAGGGCAACCATCTTGCCCAGAGACTACATGTTGAAACTCCTGGCTGCAGGTCATTCCACCCCACTCTAAATGGATTAAAGATGACACAGCCCAACCAGGGGCAAGTTTGAGCCTTGCCAGTTTGATGGGCACCAAGAGCAGAGGCTAATGTCTATTTTGTCACACCCATTTTGCTCTGGCCAGAATGGAAAATGTTAATTGGGTTACCCCATGCAATCCCTCAGGCAGCATCTTACAAAATTGAGAGGCTTTTGCCTGTGGTTCCACGAAACAAAAAAGGATAATTTTCCTTTGTGTTGCAGCTTGGCTCCCAGAGCTATGGTGCAAAAGGCGGGGTCGCTAGGGCCACTCAGGGAAAGAGAACCCAGAAACATGGCATGCTGACAAAAGGGTAAGAATTTCTTAATAGTCAGACTTCTGGCCTCTCTCCCTTTGTGCAATTGTAGGAATGGTAAAAATTACTATCTCCTCTGCAAAGCTTTAATTAATGAGAAAAAGGATTTGTGAGGCTAGTCTTAAGTTGTAGTGAATCTGGTGTAGTTTATGCTGTGAATTTGTCTTTCTGTGTTGTTCTGTCATAAAAAACGGGTACCATAGGATAGAATGTGGGCCTACGACCCCCATAAGCTCCCTGTTTAAGCCATCCTGGCAAACTGGTCAGTTACAAACTTTGTGGCAAGTCTCTGAAACAAAAATAAAACTGGACGTCTTGTTTTATATCCTCGGGAGCTTGACCTTGTAACCACATGGCAGTACTTTCTCTTGGTCTCGTCCATCCAGGGAACAGGAATTTTGGGGTTCATGTCATAGCTGGCTCTAAAATATCTTGAGCAGTTAAAAGCCGTTGCAAGATCAAAATTGACTGCTCTAGACTCCTTCTGGGAAGAGCAATGGAAACTGCCCAGTGCTGTAGCTTAGTGCCTAAGGCTTTGTCTTTTCCCAGTGACAGTCAAGGTTCAATTCCTGGCTTAAGGAATGAGTCTTTTTGGTTTGATATCTTTGTGACCTTTGCCACTTATTGAGTCTCTTCCCCACCATGAACAACTTCTCTTCTTGTCTTGAATTTTCCTTTCTCTGAGCACCTGGGAGGTTACCTTTGGTAAAGGTCAAAAGCAAGAAATATTTGCTGCTTGTTCTGGCTAAAGTCTGGTAATAAGATATTTGGTTTAAAACTCAGCTTAATTAAAAACAGATATTCAAGCTATAAATATATGTAAAAGTGCTTTACAGTTTTTTCTCTTCTTAGATCTTGTTTTTCTGGGGAAAAATAGTTTCATTGCTTTTCAGTCAATTGAATTGTTTTTCTCCATTTTGCCTTTTTGCCACTCTTCATGCACACATGAGAGGACCTAGGATAATTTCTCACACTCTGGGACTCCTTGGGAAAAACAAAGGAGGCACCACAGACCCCGTTTTGGGAAAAACCTCTGTTTTCCTCATGAAACCCCAGGAATTAAAGCAGATAAATCCCTCTCACAATCTAAAGCTAAATATACTTTTGGGGATGGCAAATGGCAGTGATAGGAGGATACTCGGCTCTTTGCTAGTTTGGGTCAGAGAAGCATGCTCTTGGCCACCTATTGAAATGTCCCCATCCCCATCCCCCACCGAGAGATAAGACTGCAAAGGGAGATGGACTGATCACAGAGTGCGCTGATCGGCTTTCAAATGCTTTGCAATGAAATGCACACTAAAATCATTGCACTGTCTTGTTCCATAGCATTTCTCCTTTGGGGATCCAGGATCTGGTGTAAAAGTAGGACCCTGAATTTGGGGGGATCTATTTTGCCTTGCATCTATGCGTGCCTATTAGGCCCTAGAAACTGCATGTTTTCCTCATTCTGTTTCTCAGAGGACCCCACCATGAAGCCAGTAATCCAATTAAGAAGTTTAAAAACTGGCAAATAAAAACTCCTGGCCAGGTGAGGTGGCTCACACCTGTAATCCCAGCACTTTGGGAGGCCGAGGCGAGCAGATCATGAGGTCAGGATATCAAGACCATCCTGGCTAACACGGTGAAACCCCATCTCTACTAAAAATACAAAATTTAGCTGGGCATGGTGGTGGGCGCCTGTAGTCCCAGCTACTCGGGAGGCTGAGGCAGGAGAATGGTGTGAACCTGGGAGTGGAGTTTGCAGTGAGCCGAGATAGTGCCACTGTACTTCAGCCTGGGCAAGACTCCCTCTCAAAAAAAAAAAAAAAAAAAAAAAAACACTTGCAAATACTGCTGGATCTTCTTCTGTATATGTATTTATATGTGTCATGCATGTGATGTTTATATGAAAAAGGTCTGATTAATTGGCTTAAAAATAATAAGCAATTAAATATTTTGTCAGAAAAATAAAAACTGTACTGCCTTTAAGTTCACATGACTTTAATAAGCTTTGGGAAATAAAGAGTTTTAAAGATTACTGGTAAAATAAAGACATTTGGTCTAAATTAGGCAGGTCAGATACTAGGTTTCCTAAATGCTTAAAGGTCATAAACTGCCTCTCTGACTTCAACTTTACCTGCTTTGGAACATTAGATTCTAGGTAAGACGTGGGGACATGTGGAGTTAGCCATGCCCCCTGGCTATGCTGGAAAGAATCAAACCTTATCTGCATTTCTCTCTGGTATCATAGGCTGCACACCTACTGCACATTAAAATTACTTACTTATCAGGTTTTTCAACAAAAATAAAAATTGCTAAGAATTATCATTGTAATATGTAATTGAGACTACTAAAATAACAATTTTATAAGCAAGGTATGTGAGGAAAGTGAAATGTGCTTTTGGTAAAAGACTAAGAAGGCCTGGGAACATGGATTTTTATTGCCTAGATTAAAGGGTTAAAAGATTATTTTAAGTTAGATAGAATTAAGCTGAAGGTTTGAGCAGGTTGTAGAAATTTGTGAAAGATTTTCTTGTAAAAGAAGTTTTGTGTGTGAACAGATTGCTTAAAGTTAAAGAGGTATTATTCAGTTTTCCCATAAATTGAACATTAAAATAAAAGCACACTGATGCAAGGCTTGAATCAGGGCCTACTTTTCTGAATGACAGGGTTTTCTTAGAGCATTGTTTTGCTTTTTAACATAAAATTGTAAAGAGTTATAGATGGTTTATGAGAATCTTACCTCATGGTCAAACTGATTAAAATTGGATAGATTTGTCTATAAGATTTTATTAAAAATTGGGGTTGAAATTAAAAGTATACTAATCCAAGGGTAAAATTTGACTTTCTCTCTTGAACAAGATTTTCATGTCATATTAAAGGATAATGAAATATTTTTGTTTGCCTTTTGAATAAACTATAGGAAAAAGGAAAGAAAGACAAGAGACATTGTTTGGAAAGTGAAGTCTTCCCTCTATCAATGAACAAAGGTTTTTGACTTTTTAAAATTTTTGAGTTATCATTTTGACTAAATGAATGACTTATGGTGACCTGGAATTCTATTTCATATTATCAAGTGTTTTAAGCCTTTAACATATTTGACAGGCTTCCCATAATCAAATTTTAGCTTCAACATTAAGTCTTTTTTGACCTCTAACCCTGGGATGCTGCGGAGGGCCCCTGAAGCATCCAAAAGAGAGAGAAACAGTGTTATTTGACATGTTAAGTTCCATGGGAAGCATTGTCAAAATAAGAAATAATACTTGGCTGAGCATGGTGGCTCATGCCTGTAATCCCAACACTTCGGGAGGCTGAAGTGGGTGGATCATGAGGTCAGGAGTTCAAGACCAGCCTAGACAAGATGGTGAAACCGTGTCTCCACTAAAAATACAAAAATTAGCTGGGTATGATGGTGGGTGCCTGTAATCCCAGCTACTCAGGAGGCTGAGGCAGAGAATTGCTTGAACCCAGGAGGCGGAAGTTGTAATGAGCTGAGATTGCGCCACTGCACTCCAACCTGAGCAACAGAGCAAGACTCCATCTCAAAAAGAAAAAGAAAGAACACTTAACCTTCAGGATATATATATATATAACATATATACAATTTATATATATATATAATATATATAATTTATATAATATATAAATTATATATATATGTAATTTTTTTTTTTTTGAGACAGAGTCTTGGTCTGACACCCAGGCTGAAGTGCAGTGGCATGATCTTGGCTCACTGCAACCTCCACCTGCCAGATTCAAGTGATTCTCATGCCTCAGCCTCCCTAGTAGATGGGATTACAGGAGCTCACTACCACTCCTGGAAAATTTTTGTACTTTTTTAGTAGAGACAGGGTTTTGCTGTGTTGGCCAGGCTGGTCTCAAATTCCTGAGTTCAAGCAATCCACCTGCCTCAATCTCCCAAAGTGCTGGGATTACAGGCATGAGCCATTGCACCCAGCCTAGGTTATATTTTAGTGAATGATATTAATATATGTTCCAAAATTGTATGAGATTTCTAAAATACTAGTATGTCTGAGTATATGCTATCAATCATAATTATGTTTATTATGTTATTGTAGACTACAGAAATCACCAAATTTCCTTGTCAAATGTGTCTTTAGCTGTGACTATTTAAAGTCATTTCTATAGTTAATTGCTTAATTCTGATGCAGTTTCTGAAAACTTCAAAGCACACAAAATCCTAGAATATGGTATATTTTAGGAGGTTCCTGAATGGATGGAAAGGACCCTGAAAAGTACTCTTGAATACAGGTTTCTGACAATTTTAGGATCATATCATTTGGACTGGGTAAGAATTCCTGGAACTTTAATGAAAAAAAACTGACTGTTTTATAAAACTGCTAACCCAAGTAGAACAAAAACTAATTGAATACCACGAAAATATTTTGCCACATTTTCATGCTAAATCAGCCAGTACTGAAATGGTTTATATATACAAGTTGAAAGACCTCCATGATCTAAGGCAAATTACCTATGATAACCCATCGGTTTCAGTGCTATGCACCTAAATTGGAGAGACAACTGGTATTCTCTGCAAGAGGACACAAATCCAGTGTTAATGATGGACTCATAGAGAACCTGGACAGCTGCCTCATCCTTCCTGAGTACTTAAAGCTTCTGTTATTAAAAGTTCTGCATTCCATGACTCATCATGGAAGAGATAAAATAATCCAAATTAAATACATATTGGTGTGATGGCTTCTAAATTGCTAAAATAGTTTATGACCAATGTTTGGTTTGTCAAACCCATATTCCTGGGAAGACAATCAAAGCTTCAAGTAGATTCTGCTACCTGATGGGCCACTTAAACATTTATAGAGGGATTTCATTCAATTGTCATTTTCAAAGCATATGTTCTGGTTGTATAAAAGCTTTCCCATGCAAGAGAGCCGATGTTATAACAGATTATTATGCCACAGTGTATTTCACCAGGTAAAGAAAGCTTTTTATGGTTCACTGACTGAATATAATCAATCAACCCCTTCACAGTCTAGAACACGAAGATTGGATCTTCTGAGAACATCAGAGAAAGACTGCCCTTGCCGTCCACACCACAGTAAAACTTTGGGACCTTGAACCTTGGGTTCATAATCTCGCAACTGACAAGGGCCCTTCCGCATTCTTGGAACTGTACACCCATTGGCACTCTTAAGCTAAAGCTAACCAGAGGAGTTTCTTTTCAGAAAAAGATGGCATCCTTGATGTGAACAGCTTTTTCCCAAGACTACAGATCAAGACTTCTCTACCACCATGAGACACTTATCTTTGATTTTTTCCCTTGGTTATGCCTCTATGAACAATAAAAGTGGAAAGGGGGTCTGTTGTGTGCACTCATGGGGTGTAGTTTTATTTGTGAAGGATTTTTCAGCCAGCCTTATACATGGATAACCTTATAACTCGATAGATGGAAGGTGAAGGCCCAATGTAGATGAGAAATTTTAATGGTGCCTATGTTGCCTCATAGGCAGTCAAAAACAGAGCATTGGCTCACTCCTCATTTTTTTTTTTTTTTTTTGAGACGAAGTCTCATTCTTCTCACCCAGGCTGGAGTGCAATGGCACGATCTCGGCTCAGTGTAACCTCTGCCTCCTGGGTTCAAGCGATTCTCCTGCCTCAGCCTCCTGAGTAGCTGGGATTACAGCCACCTGCCACTACACCCAGCTAATTTTTGTATTTTTAGTAGAGACGGGGTTTCACCATGTTGGCCAGGCTGGTCTCGAACTCCTGACCTCAGGTGATCTACCCGCCTCGGCCTCCCAAAGTGCTGGGATTACAGGCATGAGCCACCGCGCCTGGCTGTCTCACTCCTTTTAACCTATGTCATGGGTTAAAGAGCACATTGCCTCCAGGCAATGTTCTCTTCTAGAAGGGCATCATTTATTAGGTCATTTTTTCCATTATTTGGAGAAAAAGAGGCAACGATTAGAAATGTATCCCTCATGATAGGCTCCATAGCAGATTCTACTGTAAGGGCTATGGATACGCAAGATACTTTAAATTCTCTTGTGAAAGTTATGCTAAGTAATAGAATTTCTCTAGATTACTTACTGGCTAAACACAGAAGTATCCGTTCAGCTGCTGGCCCTTGTGGCCTATGGAAAAATACATCACATCCAATATATTATAGGGATTCAATTGTAAGATATTAATGCAGAGACTGTTAAGTGAGTAGACTTTTTAGCTCATTCTTTGATCCATTTGATTTTAGATGGTTTGGTTTATGGGGACCCTGGGTAAGACACATACTCCAAACTCGTGATATTATCCTCCCCAATGATAGTAGTATATAGTACTAATAGTAATAATAACAGTAATAATAGTAACAGTAACTAACAGTAATAATAGTAGTCTCCTTGGTGCGCTGTATTCTTTCAAAGTTTTTAAATGTTTGTATGCAGCCGTCTCTAGAATGTCCAATGGTCTCTCTTCAATTGGAAAGACAAGAGCTGAAAGAATGTGTGACCATGAGGGCACCATAACCTATGAATGACTGGAAACCAAAAATGATGGTGACTGAGGGTGGTGCTAAGACCCTAAGTTTTGGTCACACTCTCACCTAAATGAGAACCTGACAAAAAGGGGGAAATTTTTAAACAAAATTATGGGAGGCCATTGTTTTGGACTGAGCTTATGCACTAGGTCCAAAAAGACCAGACCAAACCAAAATGGAGTCACTTGTGCTAAATATGACATAATCAAAGTAAGACTTTAAGGAAACTCCTAGATCCTAGAACAAACCAGGTTTTGTTTTTTCTCTTGTAAACAGGACGTTCCAGCATAAGGAGGTACTCTCTACTGTAACCCTTAAAAAAATAAGCTGAAGCACACCCAGCTTGCAAAAACCCACTGTTCTTCTGTTTCCCAGTGGGTGTCAAGACTGAATAAGTACTTTTATGATGGCAATAATGACATCAGTGACTTGAGTCAATTTTGAGAGGATGACCATAAGGGGGGAATTGTTAATTCAAGTTTAACCTGAAGCTGCCTCTTACATATTTTAAGTTGAGCCTAAAGATTTTCCTGTACATAGTGAACTATAGCCTAAATGGAAGTGTAAACAGACTCTAGTCTACTCATGCCAATCACTAAGTTTTGGCCAATCCAATGTGGCCAACTGTTTGAACCATGTTCAAATAAACCCTGAGCTATAACCAATCCAGCTGTTTCTGTATGTCACTTCCGTTTTCTGTCCATAAATCTTCCACCACGTGGCTGTGCTGGAGTCTCTGAGTCTACTCTGTGTCCGGAGGCTGCCCAATTTGTGAATCATTCTTTGCTCAATTAAACTCTTCTAAATTTTATTCAGCTGAAGTTTTTCTTTTAACAGTCTGTTTTGCTCATATGTTTACAATATTGGTTTATAATTTTTTTCTTTTACTGTCCTCTAGTTTTTGAATCAGAGTTATGTTAGCCTAACCAAATAAGTGAACTATTTCCCTTCTCTTTCTAGTTCTGAGAATAATTGGTGTAAAACTGGAATTATTTCTTCCTTGAATGTGTGGCAGAATATATTTGAAAAGACATTTGGGCCTGCTGTTTCCTTTATGGAAATATTTTAAAATATTGATGAAATATCTTTAAAGTTTATAGTATTATTCAGGTTTTCTATTTATTTTTCACTTTTTTTATTAAATCCTATTTTTCTAGGCATCTGTTCATATTATATTAACTTTCAAATCAATTGACTTAAACTGATTTTTAAAAAAATCTCTGCTGCATTTGCGATTATATCTTCAATTTACTCACCAAATTTTGTTTGGCTGTTTAACAACTTTAATATTTTTTCTCTAAAAAAACAACTTTTGACTTATTTGATGTTGTAATTTATTTTATTTCATGTATTTTATATTTGCTATTTCATTAATTTCCCCCGGGACCTGTTTTACATGTATGTGCTATAAATATCACTTAGGTGATTCTTACAGTTGATGTAAAATATCTGAGAATCTTAAATCCTTACTCAAAATATTCACATTTCATTGTGTTCTCTGATATGTTTGGACTTATTTCTATCATCTTATTTTATGCTTTCTGTTTTTCTTGCCTGCTTTATTTTTTCTCGCAAAGATTATTTTGCATTAATATTGCCCTCCTATCATTACATTTTTTCCTTCTATTTGTTTGAAAGTTATACAGTATCTTAAATATTTTTATGGGTTATGCTAGAAATTATAATGTTTCATAGATAACTCTGTGAACCTAAATTTAATAAATGTATTTGCCCTTTTTTTCTAGAGTGCTTTAGGTACAAATAACCTATCTAGACTTCTAAGCTATAGGTTTTTAATTCAGTTCTATTTTTTAATACCCATAAGTTTTTTGTTATTACTTTTCTTTTTTTTTTTTTTTTTTTTTTTTGAGACAGAATTTCACTCTTGTTGCCCAGGCTGGAGAGCAGTGGTGCAATCTCGGCTCACTGCAAACTCCGCCTCCCAAGTTCAAGCAGTTCTCCTGCCTCAGCCTCCCGAGTAGCTGGGATTACAGGCATGTGCCACCATGCCTGGCTAATTTTGTATTTTTAGTAGAGGTGGGGATTCTTCATGTTGGTCAGGCTGGTCTTGAACCCCCGACCTTACTATTTTTATATGTTGCTTTAGATTTAACAATATCCATATTTTTTTAAATTCACCATATCTTCTTGCATTACAAACCTATGTCCTGGGATCATATTCCTTCTTCATAAAGTATATTTCTTATAAATTATATTAAATCACTTTTGGTGGTAAACACTCAGGTTTATATTGTTTTTCTTATTGTTTACAAATATCTTTTGTTGTATATATGATTTTAGGTTGACAGTTATTTTTTTCCCAATACTTTAAAGAAATGTTTGCATTGTTTCCTAGTTTTCATGCAGTTAAGAAATCAGCTGTCATTCAAATTTTGATTTGTTGTAGGTAATCTGTCTTTTCCTTCTGGCTGCTTATAAAACCATTTACTGGCTGGGTGCGGTGGCTCAAGCCTGTAATCCTAGCACTTTGGGAGTCCGAGCCATGAGAATCACTTGAGTTCAGGAGTTCGAGACCAGCCTGGGAAACATAGTAATACCTCATCTCTATAAAAATAGAAATTTAAATTAAATTAAAAAATAAAACCCTTAGCTTGTTATTTGTGTTTTGGAATCCATGCTATGTTATGTCTAGGTGAAGATTGTTAAAAATATATATATCTTGCTAGGAATTTTCTGTCCTCTAAATTTAAACACTTATTCTTTAATCAGTTATGGAAAATTACTAATATCTTCTCAAATGTTACCATTTTTCAATTTTCTGCATTATCACTTTCCAGATCCCCAGGCAGAGGTTTGTTACATCATTTTATATACTTTTCCTGCATCACTTAATCTCTCTTCCATGATTACTATTGTTGCTGTTTTAAATTCTGGGTTATTTTCGAAATTGAATTTCATGTTTCCTTATTATTTTTCAGATATGTTTAATCAGATATTTAAGATTTTATTGAAGTAATACACATATTCAAGGAAAATACCAATTATTCATTTCAATAAATTATCCCATCCAGTGGCGTTTTTTTAAATAGACCTTATTTTTTAGAGCAGTTTTAGGTTCACAACAAACTTGAGCACAAGGTACAGAGATTTCCCATATACTCTCTATGCCTACATATGCACAGCTTCCCCCATTGTCAATATCCCCCACCAGAGTAGTACCTTTGTTATGTTAGATGAAACTACATTGAAACATAATTATCATTGAAGGTTCATAGTTCCTTTGGCATTCATTCTTGGTGTGCATTCTATGGATTTTTACAGACATGTCATGATATATATCCACCATTATAGTATCATAACAAAAGAGTTTCTCTGCCCTAAAAATTCTCTGTGCCTCTGGTGGGAATATTGATAATGGGGAAGACTAGGCATGCTTAGGGGTAGGGAGTATATGGAAAATCTCTGTACCTTCCTCTTACTTTTGCTGTGAACCTAAAATTATTCTAAAATAAAGTCTATTAAAAAAAAATCTCTGTGCCCTGCCTATTGATCCCTGGAAGCCACTGATCTTTTTACTGCCTCCATAGTTTCACCTTTTCCAGAATGTCATATAGTAATAAGAAATATAATCTAACAGTATGCAGCCTTTCAGATTGGCTTGTTTCACTTAGTAATATGCATTTAATGTTCTATGTCTTTTCATGGCTTGATAGCTCATGTCTTTTGCATGCTGAACAATATTCCATTGTCTTGCCGTCCAAAGTTTATTTATCCATTCTCCTACTGAAAGACATCTTGGTTGCTTCCAAGTTTTGGCAAGAATGAATAAAGCTTCTATAAACACTTGTGTGCTGGGTTTCGTATGGTCAAGGTTTTCAATTTGTTCAGGTAAATGCCAAGGAGTACAATTGCTGAATTGTATGGCAAGAATGTTTTGTTTTGTCGGTCGTGCGCAGTGGCTTATGCCTCTAATCACAGCACTTTGGGAGGCTGAGGTGGGCAGATCACCTGAGGCCAGGAGTTCGAGACCAGCCTGGCCAACATAGCAAAACCCTGTCTCTACTAAAAATACCAAAAACTAGCTGGGTGTGGTGGTGCATGCCTGTAGTCCCAGCTACTCAGAAAGCTGAGGCACAAGAATTGCTTGAACCTGGGAGGTGGAGGTTGCAGCGAGCTGAGATCGTGCCACCGTACTCCAGCCTGTGTGACAGAGTGAGACTGTCTCAAAAAAAAAAAAAAAAGTTTTCTTTAAAAAAGAAAACCTGGGTATTTCCCTTCCTCCAGGTTTGTTAGGCTCTAATAAAACCCCAGTAGTTTAAGCTTGGTAAATAGTTTGTCGCTAAGTCAGGCCTTGTTATGAAGGATAGAATTTTCTGGTGTATTTCAAAGTTGTTTCCATTTCTTTCCTCCTGATAGATGCATGAGAGGACTTTTCTTCACTAGTCACTACGACAGCCTAGTTGAGTTCCTGGAGGTAAAACTCACAAAAGTGTGGGGATATCCAATGACTTTTATCTCTCAGTCTTGTCCACATTGAACCTCTAGCAATTGATTACAGTTCATGCATCCCTACACTGGCATTGGCTCCAAAGGGTATTTCTGCTGGAGGGTTGATATGATGGCTCGTGGTGGGGTGGAGGAGTGTGTTCTGCTTCTGCAAATTATGGTTCTCTGTATTCACTTGTCTGCCCTTCCAATTGGGGTAGTGTCTTGCCCTGTGATATATGACTTCTCTCATGGACCTAAGAAGAGTTTATTTTTCAGTTTCTTCAGCTTTTTACTTGTTGTTCAGAGGAGTGACAACTTCCAAGCTTCTGCATGGTGGACGGGAGCCTGGAAGCCTGGAGTTCTCTCCATCTAGTGAATTTTAAGTTTCACATATATTTTTTATTTCTATAATTTCTATTTGTTCCTTTTCAAACTTTTCGTGCTCATTTCTTATTACATTTTTATTGCCTTATTATTTTGTTAGACATGATAAGCATGCTAATTTTGCTTTCAAAATTTAACGTTTTGGAAAATCTGAAATATTTATGGATCTACCTCTATTTACTTAATCTAGTATCCTTGCTCATGTACTCTTGTCATCTTACATCTTAAAGAAAACATCTCATTGCAAACCTATGGTTACTGGAACTTGCTTTGTGAGGATTTTCGAGACTTTGATAGAGTGTATATTCCTGCAGAGATGATTTGCTTCTAACCTCTGCCAGCAACGCAGATTCCTTTCACATTTGGGCCACCTTAATTTCTTTCCTTGGTGTTTTTTGGGGTCATGTAGATACTGTAATTTCAGACCTACAATTACTATATAACGATTGACTGATATTCATAAAGTTTCAGAGAGTTCCTCAACTACTCCATCTTTCCACCTCACATACCCAGAGCTGAAATTACCGTAGACAAGATTCTCTGCTGAATTCTCTCCTGAGGCAGTTTTATTCTAGTTTATCTTTTCACAGAGGATGTAGCACATTAGGGCTTCTAGACTTATGGCTGAGTGCCCAATAGAACACTCCAAATATCTTTTCTTTTGTCTCTCATGTGGCTTTTGAAATTACAATTCTGTGTTGCTGGAGATTGGCAGATGCCATATGGCAGCTGCTGCTGGGTTTAAAGCCCGCTTTCCTCTCAGATTCATAATGCTACTTCATTTTTGGCCTTTGAGAATTAATTTTCTTCATTTTCTGCTAGATATATAGTTTTGATATAGACTAAAATATCGTTTTAAAAATACTTTGTACACCAATTTTAGGTCTATTATACTGACAATGTTTTTCAGATATATAGTGGCATATTTAACTTGAAAGGAACACTTGAAAATTTAATTTTGAGCTTGAGTATTTAATTTTTATGTAGTAAAGAATAAATCATTCTATAAAGCAGGTATTTAAACAGAGTAACTCCCTATTTACCAATAGTTTTAGATGTATTTTGGATTTCCTTCTCCTTAACTCTCTATGTGCTTAAGTGATTGCTTTTTTCCAACACACACACAGACACACAAACACAAGCACATGTGAATGCATAATTTTTTTCTCACTGATTAAAAGTACTTCTATTACTAGAACTGAATAGACTTGACTTTTTGACCTGCATCGGTATTGAAGAGTTGGCTTTCATATCCTAAAATCCCTAGTGCAAAATTTAGATACTTATTGAAAAAGTTATGTATTAAGTACATATTTGATGTGTTTAACTTTGGAACTAAGAATAATTTGTTGTACACAGTAAAAAACAATATATTTGGAATATTATTGTGCCTCCAACATTTATATAAATTAAGTGGATAGTTTAAAATATAGAAATGTAATATTTCATTTTTTTTGGCCTTGATTAGTTTGTTGGTTGTAGAATTTGGTGTATGTGAGAGGAAATCTGTGGATATTTATTATAGAAGCAATAATACAAGATAGCAGCATTTAAGAGGGATAGGGATGTTTTAACCCTGATTAATGTAGAAGTAATCAGGATAATTTTTATGGAAATACAATTGAAAAACAGCAGAAACCTTCCTTAAAGTCCATTAAGTATTCTTTAATATATGTGATAAAGAACTATCAAAGAACATTTTAAAATATATTATATTTTTAGAAATTATTTTCAAGGCAGGCAAGTTTAGTGACATCTCCTTATGAAAAATCTGTATTTTGTACATATTTTTAGAAAAAACACTATATTGACTACTCAGTATTTGATAGTGTGATAGGCATTCGCCAATGTCAATTTCTCTTCTATTTCCTGGCATTGGAAGACTTTGCTTCCTCGCCCTCTCAAATTTATACAGGGCAGGATGACTTGCCTTGGCCAGTAGAATGTGCGCAGGAATGAGTTATGTCACTTCCAGGCAGAAATGTTTAGTTGCTTGTGCTCTCTCTCCCCTATCAAATGATGCTCATAGGAATGTAGGATGATACCCAACTACCATGAGATGGGTACAACCCAGAATTCTGAACCAACACAGCACAGCCACCCTGAGAGTTACCCAGATCTGCACCTTTGCCTGGGAAATAATTATACTTTTGTCGTGTAACAGCACAATTATTTGAAGTTGTTTGTAACTGCAGCATAACCTAGACCACCCTGGCCAATACTAAGTAGTAAAACATGAAGTACTTTAGACAAATACAAAAAGAAAAATTGAGAAATGTAGACAAATTGAGAACAAATGAGGTAAAGTATTTCATACTGAGGCATTACACAAGTCTTAAAATGCACCAAATTTCAGATAAAATTAGTTTATTTTTTAGAGTGCTTATTAAAGCAAGTTGAAATCTAGTTCATTCCATTTGCTTTTTGCTATATTGTGATATTTTATTCTCAGATGAGTTCTAAGCATATGGATTAAGTATTTTTATGCTAGTATTCTTTGTTAGGCACAATAATTATTTATTGAATTTAATTATTCTGATCTGTCACTATATATCATATTCTTTCCAGCCTGGAGTTAACATTGGAACAAACCTCAAATGAAATTTTGGAGGGCGTGTGTGGGAAACAATGTGATTTTGTAATTATGTACAGGTGGAGGGGACATTTATTTTCAATTTGTTTTATTTGTTTTATGTTTTGCTTGCTTGCCTGCTTGGCATTTAATTCTCTTGTTCATGTTGGGAACTTCTTCACCCTCAGTGTCTTGCTGGGAGAGATTTATTTGCAGGGATAGTACAGTGCCGGCTGGAACTTCCAGTGACAAACAGTGGGACAACATGGTTCCTGTTGCTGGAAGTCAGCTATTGTTTCCTACTATTTTGGCCTCCCCTCCATCTGCCACCTATTCTTCAAGCCTGCTTCTCTAGCCATGCAAATGGCTTTTGAAGCCTATTCTGTCAATAAATTCCACTTCTTAGTCAATTTCAGTTTTTTAACTAAGCACACTTACTAATAAAAGATAGCACTCAGAATTTCTTTCAGTTTCTATGTTGACAAAATATTGAGATTTTTTTCACTTTCGTGCAGAACAAATAATGCTTTGGCTTTTACAGTTATGTGTCTCATTTCACATGTGTTATGTTTCCCTTATTTAACCACTTATTTTGTCGTACATTACTATGCTCTGTTGGGACACAAGAATGGCATATAATATCATATATATTATATAATAATACATAATATGTAATTATAATGTGGGTAAGGGAGGCACGTGTGGCAATTTGGAGAAAAATTCTATATGTGCGTGTTAATATGTGTGTTTGGGGGGTCATTACATGTAGCACCTTCAGTATTAACATGATATGGTAAATTTTTTATTAAATGGATCTCCGTTTAAAGTGAGAAAATGATCTTTAACCTCATATAAATCTCTAAGGACATAGCTACCCTTAGGAGAAACCTTAAGACCTAATTGGGAGCAGATTTGATTCAGTTATCAGTCTATTTGTAAAAGCTGATACAAATCAGTGAAGAAAATATTAATAGTCCCTAGAAAGATAACGTTGAAAGAGTAGAACTATTGGTGCTTCATATTAATTGGAGTTCTGATTCCATGCTGTGAGGAGAGAAAAAAGTAGGAAATGTAAAATTGTAGTAAAATCTAGTTCTTCAGTTTAATTCAACAAATATGTATTGGTTGCCTACTAAGTATAAGCTACTGTTGTGAGTGCTATGGTAATCCAAAAGAGGAGTGATCCCTGCCCTTGAGCAGTGTATTATTCAATTGAATAAGTGCTTGAGCCATATGTTTGCCAAGTACTAGTTAGTGGCAATACCAATATATATGAGAAAAAATCTCATCTCTCAAAGAGCATACAGACTTCAAGATGAAATAAATACATAAGCCAAAATCTATAATATAAAGTGATGATATTATCCTAGACATGTCATAGTTATGGGGACATCTTTAACTGCTAGATATAATTACTATACAATAACAATAGGATCAATAAAATAATCTCTTTTCAGCTGCCAAAGGAAACATTGGATATACATGCCGCTTCTTTTCCCAGGCACACACTTACTTCCTAGCTCATTCTTTCCTTCATTCATACATGTGTTCATTTAAGACTATGTGTTAAAGGTCCACTAAATATCTTTTTGTTGGGAGTAAAATGATGAACAAGATAGACAAGCTGGAGTTTACAGACATTTTCAGGTTCTTAACTGTGCTTTTTTTTTACTTAAAGTGTATTTATATGATACACCTTCTACTTGTACTGTCTCTGTGCACCACTGCTATTTTTACACCTAGACATACAATGCTTTTTGTACATCATTTCTATCCTTGTAACTGGTAAACTCCATTTCATCCATCAAATCTTAGCACTAAGAGAAACCATTTCTAATGGTTCATTGTGCCCTGCAAATTTCATTCATAGCACTTTAGACATTCAATTGTATACATGTGGATTATTTTTTATTCCCTTCCACGTTCCCCTTTTGCTCATCATATCCTCTCTCCCTAGCAAAACAATAGCTTTCATGTAAGTATACAAACAATATTTGTTCAGAAAACAAAGGCAATACACAGTCATAATACATGCTATGCTACAGGGTCCTGTGGATTCACATAGATGGTCACCTAACCCAGCCTTCAGGGATCAATGATGTATCACATGAGAAGTAAGTAGTGAATCAGGCAGGTAAAGCCAGTGGAGTGGGGGAGGAGTGGAAATAAACGTGTCTTCCAGGTAAAGGAAACAACATGCAGAAAGGCCAGGAAGTGAGATACTTGGAATTTTATGGGACTCCGCAGAACATACCACATTCAGTTACCCCCGGGGATGTACTTTGGGCACATACTCAGGGTCGGGGGTGGGATAGTGAGCTCACATGCCCATGATAGAGCCCACATTCATCTTAGCACAGCGTAGAAACAAATGTCCTACGTCAGTCCCAGCCAAGTTGCTGTGGCTTCTCCCTGCAATGATGGTTGCTTCTGCTTTCTCTGATCTTCTCACTCAATAAAATTGGGAAAAGACAAATATCTGCAGCTATGAAATTGGTAGCAAAGGTGCAAACCTGGCTAGTCCTCTGCCTCGTGAAAGAGCCTAAGATTCTTGCCACTTTTCTCCAGGATGACATGATGATTAAACTATTATAGATCCTCTCCTTCAGCACTGCACTTGCTCTCGCAGGCAGGCATCAATGCCCAGTTTAGGCAGCCCATACACATGAATGATGGTGTTTCTTGGTCTCTATCTCCTTTTCTTCTGTTGGAAATTCTGGGATTTATTTTCCATTTAATTCCTTTCATGTATCTATATATGTTGTATATCAAAATTTATAGTTCATATTTTAGTAGTGGCTTTTCATTTTCAATTTTATTTCTAAATTGAAGTATTGAACACATAGTAATTATAGTGTGATTTTTGTTTGGTCAGGCATCTTACATCTTCCTGTCAACTTATTGACCATAATAAATATCCATGCTACAAGTCAGCAAGCCTGTAATTGACTCAGAGTTTTCAGTGATTTCCCAGTGAAGAATAAGCAGGAGGTTTTTTAGTACAAGTAGCCAAATTCTTTACCTATTGGCATACTTCACCTGGCGTTCTGAAGCTTACCAATGTCTTCTATATGCATGTTGAGTTTTCTCTTTTCTTCTACACAAAGGGAGGCAGGGTTGAGTGACTAAATGAGTAGTTAGAAGATCTGTTTTAAAATATTATGCATGCTGTAATCTTTGCCAGAGGGTGTGTGCCAGGATCCACAGTTCTCTTACCTGCAGAAGGAGATAAGGGAATAATCCCATGTGCATCACAAAAATTAAATGAAAAGTTCTAACACATAGTAGGTATGTAACTAACTTGTTGCCTTCTTTGTCTTATTATTAATATTTTGACTAATCCACATATAAAATTTACCAATATGGGCATTCATTTTGTCAAAATTAAAAAATAATTCATCATAAAATATATTTCCAGAATTTCACACTGTGGTTATGGAGTTCCTCAGGCTCATAAGTAGAAGGTTCATTGTTTAAAAATAGACTCAGTCTCAATTTCTCTAGAATAAGGTTCTGGTACTTGGGATGTTATTTTTTTTTTACTCTCCCACTTTTTTTGGGCACTGTTTTCCATGATTCATTTCCATGGCTTTAAAGACCAAATATTGATAGACAGAATCTTTATTTCTGTACCAGTTTTAACCTTATATTTCTTTAAGCCTGATACTGGTTGGTAAATACACATGGTAGTGAAAAAGTACATTCTCCTGAGAAAAAGAACCTCATTGTCTATGGTTATATTTTTCAGTTAATAACAAATAGAAAAGTGATTTGCATTTAGAAGACCTTTGTTTTAGACCCATCGTCCTTCTTAACCATCTCTAAAGCCACAGACACATTCCTACCCTCTCTGAAATTCAGTTTCTTTCTCTGTATACTTAGCACTCATGCAATTGTTTTTAACAGAGTAGTGTATATCAGAACTTTTTGACTTAGAAATTACTACATAAATGTTAGTGTCTATTATTATGAAAGTAATAATTGGCCTATGTTGTTAAATAAAATGAAAGTAGAAAAAGACTGAATTAGTCTTTTGTTTGGTTGGAATATTGTTCTGATCAGAATTGGAAAGCAAGCCCAGTGAATAACTTATTACCAATTTTGCATTTTCTCAATTTTCTATTTTTACTTTGTTTTAATAGAACCAAGATATTGTATTTATCAGGGACAAGGTCAATTGTAAGAGCTCTGTAAGGCTAATTTATCACCAGCGCCTTCAATCTCTATTTCTTTTTGGCTTGTTTACCCTGGAATACCAGTATTTTTAGGTGTACTTTCAACCCTCAGGGTTTTCCACTCTGGCACTGTAGCTGAAATAATATCCTTATTTTCCTCCTTAGGTGAGCTAAAAATTAACCTTCCTATTTGGCAACTGAGAGCTGATTCAGTCAACTAGTCTGTTGAATGGACTTTGTCAAGGTGTTAAGACAGGCTCATCCTAGAAATAGAGGAAGAATAGTATTAGGTGCAGAAGGTAAGTCCTTTGTGAGGGTGGATGTGGTTAATATTGGTAAAGATTATTCAGATTCATGGAGAATGTGAGGAGATCTAGAATTTCTAAAGATAGAATTGTATTTGAATACAATTTGATCTTCTAAGTATTTGATGGTTAACATCTTACTTGTGAAGATGGAGAAAAAATATTTTACCAGTGGAAAGTGTGAGAGAATATTGTTGAAACCACAACATCATTGAGAAGATGCTTTACTAAGCCTGTCTCGGGGTGGAAGCTGAACTGCTAGGCTTTTAATGTGAGCTAAACTCTTTTGCTTGAGTCCAGGTGAATGCTTTGCTTGTTATACTAGAAAAAAGAAGAGAAAACTTGTGAAATGTGGGAGTGCAGCTAGTAAGATAAGAAAATGGGGAACTTCTACATGATGCCTTTGGTCCTTCCCTTGCTTGCTGAATCGGGTTACTAAGTTCACAAAATGCTTGAAGTTTTGGGGGTTAAGACATAGATCTTGCACTTAGTCTAATATTGGTGATCTGAGGCATCATGTCCCCACCCACCCGAAAACATGAGTTAGAACCATGAGGAAGTTAGTGGCTGAGAACTCACAAAAATCACAAGCCAAGCTCTTGACCTTTCCATGGAAGGAAGACCAACTAATTAGAAGGCAAGCTAAGTTTAACCAGGCCATAGGGAGCCAGTGGACCCCTGGATAGCATCTAAACAACAATAGTAAAAGTTATTTCTGCCTGCAGGTTGCAAGGTTCTATCTATTTTTTTGAAGACAAGAAACTGGAGACCTAAGTGTGTGACATGTTTTAATTCACAACACTGCACTTCTGGTCCAGAAATACAATGAAGGTAAACATAATTCATTCATGTACTTTTTCCAATAAGTGAGGAGAGTCCTGCAGATGAAGTGAGCTGATCCCATCCTGACTGGCTTATCAGTTCTGGGACTTTCTCTAAAGGTAAAGTGATCCAGGGTGGTCCTCAACCCTCATTCCAACTTGAAACTAATGTTTTTGATAACCGGCTGTTGTTCTTAAAACACTTTATCTCACATCTTTATCCTTTGGGCACCCTTATTTGTCCATCACTGCCCCTCTCTCAGGCCCTTTGTCTTCTGCAGTTCTCCTTCCTGGTTCGACCCAACCTGCTTTCCTTTCTCCTCCAAGTCTTTCCCTTCCTAAGTCCCTCTTTTGCAGTGAACCGATGTTCCTGAATCCTAAAACTACCCTGAATACTTCTACTTTCTGCCTTAACCAACTCCTCTCCTCTGTTATACTTCTTGGTTTGCTGCAACCTGGCTTCTACCCCAGTCTACTGGAAGCATTCTTACAGGAATGGTTGCATTTGCAATAGAAACTAACAATAATTCTATGAGTTAGTTACCATTATTCTCATCTTATCATGGAGATAATAATAGAACTGAATTCACAGGGTCTGTGTGAGCTTCCAATAGTATGCACTTAGTTTTCAAAGGACACTCTGTCAATTGAAATAGTCTCGCTCTGTCACCCAGGCTGGAGTGTAGTGGTGTGATCATAGCTTACTGCAACCTTGAACTCTAGGGCTCAAGTGATCCTCCCACCTCAGCCTCCAGAGGAGTTTGGACTACAGGCGTGCATCACCACGCCCAACTAAATTTTTTTTATGTTTTTATAGAGATGGGGTATCACTGTGTTTCCTAGGTTGTTCTAGAACTCCTGGGCTCAACCAATCCTCCTGCCTCAACTGCTCAAAATACTGGGATTATAGCCATGAGCCATGGCACTCAGCCTGTTGCTACTATTCTTATTACTATCATGTTGTTGTGTGTTTTAATTTTTTACTTTTTCCTTCTTTGGAAATGCTCTTTTTCCTTATTTCTGGAGCAAGTTTATTTTTGGATTTTCATTCTTCTTATCTGGACACTTCCTGTGTTTCCCTTATAGCTCTTCTTCCTTTACCATTCCTTGGAAATTTAATGTGTTTTGGAGCTCTTCCTGGGCCAAAGGCCGTAGAAGAAATATCTTCTTCTTTCACCATTTCTACTATTATCTACTTGTTAGTTATTCTCAACCCTTTACCTCCAGATGGTAACTTCACTGAGTTCCAGAATCATTCATGTAATCACTATTTCTCTATTTTTCCCATCTCAGTGAATGGAAACATTTGCCAGTTGCCCAGGACAAAAACTGGATATCATTAATGACTCTCCATCATATTTAATCAATCAATAAGAAAAGAAAGAATAAAAAACGTTGAGATCAGATTGCAAAAGGCCTTTAATACAGGGAATAAAATTTAGAAGTAGAGGACTAGAGATATGTGTAGCTGAGTTTGAGTCCTGGTTTAGTCTCTCACTGTTTAAGCTTAGACAACACAAACAAGAGAGAAAGAGAGAGGAACTTTCCTGAGCTGCAGTCAGTTTTCTGATTGACAGATTTGGGCAAATAGCATTGTTAGGAAGATTGAAGAAAATATACTGCAGGCACTTGAAACACAAAAGCTATTATTGTAACAATCTGTAGGTGATAGTTCCTGTTATCTGCAATTGTATTTCTATATTTATTGGAAAGTTAGAGACTATTGAACTAAAGTTGCATAGAAACAGATTATCCCTCTTCCCTGCGAGTATATAGAGACCTGCCTTGGGACTCTCTATGTCTATAGTGTAATCAGGAATTTAGTATAATGAAGACACTCTTAACTGGAGTAAGTGGCCCTGTGACTCCTGAGACATTCTCAGAGGTACTTAAGGATTTATGGAGATGCTTAACCTGCAATTTCTGCTTTAAGCCACATCTGGCCCAGCTGTGTTTCCAAACAGGGTGCTAGAGCCCTGTTAAACTCTAACTCGGAGCAACTCCTATTAACGGTAATTAAGCTCTTTACCACTTTAATAAACACAGAAAATATACTTTTAAAAGTCTTCACCAGCCTATTTATTTTGTTTTTAAGAATGATAACTCAGTTCCTTATTTGCTTTCCTTTTAGAGAGAGCCTATAAATTATATTACAGTTGCATTTTTAAATCTTTTCTATAAAAAAATTACAAATCATATGAGCCAAGAAATTATAACAGTTTGAAGCTGGAAGAAAGTAAATCTTCAAACGTTTTTGGGAATAGTATGGCTTGGTCTAATATTGCCTCTAAAGTTTTGTAATGAATCACTTTTCCATTGTCCTGGAGGATGGAATTTTGCCTGACTTCTGTTCAAGAGTATTCTGGAGTTAGTAACCTAACTACTAACTCATTTTTTGTCTCTTTGAGATATTTCTCCTGACAGTCTATATTTTCTTTTCTGAATTTCATATCTGGCCCTATTCCCTTGAACCAAACAAAATGACTAATTTCTTCCCCATTTTAACTTTTTTTGTAACATATGACCTGTTATTCTACTCCCAGTTTGTTCTACCTTAACCAAACTGTCCACATTTAGGGGCTTGAATCTTCCTTTATTTCCTTCATTGTTTTATTCTTGATTGTGTTACTGGTACTACTGATAACTACAGTGTAAAAAGCACGGAGTTTTCCAAGTTTGAAAATTAATTTGGTAGCTATCGTTGCCAAGGAAACTACTTTTACTGTATATCAGTTTTATTTAGCACATAGAGTCCACTATGAGATAGATTTAAAAGAATCACAGCCAAATTTCTTTGTCTCTCTATTATTTTTTTTCTCTCTGTAATTCAGAAAATTGGGCCTCAGTTCCAAGAAGAAGCTGAGGAAAATAATAACTTCCCTGAGCACCAACTTTAAATATACACATTGTTTATGAAATACCAGTGGTAAACTGAGACAGTCGCTGGTGAGATTCCTAAAATAGGAGCTGGGGAACCCATATTTAACACTGGATTACTGAATGAGCCTGTAAGGATTTAAGTTTTGCAATATTATTTATGTTTTATTTTACAATATGGTCTGTCTCAAAAAACTATACTCCATAAAGGTAACCCATTCTTTGGCATAAGAGCAGAACAGTTTTCCCCATAAATACATGCTTCCTGTTACTAAATTTTAGGAAATGTTAAATGATTATGAAAATGCTATGTAATTATATATTTGCATATTTATATTTATATACTACACTCATTAATTTAAAATTTACCATGCTTAGTTTTAAATTAGTTCAGTTAACTGACCAGATGGTAACAATGCTATTTCTGTCAAATCCTTAGGAGAATACTTGATACATCTAAGAAGATATATCAAACACACGTGAAAAGGATAGTTATTGAGTGCGGTGTCTTCTCATGAAACAAATCACTATTTTCAGCCTTTAGCAGCCCAGATTTTTAATGTATCTGCCTCAAATAGCCAGAGGCAGGCAGGATTAAAAACAAATGAGATCAGCCTTCTTCAGTTATCACTAAACACGAGTAGCTGTTCACCACGGGCAAGTGGCTACTTGCAAAGCGGAAGTCCCATCCTGCCATCCTCATCACACCTCCCTCCCTTTATTATTCCTGTTAATAGGCTTGCATGAATAGTCAGGCAGGGGAGATATTTTTGCTCACAGCGTCTATTTGTTTTTGCACAGATGACTATTTAGATAAACCAGCAGGTCCTTGTTAAAACTGTGAAGGAGTCGATATTTATCTATTTTCTTCCTGCTTTGACTCATCTGTGGCATACCCACCCACCCTTTTCTGACTACCTTCTGCCAATCCATTCCCCCTAATAAAACAAGAACATTACACTTTGATTGTCATACCTTCCCACCATACAATACAATTACCCCCAAGGTATTCGCCTTAATTTAAATGTTTACTTTTCAGTACCAGAAAAATTTCACTTCCCTAGCTGCTTTGTCACTGATACTTTCACATCTGTTTATCAGTGAGATGATGAGGAAATAGTTTATCTCCATTTAAAAAAGATAATACTTCTAAAAATATTTTTCAGAAGCTAGCAAACTGGAACCACTCAAGTGAATATTTCTTCCTTTCTCCTGCTTTCCCTTTTCTCCGAAACTCAAACATCTAAGTATTTGGGTAGTTTGTGGAAAAATCCACCCTCTAATTGTTTTTGCCTTGGTTTCTTTTTTTATTTATTTTTTTGAGACAAAGTCCCGCTCTGTTGCCCAGGCTGGTGTGCAATGGTGCGACCTCTGCTCTCTGCAACCTCGCCTCCTGGGTTCAAGCAATTCTTCTGTCTCAGCCTCCTGAGTTGCTGGGATTACAGGCACATGCCACCACACCTGGCTAATTTTTTTGTATTTTTAGTAGAGACAGGGCATCACCATATTGGTCAGGCTGGTCTTAAACTCCTGACCTCAGGTGATCCACCCATCTCGGCCTCCCAAAGTGCTGGGATTTCAGGCGTGAGCCACCGCGCCCGGCCATTTTTGCCTTGGTTTCTTAGAAAACTGTACAGGAGCGAGTAATGTTCTCTGAGCCTTTCCCTACTCCTGACCCAGAAACTACTTCTCAGGGAATGATAAACCTCAGATGTAACTGTTTACAGCCCCTTTCCCAGGAGCTGATGGATACACAGGAATATATCTTAGCGTCTAGTCTCAGAGTATTTTGACTGGGCCTTGCCTTTCTGTTGTCTCTTTAAATCCGTATACTCTTATATGCACCTACTCACTATTTGTTTTCTCATTTTTCTGTGCCAGACAACTAGCAGCATTTAATCAGTAGGACCTTGCTTCAGGTACTGTGCTGACACTGGCAGTTATAAGGACAAAAAAGAAAATTTGGTCCCACCCCCATGAAATTGACAGTATAATGGAAGACAGGCACATAAGTAGGTATTTAAAATGTCTTATACAATGATAGGAATAAATTCAGAGAGCTATGGGAGCTGACTTGATATGAGTCATGGAACATCAGTTAAAGCTAGCAAGAAAAGGGGGCAGAGAATTGAGGGGCATGGTCAGGAGGATCCTGAAGAGTGAAACAGCACATACAACTGCCTAGGAGGGGTGAGTCAGTGGGCAAATTGGCAGGAGTTGGAGGTATTTCACTATGGCTTAGGCTTTTGCATTTTACCATGAGAGAATGTCAATGTGAGGATGGTAATGATGATTAATTACTAATGTTCAAAGTAATTGCAGATGCTAGAAAAAAACTTTAATCTAGAATAGTTATACAAAAGTAATACTAAATATAGATATTTATAATAACTTTTATACTTTGTATCTAATTAGAATAGATCATGTGTGTTGAGAATCATGCTTCTAGATCTAAAAGGGACCTTGTGGATCAACTAAGCCACTTACTCAGTTTACAGATAAAGAAAACGAGGGTCAATAGTAATAAGTGACAATTTCAAGGTTGGCCTGCTAAAAGCAGAATGAGGATACTGGATTATTTAACATGTACACTATCAACTTAGTTGTAGTATAATTTTACTATAATCATAAACTCTATTTACATTTATTTCAATAAATGGTATTATTCATGGGGCACATTTACTTGTTCACCTTCAATTACTCCTATACTTCAATTGAAGTTTTCAGGGCTTTGGTTATAACATAATGATCAGTCATAGAGCCTATTTTATGTTATTCCTATTCCAGTTTTCTATATAGGAATTTGGATAACTAAAATACTTCCACTAAGTTTTCGGAGAATATGTGGACCATGACTTATCAAAATAAATCTGTACATATATAGAATAGTGAGAATCCACATAACACAATTCTGAAATTAATCAGTTCATTGTTGGGCTTTGTAAAGATAAAAGCTAGTGTTTGCATTATTTAAGCATTATCATCATTGGCAAATGTATTATAGTGTGCTCCAAACAGGATTCACCCTAATAGACAATGAGATAAATCATTTATTGAAGCAGTAAAGATAGTACTGCACTAGAGAGAACAAATGGAAATCTCAAGAGAAACTGAATGGGTATTACACAGGCTGATACCACAGTTTAATCCTCCCCTGTTCAATCACCAAATGCAAATGGAAAGTTGTTTTAAGGCAAAATTTAATCTCTTTTGCATCTGTTCTCTAAAGCCTTGTGTTAGACGGATATCTCACCGCAGAGCTGACATCCAAACAGGTTCAGAAGAATGCAAATCTAGCAGTAGAATGAAACCAAAGAACTCTGAAATTCGATTATTATTTCCTCCATTGTCATATTTCAGATTTCAATTTCCTGAATTGAGGAAGCAAGACAGCAAAATTCTCAATATCATCATTAGTGGAGAAGGTTACATAACTCCTGAAATGTCTTTTCCTCAGTAGAAGTATATTGAAAATCTAGAGAGAGAGGAACACAGGGCCTCAGTTACAGAATAACAGAATATCAGGTTTCTATCCTTGACTAGCCACATACCACATTGTTCAGTCTCAAACTATATGTACACACACAAAAAAGAAGACAAGAATAACACAATGCTTCTTTGTTAGATGGGACATTACCTTAAGTCCCAATTAAGTTTCCCAAAAGCTAGTCTGGACCATGTGGAAACCCCTTTTTGCTTTGGTAGAGGTGCTTTTTACCTAAAACCAAATTTTTTCAAGTGGAGTACTTTGTATTTCTTTTAAGCTCACTCTGAATCTCAACTCTTCACATTCCAACTGTGAGAAAAAGCTGGCCTAGAAAGAAAAAAAAAAAAACTGGTAGCAAGAAAGAACCGCAAAGAAGTGCAAAGGAGCTGGGACAGATGCTAGGACTCTTCTCAAGTGTGACCTCTTTGTAAGGCACTGGAGTGCTACCCTGCTGGAGAGGAGAGCATTCAGAGAGCCAGAAAGAAACAATTGTCTTCACGCAGGCTTCGTTATACCTGTAGTACTTTGGTCAATAAAATGTTCTTGGCATCTAACCATGATTATCCTCAGGGCAAGAAGCAGGAAGATCCTCAATCTCTCTCCCCTAAGGACTACTGGAGTACAAGATGTGATCAGCAAGATACCAATTAGTGGTTATCAAAATCTTCTGCCATCAAGTTTGTTTTACCGTAAGCTAAGTTTGCATAAGATCTCTAGCACTGGCTAGCATCTGGTGTGGGGGCCTGTGGATCACTCTTCCACCTACTTACTTCTGGAATTAGAAGCATAGGTTCACAGTATGTTGGAGTTGGAAGGGACCCTGGAAGGTAGTCTAATTTATTAAATGTTTGAATCCCTTTCACTCCATTCTGGCAAGGTGGTTATCATTACTCCTTGAATACCTCATGAAGAGTGAATGAAGGATGGAAAGATGGAAGGAAAAGAACATTGATTAATAGATACTATGTAGCAAGCTGTGTGCCAAGAAGTTGTACATATTTTATCATTTAAAATTTACATCAGTTTTGTGGATTATTTTATTTAATAAGTTTCAACAGATAAGAAGAAAAGTTCAACTTGCCAAGAGGTCCAAGTATAAGTAGTCATTCTAAGATTTGTTATCCAGTCTTTCTGGACTCCAAATGTCATTTTTTACACAGCAACTTTTACATTTTTAATCTGAGGAACACCGTTTACTTGGCATGTTTAAGGTATTGTTGAAAAAGGATAATGAAGCAATTTTGATAAACACTGAGACGAACACATCAGAATACCATGTATATATATTTTAAATCACAGTATTTATTGGGTAAGTGTTCTCTGTGTTTCTCTCTATTTAACGTTTGTTGACTGTTTATGAAGGCACTGTTCTAAGGATTTTAAGAGTGTTATTTCATTTACTATTCACTGCAGTTTTATCATTAGGTGATGTCATCACAGGCACAGGGGTTGATTAACTTGCCCGGGGTCGCCCTGTTGGTAAATGGTAAAGCCATGATGTTTAACCTAGGGTTACTCAGTAGTGTAAACTTTTAGCCACTACACTATACTGACCCCCTGGATGGTATTCTCTGTTTCCTTAGCTAAATGTACCACAAATATGAGGACTACTATTCCCTATGTCACCTCCAGTGCCCAAAGTAATACCAGAGAAAATCTTGAAGGATAGAAAATACCAATATATTCAATAGTATCCACAGAGGATAGCAGAGACTGTGATAGATACTTACTATTTAATATTTTATCAAGTGGCTGACCATTTTTAACATATGTTAATAGTTATATTTGCAGAAGAGAAAATTATTGTGATAAAAATTAAAAGCAGAATGCTTAATGTAACAATTATTTAAGGAAGCAAGTATTTTACTAGTTAACTATTCTTTTTGCTATGATTAAGAATTAATTTTAATAAAAATGGAGGCAAGTAATATTTAATTGGAACTTCTGAAAGATTATTTTAAATTTTGACTAAAAATGTGATACAAGTATTTTATAAAGTTAAAAAAATTCTACAATACAAAGGCAACTGCTTCAAATCTACTTTTATTTAAAATATAATTAATAATTATTATAGCAACTATTTGTTGAGCTCTTACTAGTTGCAAAGCACAATGAAAGTTGCTTTCAGAAAATCTCTATAAAGTTGCTATTTTATCCCTGTTTTGCAGATGAGGAATCAGGCCAATAATTTGTTTGTTTTGTTTTTTTAAATAAGTATGAGGGAGAGCTGGGAATCAAGTTCAGATCTCTTTGAGAGAGCACTTAAGTTTGTCTACGGAAGGATAATTGATGTCCTAATTGGGAGTGGAAGGTGCTAAATTTAGTTCTAAATGAAGTGTGTTTGTGGTTCATGTGAAACTTGCTGGTGGAGATCCTTAGTGGGAACTTGAAATGTGAATCTGGATTTAGGAGATTGTTTGATGAGTGCTTAGCATATAAATGGTGATAAAAACCCTGAGTTCAATTGTAAGAATCATGAGAAGTGTGGGAGCAGAAATGAAGATCAGACTCTAAGAAGAATGAACTCATTAAATTGTATACTTTCATATAGAACAATTGATGAATAATACTATGTACAGATAGTGTGCAACCAAAGAGAAGCTGGTTACAATATGCAATTCATGTTACATAAATATGTTACATAATTCTTTTATTCACAATAAAATATGCTCAGGAAAGAAAACATATGGGGTTTTAACTTTCACACCCAGTAAGTCTTCAGTAAAATAATAAAAACATAAAAGCTCAATATCTTTAATTCATTTTCAGTAAACCATATATAATCAAAGTAAAAACGTAGGTGTAGTTACATCAACCATGAATAGGAAACATAACTTAAAATTTCCAACCAACATCGGCGTGAGATAACCAAAAGAAAGAGGAACTCATTTTACAATATTTTTAGTTTTCAATGCAAATCGTAAAATAACAGCAGATCTCTTGCTCGAGTCTAGCCTAATCACAACACAATGGCCACAATGCTTCTTTAAAAATTTAAGTCAGATTTTCTTCCTCCTCTTCTTCTCAAATCCCTTAGTGGCTTTTCTGGCTATATCCAAAGTCCTTACATCTACCTATCAGGTCCCACGTAATTGGCTTCCCATTACTTCTCTGCCTTCTTCCCTTTCTCTCCTTCTTCTTCAATATTCTCCAGCTACAGTGCTGAGTTTGCTGTTGTCTCGAAAATGTCACGTGGGTTTTTGCCTGAGTGCCTTTCCCCTAGCTGCTCTAACTGGCTGAATTATCTTCCCCAGGTATCTGCTTGTCTACCTCCTGCACATCTTCAAGGCTTTGCTCACATGTCAGTTTTTTAAAAAGTCAGGGTAAGATTTATTTAAAAAGACCCAAACTACCACTACCAGTTGCCCCTTCTGTCTGTCTTCAGCCTTCATCCCCTTACCTTACTCAACTTTTTTTGGTACCATTAATATCTTTAATATACTATATAATTTATTTGTAGTATTTTATCAGATTTAAGAATCAACAATTTTAAGCCATTTTTATTTTATGTACAACTAAGGAAGAAAAAAAACTGCCTATGAAACCATGATATTCCATCAATGTTTAGATAAACCTAGGTTCTATAGATGTTAAAATGTGAAAAATTCATCTAGGACTTAATGAAATGCATATTTATTATGTCTCTTTTTTTTCTCCATTTCCCTATGCCAGAATGTAAGTCCATAATGGCAAAGATCTTTGTCGTTTTTTTTAATCCACTAATATATACCCCAGATGCTTAGAATAATGCTTGGCAAGTAATAGGTTCTCAATACATATTTGTTAAATGAGTTATTATTTAGAGAGAAGTCACCTTGGACTAAGTAAAAATCAAATAAGAGGAAGAATAGATGTCACCCAGAAATTATAAGCTGGTAGCAAAGGGGCTTAAAGATATTTCTTTTGGATGAATCATCTCATGACTTTAGATAATTGCCTTACAAAGTTGAGGATGAGCACAGTTATAGTAGTATATGAAAATGGTAAATCATGTTATCTACATTAATTTCTACATTAGTTATCTATTGCTGCATAACAAGTTGCCCCAAAACTTAGCAACTTAATACACATTTCTTACCACATACTTTTGTGGGTTATGAATCTGGGCCTCGCTAATAATATGGCAACTTGCTATATCGAAACATGCAAACCAAGAAAATAGTAGAGAGAATCTCTTGGCAAGATGAAAGTCATAATCTTTTGTAATCTAATTATGGAAACATCATTCCATCACCTTTGTTGTAGTCTATGGGTTAGAAACAATTACTAAATTCAGCTTACACTCAAAGAGACAGATTATACAAGGTCATGAACAGCAGGAGATGGGGATCATTGAGATCTATCTTAGAAGTCTGCCTACAACATTAGGTAAAGACATCCAAATTACATGTACAGGAAGGAGGGTGTGTTTGCCTATGGAAGTTCTAGGAAGATGCTTTAGTCGACACATCCTAGAGTACATATTGAAAGATGTTCTAAGTGGGCCTCTTCTCCCTCACTTTCCATCGTTAGTGGTGAGTTTCTGATATTAATCCCTCTCTGACCGTAGTTGATTGAATGATGGGCAGATACCTGACTCAAACCAGGCTGGTTAAATTCTGGCCAATAGATTTTGAATTCAGACTAACAAACTCAGTATTGCTCTGAGAGGTGCCATAAACTTGGGAATTGTGACTTGATAATCCTCTGTCACATGGAATGAGAAGCCAGAAAAAGATTTGCAGAAAGGAAAAGACAAAAATGTTTAGATAAACCTAGAGACAAAAAAAGTGTCTAATGGATTTCCCATTCACATTTTTAGCCATTTCTGTAATAAGTTTTCGTGAGATCCTTCTATTTTGTCACACATTTCCACTTTCTTTTAAACTAAAGCAATCTCAAGTTGGTTTTGTAACTCGCAACTAGAGTTCATACTAATTATCTCTTTAGAAAGACCTTCAAGATGCCTTTGTTACCATCACTGTGAATATGGCACACTGTGGTGCCATTCCCTGACAAAGGCATAGGAAAATCTTGAAGAGAAAAGAAGGCCTTGAGCCTTCAGTCTAAATTACAGCACAATTTAAATTCTCAGCAAAGTGGTTATTTTGTTTCTTTACTTCACTCTTTATAAGATTTTGAAAGAGAGCATGTCAAGCAGGAATAGGTTAATAGGTTTTTAAGACCCCCTGTGGAATTAAATAGATAGGAGTCTGAATGGTGGAATTGTCTCAAGGCACAACTAAAGCATAATGGCTTCTGTCTAGTCATCTCTTATGCATGCAATACATTTGTTTACTCAAAACTGGAAACAAAAGAAAAATAATATAATATATGGTTCTTAAAAATTGGCTTAAACTAACAAAATAATATTTGTAGGGTTGAATGCAAACTTTATCTGTAACCATGATTCTGTAAAGGTTTTTCAGATTTTCTGCACTGCAGGAAAAAAAAATCACAGAATGTTCTAGGAATCTGAAAATACATAGACTATAAAAGAATGAGTAATACATGAAGTGTTGTCTACATTGCCATTTCCATTTGAATTGTTTAATCAGCCTCTAATCTTTTTCCAAAACATTCTTAAATACCAAGTCCCCTCTCTAACCAATATTGAGCCAAAAACTGAGTTTGGAGCCATTGTACTAAAGTGTCAACTCTGTTTATTTTCTTTCTTTTATGTGTGTGGCTCATATTTTATGCTCAGTTGCTCTTATGAATACTAGGTGCCTATCTTTACATGCAGCAATCTTCCATATCTTTGGCCAGTGATTTCCAAGACAATGATAGCTGCATAGTATTGATTTGCTTTGATATTGTTGACCCAGAAGAGATCTTGTCAAAAAGGTCAGATTACATGCCAAGACAAAATAAAATACTGAGAAAGGCAATTTTAAAAAAAGAACACTTAGAACTCAGTGAGGTATGTTAGAGAACTTTTCCCATCATTCATATTCCCATTTAGGACAAAAGGGTTGTCCTTGGTGAAAGGGGTCAACTAAGCCAAGAACTGAAGTTTCAATGAACAGATCTTGTATTTACTGTGTGTTCCTGAGCAAGTTACTTCAGGAAAAAGTTTTTGTGGGAAAAAAAATCTCTGGGCTTAATTCACTGATGATTGACATAATCACATTAGTGGAGGAAATTTGCCATCTGTAAGTGGCATCCGCTGGGATGCGTAGGTGTGTGTGGGTTGCCCACAGGCCTCATGGGCAAGTTTCTGCTGAGCTGTCTTCAGCTCAGAGGCTAATTAAAGATGAGAAACTGCCATATTGAAATAGAGCCATGGAAAGATCAGAAAATATTATTAGCTTCATCATAAATCAAAATTGTTATGGAACATGGCAATATTACTTTAATACAATAGTATCTTGAAGCATATAATGAATTTCTGTAAATTCACAATTTTCTATCAACTTTCAGTGCTACCACCTTAGATTAGTTTCTGGTGATTCCACATATACATCACTACAGACATCCTAGTGGTTATACCGACCTTTAATTTCTGGTGTTTCTAGTGCATTTTGCAGGATTCTACCAGATTATTCCACATTTATGAGAGCTACTTCTCAATTGAGGATCACCATTTACTTTCAAAGAATAACAGCATCATACACAAGGGCTCACCTTTGTATTAAACTCCTCTTCCTCTCCTCCCTGTTCACTTTCTTTTTCTTCACTGTTTATCTTTCCCACTCCTTTTCCTCTTTCCTCTTCTCTCCTCCCTTTTTTTCCTTGCCCTTCCCTTTTTGTGTTATTTCCACTTATACTATGTCTTGTCTTTCTTTCTTTCTTTTATGTAATATGGTCATTACACTGCCTTTTATTTAGAAAAAATTTCCTTCCTTTTTCAAAATTCTAAAACTGAAAAACTGAAAACCAAAATAAATTTCCAAAAAATGCTTTTGGAGCAAAACTAAACTGATGTGTCTATTTTTCATCCTTATTTATCTCACTGAGCGTGAATAGTCAGACACTATTCCTGCAGAAATACAGATATGTTTGACTACTTAAACTTCACTTAAGCCTCTGAGGTAAGCACACTCTGCTACCTTTATAAAATTGAAAAAATCTGAGTTCTAAAAGACATCTGGCCTGGAGAATTTGATAGTAAATTTTCGATCTATCATCCAAACAGTTTTTACGATTGTTACTGCTACTGTCATGCATCACTTAGTGGTAAGGATATGTTCTGAGAAATGCAACCTTAGGTGATTTATATGATATCTTGAGAACATCATAGAGTATACTTCCACAAACGTAGACGGAATAGCCTACTACTAACCAAGGCTATATGGTATAGCTTATTGCTCCTAGGCCACAAACCTATACAGCAAATTTCTGTACTGAATATTGTAGACAATTGTAACACAATGGTATTTATGTATCTAACCATATCTAAACATAGAAAAGATACAGTAAAATACAGTATAAATGCTAAAAAAAAAAAAAAAAGTGATACACATGCATAGGGCACTTACCTTGAATGGAGCTTGCAGGACTGGAAGTTGCTCTGGGTGTCAGTGAGTGAGTGGTGACTGAATGCGAAGGCCTAGGACTTTACTGTACTCTACTGTAGACTTTATAATTACTAGATACTTAGACTACATTAAATTTATAACAATTTTTCTTCAATAATAAATTAACCTTAGCTTACTGAGCTTACTATAAATTTTGTATTTTATTAATTTAATTTTTTTTAACTTTTTGACTCTTTTGTAATAGCATTTAACTTAAAACACAAATGAAAATACTTTATTTATTTATATCCTTATTCTACAAGCTTTTTTTCTATTTCAATATTTTTTTTTCTTTTTACACTTTTTTTTTGGTTAAAAACAAAGACACCAACACATATTAGCCTAGGCCTACACAGTGTCAGGATCATCAGTATCACTGTCTTCCACCTCCACATCTTGTCTCACTGGAAGGTCTTCAGGGGCAGTAACTTGCATGGAGCTGTCATCTCCTGTGGTAACAATGCCTTCTTCTGGATGCCTCCTGAAGGACCTGCCTGAGGTTGTTTTATAGTTAGCTTTTAAAGATATATAAGTAGAAGGATTATGCTCTAAAATAATCATAAAAGTATAGTATATTAGATACATAAACTGGTAACATAGCCATTTATTATCATTATCAATAATTTTGTATTATACATAAATATATGTGCTATACTTTTATACAGTAGGTTTGTTTACATAAGCATCACCAGTAACGTGTGTAATGCCTTGTGCTACAACATTAGGATGGCCTACAATATCATTAGGCAATAGGAATTTTCCAACCTCATTATAATCTTATGGGGCCACCATTGTTTATGCAGTATGTTGTTGACCAAAATGCTGTTACGTAGTGCATGACTGTGATTCTAAACTGTCCATTGCTTCCTTTTTTCCACTAGCATATTACATTTCTATCCAAACATCATTTACATTATAAAATGAATAACATCTCTCCACAAACATAAGGGGGAAACCACCCATAATTACACAACATTTTAATACAATAATAAGCAAAAGGCCAACATAGAAATAATAATAGTATAAAAGAGAGCAGGAGGAAACTTTTGGAGGTGATAGCTAGCTTTATGGCACAGATTATTATGATGGCTCCACAGGTGTGTAGTTCTCTCCAAACTCGTCAAGTTGTATACATTAATTATATACAGGTTTTAATATGTCAATCATAACTCAATAAAGAGGTCTTTTTTTAAAAAAGTAGGCAAAAGGCTAAATGCTACCCAACCAGAGTAATTACTGCAAGAGTTTGGAATGTAGCTTTTTAGTTTCCCCAAGTTTGCATAACAGTATGTCTATGAGTTATACATACTCTAACATATACACATATTTATAATGAAAACTTATGACTGTGCTATTTGTGGTTTCATATGATATTATTTTATAATCTTTCAAACTTAGCACCAACAGATCCCCACAGTTCCTTTTAATGACTGCACAGCATTCTAATATTGCAGTTGCAGCATAATTTATTTTTTCTCTCACAGATGAACAGAATATACTATTATACTGTGTAAACACCCTTAAACATATATCTCTCTAATGAGAATAGACTTATAAAAGGAAAACTGCTTAGTGAAATAATAGGTAAATTTTAAATGTTAACATTTAATTACAATATTTCAAAATATTGTATTAATTTGCATCCTTACTAATAGTATATTAGAGGGCCTAACACCCTGAAAGCACTTGATGTTGTGAAACTTTTTATCCCCTGCCAATCTGATAAGTGGAAAAAGAAGTCTCATCTTTATTTTTATTAACATTTTCCTGTTTACAACTCAGGCCAACCATATTTTCATTTTTTCTGCTCATGCTCTTGTTCCAACTCCTTCTCTTTCTTGCATTTCTAGTTTCTTTATCAGAGCATTCTCCTTTCATTAAAAAAATTAATTTGTGGAAGCACTTGGTAAAGTACAAATACCAACCCTTTTCCATCTTTTGCAAAATAAGATTCTCATAGACTTTCTGTTGCCTTAAACATTCTTTATGTTGTTTATAGATACTTTCTTCTGACTGACATAGTCAAGCTCTCTATTTTTCCCTCTTGATAGCATTTTGATTTTCTGTTTTATTTGAGGTCACTTCTCAGAACTTTTATAACTATTCTCCTATATTTCATTCAAATATATTTTTAGTTTTATTTTTAAAATTTGGACCTTTAATTTATCTGGAATTTAACCTTTTATATTGTGTAAGGATTTTTTTTTTAAAACAGCATCAGGTGGAGGTTTAACTTCTTCCAATCTTCAAATCAATTATCCAGCTGTCTCAATAACATAAGAAACCAGTCCAATAGTCCTATAGACATATTTTTGGATAAACATAGAAATGGACCCTTCTGGTCTTAAAATTTGAAACTCACATTTGTTTTACCTGAGTTCCTTCCTCAGGAAATAACCTTCAGATCTTTCAAAAACCATCAAATAATGAAACTCTTTGTATCAGCACATCCAGACAATGAGATGCCAGATTCCTCAATCATCATGATTGCTTCTTTACCCCTCCATAGTTCCTATTTTCCCACACATAGTTACATTTCTTCCCTGCTATATAAACCCCTAATTTAGTCTGTCAGCGAGATAGACTTGAGATTGATCTCTCATCTTCTTGGCTGCTGCACCTAATTAAAGCCTTCTTCCTTGGCAATACTTGTTGTCTCAGTGATTGGCTTTCTGTGCAGCAAGCAGCAGGACCCAAAGCTAACCCCTCATGTTTCAGTAACACCTATATGGAATAATCCAAATTTCTTCAGTAATTTGACTTGCCACATTTATGAAATAATATATTTCCTGCTACAATGAGTTACTTGTTTGATCTTATTCTAGTAATCCATTTATTAGGATAGCTTCATAAAGTATTTTACAATATGTTAGGTCACATTATTTTTCAAGATTTTCTTGAGATTCACATAATTTATAAACATAAAAAGTTAACTTTGACTAATTAAAATATAGAATTTTATTTAATACAGTGTTGTGTGTATATATTATTTTTCTTAATTTTTGATATTTTTATGAAAAATATCATTTCGTGAATTTTTTCAGGTCATGCTTTGTGTCCTTAATTTGCATGGTTTTTCTCTTGATAAATATATTTTAATTTTAATATATTTAGTATTTTATTGCTATTGTGGAAGTATATCTCCAGCTTTATTTTTTTTTGAGTGGCTATTGAAAGAGTAAATTAAAGCTGTAGCTCCTTGTAAATGTATTTTATGTACATTTGTATTACCATATTCTTTAAAGTTCTATTTTTGTTGTTTAGAGTCATTTAGATTTTCTAGCTATATAATTTGATTGATGAGAATGGATAATGATTTTGCTTCCTCTTTTGCAAAGCATATATTCCTTGTGACCAACAGAGTAGCCTAGTTTACTGTGCAGTAACAAATAACTACAAAATTTCAGTGACTTGAAACAGCAAAAAGATACTGTTCACTCAAGCTACATTTCCATTTTGAGGAGCTGTGCTTGGCATTATTCTCACTGAGACCTGTGTAAAAAAGGTAACCACAATCTTGAATAGCTTTGAGCTCTGTGTCAGAGGGAAATAGAACCATCGAGAGTCATGTGTTTTCTCTCAAATTACCAACTGGAAGTAGTATATATGGCTTCTGTTTACATTCCATTAGCTTAAGCAAGTCACATGTCCACATCTAATTTCAAGGTTGTAGGAAATCCAATTCCTGTGCCCAAATGGAAAACTTGATAATTAAAACAGAAACTATTCGGGAGTGAACAACAATGAATACATTGCGTATTATAATTTGTAGATTGCAGCTAAATAAAAATTTACAGGAAGTATTTCTTAGGCAAGCAAATGAATTAAGCATTTAGTTAAAAATCTATAAGCTCAAAAGTAATGAAAACATGTGTCCATATAAAAAACTGTACATGTGTTCTGGTCAGTATTATTCATAGTAACCAAAAAGTAGAACAAACCCAAATGACCATTAACTGATAAATAGATAATTAAAATGTGGCTTATCCATATAATGCAATGTTATTTGGCAATAAAAAGAAATGAAGTACTGATACATGCTACAACATTAATTAACCTTAAAAATATATGACAAGTGACAGAAGCTATATTCAAGGACCATATATTGTATGATTCTATTTATATGGAAGTCTAGAATCAGAAATCTATAGAGACAGAAAGTAGATGGCAGTTACCTAGGCCTGGTGGAGGTTGAAGGGAATGGAGAATGACTGTTAAGGGGTTTGCTTTTGTGGTGACAAGAATGTTCTGAGATTGATTGTGGTGATTGTTGCACAATTCCAAATATATTAAAAGCCTATGAATTGTGTAATTAAAGTGGGTGAATTGTATGGTATGTGAACTATCTGTCAATATAGCTGTTACTTAAAAACTATAAAAGGGATAGTGTATCTAAATAAAGTAGATGAAGGATACTATGAATATGACAGAGATAATAAATAAAACCAAAGTGCACTGCTTGAAAAGATGCAGAATGTAGTCTAGCGAAACTGAACAAAATAGGGGAAAGGAGAGAGGGAAGACACAAAGAGAAAACACTAGAACTTAAAATAAGACTTGGAGAGCTATATGGATAATAAACATATAAACTATGCCCAACTGCATTAGTCATCAAGGAAATGCAATTTAAAACTGCAATCTGATACTACTTATGGATTCATGAGATTGGCTAAAATGATAAAATAGAGTACCAAATGTTATTGAGAATACAGAGAAAATGAGACTCTTATATGCTGTGATGGGAGAGCAAAGGCATAACTTCTTTGGAAAATTTCATTAATATTATACATTAAAACTAAATATTTGCATAGCCAATGATCTGGAAAATCTATTCTCAGGAGTCTATTTATTTTCCCATTAGCCTATGATTTAAGTGGTTTTTTGTTTCTTTTCTTTTTTTATTTAAATTTCCAGACATATACATTAATAAGTATATTATTATGATTTATTTTTAGTTTTATAGTATAGCAATCAGAGAATGCATTCTACATTACCTTAATTCTTTGGAATTTATTCTCTTGTAGCCTAATACATGGTCAAATTTTGTAAAAGTTTCATGTATTATAGAAAAAAATGTATCTTTGTTCAGTGGAAGATTCATTATATAGCTATTAGATCAAACATTTTCCTCTTCCAGTATTATTAATTTTTTGTTTTCTCATTAGCTAAAATGATTTCTTTTAGAAACAAAGTGTTGGCCAGGCCTGGTGGCTCAGGCCTGTAATCCCAGCACTTTGAGAGGCTGAAGTGGGCAGATCACTTGAGGCCAGGAGATTGAGACCAGCCTGGACAACATGACAAAACTCCATTTCTACTAAAAATGCAACAAATTAGCCAGGCATGTGGTGCACACCTCCAATCCCAGCTACTTGGGTGGCTGAGGCACGAGAATTGTTTGAACCTGGGAGGTGAAGGTTGTAGTTTGCCAAGATCACGCCACTGCACTCCAGTCTGGGTGACAGAGTGAGATTCAGTCTCAAAAAAAAAAAGCAAAGTATCAAATTGTTACTGTGATTGATTATACATTTGCCCATACTTCGTTTCTTTTCTTTTCTTTTTCTTTTTTGAGACTGAGTCTTGCTCTGTTGCACAAGCTGGAGTGCAGCGGCTCAGTCTCAGCTCTCTGCAACCTCCGCCTCCTGGGCTCAAGCAATTCTCCTTCCTCAGCCTCCTGAGTAGCTGAGATTACAGGCACACACCATTGTGCCCAGCTAATTTTTGTATTTTTAGTAGAGACAAGGTTTCACCATGTTGCCCAGGCTGGTCTTGAACTCCTGACCTCAGGCAATCCACCTGCCTCAGCCTCCCAAAGTGCTGGGATTACAGGCATGAGCCACTGCGCCCAGCCTTTCTGTTTGTTTTCTTATTTTATAGTCCCAGATTATGTAATTGGGAATCATGTACCTTCATGTTTTCCACAAATTCTTGATCGATTGTCCCCTTTATTGGTATTATGAAAGATCCCTCCATCTCCCTGTAAAGGTTACTCAACTGAAGTTGTTTTGTATTTATTATGTTGGTGTTATTGTATGCATGTATATATGGGCAATATTTCCTAATATAGTAAATATATAGAATAATATATTACTATAGGCAAATATATGCTGTTCCTGCATATATATATATATATATATATATATATATATATATGTGTGTGTGTGTGTGTGTGCGTGTGTGTGTATATGGGATTATATATATATGGGATTATATATATATGAGATTATATATATAATATATATATCCTTCTCCCTTTATCTATACATAAATATATATATGGAAATATATGTTTCCCAACAAAGATATATTTTGTACATTACAAAGTATACATTTCCCTCTCCCTTATTTGTCTCCTACAAATAGCCAAAGCTGGATTTTATCTTTTTATTTGGCTTTAGAAGTTCCATCTTTTAATCGGAAATTTTCACCTATATGCATTTAATATTATTATTAACACACTGAGGCTTATCCCTCTAATTTTATTTTATGCTTTATATTTGCCATATTTTTTCTTCTTTTTTTATTATCTTTATTTCTCCTCTTCTAGTTGAGAAATTATACATAATATTTTTATTCTTCTAGTATCATCCCAAACTTTTGTAACAGAAATATTTAAATTTATATTTATCTACCCAAATCTAAAGTCTATAAATATCTATATCCTTTTCCTGAATAAACAAACACTTCAGCATTAAGGTTTAGAAAGTTTAAATTTAGGGCAATCTCTGAAGGGTCATCTCAGCTTCAGAGCTCTGTGTGACATTGACTAAGGCTGCTGTTGCAAAAGAATTTCAGCTTAACTTCTCCCTTTGCCCAATCCTACTTTCATTGTTTCCTCATGGCACTTTTCAACAAACATCAAAACACAAATCTTAGCAACTCAGAATATGCCTCCTAGGAAAGCTGACCTGCAATATAGAGGCGGTCTTTAATCTGAGCACATTTTTATCCTGTGCTTTTAATGATTTGCACCTAATTCAGCATTTGAGTTAATTCCCTAAAATACACAATTTACTGCTTTGAAGTTTTTTTTTTTAATTTCAGTTTTTATTTTAGATACAGGAGGTACATTTATAGGATTGTTACATGGATATATTTGACCCAGATGGTGGGCATGGTACCCAATAGGTAATTTTTCAATCAACGCACCCCTCTCTCTCTCTTGCCCCCTCGTCCAGTAATACCCAGTGTCTATTGTTCCCATGTTTATGTCCATGTCTGTTCAATATTTAGCTCCCACTTATAAGTGAGAACATGCGGTATTTGGTTTTCTGTTCCTGCATTAATTTGCTTAGGATTATGTTTCTAAGTTTAATATGACACAAACTCTTCAGACTTGATCGTTTTACTCTATGAACAAAAAGAAAAAAAAGGTGCAATTTAAAATATATTCATATTTTAAAGAAAGTGTTTAAAGATAAGTTTATTTTTATGTTTAACATTATTTCCAAAGATTTAATACTGCACACAAAGTACATATAATAGGGGAAGATCAGCAAATATATAAAACAAAATAATTTGATTTACAGTAATAGCAGATGGTGGCCACCTGCCGTTTGTGTTAAATATGAGTCATGTTCAGCAATGCCATCATTTATGAAACTAGAGATAGTCCCTATTTTCTATTTCTAATTTGCAGAATAGGCATAAATGAATAAAGACATGACAGGTTTGGTGATTAAAAGAGTGGCAGAGTTTTAAATTCACTACATTAGTGAGTTCATTATGAGTTGCTTCATTGCAGCTTAGTAATGCAGGGACAGTTGGTATGGATTAAATTGGATATTGTATAGTTATCATCCTTTTGACATATGGGCTCCCTGGTGGGGTAACACCTGCTTGACTTTATTCAAGGAAATCTAAAGAAAATATGGAAGAATAGGCATAAAAGCATACTGAACACTAAAATGTAGATTAAATATGATTTTAGTCATGCTACTTGGCATTTGGAGACCCGTCAAGCACCAGGGGGTGTGATCATTGTGACTAAGATACCAGAGTAGTGGATGTCAAATTACCCATAATATAAAATATCTTCAAAACATAAGTAAAGTCTTCCTGTAATAAGCCTCAATTCTACTATGTAGATGTAAAATTAATCTGAGTTAATTCCAAAGACAGCTGTTGGTGGATATAATGACAAGAGCATGGGACTTCGCAGTTCTGCCCACCGAAGATAAAGTTCTGTTCCACAGGTGAATTTTACATCTCTGGCAATTTGTTTGCTATAAAATATATGGAACCTAAATTACTGCAGAATTTTGGTGGGTGAAATAATATTGTATGTATCACACCTCCTACAACAAACTGGGGACCCATCAACTATTTCTTTAAATTATATTATGAAAATAAGGAAATATTTATGTATTACCAACCTTTTCCAGAATAGGACTGTACTTTACAGTGATGCATAAAATATGACTGAAGAGCATGTATTGGAACTTAATGAAAGATATTTAAAAACAAACAAGAAAATGGAGAAAAACAGAAAGCAAGAAGAAGACTATGATGAAAATTTTAGCAGCCTACAAATAACCTATATTTATGCCTCAAATTTTCTGAAGCTTACATGCAAAAGGAGACCCTGTTGGTTATACAGTACAATATTATTTACTCGGGGTAGTACGGAATATCTGTTCTTGGTATAAGAGCGGGAAAAGATTTCTCTTGAGGGTCTTCATAAAGAGAACATTGTTGGAAATGATAAACAGCATCCTCAATGGAATTCTTAAAATAGATGCAGTAGCAAGAGCTTTATAGAATTGTTCTAAATAGGTTTCTTGAATTATTTCAAGGGGTAACTCAATAAACATACTTCTGTACATGGAAAGGCGAGGGCAAGTCTAAGTCTTGCTTATCTGCTGAAGGGTACTGAGAAAGGGCAAAAGAAGCAATTGCAATCTAGGTAACTGGCTTAAAATAAAGACATATTTTAGGATATCTGAAAGAGTGAATGGCTTGTGCCCTGCATATAATTTATCATGAATTTGTTTCTTTCACAGATAAATTTTGAACAAATATAAAAGGGCAGTGAACTTAAAATTGTAATTTTTAGAAAATTCAAAATGAGGAGCTACTCTGTTGCTTGTTCTTTTTATGTAACAAAAGTTTGAGCCCCTACTATAATCCAAGTACTGTGCTGGGGACATACAGGACAATACTGTGATTTTGAATACTATATTTATCTATATGTGTATGCACATATGCCTATACATGTCAATGTATATCTATGCATCTACCACCCACAGATACCCCAAAGCCACTGCCTTTGTTGTCCCATAAAGCTGAAATTTAGTGTCCTTTGTCTACTGCAAGGCTGTTGTCCCATTTTTTACTACTGTCATATGAGTCACCCTTTAGCCCTTGTTAGCTGGGAAATCAATGGCAATCTTTTAAAAACCATACAAAACAGATTAAGAGGATCTAAAAGACTATGGAAGAGGCTCTCTTGTAACAACAACATGAGATTTGTGCATCAATATTGGCTTCCCAAAGACATTTTATATTTTCTCACTTGATGGGCTCTACACAGTTAGTGTGTATACAAATATAGTCAGACATATTAGATGAAAGATGTTTGGGTAATTTAAGTTTTATCCTTATTATAGTTGCATATTTTTCTTAACTTTGAGATTTGTTACTTATTTTGCTAAGGAGTAAAGAATGAAATTAATATAAACTTTTAGGGAATAGAAGTTGCTAAAAAAGATATTTATACATAAGATTATAATGAAAATGAAATTGATAATGATGGCTAGCATGTGCCACACACTTTAACTTTCAAATTTTCATTAATTCTCCCTAAATACACAGATTTATATCCTTTGTCTAAAAATGTCCTTGTATCATTCTCATTCTCAAGGACAGTTAGTTACTGAGTACACAATGCTAGGTGACATTTACTATAAGTTAGTTTTGCTGAATGTAAAAATACAAATCCCTTATGGCCAATGTGTCCTATTATCCATACAAAAGGTGCATACAATAAGACTTTATAAATATAGCATATGGCCTCTTTAATTCAGTATAATCCTGTGAGATTCATCTGTCTTATTGCATGTATCAATAATTTATTGTTAATGAGCAATGTTTCACAATAAGAATATATCACAAAAATTTTTTTCATTTTTATGACAATAGATATTTGAATTATTTCTAGTTTCTAGCTGTTATGAATAACATTTTTGTGAATTCCCAGTCTGCCAATCCACTATGAGACCACATCCATGGCCAGAGAAACAGGTCAATAGAGATGCCCCAGCAGACCCACTCATAAGTAGCCAAATAGCTATGTGCCCATGCCCCAAGCCACAGAAAGAGCCTAGTGGCCTCACTCTGTAAGCCAGTCTCCAAAGACTCACCATATGCATGTATGTATCACTGGCCTGAGAATCAGCATGACAAGCCCACCCCTGGCAAAGATGTGTCACCATTGCCCAAACTCCCAAAGCCTTGGCCACTGAGGCACTCATAAATATAGCTAGTATAGTTTAGAGCTGCAGAAACTACACAGAGCATATTACTATGTGCATCTAGAAACATAGCCAATCCACCCTACCCGACTAGATCACAGGACACATCTACAGGAATAAGTCTTTCTCTATGAAAGCTACTCCATAAAACTGGAAGAGGTGAGTGTTCCACCACATGCACAGATATCAATGTAGGGGCACAAGAGACATGAAAAAGCAAGAAACAATAATTATTTAGTAACAGAACACAACAATTCTTTAGTAACAGAGTTAGTAACACCCCCAAAGGAAATTTACAAAATGACAAAAAGGAATTCAAAATAATGATATTAAGGAAACTCAGTAAGATACAATACAATAGATATAGATAATTCAACAAAATTAGTAAAGCAATTCATGATCTGAATGACGTATCATTAAAAAAACTCCAGAAATCATGGAGCTGAAGAATTCAATAAATGAAATGAAAAATAAAGTCAAGAGCCTCAAGTGGAAAAAAGAATTTCTGAATTTGAAGAGAGGTCTTTTAAAATAACTCAGGCAGGCTGGGCACGGTGGCTCATGCCTATAATCCCAGCACTTTGGGAGGCCAAGGCAGGCGGATGACCTGAGGTCAGGAGTTTGAGACCAGCCTGACCAACATGGAGAAACCCTGTCTCTACTAAAAATACAAAATTGGCCGGACATGGTGGTAAAAGCCTTTAATCCCAGCTACTTGGGAGGCTGAGGCAGGAGAATTGCTTGAACCCAGGAGGCAGAGGTTGCAGTGAGCTGAGATCATGCCATTGCACTCCAGCCTGGGCAACAATAGTGAAACTCCATCTCAAAAAAAAAAAAAAAAAAAAAAAGAAAGAAAAAAGAATTTTTAGCAAACCCAAAGAAAGAAGCCTACAGGGATTGTGGGACACCATTAAATGAACAAATGTTTGCATTATTATGAAAGTTCCAGAAGAATAGCAGGAAAAAAATGTAGAAAACCTACTTGATAAAATAATAGCTGAAAACTCCCTATGTTTTGGGAGAGATATGGATACCCAGATCCAGGAACCCCAAATAGAATCAACCTAAAAATGTTCCCTCTGAGGAACATTATAGTCAAATTGTCAAAAGTCAAAGACAAAGAGAAATGTGCACAATAGGAAGAGAAAAGTGTCCAGTCACATATAGGGGAATCCCCTTTCAACTTAGAGCAGATTTCACAGCAGAAAATTTACAGGCCAATAATTGGGATGATATATTCAAAATGATAAAAGGAAAAAACCTGCTAGGCAAGGATACCATACCCAGCCAAGCTATCTTTCAAAAATGAAGGAGAAATAAAATCTTTCCCAGATCAGCAAAAATTGAAGATATTTATCACCAATAGATTTGCCTGACAAGAAATGCTTAAGGGAGTCTTACATATTGAAGAAAAAGGACTGTAACTACCACCATGAAAACACACAAAAACTATAAAATTCAATGGTAGAGCAGATGCACAAATGAAAAAGAGAAAGGAATTGTGCACTGTCACTACCGAAAACCTCCAAACCACAACGATAAACAATAAAAAAGGAAGAAAGAAACAAAGGATATATAACACAACCAGATATGATAGGAGTAAGTCCTCACCTATCAAAAATAAACTTGAATGTGGCCAGACATTGTGGCTATGAGCCAGATTCAAGATTTTATTTGATAGGTAAGGACTTACTCCTATCAAACACTTTGGGAGGCTCAGGTGACAGGATTGCTGAGCCAAGGATTTCAAGACCAGCCTGTGCAGCATAATGAGACCTCATCAAAAAATACAAAAAAAATTAGCCAGATGTGGTGGTACTTGTTTATAGTCCCAGCTACTCAGGAGGCCAAGGTGGGAGAATTGCTTGAGCTGATGAGATCATCAAGGCTGCAGAGAGCATTGATTGTACCACTGCACTCCAGCCTGGGCAACGAGGTGACGTGCTGTCTCTCGTCAACAACAAACAACAACAAAACCTAAAACTTGAATATAAATAGATTAAATTCCTAAGTAAAAAATATCACCTAGATAAAAAAGCAGGACCCAACTATATGCTGTCTATAAGAAACTCACTTCACCTGAAAAGAAACAAACAGTCTGAAAGTGAAGGGATAGAAAAGATATTCCACACAAACAGAAACCAAAAGCAAGCAGGAGTAGCTATACTTATATCAGATAAAGCAAACTTTAAGTCAAAACTGTAAAAACTGACAAATAAGATCATTATATAATGATAAAGGAATCAATTAAGCAAGAGGATATGACAATTGTAAATATATATGCACTCGGCAATGGAACACCAGATAAATAAAGCAAATGTCATTAGATCTAAAGGGAGAGAGAGATTTCTATACAACTTTAGGTGGGGACTTCGACATCCTACTTTAAGCTTTGGACAGATCATCTAGCCAGAAACTGAATAAAGATACATTAGTTTAAACTGCACCATAGAAAAAATGGATTTAACAGACTTTAAAGAACATTTGATCCAACAGCTGCAGATATAGATTATTTTTATCAGCACATGAAATATTCTGCAGGATTGACTGCATGTTAAGCCACAAAACAAATCTCAACAAATTTTCAAAAATTCAAACCATATCAAGTATCCTTCACAGTTAGAATATTCTAAAACTAGAAATTAATATAAAAGGAATTTTTAAATTATATAAATAATGGAATTTAGACAACACAGTCCTGAATGACAAAGAAACTAGGAAGGAAATACAAAAATGTATTGAAACAAATGGAAATATAACATGACATACCAAAACCTATGGAATACAGCAAAAGCAGTGCTAAGAGGGGAGTATAAAAGCAAGAACAACCCAAGCCCCGCAAATAGAAAGATATTCTATGGTTCATAAATTGGAAGGAATAATACTGTTAAAATGAACATACTACCCAAAGAGATCTACAGATTCAAGGCAATCCCTAATAATATACCAATAACGTTTTTCACAGAAATAGAAAAAACAATCTTAAAATCTGCATAGAACCACGAAAGACTCAAATAGTCAAAGCCATTCTGAGAAAAAGAGCAGAGCTGGACACATCACTCTACCTGACCTTAAAATATACTACAAAGCTGTAGTAACCAAAACTGAATGGTGTTGGCATAAAATCAGACACATAGACCAATGTAATGGAATAGATAACTCAGAAATAAATCACATATTTACAGCCAACTAATTTTTGACAAATGTACTAAGAGCATTAATTGAGGAAAGGACCGTTTCTTCAATAACTAATGCTGGGAAAACTGGATATCCAAATGCAGAAGAATGAAACTAGAGCCCCCATGTCTCACCATATACAAAAATCAACCCAAAATGGATACAGACTTAAAGGTAATACCAGAAACTATGAAATGACTAGACAAAAAAACATAGAGGAAATGCTTCAGGATATTGGTCTGGGCAAATATTTTATAGAAAAGACTTCAAAAACACAGGCAACTTAATCAAAAATAGACAAATTGGACCTTATAAAACCAAAATCATACTGCATAGCAAAGAGAACGATCAACAGAGTGAAGAGATAACCTTCAGAATGGGAGAAAATACTGTAACCTGTTCATCTGGCAATAAATTAATACCCAGAATATACAAAGTACTCAAACAACTCAGCAGCAACAAACAAACAAACATAAAAACAATCCAATTAAAAAATGGGAAAATTATCTTAGTATATTTTGTGTTGCTATAAAGAATACTTGAGACTAGGTAATTTATAAAGAAAAGAGGTTTATTTAGCTCATGGTTCTACTGGCTGGGAAATTCAAAGGCATGTCCTTGGCTTCTAGAGAGGGCTTTCATGCTGTGTCATAATACGGTAGAGAAGATCAAAGGGGAAACAGACACTTATGAAGAAAAAAAACCCAAGGGGCATTTTGACTTTATTACAACCAACTCTCATAGAAACATTCCCAAGAGAATGAATTGAATTGAGAGAGAGTGAGCGCGAGAGAGAATTCACTCACTCCCACAAGAATATCACAAGCCATTCATGAGGTATTCACTCCTATAACTCAAAAACCTCCCATTAGGCCCCACATTCCAATGCTGTCACATTGGAAATCAAATTCCAACCTGAGTTTTGCTGACGACAAACATCAACCATAGCACGATTGAATAGACATTTCTTAAAAGAAGATATACAAATGACCAATAAGCATATTAAAAAATACTCAGCATCACTAATTGTCAGAGAAATGCAAACCAAAACAACAAGGAGATATCATCTCACTCTGGTTAGAATGGCTATTATCAAAAAGACAAAAAAAAATAACAAATGCTGTCAAGGAAGCAGAGAAAGGGGAACTCATACACTGTTGATGAGAATGCAAATTAGTGTAGCCATCACAGAAAACAGTATGATGGTTCCTCAAAAACCTAAAATTAGAACTATCATTTGATCCACGAATCCCAATATTTGATATATATCTTAAAAAAGAAAATCAGTGTGTTAAAGAGACAACTGTACTTCCACGTTTATTGCAGGACTATTTACAATAGCTAAGATATGGGATCAACCTATGTGTCCATCAGCAGACGAATAGAAAAATAAAATTCGGTATATGTACACAATGGAATACTACTTAGCCATAAAATAGAATGAAATCCAGTTATTTGCAGCAACATCAATGATCCTGGAGCACATTAAGTGAAATAACTCTGGCACAGAAAAATAAATACTGTATGTTCTCACTTATATGTGGTAGTTTAAAAAGTTGATCTCATATAAGTAGAGAGACAAGTGGTTACTAGAGGCTAGGAAGGGTAGGGTTAAAGGAGATATAAGGAGAGGTTGGTTAAAAGATACATGATTATAGCTAAATAGGGGGAATAAGTTCTAGTGTTCTATAGCACCGTGAGTGATTATAGTTAATAACAATTTATTGTATATTTTCAAATAGCTAGAAGCCAAGATTTTGAATGCTCCCAACACAAAGAAGTGATAAATGTTTGAGGTGATGGATTTTCTAATGACCTTCATTTGATTATCACATATTGTACACATGTATCAAAATATCACACTGTGCCCTATAATTATGTACAATTATTATGTGTTGATTAAAAATAGTATTTTAAGAAAAAGAATAGTAGTTCACACCTCAGAAAATTATTGTAAAAATAAAGTGACTAAATATTTAGGAACTGCATGATCTGTTCATAGATAGCACATTGTAAGTATAAGTATGTATCCCTGTATTTTTCTGGAGAAATTTTTAATGAATTCTGACTACTGTGAACATTTTACTTACTAGATTCTATATGATGATACCTAAAGATTTTTTTGTAATTAATTATGCTTTGGGTCCAGTAAGGTGGATCCATGCCTAAAAAGTAATCAGAAACATGTATTAGCATTCAGTAGATTCTAATATTTAAAATGATACTAAATTAGTCTGGAGAGGAAAAATCTTTAAATATCAGTTGCATAGCATGAGGAACTCTTATGAAAAGCAGATGGAACTTTACAAAAATGGTGCCTGATTGCTTTGGTCTACAGAGGCTGGATTGCTAAGCCTACCAGATATCAGTGGCCGCAGACTACCATTTCACTCACTAGATTTGCGTTTTGTGTCACTATGACCCCAAATCTGCTTTTATTGCCTAATTATTTGGTTGCTGCCATATAACCACATGATACAAGAATATTAAAGTTTTTGTTTCTCTTTTGAGAAATAGATAAATTTACAATTAAAATCTATAAAGTCTGAAGCAATTATTACTGATTTTTGTTTCAAATGGAACCATACTGAAGTTTTTGTTTGCTTGTGCTTTTGCTTTAAATGACTCAAGAAACCTTTTCAAACCAGGACCTAGGAAAGTGAGAGTGCTGTTTTCAGTGACATTTAGGGCTTACATGAGATATTATATATCTCTGAACTGCTGGGGAAACAGATGACAACTTTGTCTGAAAACCAGATTTTATAAAAACTGGGAATATGGGAGTTAATATAAAACCCGATTTCTTATAAACATATATAATGTTAAATTCCTTCAAACAGTCTGAACTTGAGATCCTTAACTCTGGAGCCAAAATTGATCAGGTTTTAATAGAAGAATCTTAATCTTTGTGGCAAATACTCCAGTAGATTTTAAAATGTGCATGTATGGATGAATATCTTGTCACTTTTCAACTCTTGTATTGTACGGAATGTCCTTTTATTCCTTAAAACCCCATCTTTGCTCACAAAATCCCAATTTTGTTCCAATACAGGAACAAAATTGGGATATGGATCACTCCTTAGGATGTGGATCTACATTAGTCTAACAATCAAAACAATTCCACAATAATCCTTTTTTCCAGTGTCTGGTTTAGGTGGAGGAAAGTGAATGGAATGCAATTATGCCCACTGGAATGTAAAGAGAAGTTTGGTGAGAGGCTTCTAGGAGGTTTTCTTTACTCTTAAAAAGAGACTAAAGCAAAATATTCACTGTCTTCTGGCCTTCAGAAATTACTGTGCAGTGAACTAATGCCTTAAATTGCTGCAGCCTTCTTGCAACCATGTAGGAATTAGCTATTTAATTTCAGACAGCAGAGCAGAGAGGTCAAATGATGACATTGTGGAGTCATTACATTATTGAATTTTTTAATTGTCTTACCTTCTGGACTTCTTGTTATGTTTATGTTATGTTATGCTTTTTTTGTTTATGTACAGTAGTCTCTGCTTATCCAGCTTCACTTTCTGCTGATTTAGTTACCCATGGTCAACTGCCATCTGAAAATAGGTGAGTGCTATACAGTAACATATTTTGAGAAAGATAGAGCGACCACCTTTACATAACTTATTTAGAGTATATTGTTACAATTGTTCCATTTTACTACTAGTTATTGTTGTTAATATCTTGCTGTGCCTGAGTTAAAATTAAACTTCATCATATGTCTGCATGTATAGAGTTCAGGACTATCCATGGTTTCAGGCATCCATTGGAGGTCTTGAACAGTATCCACCTGGCATAAGGCGGGCACTATCATATTTTTTTGGGTCTTTTGCTTTTTGAAGTCAATTGCATTCTAAATAACACAAAAATAACAAAATAACTCTGTGTTTTATACTATATGTAGGGAAAAATGAAATGCAAGGCCTGACCAAGTCAGATACGTGACAGGTTTTGAAAATTTGCATAAGCTATTTACTTAGGAACTTATTGCATCTGGCATACTGATACAGTCATAATTCTTAAAAACATTTTTAATAAATATTAAATTAAAGCATTTAATGTAGGAAATAAAATATCAAACAAAGAAAGAGGAAGATTTTTTTGCTTATTACATTTTTAAGAAAGATTTCCTTTAAAACTTAATGGCAGCAAAATATTGGGGATTATTTTTTAAAATTCACAGTCTTGAAATATTTGGGTATGTCTAGATACATTTAATATTGTAATTAGGACTTTTCTTTTTCTCCAAGAACATTGGAATGCACATGGGCTTTTTCTGGGTCATGATGGGTTTTAGGGATTTCCTGAAGTCTTACTTGAGGTTAAGGGCTACACCAGATAATCAGAGTTGCATATTCCATTAGGCAAAATCACTCAGGCAGATTTCACATGAACACTTCCATTTTAAGAGAAAAATTTTAAACTGAAGGGTAATGGTAAGACCATTCCTTGCCATTTACACCACTGTAAAAAAATGCTAATTATGTAGGCTGCAGTAATGGTGAATGGATTTGTGGAGATTATAGGAACCTGTATATAACATTTTCTGCTCATATATGACAATAGCAGTCTATTCCACACAAAACAAAGTTAATGATCCTCAGCCCAACTTTCAAAGTTTTCCACAATTTGAACTCTATTAATCTATCCCCTTGAGAGAGTGTATGTATGTGTGTGTGTGTGTGTGTGTGTGTGTGTATCCTTTACCACAGCCCATAAGTCCACTGTCACTTCATAATCTCACTGTACTTTAAACTAACCTCTCCAACATACTCCTGCACCTGCTGCCTTGTCATCCTTATTAGCCCAGGTTGAAGTTCTATCTTAACAAAAGGTCAGCCATTAATTAAACTCTGTTTTCAAGAAATACAGTTTATAACTAATTTTCTTTATGCAAAATTATATACAGAATTTGGGGGCAGCAGCAGAGAGAAATAGTGTTGAGAGATTTGCCATCATTGGGCAACCAAAGGAGATTCATAATAAAGCAATTTTAAAATTTATGAAGTTAATCATTAAGATTTTTCTATTTTTGTTTACAATTGTTTTCTGAACTTAGCTTATCAGAGTATGGAATCATTGTTTTTCTTCCTAAATAAAATGAGGAATAATTTAATAAAGAGCAAATTCCAGGTTGTTCAATAAGTTATTGATCACAAATGTTATGGATATATGAGCAGATACTACGTACCAGGAATATGTTACAATTTATAAAACAATCTATTTTCCATTTGAAAGCAGGTTAGACTTCATTGCTTTACTTCTTTCATGATTTTCCCTATTTAAATACAGGAGAGTAAAACAAAATGTTGAACACATTTTTCATAAGCCCTCCCTGATACTGTATACTGCATGTACTACTACTTGTTTCTTCGGAGTCCAGAGGTTAAAAAAAAGAAAAAGAAAAGCTTTCCCTATATCAGACTAACAGTAATAATTAATACTTTTTTACCAGTAAAGTTGAAGACATCCATGGAAATGTAAACCTCCTACTTTCATTTAGAAATAAAGGAAATATGTAACATAATTATTCTCAAATGAGTCTAACATTGAATTTCAGAAACTTAAAGTCCAATGTTTTATCTTAAAGTAGCTTGTAGGAACAAATTTAAAAGTTATCCATAGTTAAAATTTGAAAATACCAAATCCTTTGAGTGCCACTTTAATCCCAGATCAAACAAGGCCTGCTGGTCCAAGAACTAAAATTGATTTTGTTACTCATATCAGAGGCAGCTCATGATTCCTTCCATCCTTTGCTGAAAGCAGATAGTATAGGTAGAAGATAATTATTCCTTTAATGCTAACTTTGTAATGCCTAGATGGAATCAGTGCTTCAAACAATTTCTGTTTCCTATTTACATTTATAAATGCCCTTTGCCCCCTAAGTTTCCCCATATGTAAGAATTAATTTAATAAAGGAAAGTGTCCATAGCTCTGCAGAAAAAAATTTCTCTTCATAACAGTGTTAGTCGTTTATCTGTTACCTTTTTCTGAGAAGTTTTATTGTAGCTTGGTATTATTAAGAGAGCAATGAAAATTGGAACAATACAGAAAAGATTAGCATGGCCCCTGTACAAGGAGGACATGCAAATTTGTGAAGTGCTCCATATTTTTTAAGTAAAATATAAAATTATATAAAAAAACAGAGTGCATTGCAGCCATGTAACTGGGGCCATGGATGAAGTGATATAATCTAGGCTGCAGACATCAAAGGTAATGGAGGGAGTATGCTAGGTGGTAGCAGAACTATAACTGGACTGGGACAGTGCACATCAATTCCTCTTCCTTTTTCTGAAGTTGTGCAGAGTGGCAACAGGGCTGTCAAAGTCAAAGCATTGTTCACAGGGTAGAGGGAGGATCATGGATGCAGCCTTGTCGGTAAAACTGAGCTGTCAGTTGAGGAGTTGTCTCCAACGCTATCACCTGCCTTAGAAAATGAAAGCTTAACTCCCACCTGTCTTTCAGGAAGTGATTTCTTCACATTCTAAATGTCAGTAAGGTGTGATGTCAGTAATGAGGGCTTGGCTCTTTCTTTACTCTGAATGGCTATGAGACAGCTGTGAAGAGATGGCTGTGAACAGAGAGCCCTGCACAAAGTTGTGAATTACAGGTTTATTTTCAGTGCAATGTTCTCACGTTCTTAAGGCTCTGTGTTCCAATGTTCTCTCTTGCAAAGTCACATTCAAGCTTATTTCTCACCCATCAACTGACCTCTACCATTTCTCAATTCCCAGAGCCCCTGTGTCTTTCACATACACTAATCTGTCAAGATAATTATTAATAAATATTAGCATTCACAGTTCTATTACTGCTGGAGGGAATTTAGATACTCTTTAGCTCCACACTCTCATTTTACAGATAAGGTGAATTGGTATGCATATGACCACATGGTTACATGAGAGGGGAGGGGAATGGTTATTATTATTAGTAGCAGCAACATCATAAGGCATATGTAGTTAAACAATAACTTGTTGAAATTGAAAGAAAGCAGAGACAAAATTAGGTGTTATCAGGGAAGGTTGACGGAATGGCTAACCAGAGACCTCTCTCATACCCGAGATATATATATATATATATCTATATATATATATATATATTTTTTTTTTTTTTGAGATGGAGTCTCGCTCTGTCGCCCAGGCTGGAGTGCAGTGGCGCTATCTCGGCTCACTGGAGGCTCTGCCCCCCAGAGTTCACGCCATTCTCCTGCCTCAGCCTCCTGAGTAGCTGGGACTACAGGCGCCCGCCACCTCGCCAGGCTAATTTTTTGTATTTTTAGTAGAGACGGGGTTTCACAGTGTTAGCCAGGATGGTCTCGATCTCATGACCTCGTGATCCGCCCGCCTCGGCCTCCCAAAGTGCTGGAATTACAGACGTCAGCCACCGCGCCCAGCCTTTAATTAATTAATGGCAATACAGAGTCTTCTTAGCTTTGCAGAATCTCAGTGCTGCAAGGGTCAAAGAGTTGACTAAATTCAGGGCTTCTGGGTTACACCTGCCAAAATCACAGAAGACTCAAGTAGAAAGTTGAATGTCAATGTATTAATTAATAAACAGAAACACAAATGTCAAGTCAAGTGTAAAGAATCATTGGTCTGTCAGACAGTATGAGGTAAGTGAAATTAGTAATCATATCATTGTTAATTCCAAATTTTAATAAAACATTATGTACCAGGTCTTTATTGCTGAGCTTTATAAAAGTTGTCATTGAATCTTCTCAACAAACACCTATAAAGTAGATGTCATTCTCACCACATTATAAATAAGAATAGCCGAAGCACAGAGAAGTCAAGAAACTTGACCATGGCCATATAACTAATAAATGGCACAGTTAGATTGTGAACCCAAGTAATCTGCTTTTACCCACTCTTCAATGGTAATTTAGTAGATGGCTCAGTAAGCACAAAAACAGAACCATTGTTTAGATCATTGGTTCAACTCCTTAGTGACTGGTATAAGGCAATGGTTCTCAAGCCGGAGAGAATTTGCCCCCAAGGGAACATTTGACAATGTCTAAAGGCAGTTTAGATTGATACAACTGGAAGAGGGGATTGCTACTGACATAGCAGGTAGACGCCTGGAATGCTATTAAGTATTCTGCAGCACATAGGACAGCCCCCAACAACAACAAAAAATCCCATCTGAAATGTCAATAGTGCTGAAGCTAACAAACCCTGGTACAAGGCAGCAAGAGCTGCATCCCCCTGCACAGTAGGGTTTCATTTCCCATTAGGGCTTGCTTGTTGAGTTCTTGGGCTATAGTGCCCTGTTATTTGTGTAGTATTTGAATGTGCACTCAATTTATCTTTGACTTGTTTTTTCATGTTTCAAACTTGTTAACTCCCATTATTGTCAATAATTTATCTTATTAGACATATATAAGCAATACTGTGCCCCCTCCATTTCCCTCCTAAATTTATTTGCAACTCAAATACTAAAACTATTAAAATCAGCTACAAATACTGAAATCAGCTACATGTACTATGTAATTTAAGCCATGTTTTTTCATCAGGATGGAAAAAAACAAAACAAAGAACACTTTAACAACATTCAACCTAGGACATTTCATCCATGTAATCTATACCATGCTGGTGTTTTCCCCTCCAGACTGCAAATTTTGTTGGCTCATATTGCGACCTATCCAGCTTTACATCATTGTTTGGTGGACAAATGTACTTTTCTGCTCTAGTTATCTAATATTGCTGCTATGCTCAATTTTGATTGCCTTCTTTTTAAACATCATTATTTTTAAATTGTGGCAAAAAGTGATATGATAATTTTCACCAAAATTTATAAAATTTTGTTAGTGAGTCAAAGGATTATACCAAATTGCTCTCAAAAAGATTTCAACATTTATATTTCCCCTGAGAGTACAGAAAAATACAGTAAGACTTTAGTATGCTAACACACATTATTAATCTCTGAAAAACAGGCATATTAGAAAGAATTTTTCCAGGTTTATTTGACCATAGAATCATTTCACCATTGGATACTTATTAATATTTTCAGTGAGACACGATGATCTCCATTAGACAATTTGAAAATTTTTGATGAGAAATGAAAAAATCCTGAAATAGTCCTATTACTATTGAAAAATCCTGAAATAGTCCCATTACTACCTTGTAGAATATTGTTCCATCTTGAATAGACTAGAAAAATTTCAAAACATTTGTAAGCTAAGAAAAGTCATAATCTCCAGAACTTTCAGTACTTTATTTCATTCTATTTTTTAAATTTTAATTGACACATAATAATTGTACATATTTATGGGGTAAAATGTGATACTTTGATATATGTATACATTATGCAATGAAGAAATCAGGGTAATTAGCATATTCAAACATTTACCATTTCTTTGTGGTGAGAACATACACAATCTTCTCTTCTAGGTATTTTGAGATATGCTATATCTTATTGTTGACTATGGTCACTCTACTATGCAATAGGACACCAGCATCTATCCTTCTTTTTTAATTGTAACTTTGTGTTCCTTGACTATACTCCCCAAGCTCCCTTCCACCCACCCTCTTCAGTCTTTGGTAACCACTGTTCTATTTACTATTTCTATGAGATCACCTTTTTAGGATTTTGCATATGAGTGAGAACATGTAGTATTTGTCTTTTTGTGCCTGGCCCATTTTGCTTAACATAATGCCTCTAGGTTCATTCATGTTGTTCCAGATGACAAGATTTCATTCTAATCATCATGGAAATTAAAATCAAAACCACAATGAGATACCACCTTACTCCACATAGAATGGCTTTTATTAAAAAGAGGAAAAGAAGGTTGGTGCAAAAGTAACTGCGGTTTTTGCCATTAAAAGCAATGCAATAGTTAACAAATGTTAAATAATAACAAACGTCAGTGAGAATGTGAAGACAAGGGAACCTTTACACACCGTTGGTAGGATGTAAATTATTACACTCATGGAAAACACTACAAAGGTCCCTCAAAAAATTAAAAATAGAACTATATGATACAGCAATCCTACTACTGGGTAAATGTGTTAAGGAAATGAAATCAGTATATTGAAGAGATATTTGCACTCCTATGTTTATTGCAACACTATTTAAAATAATCAAGATAAGAAATCAATCTAAGAGTCCAACAGTAGGTAAAATTGATAAAGAAAACGTGGTATATATATACAATGGAATAATATTCAGCCATAAAATAATTAACTAGTTTATTTTAAAATGACTTTAAAACATACATCATCAGGAACTTCTGTAAGTTTTATCAAACACAGAGGTGGCTGGTGAATTGAGTATTTTGTCGATATCAGTTTTCAAATTTGAGTTCATTTCTATATCAAGTGCTAAGTTTTACAAAAATATATTTAATGACCTAAACTGTAAAGATTATAGTTTTTATTTCCATTTAAGAGCTGAAAATATGCTTTTAAAAAAATCATCTCCAGCACTTTGGGAGGCTGAGGCAGGCGGATCACCTGAGATCAGGAGTTCAAGACCAGCCTGGCCAACATGGTGAAACCCCGTCTCTACTAAAAATACAATAATTAGCTGGCCATGGTGGCAGGCGCCTGTAATCCTAGCTACCTGGGAGGCTGAGACAGGAGAAACGCTTGAACTCAGGAGGCGGAGGTTACAGTGAGCCGAGATTGCACTCCAGCCTGGGCGACCACGAAACTTTGTCTCAAAAAAAAAAAAAAAAAAATTAGTTGAGAAAACAACAATTTTAGAATTATTTGACAAGGTAAGGAAGAGGTAGGTCAAAAAGAATCTATGTTCTCCAGGTTCATCTACATTGTTACAATTGACAGCATTTCCCTCTTTTCAGGGGCTGAATAGTATTTCGTTGTGTATATATACAACGTTTTTTTCATCCATTCATCTGTTGATGGACATTTAGATTGATTCCATATCTTGGCTATAATAAGCCAGAAACAGAAAGACATTACTGCATAGTCTCACTTATATTTGGAATCTAAAAACGTCATCAAATGCATAGAAACAGAGTAAAATTGGCTGGGCGCGGTGGCTTACGCCTGTAATTCCAGCACTTTGGGAGGCCGAGGTGGGCGGATGACGAGGGCAGGAGTTCAAGACCATCCTGGCTAACACGGTGAAACCCCGTCTCTACTAAAAAAAAATATAAAAAATTAGCCGGGCATGGTGGCGGGCGCCTGTAGTCCCACCTACTCGGGAGGCTGAGGCAGGAGAATGGCCTGAATCCGGGAAGCGGAGCTTGCAGTGAGCCGAGATTGCGCTACTGCACTCCAGCCTGGGCGACAGAGCGAGACTCCGTCTCAAAAACAACAACAAAAAAAGAAACAGAGTAAAATTATGGTTACCAGAGGCTTGGAGTTGGGGGATGTTGGTCAAAGACACAAAATTCATAGGAGGAATAAGTTCAATAGATCTATTTTACATCAAGGTTAAAAACAATATATTGTATACTTGAAAATTGTATACTTGAAAATTTTAAGTGTTTTCATCACAAAAAATGACAAGCAGGTGAGGTAATGCATACGTTAAATAGCCTTATTTAGCCATTCTGCAAGGTATACATATATAAAAACATCACATTATATACCATAAATGCATACAATTTTTATTTGTCAATTTTTAAGTCTTTAATTAGGGATATTAAAACAAAATTCTTCCCTTAGAGCTACACTTTCAGCTATATGGTAGATTAGTTTAACTATAAGTCCCTCTCACTACAAACCCCTACATTCTGAGTAAAATATACTTCTTAGTACATTGTTAAGGTTATAAAAAGAAAGGGAAATCTCTAAGCTCACCCCCAAAATATTTATGAGTAGAAACCAGAGCTGTGATCTCAGACCAATGAGCCGACAGAAAAGGCAGGGTTGACCTTAGCTAAGCACTTCAGTAAAAGCAAGGTAAGGAACTCAGCCTCAGACTCTCATTGAGCCTGGATTTTCACAGAAAGAAAAGTGGTCCCAGAAGAGCCATGTCCTCTGGCTATAAATAAAAGCAAATTCAAGTAATCTTGCAGAAAAGCATTTCCAATTTCAACTCTAGAGATTTCCATAGATTAAGAACAAATAACTGTGAGCTCAAAACAAAAAAAAATAATAATAAAAAGCACAAGGATATGAGGTAACTTTTCTCTCTTGGTTTTTCTTAATGGTTTTTGGATGTTAAGAAAGACTACTTAAATCAAAATCATTTTTTCCCTGTTTTTCTTCTGTCCATAGCTAGACTGAAGTTGCCAGCCGTCCCCCTAGTAGTTAGTTATGGCCTTGTGACTAAGTTCTAGCCCCTATAACGTGAGCAGAAGCAATTTATACAACCTCTGGGCCTTCCATATGCCCTCCTCCATGTTCTTTCTTCCTCTAGCAGACACTGATACCAATAACAAGATGACCTTAAAAGCCATTAAATATAGATAACAAAGGCTCCATTTCCACTTTCCTGACAAGTGATCATGTTGGGACAGAGCAGGGAGTCTTCACAATACCTACTCAGCAGATGGATGTGACCAATGGGTAAGGTTCATTCTTCCCTTGGGGAACCTTCATTGTGTTTATTCTTCCCATACTCCCTCATTATCAGACCGTAAGGATCTGTTCCTGTTCCTGTACCTGATGCAGAACAGTGATGGTTTCGAAGATATCTGAACATTTGGCTGGATGGGGTGGCTCTTCAGGACAGAGTGAATATGTTCTAAATGAAGCAAGAAAAGCATGCATAGATTCTGTTGGTTAGAGCTCTGGCAAAGACTGCTAGCTGTCCACTAAAATCTCTCACTTATCTTCTTGAGCATGCAGTAAATTGGCCCTTCCCAGCATCCCTGGCCATGTGGCCTTGTGACTAAGTTCCCACCCCATGGGATATGAACAGAGGTTAGGCATGCCACCTGCTGGCCTGACCTATAATAACTTCCTACATGCACTTGTCCTCTTTCTCTCTTCTGGTTAACCTGGATAGAGAAAAATCCCAGGGTGAATTTGAAAACTACTTGTTGAAAATGGTACATCTATCATTAAGCAGAGCTGCCACAGACTGGGAACCTCTACCGCCGATCTGGGGACTGTGACAAAAAAGAAATACTGTACATTTTTTTTTCCTTTCTTTTAGCTAACAAAATAGTTTTGTTGATTAAAGTTGTTTAGCTTTCTCTATTGCATACAAATTTCTTACCTAAGCTTATTATGTGTTATATTTTAGTGGAACTCAAGTTTCAAGATTGTTTGCTTGTATTCTAGCTTACAATTTAAATGCCTTACATTTGTATATTACTCTTACATTTCATAAATTCTATTTTATTTGATGTATACCATAACCCTCTGAGATAGGCATGAATTAACATCTATATTTTAATATGTGTTCATTATAATACATGTTTAAATAACTCAGAAATCTACATAAAAGCATATCACCAGTCAGAGAGATAGATATGCTATCATCAGATAGCATGCAAATGTTTGACCATACATTTTTAATAAAGTGAAGCCAAATGCATGTAATTAATTCTATGTGTACTTTTACTTAACAATACATTTTTTTCAATATTAATATTCTATTCCATCATTGGAATGCTTAGTATCCTAAAAATGTAATCACAAACATTTGTATACATACATCTTTATTAGCTTATCTACTTATTGTTTCTTTACGCTATCACAAAATTGTACGGTCAAATGGCATGTTTACAGCTGTGATGTACATTGCCAAATTGTTCTGTAAAAAGGCATGAGTCAAAAGTTCTAACAATGTTTGCTATATTTCCTTATTCCATTTCTAATACTAGAAATTATTAATCATTTTAATACTTGGCAATTGTTAGAAGATAATAATACTTCTTTTTTACTGTGAATGTTTACTATTAGTAATTCTGAATATTATTTCTTTTTCATAGGCAATTTATACTTACTTTTAAAATTAATTTCCTAATATTCCCAAATTTCTTTAGCTTTTTTATTTCTATAAATTCATTTGGTTTGATTAGTTTACTGTAGTTCTGTATATTTTAAGAATAATAAAATCTTTGCGTTTTGCATATCACAGATTTCATCTTTGACTTACATAAAAGAAAGTAAGGTTTAAAGAGGTTAATTGACATGTCTAACATATATGCTGCAAAATCATGACTCTATGCTAGGTGTTCTGACGCATGTTTTGTTTTTAATTAACCTTCGTCATCACCTTTCTTATAAAGAGGCAACTAGAAATAAGGTAAATAGATGAGAGAATGATTGCACTTTGAATATGTGTTCCTTTGAAAATATTCTTAGTGTATTTATTCAAGTAGAATTTATTCTACTCCATAGGAAACTAATCTTTCTTGCTTTTTCCTGAAGACCTGATATAATTCCTGGCACATAGTAGGTACTTTACAAATATTTGTGAATGGGTGAATGAATGTACTGTATCCTGTGGTGACAGAAAAATGAGTCACAATCTCTGAATTAAAATAACTCTCGATCTTGTGGAGGTGAGAAAACAGACAAAATAGCACAAAATAGAAATAGGCATAGGATGCATCTGATGTCTAAGTAAATATTAGAAACAAAGACTCCTTAATCCTCTTCCTCAAATATATTAGCTAGGAGCACATTATCTTATAATGTGACTTGTTTCTTCTTTTTTTAGTGAGAAGTCATGAGGGAATGGAAACCATACTGGTATTGGGGCTTTGGATTCAGATATACTTGGGCTTATGATCAGCTTTACCACATTACCATGTTCTATCTAAATAATCCTGGATGGAGTAGTCTCTGTGAATCTAAATTTCTTTACCTGTAAATGTCATTAAAATGTCTAAATCCTCAACAACTGGGGGGGTGTCTAACTGACAATATATATAAAGTGCTTAGCTCTTACAAGGTACTCTAGAGGCATTGGCTCTTTTCAATGTTCCTCAGATAAACTATCTTATAAGTTATACAATATTAAAGATTATTTACCATTTTATGCCCGTGATCATAGCCTTTTGAAATCCATTAATAGTTTATTATCCAAATTTAATCTTCATAATTAGCAGAGCTTTGGACAATCAGCAGCATACTTTTACCATGACACTGTGTACCCCTGTCTTAAACAGAATAATTTAGAGGAAGATATTATGTACTGAGAGTTTAAATTATTTATTTATTATTTATTTATTTATTATTATTATTTTTGAAATGGAGTTTCGCTCTTGTTGCCCAGGCTGGAGTGCAATGGCACGACTTGGCTCACCGCAACCTTCACCTCTCAGGTTCAAGCAATTCTCCTGCCTCAGCCTCCCGAGTAGCTGGGATTACAGGCATGCACCACCAAGCCCAGCTAATTTTGTATTTTTAGTAGAGACAGGGTTTCTCCATATTGGTCAGGCTGGTCTTGAACTCCCGACCTCAGGTGATCTGCCCACCTTGGCCTCCCAAAGTGCTGGGATTACAAGTGTGAGCCACCGCGCCTGGCCAAGAGTTTAAATTCTTAAAAACATAAATATACATATGACACAAACTTTTAAGTTTCCCAGAACATAGAAAACACCAAGTAATAATATAAAATACTGATATGCTGTTTATTTAAGAGAAATTATATGTAAATGCTGAAGAGATGACTTTTAATAAAGATTATATGGTATTACACTGCCTGTTCTTAGACCATAATTTTATTTTCCAAGTGGGTGTTAGACACATATTATTGATCAGGGCATGCTATTCAGAATAAGTAATAATTGGCAATTCACTGAAGCTTGTGTGTGTGTTGAAATTTTATGCACTTCCCTGCTGTGGGAGTGTGACAAGGATAGCCCTTGGGAGCCAATGTTCACATTCCCCAAGATGTAATTCTTCTCACTCACGAGGAACTACCCTCCTTCCCACTTTGGTACTGAATAATGACCAATTCTTTTCTAATTTCTGTCATTTTTCCAGGAAACTTTGGACTAACCTGATTTATGTTATGTTCAATTACTTGTGATTCATGTTGCAATATTGAAAACGGGAATTTTATCAGCTTTAGATAAAAGATGTAGAGAGTACATCGAGTGTTCCTGAAATCACTAAATAGCTTACTAATTTTGTGGTAGAGGAAATAAAGATAATGCTTTTTTTAAAAAGCATGTAACTCATTATCTTAAACTGAGCTGGTCTTATCAAATTTTCTATATTCATTTTTTCTTAAGCTTCACAAGTCTTAATTTTCAAATTATTTGCTTCTTTACTAAAGGAAAGTTGTTCTGGATTTCTTTCTCTGCTATGATATGGTTAAAAGAGTTACAGTGGGATCTAGTACTTATGAAATATTTTAAAAATTGTGTTTACCAATATAAAAGCATGATATGCTGTCTTCATACTTTGAAATATTATTCTTTAGGAAATTTCATTTTTTGGTTTAAACAAACTTCATTGACAATAACCTTAATACCTCAAATTTGTGATGATTACGCCGATGTTGATGAAGGAAGAAAAGATTATGAAACTGTCCTTCAAAAAAAAGCTTAAAAATTTCTTATTACCCTTTTATTTGAAGTCTGTAAAATGCATTCCTTTAATGATATAAAATTTAAAAAAATCTCAATTATTGAAGCAAATGACCAGCTTTCTTCTTTTCCGGTAAAGACAAAGTATCAGAAATAAGGTAGAATGAAAGGGTTTTTCTTCCTCTATCACCAACAAACACAGTACAAAAGTTATAAACAAGTAATAAATCATAATGTAGTCAATCAGGGCAGCACAGGGACCATGTGTCACATGTAAATGTTTTTTCTCTGTTACTAAAATAAAAATCTTGTCCAGTTTTCTCTGTAATGTAAGAATTAGCTTTCCCTCCTTCTATTTGTCTTTCCTACATTTAACTTGAGTTAGATATTTTTGTTTGTTTGTTTGTTTGTTTGTTTTTTGAGCTAAAAGAGGTAGATAAGGTAGGTAGATATGGAAAAGCTCCAGATCTCAATTCATAGTGGTTGTCTTGTCCTGGGTACTACCCAGAGGAAGTGGAACAATGGGACTTTTGAAAACTTGTACAAACTATCAAAAATCAAGCACAAAGAGAAATATAACAAAAATTGAGAATGGAGTCTCAAGTGGTCTACCATGTATGAAATTTAAGTTCCATGTATGAAATAAAGAGTGGGAGAAAGGGAGTTTCTTTCTACATTGTTTCTACATTGTTTCTACAATTGTTTCTACATTGTTTCATTTGTAGAAACAATGAACAGCTGAAAAACTTCCAATTTTTATTAAAACTGTAAGCCCTCAGATCCAAGAAGTAGAATAAATATCAACAAGAACAAACAGAATAAATAGCATACCCGAATATAATGTAATCAAATTTATGACAACCTCTTAGTCATAAAAAGAAAATATTAAAAGCATTCAGAGAAAAAAAAACTACATTACAAACAAAATAACAATCATAGACTTCACATCATAAAACATGCAAGCCAGAAGGCATAATATCTATCATTAAAGCACTGAAAGATATTGTTAACCTATAATTCTATTTCCTGCAGTTCTTACAAAGTATAATATAGTCTTACCATTAATCCAGAAATTGTACTTGTAGATTTTTTGTTTGTTTGTTTGTTTTCTTTTCTTTTAGACGGAGTCTCGCTCTTGGCCCAGGCTGGAGTGCAGAGGCGCGATCTCGTTTTACTGCAAACTCCGCCTCCTGGGTTCAAGCGATTCTCGTGCCTCAGCCTACCAAGTAGCTGGGATTACAGGCGTGTGCCACCACGCTCAGCTAATTTTTGTATTTTTAGTAGAGAAGGAGTTTTACCATGTTGGTCAGGCTGGTCTTGAACTCCTGACATCAAGTGATTCACTCGCCTCGGCCTCCCAAAATACTTGTAAATTTTTTGTGGAAAATTTATCTCCACATAAAAATCTCACAAATGTTTATAGCAGCTTTATTGATAGTTTCCCAAACCTGGTAGCCACTGAGATATTCTTCAATAAATGAACCAATCAACAAACTGTGGTGTATACATAGAATGGAATATTATTCAGTGATAAAAAACAGAAATGCATTATCAAGCCATGAAAGAACATGCAGGAACCTTAAATGCATATTGCTAAATGACATCAAATCAACCTGAAAAGGCTACACACTGTATCACTCCATCTATATATCTAATATTCTGGAAAAGGCAAAACTATAGGAAGAGTAAAAAGATATATGGTTGTCAGGGCAGTGGTGGTGGGCTAGGGATGAGTATTAAAGAATCCCAGGGAATGCATAGAGTGGTAAAATTAATCTGTGTGATACAGTACTGATAGATAAATAATATTATGCATTTGTCAAACAATGTAGAACTGTACAACACAAAGAGCAAACCTTAATATTACCTATTGGCTTTAGTTAGTGATAATATATCAATATTGGTTTGTTAATTATAATAAATGTACCTCACTAATATAAGATATTACCATTAGGACAAACTATGTATGTTTGGGGTAAGGGTGTATATGGTAACTCTGAACAGTCTGCTTTTAAATTAAAGAATTAAAAAAATAAATGAGAGTGGAAGTTATAGGTTCACTGTGCTAATAGGAAGGTAAGGATTATGACTTCCTTTAGAATTTAGTAAAACTTTTTCATAAATCCACTTGAGTGCTATTTCTTATATATATTTTGATTATAGATAGAAGATCTTTAACAATCATTGATCTATTAAAATTTTCCATTACAAATAGAAATTTTTGGTAATCTACACTTCTTCTAAAAAACAATACAAAAAAACTCCTCCTCTTTGGAAGCCCACCATAAAGAAAATGAGTCAAGCCACAGACAAAGTTATTTAATACAACTTTTTGTATTAAATAACTTGTTTCCAGAATATATAAAAAAGTACAAACAACCCAGATTTTTAAAAAATGGACGAAAATTTAAACAAATACTTTAAAAAAATACACAAGAGGCCAAAAAGCATGAAAAAGCACTAACATCATTACTCACATCAATTAAAATTAAAGCCAAAAGTGAGAGGCCACTGCGTGCCCATTAGAACAGCTAAAATTAAACTTGACAACACCAAGTTTTGATGAAGATGTTCAACAATTGTAATATTCATACATTTTATATGGTAATATATAATGACACAGTCTCTAGACACAGTTGGCAGTTTCTTGCAAGTTACCATATGACTCCACAATTCTACTCCTAGATTCTTCCCAATAGAAATTACAGCATAAGTCCATACAAAGGTTTTCCATGAATATTTGTGCTACCTTTTTCATCATAGTCAAGTGCTGGAAGTGACTCAAATGTTCATCAACAAGTGAATAAATAAACCATAATAAAATTTTAATCATCCATAACAAGGAGAAATTATTAACATATACAGTAACATAGATAAATCTCAAAAACTGAATGCTGAGCCAGACACAAAAGAATACATATAGTTCAATTTACATGAAACTTACAGGAAGGCAAAACTATTTTTCATAATAAAGAACATATTAGTGGTTAACTGAGTCCAGAAGAAGGGATTGATTGGCAAGGGGCACATAAAATCTTTTAGGATGGTTTTGGTGAGAGTTACACAAGTGTATTCTTTGTTAAAACTTGTCAAACTTTGCACTTACGCTGAGTTCATTTAATTGCATGCTAATTAGACCTTAATACATTTAATTTGACATAGGCAATTAACAGTATTATTTACATCTTAGATTGGTAATAAAAGGTTTAACAATAAATAGCAATATCATAATATGGGAAAACAAACACTTTAACACATTAATGCAGATTGTTGTATGGAGGACTATTTAGCAATATCTATCAAGTTAGCTCAGTCTTCATTTTATTCTAAGAACAGATAATGAAGTTTCAGATATACTTTGTATGAACTTTGTATATACAAGAATGAAATTTACAGTTATAGCTCTAAAAGATATTTTAATCTAATAGGGATATTTTTAAAAAGTTAGGAATAGTCTTGTACATAGAAAGTAGTGGCTGAATGAAAACAGAACCAGCACATGAAGCTTCAGCTTTGAAATTTGGAGTGCTCCAGCTATTAGAAAGTAAGATGATTTCTGAAGATATAGATGTAGATGTAGGGAATTAATGACCTATTATTGGGTCATCCTTTTTCACCTGAGCTCTGACTTTTCATAAAGAGTAACAGCTAACATGTATAGAGTGATTACTTGAAACAGGCACCACACATTGATTTAAATGCATTTTTATCTCACTCAACTTTCACAGCTCTAAAAAATACTCACTATATTCTTATACATACCTATTTTATGCATGAGAAGTAGAAGCTCAACTAAATTCTATAACAAGTCTAAGAAATCACACTTATACAAGTGGTAGAGCTGTCATTCAAAGCTAGGATGTTTAAGCCTAAAGCCACTGCCCCTAAGATGATGGCTCATTGCTATAATTTCTCATCTTAAATGATCAGACATGCCGACTTGAGAGGAGAGGTGAAATAATTCAATGATGAATTAATGATTATTGATGTTAGGGAAAACAGTTTCTGTAAGTCGTGTACTTCTAGTAAGGCCATATTTATATCTCTAGAATTTAATATGGGAACTAATATGATAAAGCCACATTAACTGTTTTGGGGAATTGTGTTTACGATTGCATTTAGTTTTCCTTCTTTATGTTCTTGTCCCAGTGTTTCCTCTAAATTGACACTGATTAAAAATCTTAACTGATACTTCCAGATGAAACCCTATCTCTAAAGGCATAAAACTAATAATCTTTATTAGATTACTAAAATAAAATTTGTATTGAATTTCCAATTTGAGTTATATTCAAATTAGGTACACTTCATTCAAGGTCTATTTCAACTGTTTTGGATTTTCTGGCTTTATAATATTTCCATTATCCATAATTTTTATGGTTTTTTATAATCCAAAAACCAAAGAGTCCCAAAGTAGAGAAAATTTATTTTGCTAGTTATGAAGATTTAACATATTTATATACTTTTCTCTAAACTGGTATTAAAAAGTAGAATACCAAATATATTGATAATAGGCAAGAGACTTGGAAGTTGAGAGAAAATTTTTAAATTATTTTGTTATGCAGTGCTTAACAAATAATTAAATTATATCAGAGACTTTGAAACACTGATTACCTCACTTAGACTTGTACAATATTTAATCTATTAAGACTTCTTTTGTATTATTATACTTTAATTTCTAGGGTACATGTGCGCAACATGCAGGTTTGTTACATATGTATACATATGCCATGTTGGTGTGCTGCACCCATTATCTCATCATTTACATTAGGTATATCTCCTAATGCTATCACTCCCCTCTCCCGCCACCCCACAACAGGCCCCGGTGTGTGATGTTCCCCTTCCTGTGTCCAAATCCTATTGTTCAATTCCCACCTATGAGTGAGAACATGCGGTGTGTGCTTTTTGGTCCTTGCGATAGTTTGCTGAGAATGATGGTTTCCAGCTTCATCCATGTCCCTACAGAGGACATGAACTCATCATTTTTTATGGCTGCATTGTATTCCATGGTGTATATGTGCCACATTTTCTTAATCCAGTCTATCACTGATGGACATTTGGGTTGGTTCCAAGTCTTTGCTATTGTGAATAGTGCCACAATAAATATACGTATGCATGTGTCTTTATAACAGCATGATTTATAATCCTTTGGGTATATACCCAGTAATGGGATGGCTGGGTCAAATGGTATTTCTAGTTCTAGATCCTTGAGGAATCACCACACTGTCTTCCACAATGGTTGAACTAGTTTACAGTCCCACCAATAGTGTAAAAGTGTTCCTATTTCTCCACATCCTCTCCAGCATCTGTTGTTTCCTGACTTTTTAATGATTGCCATTCTAACTGGTGTGAGATGGTATCTCATTGTGGATTTGATTTGCATTTCTCTGATGGCCGGTGATGATGAGCATTTTTTCATGTGTCTGTTGGCTGCATAAATGTCTTCTTTTGAGAAGTATCTGTTCATATCGTTTGCCCACTTTGTGATGGGGTTGTTTTTGTCTTGTAAATTTGTTTGAGTTCATTGTAGATTCTGGATATTAGCCCTTTGTCAGAAGAGTAGATAGCAAAAATTTTCTCCCATTCTGTAGGTTGCCTATTCACTCTGATGGTAGTTTCTTTTGCTGTGCAGAAGCTCTTTAGTTTAATTAGATCCCATTTGTCAATTTTGGCTTTTGTTGCCATTGCTTTTGGTGTTTTAGACATGAAGTCCTTACCCATGCCTATGTCCTGAATGGTATTGCCTAGGTTTTCTTCTGGCATTTTTATGGTTTTAGGTCTCACATTTAAGTCTTTAATCCATCTTGAATTAATTTTTGTGTAAGGTGTAAAGAAGGGATCCAGTTTCAGCTTTCTACATATGGCTAGCCAGTTTTCCCAGCACCATTTATTAAATAGGGAATCCCTTCCCCATTTCTTGTTTCTGTCAAGGTTGTAGATTTGTGGTATTATTTCTGAGGGCTCTGTTCTGTTCTATTGGTCTATATCTCTGTTTTGGTACCAGTACCATGCTGTTTTGGTTACTGTAGCCTTTTAGTATAGTTTGAAGTCAGGTAGTGTGATGCCTCCAGCTTTGTTCTTTTGGCTTAGGATTGTCTTGGCAATGTGGGCCCTTTTTTGGTTCCATATGGACTTTAAAGTAGTTTTTCCCGATTTTGTGAAGAAAGTCATTGGTAGCTTGATGGGGATGGCATTGAAACTATAAATTACCTTGGGCAGTATGGCCATTTTCACGATATTGATTCTTCCTATCCGTGAGCATGGGACGTTCTTCCATTTGTTTGTGTCCTCTTTTATTTCATTGAGCAGTGGTTTGTAGTTCTCCTTGAAGAGGTCCTTCACGTCCCTTGTAAGTTGGATTCCTAGATATTTTATTCTCTTTGAAGCAATTGTGAATGTGAGTTCACTCATGATTTGGCTCTCTGCTTGTCTCTAATTGGTGTATAAGAATGCTTGTGATTTTTGCACATTGATTTTGTATCCTGAGACTTTGCTGAAGTTGCTTATCAGCTTAAGGAGATTTGGGGCTGAGACAGTGGGGTTTTCTAAATATACAATCATGTCATCTGTAAACAGGGACAATTTGACTTCCTCTTTTCCTAATTGAATACCCTTTATTTCTTTCTCCTGCCTGACTGCCCTGGCCAGAACTTCCAACACTATGTTGAATAGGAGTGGTGAGAGAGGGCATCCCTGTCTTGAGTCAGTTTTCAAAGGGAATGCTTCCAGTTTTTGCCCATTCAGTATGATATTGGCTGTGGGTTTGTCATAAACAGCTCTTATTATTTTGACATACGTCCCATGAATACCTAATATATTGAGAGTTTTTAGCATAAAGAGCTGTTGAATTTTGTCAAAGGCCTTTTCTGCATATATTGAGACAATCATGTGGTTTTTGTCTTTGGTTCTGTTTATATGATGGATTACGTGTATTGATTTGCATATGTTGAACCAGCCTTGCATCCCAGGGATGAAGCCCACTTGATCATGGTGGATAAACTTTTTGATGTGCTGCTGGATTCACTTTTCCAGTATTTTATTGAGGATTTTTGCATCGATGTTCATCAGGGATATTGGTCTTAAATACTCTTTTTTTTTTGTTGCGTCTCTGCCAGGCTTTGGCATCAGGATGATGCTGGCCTCATAAAATGATTTAGGGAGGATTCCCTCTTTTTGTATTGATTGCAGTAGTTTCAGAAGGAATGGTACCAGCTCTTCCTTGTCCCTATGGTAGAATTCCGCTGTGAATTCATCTGGTCCTGGACTTTTTTTGGTTGGTAGGCTATTAATTATTGCCTCAATTTCAGAGCCTGTTATTGGTGTATTCAGGGATTCAACTTCTTCCTGGTTTAGTCTTGGGAGGGTGTATGTGTCCAGGAATTTATCCATTTCTTCTAGGTTTTCTACTTTATTTGCATAGAGGTGTTTATAGTATTCTCTGATGTAGTTTGTATTTCTGTGGGATCGGTAGTGATATCCCCTTTATCATTTTTTATTGCGTCTATTTGATCCTTCTCTCTTTTATTCTTTATTAGTTTTGCTAGCAGTCTGTCACTTTTGTTGATCTTTTCATAAAACCAGCTCCTGGATTCATTGATTTTTTGAGGGGTTTTTTGTGTCTCTATCTCCTTCAATTCTACTCTGATCTTAGTTATTTCTTACCTTCTGCTAGCTTTTGAATGTGTTTGCTCTTGCTTCTCTAGTTCTTTTAATTGTGATGTTAGGGTGTCAATTTTAGATCTTTCCTGCTTTCTCTTGTGGGCATTTAGCACTATAAATTTCCCTCTACACACTGCTTTAAATGTATCCCAAAGATTCTGTTATGTTGTGTCTTTGTTCTCATTGGTTTCAAAGAACATCTTTATTTCTGCCTTCATTTCGTTATGTACCCAGTAGTCATTCAGGAGCAAGTTGTTCAGTTTCCATGTAGTTGAGCGGTTTTGAGTGAGATTCTTAATCCTGAGTTCTTGTTTGAGTGCACTGTGGTCTGAGAGACAGTTTGTTATAATTTCTTTTCTTTTACATTTGCTGAGGAGTGCTATACTTCCAACTATGTGGTCAATTTTCGAATAAGTGTGATGTGGTGCTGAGAAGAATGTATATTCTGTTGATTTGGGGTGGAGAGTTCTGTAGATGTCTATTAGGTCCACTTGGTGCAGAGCTGAGTTCAATTCCTGGATATCCTTGTTCACTTTCTGTCTCGTTGATCTGTCTAATGTTGACAGTAGGGTGTTAAAGTCTCCCATTATTATTGTGTGGGAGTCTAAGTCTCTTTGTAGTCTCTAAGGTCTTGCTTTATGAATCTGGTTGCTCCTGTATTGGGTGCATATATGTTTAGGATAGTTAGCTCTTCTTGTTAAATTGATCCCTTTACCATTATGTAGTGACCTTCTTTGTCTCTTTTGATCTTTGTTGGTTTAAAGTCTGTTTTATCAGAGACTAGGATTGCAATCCCTGCCTTTTTTGTTTTCCATTTGCTTGGTAGATCTTCCTCCATCCTTTTATTTTGAGCCTATGTGTGTCTTTGCATGTGAGACAGGTTTCCTGAATACAGCACACTGATGGGTCTTGACTCTCTATCCAATTTGCCAGTCTGTGTCTTTTAATTGGAGCATTTAGCCCATTTACATTTAAGGTTAATATTGTTATGTGTGAATTTGATCCTGTCATTATAATGTTAGCTGGTTATTTTGCTCATTAGTCGATGCAGTTTCTTCCTAGCCTCAATGGTCTTTACAATTTGGCATGTTTTTGCAGTGGCTGGTACTGGTTTTTCCTTTCCATGTTTAGTGCTTCCTTCAGGAGCTCTTTTAGGGCAGGCCTGGTGGTGACAAAATCTCTCAGCATTGGCTAGTCTGTAAAGGATTTTATTTCTCCTTCACTTATGTAGCTTAGTTTGGCTGGATATGAAATGCTGGGTTGAAAATTCTTTCCTTTAGGAATGTTGAATATTGGCCCCCCTCTCTTCTGGCTTGTAGGGTTTCTGCCGAGAGATCTGCTGTTAGTCTGATGGGCTTCCCTTTGTGGGTAACCCAACCTATCTCTCTGGCTGCTCTTGACATTTTTTCTTTCATTTCAACTTTGGTGAATCTGACAATTATGTGTCTTGGAGTTGCTCTTCTCGAGGAGTATCTTTGTGGCGTTCTCTGTATTTCCTGAATTTGAATGTTGGCCTGCCTTGCTAGGTTGGGGAAGTTCTCCTGGATAATATCCTGCAGAGTGTTTTCCAACTTGGTTCCATTCTCCCCGTCACTTTCAGGTACACCAATCAGATGTAGATTTGGTCTTTTCATATAGTCCCATATTTCTTGGAGGCTTTGTTCATTTCTTTTCACTCTTTTTTCTGTAAACTTCTCCTCTCACTTCATTTCATTCATTTGATCTTCAATCGCTGATACCCTTTCTTCCAGTTTATCGAATGAGCTACTGAAGCTTGTGCATTTGTCACGTAGTCCTTGTGCCATGTTTTTCAGCTCCATCAGGTCATTTAAGGACTTCTCCATATTGATTATTCTAGTTAGCCATTCATCTAATCTTTTTTCAAGGTTTTTAGCTTCTTTGCAATGGGTTCGAACTTCCTCCTTTAGCTCGGAGAAGTTTGATCATCTAAAACCTTCTTCTCTCAACTCGTCAAAGTCATTCTCCATCCAGCCTTGTTCCATTGCTGGCGAGGAGCTGCTTTCCTTTGGAGGGGGAGAGGCGCTCCGATTTTTAGAATTTTCAACTTTTCTGCTCTGTTTTTTCCGCATCTTTGTGGTTTTATCTACCTTTGGTCTTTGATGATGGTGACCTACAGATGGGGTTTTGGTGTGGATGTCCTTTCTGTTTGTCAGTTTTCCTTCTAGCAGTCAGGACCCTTAGCTGCAGGTCTGTTGGAGTTTGCTAAGACCATCGGAAAAATGCAGTATTAGGGTGGGAGTGACTTGATTTTCCAGGTGCCGTCTGTCACCCCTTTCCTTGTCTAGGAAAGGGAATTCCCTGACCCCTTGCGCTTCCCGGGTGAGGCAATGCCTCACCCTGCTTCAGCTCACGCTCAGTGGGCTGCATCCACTGTCCTGCCCCCACTGTCCGACAAGCCCCAGTGAGATGAACCCGGTACCTCAGTTGGAAATGCCGAAATCACCTGTCTTCTGCATCGCTCATACTGGGAGCTGTAGACTGGAGCCATTCCTATTCGGCCATCTTAGAACCTCTATTAAGATATTTTACTCAGTCTTTTTTTATTAGAAAAAGTGTAACAATTTTAATAAACCTTTTAGTTCAGATCTAATGAAGTGCATCACTAAAAGAATTCTTTTATTTAAAAAATGGTGTATTTCTTTTCTAAAAATTACTTTTCCCTCAACTTTTACTACTTTTAATCATGTTTTAAAAGAAATTTTGTATTTCTCATTAAATAAGATGTATGAAAAACTGTGATAAACAAGGTATCAGAAAAACCAGGCAAATTAAAACTGTCATTTGAATCATTTGGGAACTGTTAGGTTTCTAGATTCTTAAGAGTCTGCCCTAACTTCCTCTCTTTTCTTTACTGACCTCTGTCCACAAACAAATAAATGCAGTGAAACCCAAATCCATCCACTTTTTACAAGATTTTCATTTTCTTAGGCATTGCATCGCATTGCATTTCCTAGGCATGTCTAGTCACTTAACCTGTTCTGATGTGGGTGAACTCCTTAGAGAAGTATATCATTTTAACTAAAGTCTCATCATCAACACTCTTTGCTTTTCTCTACCGGACTCAGTGTCTTTGTTCTGACATCTGGTGGCACCAGCCTGGACTTTCTCTTCCTTTTGACTCCTCTTTCACAAATGGCTACAACTTGACTGACTTTCTTCCTTGCTTTTCCTTTTTCTGCTGAGTCTTCATGGCTATAGAACACATAGATGATTCAGACCTTCCAAACTACTCTGCCTCATAGTGTTTATCCAAATGCTGGACCTTCGTTGTTTTTTTGTTTTGTTTTGTTTTTTGAGATGGAGTCTTGCTCTGTCACCCAGCCTGGAGTGCAGTGGCGCGATCTCAGCTCACTGCAAGCTCCACCTCCTGGATTCATTTCATTCTCCTGCCTTAGCCTCCTGAGTAGCTGGGACTACAGGCACCTGCCACCATGCCCAGCTAATTTTTTGTAGTTTTACTAGAGATGGGGTTTCACTGTGTTAGCCAGGATGGTCGTTTCTGTTTTGATCACTGGACTTCCAGTTGTACCAAACTTTTCTGCCAATGTCCTTGCTTGGCTGCTTCCTTTGCCATTACTGACTGGGTTCATTCATTGTCTCTTTGGTCTTAAATATTACATTTTTGTACAAATCCTAGCAAAAGATTAAATTGGAAAATGACGGGTTGAAAAATAACAGTTATCGTAGATAAATGAAATTTCTTGTTTTCATAAATGAAATTCAGACTTTGGATGACAATGATGCTGCCTGAAATTATAGTTATTTCTTTCCCAATTGGAATGGTCAGATTCCTGGACATACCTTAAGGTAGGAAAACATAGTTGATAAATGTAAGAATTTATGATGAAAAAAATAACAGTAAGGGAGTAGACATCATAAATGAAAGCTTTTAGAGTATTAAAGTATTATTTATAATCATTAAAAAGATAGCACACAAAATCAATATAATGTTGGTGACATTTTACACATATCAGATGGCTAAAAACAATACCTACAAAATTACTTCCATTTATCATCTCTTGCTTTCTATAAAGCATAAAGATTTATTCTTCTAAAGTCTGCATGTGCTCCTAATAAAGTTGTTCCATTATTACATTGTTTTCTTAAATATTGGGAGGTTTCAATTTTTTTTTCTATACTTTTTGTCTAAATATCCAATGCTTGTACCAGCTCTAATCTTCCTTAGTAGGCACTTAAAGTGCCTTTATCAATAGTCCAGTGAGTCAGTATTAAGACAATTTTACTATTTCTTTTTATAAACTTATCCTCCAATTCAACAATAGGGTTTCCATAATACCTTAATTCTGTGATCACAGGCTTAAAAAAAAATCCCAGGTGTATGGATTGACTTTCTACCTTATTCCCCTTGTACATGATTCTGGACCTTTATAACCTGCTTATATCCTTTTATTTTCGAAATTTGGTCCTATCTTGCTTTCTCCAGGCTCTCCCTGAGCCTTCTTTTTGTTGTCATATGTCCTCTATGTCCTCGCCCCCCTTACTCCTTAGGTAATTGCCCATTATCTCCACCCAGACTCTGCAAATATTCCCCTCCTCACGATTATCTCTAAATGATATGGTTTGACTCTGTGTCCCCACCCAAATCTCACCTCAAATTGTAATCCCTACATGTTAGGGAGGGACCTGGTGGGAGGTGATTGTGGGTGGCTTCCCCCATGCTCTTCTCATGATAGTGAGTTCTCAGGAGATCTGATGGTTAAAAAGTGTGGTACTTCCTCCCTCATTCTCTCCTGCTGGCTCTTGAAGAAGTGCTTGCTTCCCCTTCCCCTTCTGCCATGATTGTAAGTTTCCTGAGGTCTCCCCAGCCATGAAGAACTGTGAGTTAATTAAAGCTCTTTTATTTATAAATTATCCAGTCTCACATAGCTCTTTATAACAATGTGAAAACGGACTAATACACTAATTCTATTACAACTCCCTTCCCATCTATTGGCAATGCACATAGTAGCGCCTTTAGATCACACTGGATTTAGCCTATGACCATGAGAGAATACCAGGCTTCAGATAAAGAGAAAATAGGATTTAAAATTGTAACTGTTTTGGCTTTCCAACATGCTCAAGAGGCAGGAGGTGACTCTGACTTTTCACTATATTCCAGTGAAGTGATAGCAGGTGTGAAAAAGAAAGGATGGATTCAATTTCTGTTTAGGACGTTACCTTGACAGAACTTGGTGATGGTTTCAATGAGGGAGAGGAAGAAGTTGAGGATGACACAGGTTTCTGGTTTGGGGAACTGGGCGGATACTGGCTCACCTCTTATTTAGAACGTGACTTCCTATTTAGTGTTACCCTCTGCTACTCTTGTATTACCTTTCTAAATCACATTTCTTGCATTTACTTTTTAAATCACATATTTCCTGCATTGAAACCTCCAATGGTTTCATACTTGCAGGATAAAATCTAAATTCTCTGTAACAACTGAGTTTCCTCACAATCCAGTGCTAAACATAATGTCCTACCCCACACATATCATTATACTATAACCAAATCACCTTCTGAGTATACACTCTCATATCTTTGTGCTTTTGAACATGGCCATCCTTCTGTCTGGAATATTCTCGCCACCATCACTGCTCCCTCTTCAAATCCTAGCCATCTTTCAAGGTCTAGTTCAAGCGTCACTCAGGTTGAAGTAGTGTCTCCATCATCTCCATCATGTTCTAATATTTCTGTGTGTAGAGTTTTATTATTGGTTTTCTGATATCACATCAAATTTTTTTTGCTTACATATCTCTATTATAACTTGATGTAATTAATTTGTAATTTTATTCTCAAAGGAAAATTTTAGAGCATTTTTAGGTCTACTAGTCCTGTACTATCATATGTTATTAGTGATTTCATATATACATCTAAATGGCTCATTCAAAATTTTCAAAAATTAAATATATAAATAGACTCATTGCAATAATGAAATTTATACAATTATTTATTGCCCTACTGTATTAAATTTTGGATGTTATTGTTTGCTAAATAGCATAGGGATAGAGTCACTGATCTGGCACATAGGGAGGACATTTTAAAGAGCAACCTCCAAGTAATAGGGACTCCTACCCCATTTTTTGTGGCTGGATTCTGAGAAATAAGCTTATCTGTGAATCTATAATAAGATATATTTGTAATAGGATTAATTTGCACCTGAAAGATGTGGAAGAAAGGGGGATTGAAACAAAAATTCATGTCTAAAAATATGCAAGGAGTCAAGAAGAGAAATGCGGAGTTTGTAACTGAGACAAGAAAATTGAAGCATGTAGCTTTAAAAAGGCAAACTTGAATTTGTGCTAGGAGAGATTTTTTCTGAAATTTCTGATGAAGGAAACTTAGAGAGTGTTTGCAATGCTCATGGATGGAGGAGAGTGAGCTGCTAAGAAAGTGATCATGCAGTTCATAAGAGGTCAAGGGTGACATATTTCTGTATCAGGAAGGAAGCTTCTTTCATTTCTAACAGCAAAGTGTGCTGTGACCATTAATCATGATGTTCAGTCAATTTCATGTTCCTGTGGCTTCGTAGAAGTACTCCCATTCTTTGGTAAAGAATAGTGGCTTATTACAATTACCCAGGTAAGAGGGGTAAGAGGTGGTGTTGAATTGGCCTAGAATGTGGCAAGAGCAAGTTAGATAAGTGGTTCAAGTAAAGAAATATTTGGCAGTTTTAATTCACATAAATTAGTGATTAATTGTATGTACGAATGTGTATGTGTGTATGACTATGTGTATATAGGTGTCTGTGTATATATATATACACAAATATATACATATATACACATATATACATATATACACATATATACATATATACACATATGTATACATATATAGACATATATACATATATACACATGTATACATATACACACATATATACATATATACACATATGTGTATATATGTATATATACACATATATGTATATATGTATATATACACATATATGTACGCATAGGTACACATATGTGTACATATATACACACATATATACATATATACACATATATACATATATACACATATATAATATATATTATATATACACACATATGTAATATATATTTACATATATATATCATTATATTTTTATATATTATTTATATATATATAAATAATATATAAATATATATATAATATAAATAATATATAAATATAATATAATAATATATAATATATAAAGTAAATATAATATAATAATATATATAATATTTATATATAAATATGTATATTATATATGTGTATATATAATATATAAATATGTATATTATATATGTGTATATATACTATATATTATATAGTATATATGTATTATATATTATATTGTATATATTATATACAATATAGTATATAATATATATAATATATGTATATATAATATACGTATAATATATGTATATATAATATACGTACAATATATGTATATATAATATACGTACAATATATGTATATATAATATACGTACAATATATGTATATATAATATACGTACAATATATGTATATATAATATACGTACAATATATGTATATATAATATACGTACAATATATGTATATATAATATACGTACAATATATGTATATATAATATACGTACAATATATGTATATATAATATACGTACAATATATGTATATATAATATACGTACAATATATGTATATATAATATACGTACAATATATGTATATATAATATACGTATAATATATGTATATATAATATACGTATAATATATGTATATATAATATACGTATAATATATGTATATATAATATACGTATAATATATGTATATATAATATACGTATAATATATGTATATATAATATACGTATAATATATGTATATATAATATACGTATAATATATGTATATATAATATACGTATAATATATGTATATATAATATACGTATAATATATGTATATATAATATACGTATAATATATGTATATATAATATACGTATAATATATGTATATATAATATACGTATAATATATGTATATATAATATACGTATAATATATGTATATATAATATACGTATAATATATGTATATATAATATACGTATAATATATGTATATATAATATACGTATAATATATGTATATATAATATACATATATGTGTATATATATTATATATTATATATGTATATATAATATACATATATGTGTATATATAATATACATATATGTGTATATATAATATATATATTATATATGTATATATAATATATATAATTATATATATATTTCCTCTTAATCACTGAAGTAATATGTACTCAAATCAGAAAATTTCAAATACAATGAAAAGCACAAAGATTAAGAGAAAACTCTGTAATGCCTTTCATATGCATTGTTAGAGTTTTGACATGTTTTCTTTTTTTCTATCACTCTTTTTGGGTATACAATTTTTTAAAAATATATATATTAAATACCATGTAGAATTTCAAACTGCTTCCAGAGCTTGCCTTCTTTTTCCCTCTTTACTTAGCTATCTCAAATATTTTCCTGCATCAGTAAGTATTCTTCCATTTATGGCATTTAGATTTTTCCATAAGTATAAAAATACTTTGAAATAAATAAAAATATCTGTAGAAAATTTAAACATTTTTCTTAAGGATTTAAGACACTCAAACCTTTATCGAATGAAGACAAAGATTATCAAATCTTTATCTGAGAGTCTGCTTTTTGAGTAATTCAATTTAAGATTTACTTTCTCTCTTCCTGTATCTCTAAACTTCTGTTAGCTATATCATTTCTGCATTGTTGGGCATGTTACTCACTTTTATTTTAGTCTTAGACTGACAGCTATAAACAGAGGCAATGCTTACCACTTTAATATTTCATTTATCTCTTAGTTGGCCAGAGTTAACATGCAACTAGTTTCTTCAAGCAGGTATCAGTGCAGCAATACTACCTAAGTGCTTTCATTTGGATAAATATGTATTTGTTGCCTTTATATTAAGAATGGTTTGGCTGTGTTGACATTTTTGAGTCAAAATTAAATGCATAGCTCCATGGTCTTGTGTTTAATATTGCTGAGGAAAGGTATGAGGGCAGCCTGATATTCTCCATCCCTTTTTATGTGTATTAGTCTTTAAAGAAACTTATCCTTGAAGTTTAAAAATTTTAAAATTTTATTACAAAACAATTAATTTTTATCAGTCTAAGACATGATATGCTATTTAAACATGTAGCTTCAACACTTCTTTGAAAGACAGAATTATTTATTTATTTATTTTTTGAGACAGAGTCCAGAGTCCTGCTCTGTTGTCCAGGCTGGAATGCAGTGGCCCGATCTCGGCTCACCACAACCGCTGCCTCCCAGGCTCAAGCAATTCTTGTGCCTCAGCCTCCTGAGAAGTTGGGATTACAGGCATGCACCACCATGCCCAGCTAATTTTTGTACTTTTAGTAGAGACAGGGTTTCACCATTTTGGCCAGGCTGGTCTCGAACTCTTGGCCTCAAGTGATCCAGCTGCCTGGGCCTCCCAAAGTACTGGGATTACAGGCGTGAACCCTGAACCTGGCCCAGAAATTTTTTATAAGTACTTATTTGGGTTTTTTTTGGTTAATTTAAATTTATTTATTTATTTTATATATAGATATATATTTTTATTATACTTTAAGTTCTAGGGTACATGCGCACAACATGCAGGTTTGTTACGTATGTATACATGTGCCATGTTGGTGTGCTGCACCCATTAACTCGTCATTTACATTAGGTATTTCTCCTAATGCTATCCCTTCCCCCTCCCCCCACCCCACAACAAGCCCCGGTGTGTGATGTTCCCCTTCCTGTGTCCAAGTGCTCTCATTGTTCAATTCCCACCTATGAGTGAGAACATGTGGTGTTTGGTTTTTTTTGTCCTTGCGATAGTTGGCTGAGAATGATGGTTTCCAGCTTCATCCATGTCCCTACAGAGGACATGAACTCATCATTTTTTATGGCTGCATTGTATTCCATGGTGTATATGTGCCACATTTTCTTAATCCAGTCTATCAATGTTGGACATTTGGGTTGGTCCAAGTCTTTACTATTGTGAATAGTGCCTCAATAAACATACGTGTGCATGTGTCTTTAGAGCAGCATGATTTATAATCCTTTGGGTATATACCCAGTAATGGGATGGCTGGGTCAAATGGTTTTTCTAGTTCTAGATCCTTGAGGAATCACCACACTGTCTTCCACAATGGTTGAACTAGTTTACAGTCCCACCAATAGTGTAAAAGTGTTCCTATTTCTCCACATCCTGTCCAGTACCTGTTGTTTCCTGACTTTTTAATGATCGCCATTCTAACTGGTGTGAGATGGTATCTCACTGTGGTTTTGATTTGCATTTCTCTGATGGCCGGTGATGATGAGCATTTTTTCATGTGTCTGTTGGCTGCATAAATGTCTTCTTTTGAGAAGTATCTGTTCTTGTCCTTCGTCCACTTTTTGATGGGGTTGTTTGTTTTTTCTTGTAAATTTGTTTGAGTTCATTGTAGATTCTGGATATTAGCCCTTTGTCAGAAGAGTAGATTGCAAAAATTTTCTCCCATTCTGTAGGTTGCCTGTTCACTCTGATGGTAGTTTCTTTTGCTGTGCAGAAGCTCTTTAGTTTAATTAGATCCCATTTGTCAATTTTGGCTTTTGTTGCCATTGCTTTTGGTGTTTTAGACATGAAGTCCTTACCCATGCCTATGTCCTGAATAGTATTGCCTAGGTCTTCTTCTAGCATTTTTATGGTTTTATGTCTAAGATTTAAGTCTTTAATCCATCTTGAATTAATTTTTGTGTAAGGTATAAGGAAGGCATCCAGTTTCAGCTTTCTACATATGGTTAGCCAGTTTTCCCAGCACCATTTGTTGAATAAGGAATCCTTTCCCCATTTCTTGTTTTTGTCAGGTTTGTCAAAGATCAGAGAGTTGTAGATGTGTGGTATTATTTCTGAGGGCTCTGTTCTGTTCTATTGGTCTATATCTCTGTTTTGGTACCAGTATCATGCTGTTTTGGTTACTGTAGCCTTGTAGTATAGTTTGAAGTCCGGTAGCATGATGCCTCCAGCTTTGTTCTTTAATTTACTTTGATTTTATTCCTTTGGAACTCCTCTCATGCCTGTATTTGAATATTTTTCTTGAAGCTTCCCTAACTAAATATTTTCTATTACATTTTGACTCTTTATTTCCATTCTGTTTATTTTACTTTTCTTAATTCAGTCCTAGATGTTTCTTATATATCTTCAACAGTTTCTCTTTTCGTTTTCTTTTATTTTTAAGACAAGGTCTTGCTGTCCCACTGTTGCCAAGGCTGGAGTACAGTGGTATGATCATAGCTCCTTTGCAGCCTCGAACTCCTTGGCTCAAGCAATCCTCCCTCCTCAACCTCCAATTAGCTGGGACTAAATGCACATGCCACCATGCCTGGCTAAGTTAATTTATTTTTATTTTTATTTTTATTTTTTATTTTTTGGTAGAGACAGGGTCTGGCTTTGCTGCCCAGGCTGGTCTTGAACTCCTGGCTTCAAGTGATCCTCCTGCCTTGGCCTTCCAAAGTGTTGGGATTATAGGCGTGAGCCACCGCACCCAGCCCAGATTCTCTTTCCTTTTATTGCTTTCAATTTTACTTTTATTTCCATTATGATTTGTCATTCTCCTCCTACCTCTTTTCTTAGCATGAACAACCTCATTTTATCTTTCCCTCATATCTTAATATCTCTTTTCTGGGGTTCTGTATCCATTCATTGTACTCTTAATATATAAGGGAGATATTAGGTGTCTGGAATATTAATGACAAGATATCTGGTTTCAATTTTCATTTTTTCCATGGCAATATTTTTCTAATGAGTGTTTGCCATCTGTCTTGCTTTCTGGTTCTTTCCTCCTTTTTTTCTCTTAATATTTTGTACTTACTCAGCTTCACATGACATGATTTTTCCCGTTTAAATATTTGAAGAATTTCACTTGAGGAGTGACTATAAATTCAGAAGTTTTCCACTTGCGCAATTCCCTAGAAGTTGAAGGAAACACTACTCAACATACTACTGGAAAATCTATCTAATATGTTATTAAAATCAATCCTTCTATGTGTTTTTGGCTTCCTCAGACATGCTGAATGTTGACAGAAGGACCACAAGATATGCTGATGGATCAGATGTGTAATGTGAGTTACCCCAAGGAACTATGTTCATGATAGTTTAATTCTCTAAGATAGAAAATTCTGAACGAGAAACAAGGAAACAACATTTTGTTGGGGGCTAATACAGAGTTTTCTTTTGAACATGGTAACAGGATGACAAAAAAGGGATTAACATCTTTATGTGGTTTTGATGTATTGGAAATTGAAAAATACAAAACACATTGATACACATAAGCTTATTAAAATTCAAGAACAGTGCAAAATATAAAAAAATACATAAACTGTCACAATGTAGAAGTGTTCAAATTTCAAATGTGCAGATCAAAAAATAATGGAGAGACATAAGGAAAAATGTTTCTTTGACTGGATAGCATGGTAAGTTTCTTTTGATTATTGCTGTTCTTTCTGGCCCAAACGGTCTGGTTGCCAAGGTGGCCAGCATTCAATTACTGGCTTTCTACTGGGGTACTTGTGTGGACACTTTGGAAACCCTTATGTGAGGTCTCCCAACAGTACAGTTCCTTGATGAGAGATATTTGGCTTTGGCTTCAACTCTTCCACAAGCTCTCACCCCCAGCTTCAGTTACAGATGGTCCACCTATAGTCATTCATTATTGAGTTCTATCACCTAGTGGGCAACTTTCTTGAAGGGTAATGAAACAATGGTTTGAGCTCCACTCAGATCCTTGACATCCTCTCAACTTTTGCAAAATTTTGCTTGTATAATAAACAGATGGAACTCAGGATGCTTCCTTGTCACCTCTTTTTGACTCTGCCTCTTCTGATGCCTTATCCCAGAAGCATTAGTCACTCTGCAGGTTGACTGATGTGCCACATTTCAGAGGGAAGATAACCACTCTCCTTGACCTAGTAGAGGATGGAAGTGATTGAGGTTTTCACGTAATTTCGGGTAAGAAAGAGCCCCACGGGAAAAAGTAAGGGGAGGAAATACTGTTCTCCCTCTCAGTTCTCCTTTATTGTTTAGAGTGGGAGTGGGGTGGGGATAAGGATGATTGAGAGTGGTGGGACCAGACTCTGCCCAAGTACATCTCAGAAAGCCCAGCTGGGTGATGGAGTTGCCCTCAACTGTTCAAAGCTCTTTGAACTTGTTACTTTTGCTATGTCTCAGCTTTGAACTTTAGCCACAATTAATGAATATATAAGCAACATTACCTTTTAATAGTCTATCATAAATGTTTTATGATTTCAATGAGATGATCTATAGTGGTAGAATAATTATCTGTTTGTCTAGCTGCCAATTTCGTTCTTCTGTGTATGTTCTCCTCATGTTAATTTAAAACCATCTTAAAACTCTTGTGACTTATAATGACAATTCCCAATTATTAAATAATAGAAAATATTACAAACATGTAATTATTTTTTCTACCATAAAGTACAAGAAGTATAATCTGAAATAAAAATTATTTAACTCTTTTTTAACTCTTTCATATCACCTCATGTTATAGATATACAGAACTATAATCATGTGGTTTTTAAACATATAATTCCTTAGTAGTATTTATTGAGTCATTCTGCCATTTTATTTGAAATAAAACATCTTATAAGCCATCCTTCAATGTTTTGAAACTATTAGTTAACATTTTAAAACTCTGTATTAATATTGTCTAAACTATATATTGTACCTACATATTATTTTCTGTTATAAGATGATTTCAAAAACTAATACTGAGCCTGTCAGTAGAGTATGCTAGGTTGAATTCCCTGATGGCCACATTTCTATGCTTTAAATTAATGTACTGATTTACAAAGATTAGTTTCTTGGTAATTGGAATGGGGATATCTAAAAGGAGGCAGATAAACTAAGAAGTCTTTATACCTGTGCTCTTTCAAGATATTTCTCAGAGATACCACTGCCCAGAGCTCTAAGTGAAGCACTATTCTACATTATATGGCAAAATAAATAAATAAAATACAAGTAACTAAATTTCCAAGAAGAGAGAACTATATATAATGACAGAATAAGATAAAAGATTCCATGTGACTTAACTCTAGGCCTTTGTTTCACCAAGGGAGCCATGAGGAATCAGTTTTAAATGGAAGGATAATACATAAAAAGGAGTATTGTGTGTGTGTGTGTGTGTGTGTGTGTGTGTGTGTATGCCCACACACAGATGGCATATATGATTGATCATTCTAGAATTGTGACTGTTGTTATGGATTAATAGCGTAAGGAAGTGTTCCAAGCACAACTCAATGCCTTTCCTGTATTAACAAGAAAAACCCTGTGCTCAACACAAAACATTCTGTCAAGCTAATAAATTGTATTGTATGCAAAGAGCTCAAAGCACAGCCAGTACATTCTTGTTCCCTCTGCAAGCTGCACAGGTAAACTCTTTTCAGAACTGCCTAGTTATGTGTGCATTCATGACCCTCAGACACACACCCAGCTTTCTGTATTTCAGATCTCGTGGGGTAAGTCCTTCTACTGCAGCACAAAGTGGAATGCATATAACCACACCACCCACACATTGGCTATGGATCTGATCTGCTAGCCATGGGTTATTGATGCATTGCAAGGGGCTGGACCTATGTACTCTCTCCTCTTTCTGTAAGTAAACTCTGTACTCCTTGAGCCTGGTATGCAAGTTTTCTGTTCTCAGCAATCTCTAGTCTTGCACTGGAAGAGGCAGAGGAAGGTGTATTTGATTGAGACAACTTTATCTAGTTGTATTCCACTCTGCACATCCCTGCTGATGAAATAAGAGATATTAAGGCAGAAATGAGGGGCACTGTCAAAGAAGAGTCCCTAGTGGAAAAAGGGACCTATACCTTACTACCATTCTACCTTGACTTGACCCCCTTCAATAAAACAGATTGGCATGGAGCCAAAGTTTCTGGGCCCCACAAGGGAAAACAACCCTATTCCTCAGTAAAAGTAGAAGAAGAAAAGGGTGGCATGAATACTTTAATGGGTATCTTAGAGACAGGGCTCAGGTAACCATCATTCCTGGCCCCTACCATGGGTGGAAACAGCAGATGTCCCTAGGGACTTTAAAAACTAATATTGTCACATATGGAAAGGAAGTGACCATGTGCTTAGCTATTGACTTCTTTGGCCCTTTTTGCATGACAGTGATGGTGGTTTTCACTACTGAATGAATAATAGGTATATATGTATAACTGCTGTGTACAAGGCATCTATCACTGACTTTGAAGTTACACTCCACCTAATTCAGACAATTACAGTGGAGCACATTGCCTCCTGAGACTCCCTTAAGCTGTGCACATCGTAAAGAGTGGTCTAAATAATATTTCATCCAGGGTGGAGAAAAGGAAATAACTGCCCTGATTCAAGAATTAATGGATGCTGGGGTTTTGAGATCTACCATTTCCCAATACAATAGGCCAGTTTGGCCTATAAAGAAGACATTCAACATATAGTGGCCCAAGATATACTACCACCAGTTCAACTGCCAGTTAGCATCATTTGCCCTATCTGTACTGGACGTTATTTCAGTCAAGGAGCAACTGGCAAAACATGACAGCATTTGGTATGCTATTGTTAACCTGGTCAAAATGTTTTTCTCCGTTTTGATGAGGGAAGAGAACCAGACCAAGTTGCCTTTACATAGCTGGGGATGCGATATATGTTTACTGTCCTTCCTTAGGGATATGTCAGTTCTACTGCTATTTGCCATCTGTAGATAGGGCTGGATTTACAAAAGTCTGATCTCCAAGCCTCAGTTTTCTGCCTATATTACATTGATGACATTATTCTGGTTGGACCAGATAAGAGCATAATTAAAAGGGCCCTGGACAATGCAATCCAGGCAATGATCTCAGATGACTGGATTACTGACACTGATAAAATCTAGGGATGGCCCAATACATCACCTTTCTAGGTGTGATTTGGGCCAAGGCCCAATGGGACATTACCACCAAGATTAAGGAGAAATTTCTGACTTCAACACCCCTGAATTCAAAGAAACAATCTCAATGATTAATGGGGCTGTTTAGGTACTGAAGACAGCACACTTGACATCTGGGAATTTTGCAGTCTCCCTTCAGTGTCTCTGAATAGCAGCTGCTGCCACACTAGTAGGCACTAATAAAGATGGAACAAATTATCCTTGAATCTACTGTGTTGCTGAGGACTTATCTATTAATTTTGAACTGAGTTAGCACCCTCCCAACAAATAAAGTATGGCAAGCACAATGAAACTCCATCATCAAACAGAAAAGGTATATTCAACATAGAGACTGACCAGGACCCCAAGGGAGTCACCTGGTTAGAAAAACTCATGGCTGACACCCCAAAAAGTACCCCCACTGGATGCTGCAGAGGCCCCAGTGTCCCTGATAGTACACCAGGGATGCTGTCTTTAGAAAGTACCCCTAGAGGTATTGTGACTTTGTTCACATATGGGTTTGCCAAATGGAAAGCCAATAGATTCCACTGGGAAGTAGCTACCATCTGCCCCTAGGATGAATACATCATCATTGACCAAGGTTGAGGCAGGTTGGCTCAATGGGCAGAACTGGCACCTATATGGTTAGGCATGTAGGCTACTCCCAAACTTCATTGTGTTATGTCTTCACAGACTCCTAGGCTATAGCCAACAGCAACCCAGTGTGTGTACAAGAGCAATGAGATATTAGCTTAATGGGAAGTTACAATATTCATCACATATGTGGATAGGCATAAGAAAGGCTTTTACCAAACAGGGAATGACTTGGATGAGCAAGTAGTCACAGCCTACACCAGAATGATAGCCACAATAACCACTGGATTTACCAGTGAACTGGGCACATACCCATTTCCTTCCCCTAGAGGAAGCTGAACAGTCTATAGTCACATCGTATTCATGCAAGAAAGTTCAATAAAGGAAAGAAAGTGAACTGGGTCACATTTGTTGTAGACTAGCCCCAATACAAGTCTAGCAAATGGACCATGCCCAACTGATGCCCTTTAATTGGGGCTTTCAGTGGTCTGATAATTGTAAGTATCTATTTCAAGCTTTGTGCTGCAATCTTGGTGTACTTCGTAGACTCAGGAACCACGATATTGGCCATCAAGAACCTTTTTGCCATGTAAGCTATCCTGACATTATGTAAACAGACCAAGAAACAGCCTTCACAGTGAAGGCCATGCAACAGTGGACAGCATCCCACATCACTAGGTGGATTCTGCACACCCCACAACACCCTCAAGCCACCTGCCTGATAGAACAGCAGCTGTGATAGGAAACACCAGAGTGTACTCTCTACAACCATACAGCAGAAGAAAACCACAGCAATAAATGACTTGCTTGGTAATGAGAGTAGGAGTAGGCAGGAGAGGCCAAGTCCTGTCTGTATGTGAGTCCTGTCACCTACACTCAGTATCCCTACTTTTTCCTTTTACCCTTTGAAATTGAATAGAAACAGATGGGTAATAGGTGGTCCTAGTGGCAACCCTGCCAGATAGTCAAGTCACAGCCAACCTAGAATTCATGCTACCTGAGGGCACTTCTTTGCTCTGTACCCTCCACACCCCAAGGAGGGATCTATGAAATGTCACAGGGAGGAAGGCATTCCTAACCAGGCCCACTGAAGGGAATGACACTATAGGTGCAGTTACGAGTTACATTGGGGTGATTAGCCTCAATGTTAACCACCTGGTGGGCCTCCAGGATCATGGATGTAAGGTACGGGTATTCATGGTCAAATGCTGGGTACCCAGTGAAATCGTCACTCCCAGATAGAGCCAAATAAACTAGATTGTGCAGAACAGCTGGGAAATCTCCATATTGTTGGACTGAGACACCTGAGACCTCGAGAAGCGTGTGTGTGTGTGTGTGTGTGTGTGTGTGTGTGCACACGCACATGCAGGGGGAATAACTAACCTTCCACATCCTTTTACCTCCAGGTTCCCTTGGATTAGTCATGGTGGGACAAAGCAATGGTTAACATTAGCCAGGCAGTAGCCCAGGAGGCATTCTGATGAGGTATTGGGTTTGTCACCTTTGGATCCAGTGGGTGCTGCCAAACTTCCCACTGTGCTGGAATAGCCAATCATCAACATCATTGGTGTCCCCCTGCCGTCCACGTCTTTGAGCGATGTGTGATGCTCCTGCTTTGCATCCACATTTAATGACCACCCAGTATCCTATGCATTAATACCTTTTTGAGGTAGGACATAATGCTAAAGAAGACTTTAAACATTGTTGACACTTTGGGAAGACCAACACTCTTCAGAATTTTTAATGCCCACCTATGTATGCATGAATGCCTCTACAACTGGATTAGTATTACTTATAACAACTGCTCTTTTATCAGGGTAATGTGAGCTCCTTTTGCTACGTGTTTCTTTGCAGGATACATTGACCACAGAGTGCTTGCCCCCAGAGGAGGAAGCCTGTTTTGTAGAGGTTTGGGTACCCAAGGTGTTCTACACAATAACATCTATTGGTGAACGAGGCCCACCCTACTTGCCCACTGGGTATCCTGCAGGTTCCACCTCCCTCAGGGCCAAACAAATAGCTTTTTACATTCCACTGCATTTTCATACCCAGGATGGGTGCCTATACCTTGGAGACTGTGGTGCAGTATCTATCTCTAAGTATGACAGCTGTGGCTAACACTACACCTGTTGCAATGCAAAAACAACAGGACTCATTGAAATTCCTAGTAAAAGTGATCTCGGACAACCACATTGCCCTAGACTAGTTTCTAGTTGAACAAGAAGAGGTATATGTCAGAGCTAACACATCTTGCTGTGTGTACTTCAATAACACTAAGGTAATTAACATTAATACATAACACTAAGGTACTAAGGCCATAAAAATTTAAAAAAAGAAAAGAAAAACAGCCACAATTTATGTCCTTGAGTCCCTCCACTCAAGGACATAAACATCAGTAACTTTATTTTATAGTAAAAACTACATAGGTAACTTTCTTTTTGTTTCTACCCCCAAATAAAATTTTTACTCTTTTTTAATGACTGCATATGCTTATGTGTGTTAAATTATTAGAATATAAAAATGAATTATTTGTTTTTCTTTTTCTTTTTTTTTTGAGACAGAGTCTCGCTCTGTCACCCAGGCTGGAGTGCAGTGGTGTGATCTCTGCTCACTGCAAGCTCCGCCTCCGGGGTTCACGCCATTCTCCTGCCTCAGCCTCCCGAGTAGCTGAGACTACAGGTGCCTGCCACTACGCCCAGCTAATTTTTTTGTATTTTCAGTAGAGATGGGGTTTCATCGTGTTAGCCAGGATGGACTCAATCTCCTGACCTCATAATCTGCCCGCCTCGGCCTCCCAAAGTGCTGGGATTACAGGCGTGAGCCACCGCGCCTGGCTGAATTATTTCTTTTTTGATGTTCCATCTTATTTTTATCTGTAACTATACCCTATTTATAATAGAGTCAGAGTTATTTCTCCTTATCCTACTTCTTTGGCTAATAAAATCTTATCATCTTGTTAATGGAGTTTTAATTCTTGCACAACTAACCTGCTCTCAGAATGCTCACACAGAGTTATTTTGCTTCAGGCCTCACCCAGTTCCCACCCAGCCCAAAAGGCTGGTCTTACTTGGACCATGCCTCCTGCAACAGCACCAACTTCCTTTTCCAGGCAGCCGGTGAGCAGGGTGAGAATTTTCTCCAGGCTACAAGCCTCCCTGGGGAGAAAGCAAGCAGGGCTTTCAGGTTTTGTGCCTTCCTGCCTGCTGTGACTTCTGTGTTTGTATCTGCACTCCCTGTTCACCCCTTCCCCAGATTCTGCCCAGGAAACTTCACATTTGGTTGAAATTGTTACAAGGTTCAGCTGGAAGTTTCCTTCTTCCTGTGATCTTTCCCAATTCCACTGTCAGCCCTCCCCAAGGACCCCTGCGAGATGAAGTCAGAAATGGCTTCCCTGGGGACGGAGAGTGCCGACAGAGTTCTTCCTGGTGCTTCCTCTACTCCTATACTTCACCCGGCGCCCCAAATTCATCTCAGCTTCAAAAAAAATCAATTCCTTCTTTTGTGATCTGGACCTTCAGGTTCCCCAGTGAGGATGTGTGTTCAGAAGTGGACGTTCCCCCTTTCACGCTTTGGGCACTCACAGTTTTTCAGCCATTTCCTGGAGCCTGCAGTGGCAAGTTGCTTCTTTCAAAAATTCTGTGGATTCTCTTGGCTTTCCTGGTATGTTGCTGTGGTAGTTCTTGGAGCAAAAGTTCATGTTGTGAGTCTCCACACACTGCTCTCTTGGGGATCTCTTTCAGTCAGATGGTTCCAAAGTTGTTAAATGGCTCAGTTCTAAATATTATTTTTTCTTTAATATAGTTGGAGCAATCAATAGACTGAGCAATACCTTTGTCAGCTACATGGCTATCTTGTTTCAAAAAATCTGTGTTCTTTTAACAATCTCCATGATTATCTGCAGATTAAGCTCTAACCTTTCTGCTAATTGTAATTATTGTGTCCATTTAGTTTCTGATGGCTAACGTGCTGGATTGATTATTTTGGGGTTGTATAATCCCCTTTGATGTCCGGGATTCTTGTTATGCAAAAGCCCTGGTATACAGTTAACTGTAGCTACAAAGCTGCTTAAGAATTCTGGTTTCCTTCTCAGTAGGGCATTTTTTATCACTTTGATAAGCAGAGCATACTCTGGGTATCCTCACAAAATGTAGTCATCTCTTGAGTTTTCTGTTTTCTGTAATAGCTCTTCTCTAGCAATCCTATCTGAAATTTTAATCTCTTTACTCTGCCATTTGCCTTAGCAGTTTTACTTTATGGAGTAGAGGTCATAAATTTTTCCAAGCTTCTAAGTGCCAACTAAGTATATTAGCACTGTGTCTCTCTCCTGAGACGTTGCCAGAATGTTAAATCCTATATACATCACAGGAAAGTGATCCCATTTGATAAACCCTATGTTATCCAACTTTATGTTTTACTTGACTTGATTCGTCTCCTTCATGATCCAGTCCTATTTATACTTTTCTAAATCTTGTAGGACATGTTGACTAGATATTTCTACTTTTATGATTTATAGAATCTTTTTTCCTTTAGGAGATCCAACTGTTTCTTTACCTGGTCATATTGTAGTTGGTAGTGAATTATTAATCTGATGCCCAAGAGGGGAGAGAGGAAAAGAACTGAGGGGGAAGGTATATTGAGTCTTGTAAGGCATAAGCTTGTGCATTGGTGTTAAGCAAGGAGCAAGTGCTGGCATTTCACACGGAGAAGAGGTGTCCTTCTCCAGGCACAGAATTTGGAGAAATCTGGGCACAAAAAATTTTCAGGTGCATAGACCCAGAGACCCAGATATCATCACCACCCCATGTTTCAGGATCTGTTCTCTTCCAATCAGGGCCCTGATCTTGGCATAGCAGGCTCATTGGGGTTGAGAATTTGAACTTCTCTAGAGCTCTGATACCCATAAAATTAAGTCTTGGCCCTGATCTTTAGCCTTTTCTGAACTCCAGCTACAGGAAGAGAGAATCCCTTTATTTTTTATATGCTGCCAGGAGGCTCTCTTTCACATTTGTTTTACATTGGTGATTACTCACCCTTAGCCATTTGTTGTATTCCTCCATGAAGCAATGGCCCTTGCCATTGTCATTCAGTCCCATACTCCTTATAATTACTATTTTTCCCAAACCTCTCATATGCCTGAGTTACTGGATCTGTCAATTCATTTCTTTCTATTTGGCATCCCATCCTAGTTCGCCACTGTAAACAGTTATATCAATGACACTGAAAACCATATGCCAGGAACTATCAGTGCCAGCAATGATGTCCTGAAGTCCAACTGACTGGAGTGGGATGCAGCTCCAGATCTTATTATAGAGTCTGCTTCCTGATACTACACCTGCTACCAACTGTTGCAAGTTCCTTGGGAAACAAATCCTGATATTTACATGCAGTAAATTTTTTGAGAAATATTCTCAGGAACAAAACATGTAAAGGGTAAAGGAAGTAATATTGGGCAAAGGGAAAAGTCAGACAAAGAAGCAGTTGCAGTAGAAACCGCAGGCCATACTTTGGAGGGTCCTTGAGCTAGATGACCTTTCAGAATTGTCTCAACTGGGTAAGGGACCTAGCAGTTGTCTTCCCATATTAACAACTTATTGGATGCAGATTGCCTCATTGGAAAGTAAGTAACCCTGAGCAAGGCAGTTTCTTTTGATGAAGGGCAGTTCCTGAAGAGAATGCAGTTGGGAGTTGTCACTAGCCAAGATTCCCAGGAGCTTGGCTAGAGTTGAATAATAGAACTGAAGAGGTGTCTATGCAGTATACCACAGTATGAATTCCTTGAACCCACTGCTGGAGTCATATGTGGACTTTTCTAGTTGGTCTCTTATAGTGCACATGTATTTTTCAATCTACCCACACTTCTCTCTTTTTTCTGTTTATAACCACCATGTTTTTTTCCTGGAAAAATGTTTTTCTCCTAATTTAACTATGTGATCTGGGTTTGTGAGGCCATGTTCCTATATATCTTATCCCTCCAACACAATCATTGTTTATGGACCCAAAGATGAACACTTCGACCCAGCAAGATAAATCAGCATGCTTCACATCTCCTCTTCCAACTGAAAAGATTGGTTTTTGAATCCATCTATATCAATTAAAGCCTTTCCTCATGAATTTTTTTTGCAACTTTTAGATTCAAAGGGTACATGTGCAGGTTTGTTACACGGGTATATTGCACTCAGGTAGTGAGCATACTACCTAATAGGTACTATTTCAACCCATTTCCCCTTCCCTCTCTCCCTCTATAGTAGTCCACGGTGTCTATTATTCTCATGCTATGCCCATGGGTTCTCAATGTTTAGCTCCCATTTGTAAGAGATAACATCCAATATTTCATTTTCTGTTCCTGTGTTAATTCACTTGGGATTATGGCCTCCAGATCTATCTATGTTGCTGCAAAGGACAAGATTACATTCTTTTTTTATGGCTGGGTAGTATTCCATGGTGTATATGTACCACAGTTTCTTTATCCAATCCACCAGTCATGGGCTCTTGACTCCATGACTTTGCTACTGTGACTAGCATGGCAATGAACATACAAGTGCATGTGTGTTTTTGGTATCATAATATATTTTCCTTTTGATACATACTCAGTAATGGGATTGCTGAATTGAATGATAGCTCTGGTCTAAGTTCTTTGAAAAATTTCCAAACTGCTTTCCACAGTGGCTGAGCTAATTTCATTCCCACTAACAGTGTATAAGCATTCCCTTTTCTCTGCAACCTCACTGGCATCTGTTGATTTTTGACTTTTCAATAATAAGCATTCTGACTGGTGTGAGATGGTACCTCATTATGATTTTGATTTGCTCTTCTCTAATGACTAGTGGTGATGAGCATTTTTTCATATGTTTTTTGGCCAGTTGTATGTCTTCTTTTGAGAAGTGTCTGTTCAAGTCCTTTGCCCATTTTTATGGGGTTGTTTTTTGCTTGTTGACTAGTTTAAGCTACTTATAGATTCTGGATAGTAGATGTTTGCCAGATGCATATATTTTATTCTGTTCTGTAAATAGATTGTCTGTTTATTGATATTCTTTCTTGCTGTGCAGAAGCTCTTTAGTTTAATTAGTACCACTTGTCAATTTTTGTTTTTGTTCCAATTGCTTTTGGGAACTCCACCAAAAATTATTTGCCAAGGATGGTGTCAAGAAGAGTATTTCCTAGGTTTACTTACATTTAAATCTCTAATCCATCTTAAGTTAACTTTTGTATATGGTGAAAGATAAGGGCACAGTTTCAACCTTCTGCGCTTACCTATCCATTTATCCTAGCACCATTTATTGAATAAAGTCCTTTTCCCATTGCTTCTTATTGTCAACTGTGTCAAAGATCAGATAAGTGTGTTATAAATGTGATGCTTTATTTCTGAGTTTTTACTCTGTTCCTTTGGTATATGTGTCTGTTTTTGTACCAATACCATGCTGTTTTGGTTGGTATAGCCTTATAGCTTAGTTTGAAGTCAGATAATGTGATGCCTCCAGCTTTGGTCTTTTTTTCTTAGGATTGCTTTGCTTGTTTGGGCTCTTTGTTGGTACCATATGAATTTTAGAATAGTTTTTCCTAATTCTGTGAAGAACGATGTTGGTAGTTTGGTAGAAATAGTGTTGAATCTGTACATTTCTTTGGGCAATATGGCCATTTTTTTCTATGTTAGCTTTCAACTTTTTAATTTTTTTAATTTTGAGGGGTACATAATAGGTGTATATATTTATGGGATACATGAGGTATTTTGATACAGGAATGCAATGTGTAATATTCACATCATGTAAAATGGGGTATCCATTCCCTCAAGTATTTATCCTTCGTATTACAAACAATCCAATTATACTCTTTAGTTATTTTAATATGTACAATTACATTATTATTGACTATAGCCATGCTATTGGGCTATCAAATACTAAGTCTTATTCATTCCTTCTATGTATTTGTACCCATTAACTATCCCCATCTCCCCTCAATCCTCTCTGCTACCCTTCTCAGCCTCTGGTAACCATCCTTTTGCTTTCTGTCTCCATGAGTTCAATTGTTTTGATTTTTAGCTCCCACAAATAAATGAGAACATACAATTTCTTTGCCTTTGCCTTTCTGTGCCTGACTTATTTTACTTAACATAATGACCTCTAGTTCCACTTATGTTGTTGAAGATGACAGGATATCATTCTTTTTTATGGCTGAATAGTACTCCACTATGTATAAGCACACTACACTTTCTTTATCTATTCATCTGTTAATGGACACTTAGATTATTTCTAAATCTTGGCTATTGTGATGAGTGCTGCAACAAACATGGGAGGGCAGATATCTCTTTGATATACTGATTTCCTTTATTTTGGATATATACCTAGAAATGGGATTGCTAGATCATATAGTAGCTCTATCTGTAGTTTTCTGAGGAACGTCCAACCTGTTACCCAAGGTAATTGTACTAATTTACATTCCCAACAACAGTGAGCAAGGGTTCCTTTTTCTCCACATCCTCACCAGCATTTGTTATTGCCTGTCTTTTTGATATAAGCCATTTTAACTGGGGTGAGATGATATCTCATTGTAGTTTTGATTTGCATTTCTCTGATGATCAGTGATGTTGAGTACATTTCATATGCCTGTTTTCCATTTGTATGTCTTCTTATGAGAAATGTCCATTCAAATCTTTTGCCCATTTTCTTACTGGATTATTAGACTTATTCCCATAGTGTTGTTTGAGCTCCTTATATATTCTGGTTATTAATCCCTTGTCAGATAGGTAGTTTGCAAATATTTTCTTTCATCCTGTGGGCTGTCTCTTCACGTTGTTTTTTCCTTTGTTGTGCAGAAGCTTTTTAACTTGATGTAATCCCATCTGTCCATTTTGCCTTGGTTGTCTGTGCTTGTGGTGTATTACTCAATAAATTATTGCCCAGACCAATGTTCTGGGGAGTTTCCTGGATGTTTTCTTCTAGTATTTCCAAAGTTTCAGGTCTTAGATTTAATTTTTTAATCCACTTTCATTTGATTTTTTAACATGGTGAGAGACAGGAGTTTCATTTCAATCTTCTGCATATGAATATCTTGTTTTTCCAGCACCATTTTGAAGAGGCTGTCTTTTTCCCAGTGTATATTCTTGGCACCTTTGTCAAAAATGAGTTCACTGCAGGTGTGTGGATTTGTTTTTGGGTTCTCTATTCTATTCCACTGTTCTATGCATCTGTGTTTATGCTAGTGCTATGCAGTTTTGCTTACTATAGCTCTGTAGTATATTTTGAAGTCAGTTAATGTGATTCTTCCAGTGTTTTTCTTTTTGCCTAGAACAACTCTGGATATTCTAGGTCTTTTGTGGTTTCATATAAATTTTAGGATTTTTTTTTTTATTTCTGTAAAGAATGTCATTGGTATTTTGAAAGGGATACATTGAATCTGTAGATTGCTTTGGGTAATACAAACATTTTAACTTCATTGGTTCTTCCAGTTCATGAACATGGAATATCTTTCCATTTTTTGGCATCCTATTCAATTTATTTCATCAATGTTTTATAGTTTTCATTGTAAAAATCTTTCACTTCTTTGGTTAATTCCTAGGTATTTATTTGTGCCTATTGTAAATGGGATTACTTTTTAAATTTCTTTTTCAGATTGTTCACTGTTGGCATATAGGAATGCTACTGATTTCTGCATGTTGATTTTGTATCCTGCAACTTTACTGAATTTATTTATCATTTCTAATAGTTTTTTGGTGGAGTCTTTAGGTTTTTCCAAACATAAGATCTTATCATCTGCAAATAAGGATAATTTGACTTCTCCCTTTCCAATATTGATGCCCTTTATTTCTTTCCCTTGTGTGATTGCTCTAGCTAGGACTTCCAGTACTATGCTGAATAGTAGTGGTAAAAGTGGCCATCCTTGTCATGTTCTGGATCTTAAAGGAAAGTCTTTCAGGTTTTCCCCATTTATTATGATACTAGCTGTGGGTCTGTCATTTATGGCTTTTATTATATTGAGATATGTTCTTTCTAACCCTAGTTTTTTGAGTGTTTTTATCATGATGAAATGATGAATCTTATCAAATGCCTTTCATCATCAATTGAAATAACCATATGGTTTTTATCCTTCGTTCTGTTGATATGTTGTGTCACATTGATTAATTTGTATATGCTGAACTATCCTTGGGTGTCTGGGATAAATCTCAGTATGACCATTTTAATAATATTGGTTCTTCAAATCTACAAGCAGAGCATATTTTCCCATTTATTTGTGTCATCTCTAATTTCTTTCATCAGTGTTTTGTAGTTCTCCTTGAAGAGATCTTTCACCTCCTTGGTTAGCTGTATTCCTAGATATTTCATTTTCTTTGTGGCTATTGTAAATGGGATTGTGTTCTTGATTTGATTCTCAGCCTGGACATTATTGGTGTATAGAAGTGCTACTGGATTTTGTACATTGACTTTGTACCCTGAAACCTTACTAAAGTCATTTATCACTTCTAATGGTCTTTTACCAAATTCTTTAGGGTTTTCCAGGTATAAAATCATACATCAGCAAAGACAGATAGTTTGATTTCCTCTCTTCCTATTTAGATATCTTTTATTTCTTTCTCTTGCTTATTTATTTCTCTGCTAGGACTACCAGTACTATGTTGAATAGGAGTGGTGAGAGTGAGCATCCTTGTCCTATTCCAGTTCTCAAGGAAAATGCTTCCAGCTTTCACCTGTTCAGTATGGTGTTGGCTATCACTGTGTCATAGATGGCTCTTATTATTCTGAGGTATTTTGAGATTCCTTTGATACCTAGTTTGTTGAGGGTTTTTTATTATGAAGGGTTGTTGGATTTTATTGAAAAAATTTTCCACATTTATTGAGGTAATTATATAGTTGTACTTTTTAATTCTATTTATGCCATGGATTGCTTTTATTAATTTACATATGTTGAAACAACCTTGCACCCCAGGAATAAAGCCTACTTGATTGTGGTGTATTATCTTTTTGGTATGCTGCTGGATTTGGCTTGCTAGTACATCAATGAGGATTTTTTCATCTATGTTTATCAGAGATATTAGCCTGTAGTTTTCTTTTTTTATTGTGTCTCTGCCAGATTTTGGTATTAGGCTGATGCAGGCTTCATATAATGAGTTAGGGAGGAGCCCCTCCTCCTCAAGTTTTTATAATAGTTTCAGTAGGATAGGTACCAGTTCATCCTTGCACATCTGGTAAAATTCAGCTGAGTCCATTTGGTCCAGGGCTGTATTTGTCTGGTAGATTTTTTATTACTGATTGAATTTCAGGACTTGATATTTGTCTGTTCAGAGATTCAATCCCTTCCTGACTCAATCATGGGAGATTGTGTGTGTCCGGTAATTTATCCATTTCCTCTGGATTTTCTAATTTGTGTGCATAGAGTTGTTCATAGTATTCTCTGAGGATCTTTTGTATTTCCGTGGGATCGGTTTTAATGCCATCTTTGTCATTTCTGATTATACTTATTTGAATCATGTCTTTCTTTTCTTTTTGTTTGTTAATCTAACTAGTGGTCTATCAATGCTGCTTATATTTTCTGAAGAACTGACTCTTGGCTTCACTTATCTTTCATGTAGATTTTTGCAGCTCAATTTCATTCAGTTCATTTCTAATTTTAGTTATTTCCTTTTTTCTGCTAGCGTTGGGGTAGATTTGTTCTTTTTAACTGGTTCCTTTAGGTGCAAAATTAGATTGTTAATTTGAGATCTTTCTAAGTTCTTGATGAAGGCATTTAGTGCTATAAACTTTCCCCTTAACACTGCTTTAGCTGTCTCCCACAAGAAGATTTTGGTAGTTTCTGTCCCTACTTTCATTAATTTGAAAGCATTTTAAAATAATTTTCGCCATAATTTCAATGTTCATGCATGAGTTATTCTGGAGTAAGTCATTTGATTTCCATGAATTTATATAGTTTTGAGAGATTTTCTTGATATTGATTTTGATTTTTATTGCATTGTGGCCTGAGAGTGTGCTTGGGATGATTTCAATTTTTTGAATTTATTGAGACTTGCTTTATGACCAAGCATGTGCTTGATATTAGAATATATTACATGTGCAGATGAGAAAAATGTATATTTTAGGGTTGTTGGGTGGAGTGTTCTGTAGATGTCTTTTAGGTCCAATTGATCAAGTATCAAGTTTAAGTGCCAAATTTCTTTATTAGTTTTCTGCCTCAATTTATTTTACACTTAGTGGGATGTCGGAGTCTCCCACTGTTATTGTGAACTTGTATAAGTCTTTTCATAGGCCAAGAACTTGTTTTATGAATCTAGGTGTTCCAATGTTGCATGTGTATATATTTAGGAGTGCATATATATTTAGTTCATATACAATTACACTTAACTACATGTATTTGTTGCATTGTAAACTTTATCATTATGTACTATCTTAATTTTTGTTTGTTTATAATAAGTCATCTTATAAGAATAGTGACCCCTGCTCTTTGTTGTTTTTCATTTACATGATACATCTAACTTCATCCTTTTACTTTGAGTGTATGGGTGTCATTACATGTGAGATGGGTCTCTTTAAAAGAGCAGATGGTTGGGTCTTGACTTTCTATCCAGATTGCTACTCTAAGTCTTTTAAGTGGGCTGTTTAGCCCATTTACATTCAGGGTTAATATAGATAGGTAAGGTTTTGATCCTGTCATCTTTTTGTTATCTGGCTATTGTGTAGACTTGATTATGTGACTGCTTTATAATGCTTGTGGATTATGTGCTTTGGTGTGTTTTTGTGGTAGCAGGTGTCATTTTTTCAGTTCCATGTTTAATACTTCCTTAAAGACCTCTTGTAAGGCTGGTCTAGATAAAATGTATTCCCTCAGCATTTGTTTGCCTGAGAAGAATTTTATTTCTCCATCACTTATGAAGCTTGGTTTGGTGGGATATGAAATTCTTGCTTGGAATTTCTTCTCTTTAAGGTGCTGAGGATAGACCCCCAATTTCTTTTGGCTTGTAAGGTTTCTGCTGAAAGTTTTGCCACTATCCTGATGAGGTTCCCTTTGGATGTGACTTGACCCTTCTCTCTAGCTGCATTTAAGATTTTTTTTTCTTTTGCATTGACCTTTGATGAATCTGATGACTATGTGCCTTGGGGATGGTCATCTTATATAGGATCTTGCCAGTGTTCTCTGTATTTTTTTGATTTGCACGTCTACCTCTCTTGCAAAATTAAGGAAATTTTCATGGACTATATTTTCAAATATATTTTTCTGAGTTGTTTGTTCTCTCATTTTCTCTCTCAGGAATGCCATTGAGTCATAGATTTGGTCTCTTCATAATCTCATATTTCTCCAAGGTTTTGTTCACTTTTTAAAATTATTTTTTATGCATGCTTGTTTAAATTTATTTGAAGAACTGGTCTCCAAGCTCAGAGATTATTTTCTCAGCTTGGTCTATTATGCTGTTAATACTTTCAATTGTATGATGACATTCTTGTATTGAGGTTTTTAGCTCTAGGAGATCAGTTGGTCCTTTCTTAAAATGGCTCCTTTGTCCTTCAGTTATTGGATCATTTTACTGGAGTCCTTAGATTGCTTGATGATACGGTTTGGCTGTGTTCCCACCCAAATCTCATCTTGGTTTCCCATGTGTTGTGAGAAAAAACTGGTGGGAGGTGGTTGAATCATGGGGGTGTTTTTTTCCTGTGCTGTTCCCATGGTGGTGAGTGGGTATCATGAGATATGATGGTTTTAATGGGGGGAGTTTTCCCTGCACAAGCTCTCTTTGCATACTGCCATCTATATAAGATGTGACTCACTCCTTCTTGCCTTCCACCATGATCATAAGGCCTCCCTAGCCATGTGGAATTGTAAGTCCATTAAACCTCTTTTTCTTCCCAGTCTCAGGTATGTCTTTATCAGCAGTGTGAAAACAGACTAATAGACTTGATTAGGTTTTAACTTTCTCCTAAATCTCAATGAGTTTCCTTGCCATCCAGATTCTGAATTCTGTCTCTTATTTTAGTCATTTCTGACTCATTAAGAACCATTGCTGGGGAGTTAGTGAACTCATTTGTAGGTAAGGGGACACTTTGGCTTTTTGAATGCCAGAGTTCCTGCTCTGATCCTTTTTCATTGGTGAATAATATTTTATTGTGTGGTTATACCACATTTGTCTGTCCATTCATCAATTGATGGACATTTGAGTTGTTCCCACTTTTTGACCATAAAAATAATGCTGCTATAAATTTTTCTGCCTTTTTTTATTTGATACCAGAGAAAACAACTCTTAATCTTACTCAGTTTGCCTCAGTTTGAACACATTTTTGACTTTTTGAGGGAACTGTTATAGAAGAAGAAAAAAAAAGTGGAGGGAGAATTTTTATTTCTATTTCCCCAATGTCCAGTTATATCATTCCCCTTCCCATAGATTAGTTACATACCCTACTATTAAATCTATTAATAGTTGCCTCTGGGAACTCCACCCCAGAGAGACACAGAGATACTGCCTCAGGTTAATGAGTTGGGGGTTGGGTGGCTGCACTGTAGGCTCAAGCCAGGGGTCTTGCCTGGTGCAGAGCAGGGGAAACAGAGGGCTTACAGGGAAGACAGTCTGTCATCTCTCCATAGGACAACTGTGGTGTGCTGGAAATAAAAGCAAAGGAATCAGGGTCTTTGTTTCTTCCCCAGCTTGTGGAGAGCAAGAGTGGGTATCACAGACATGGCAGTGGCACAGGGCCTGTTGGTTTTCTCTGAGAACTTCACCACAGAGAAACACGGAGCTGGTGCCAACTGAAGTGATCAGGTGGGGGTAGGGCAGTTGTGCTGGTGGCTCAAGCCAGGTGGCCCTACCCAGTTAGGAGTAGCAGGAGCAGGGACTCAGGTGGAAAACAGTCTGGCTGCATTTCCACATGGCAGCTGGGTACACTGGAGGCCCAGAATGGTTCTAAGGCTCTTCACTTCCTCCCCAGCCTGAGAGTAGTAGGGGCAGGGAGCACAGAAGCAGCAATCAGCAATTGCAGCAGGTTTGTAGGTTACCTCTGGGAGCTCCCACTCAGAGAAATGGAGAGCCATGACCAACCATAGTGCTTAGGCAGGGGTGGGATGGTTGCACTGGGGTCCCAGGTCAGTGAGCTTTGCCTGGCAAAGTGCAATGCAGGTGGGGTCTGTGGTCTGTCTGCTGCTCAGCACCATGGATATGGCTCCATTCTGGGGGTGTATGAGAAAGCCTGGCCTCCCTTGTTCGTTGGGCTATGGCAGGTGGTGCTGAGGTGCTCAGGGATCCAAGGCCCCTGGAGCTCCATGTGGGCCTGAGCAGTGGCTCTGTGCAGTCTCCCAGAAGTTCTCTGTGTCAATCTGGAGGGTCTGAGGGGTCAGGGGAATCTCCCATGCCCAGGATTGCAAAGGTCCATGGCAGAAGTGTGGGTACCAGGGAACACTCACTCATTCACCCTTTCCTTGCAGTAGGGAGCCTCCTCTGGCTCCACACCAAGCCCGGGTGGGTGGCTGTCCTTCCTTGCTCCTCTCTGCTCTCCATGAGTTGCTGTGGCTTCCTTGATGAATCCCAACGTAGCCTCTCAGTTAATCCACTTGGAGAACTAGTATTTAGTTGCCAGTCTCTCTCCTCTCTATCACAGCAGTTCACACTAGCTGATTCTAGTCAGCCGTCTTGGCCAAGACTACTATGAATCTTTTTTAACAGTTTTATTGAGATATAATATGCATACCATAAATTCATCCCTTTCAGGTGTGCAATTCAGTAAGATGTGCAATTTAGCTTATTAGTATAGTCACCTAGTACCACAGCCACCACTACTATCTAATTTTAGAATATTTAATCACCTCCAAAATTACTCCATAGTTATTAGCAGTCACTCTCCATTTGTCTCAAACCCACAACCTTTGGCAATCACTAATCTACTTTCTGTTTCTAAAAATTTGCTATTCTCAATATTTCTTATGAATGGAATCATACAATATGTGATATAAGTAGCTTCTTTTACTTGGTGTAATGTTTTCATGTTGTAGCAGGTATCAGTACTTCATTCTTTTTCATTGATGAATAATATTTTATTGTATGGTTATACCACATTTGTCTATCCATTCATCAATTGATGGACATTTGAGTTGTTCCCACTTTTTGACCATAAAAATAATGCTGCTATAAATATTTCTGCCTATGTTTTTAAAATTTGATACCAGAGAAAACAACTCTTAATCTTACTCAGTTTGCCTCAGTTTGAGCACATTTTTAACTTTTTGAGGGAACTGTTATAGAAGAATAAAAAAAAAAGTGGAGAGAGAATTTTTATTTCTATTTCCCCAAGGTCCAGGTACATCACTCCCCTTCCCATAGATTAGTTACATACCCTACTATTAAATCTATTAAAATACCCCACTTTACATAAGCTACTTCAAAACAGCTTTCTATTATGTACATACAAAAATTCAGACTAAAACATGACTTCTGATGAAACCTTAAACAACCGCACATCTGAAGCTACTTAAATAATAAAAGTCCAAAGTTTAGAAGTGACTCACAGCTGTTTCCTCATTCTACTCACCATTATCTCTCTATGGAAATAATCTGCCTATTATTGCCTCCCTATGGAATCTGCCTCTTTATGGAAATAATCCCCAACATAAAGCAGCAACTCCAAAACCTACTTTGCTCTCAGAAGGCTCCCTGATGATATTTAATCACCTCTTCTGTTTTTAAGCTTAAACAATTTGCTTTGCACCTTTATTTGGAACTTATTTCCATTTGAATTATTCATTTACATATATGCCTTCTTTATTAGACTGGAAGATTTTTTGAGACCTGGGATTTTTCTTGTCCAATTTTGGGTTTCAGTTTATGTGTGTGTGTGCATGTGTGTGTGTGTGTGTGTATGCATATATATATATATGCATATATATAAATATAATATATATATATTTATATATATACTATATATATAAATTCTGTACTAGAAATTATGATAGACCTGGGAATAAGGAAAAAGATCCTTTGGTGGGTATATTAGTCAGGGTTCTCCAGAGAGACAGAACAAATAGAGGATAGATAAATAGATAGCTAAGAGGAGGTTTATTAGGGGAATTGGCATGTGATTATGGAGGCTCAGAAGTCCCACAACAGATCATCTGCAAGCTGGGATGCTGGTAGCATGACTGAGTTTGAGTCTGAAAGTTTCAGAACCAGGGAAGCCAATGGTATATGCTCAGTCTGAGGCAGAAGGCTTGAGAACTTTTGGGTCACTGGTATAAGTCCCAGAGTCCTAAAGGCAGACAGTCTGGGATTCTGATGTCCAAGATCTGAGACAGAGAGAGAGAGAAAGAAAATGGAAATCCTGTTCTCTGTCTTTTTATTCTGCCTTGACCCCCAGCTGAATGAACCCACATCAGTCTCTAAAGGAGATAGATGTGTGAGTCAGTGAATGGAGTGGGGGAAGATCCCCCACTACATTGAGGGTGGATCTTCCCCAACTCCGTTCACTGAGTCACAAATCATCTCCTCTAGAAACACCTTCACAGACACACCCACAAGTAATGCTTTACCAGTTTTCTAGGTTTCCATTAATCCATTCAAGTTGACATCTAAAATTCATCATTACAAGTCCACCACTTGTCAACTTAGCACCCATGAATCTCTTTAAACCATACTTAATCTCCAAATAAAGACAAAAACAAGGTAATATGAAACAACTCTCTTGTGTACAACCAAAAACACATTAATCCCTTCCCCCGAAGAGAAGGTTAGGTCTCTGGGTAATGTTTACTCTTCTCCTGATATGCAATAACATAAATACTATGATAAAAAATTAACAGTACACTCATGTATAGGAAATGAGACTGGCCAACAATGAACCATATATATGATGGTGGTCCTGTAAGATTATAATACCATTTCTATAATTATATATGTTTGGATACACAAATATTTATCATTTTGTTACAATTGCCCACGCTATTCAGTACAGTAACATGCTGTATAAGTTTGTAGCCTAGGAGTAATAGGTTATGTCATATAGCCTAGGTATGTAGTAGGCTATGCCGTCTAGGTTTGTGTAAGTACCTTTGTTATGTTCACACCATTACAAAATCATGCAAGGATGCATTTCTCAGAGCATATGCCAGTTGTTAAGCAACATATGACTATAGATAAATACTGATACTAAGTCAACTTATTTTATGTTACGTGATAAAGAAATGAGAGGAACAAAACCAACATATTTGCTTAATGTGATGGTTAATATTGAATGTCAACTTGATTGGATTGGAGGATGCAAAGTATGGTTACTGGGTATTCCTGGTGTGTGTCTGTGAGGGTGTTAATCTGCCAAAGGAGATTAACATTTGAATCAGTGGACTGGGAGAAGCAGACCCACCCTCAATCTGAGTGGGCACAATCTAATCAGCTGCCAGTGTGGCCAGAATAAAAGCAGGCAGTAGACTAGAGTGGCTGAGTCTTCTGGCCCACATCGTCCTCTGTGCTGGATGTTTCCTGCCCTCAAACATTACACTCCAAGTTCTTCAGCTTTAGGACTCTTGGACCTTTGACCACAGACTGAAGGCTGCATTGTTGGCTTCCCTACCTGAGGTTTTGGGACTTGGACTGGCTTCCTTGCTCCTCAGCTTGCAGATGGCCTATTATGAGACCTCACCTTGTGATTGTGTGAGTCAATACTCCTTAGTAAACTCCCTTATTAGTTCTGTCCCTCTAGAGAACCCTGACTGATACACTTAATATACGTGTATATACACACAAATGTATTTTTAACAAAATGTGGAAGAAATTACTCATGACACAGTTATTATTTCTGTAATGGATCACATGGTCATGGTTGGTATTTATAAGTACCTTTTCTTACTACCCATTCTGTATTCCTTTGCCTTCAGCAAACTTCTCAGCTGGTCATAGTTCTTTACATGGTAGGGCAACCCAGATCTTCATCCCTGAAGTGTCTGGATCATTTGTAGTCCTGCCTGGATTGGGTTGTTTTAATTTCCTATTAACCTTAATCATGGGGCATGGTAACACTAAGAGATGCCCTAAGGGATCATCTGTATTCTAAACATATTCTTTCTTACCATTCTGCAGTAGTAGTCCAATTTCCCCTGGGTAATCTGTATCAATCACCCTAACAAATACGGTAACCCCCTTGGCCTGTTGACTCAGATGCATGAGGAACTCTGTGACCAGGTGTCAGCCTTAACTTTCAGATAATAGATTCATTGTTGTGTCTTCTGGTCTCTGGAACTAAGCTTTCTAGGCCAGCAGAGCACAGAGTTGTAGAAACAAAAAGCATAAATTTTGCTTTTGGGTCACTAAGGGTAAGGGTAAGTGGTACTATTCCCATTTCCACCCCTTGATTTCTGGACCCATAAATCCTGGATATGAAACAAACAGTGCCATACATAAGATGCTTATTAGAGAATATACAGCTTTCTGGAGGATGTTGTCCCAGTCCTGCAAAGTAATTTTACCTAGCTGGTACTTTAAATGTGAGTTCAAAAGGCTATCCCACCATTCTATAAAGCCAGCTGCTTCAGGGTTACAGGAAACTTGCTAAGACTAGTGAATTCTATGCATATGAGCTCATGCCACACTTTTTTTTTTTTTTTTTGGCTGTGAAGTGAGTCCCTTTGTTAGAAGTAATGTTGTGCAGAATACAATGGTAGAGAAGGCATTCTCTAGGTCCATGGATGGTAGTTTTTCCAGAAGCATACAGGGAAGAAAAATCCGTATTTTGTAAGTGCCTATTCCAGTAACGACAAACTGCTACCCCTTCCTTGATGGAAGTGGTTCAACGTAATCAATCTGCCACCAGATAGCTGGGTGATCACCCCAGTGAATGATGCCAAATAGGAAATGTAGTGTTGGTCTCTGCTGCTCGCAGATCAAGCACTCAGCGGTGGCCATAGCCAGACTGGCCTTGGTGCATGAAAGTCCATGTGGCTGAACCCATGCATAACTTCCATCCCTGCCACAATGACCAGTTTGTTCATGAGCCCACTGGGCAATGACAGGAGTGGCTGGGGAAAGAGGCTGATTGGTGTCCACAGAACAGGTTATCCTATCCACCTGGTTATTAAAGTCCTCCTCTAGGGTTCACATGGGACAGAAATATCTTAGCATCTTTTGCCAATTCAGAGAGGTCTATCTACATACTATTCCCCAAATTTCTTTGATACCAAATTTCCAAACATGTTCCTTCCAAATCCCTGATCATATGGCTAAACCATTGGCTATTGCCCACGAATCAGGATATAATTGCATGTCTGGCCATTTCTCCTTCCACACAAAGTGCACAAGCATGTGTACTGCCTGAAGTTCTGTCCACTGAGAAGATATCATTTTACCATGCTCCTTCAGGGATGTTCTAGAAAGGGGCTGTAGTGCTGCAGCTCTCCACCTTCAAGTGGTGCCTGAATATTCTGTAAAGCCATGTGTAAATCAGGCCCTAGTCTTTTTCTCTGCCAGATGATCATAGAGTGCTTTCCATAAGGCTATAGATGCTGTCTGGGAGAGAGAAGTCAGCGTAGCAGAAGAAACCATGAGCCTCTGGGCCACTTCTTCACGTGACTTACGCTTGGTACCAATCGTATATATACCACTTCCACTTGATGATGTAGTGCTGCTGTGCATGGCGAACTTTATGGATTGATGGGTCAGATAACACCCAGTTTATGATAGGCAGCTCAAACTGCATGGTAGCTTGGTGACCCATGTTCAAGTGTTCAGTTTCTACTAAGGACTTGTAGCAGGCCAAGAACTGTTTCTCAAAAAGAAAGTAGCAATCTGCAGATGATGTCAGGGCCTTGTGCCCAAAATCCTAAGGACCTTGCCTGTGATTCACCTCTGAGAGTCTGCCAAGTGTTCCAGCCAGCATCCCTATCTGCCACTCACACCTCAAGTACCATTAAAACTGATGAATTATATGGCCCAAGTGGCAGAGAAGCTTGCACAGCAGCCTGAACCTGTGGAAGAGCATTCTCTTATTGTAGACCCTACTCAGATCTAGCAACTTTTTGAGTCACTGGGTAGGTGGGCAGGAGTAACAAAGTGAAATGGGGAATGTGTTGCCTAAAAAAAAATCTAAATCGGCCTGCTGGGTACTGTGCCTCTTTCTTGCTTGTTGGAGGTGTCTGATGCTACAACTCATCTTTCACCTTAGAAGGGATAACTCAACATGTGCCACACCATTGGACCACTAGAAATTTCACTGAGGCAGGAAACCTATAAATTTTAGTTGGATTTATATTCCAACTAAACACAGAAATGTCATCAATAAATCCAGAGTAGTTGCTACTTCGTGCTCACTGGGCCCAATCAGCATAATGTCATCAATGCATTGGACCAGTGTGATATCTGTGGAAGGGGAAGGCAATCAGGATCCCTGCAAACTAAACTGTGATTTAGGACTACAGAGTTGATATAGTCCTGAGGTAGGACAGCAAAGGTATATTTCTGACCCTGACAACTGAAAGCAAATTGTTTCTGGTGGGGAGTTATGGACAAGTACGGGGAAAAAGGCATTTGCCTGATCAATAGCTGTGTTCCATGCACCAGGCGGTGTGTTAATTTGCTCAGGCAAAGAAACCATATCTGGTTCAGCTGCAACTTGGAGTCACCACTGATTAAGCTTACAATAAACCACTGTCGTTCTCCAGGACGCATCTTTCTTCTGCACAAACAAATAGGATAGTTTAACGGGGATGTGGTTCAATCACCAACCCTGCATCTTTCAACTTTTTGATGGTGTCACAATTCTCTGCCATCCATCCAGGGACATGGTATCATTTTTGATTTGCTGTTTTCCTAGGTAGAGGCAGCTATCATGTCTTCTATTTGGCCTTTTCCAGCACAATAGCCCTCACCAAACAGGTCAGAGAATCAATGTGGGGATTCCGCCAGCTGCTAAGTGTGTCTATTTCAATTATGCGCCTGGAACTGGGGAAATAACCATAGGATGGTTTTGGGGACCCACTGTGAGATGAAGCTGAGCTAAAACTCCACTGATCACGTGACCTCCACATACGCCTACTCTAACTAGAGGGCCACAGTGACATGTCAGGTCTCCTGAATCAATGTCAATTCGGAGCCAGTGTCCAGCAGTCCTCAAAAGGTCTGATTATTTTCATTTCCCCAATACAGTTACCATGGTAAAAAGCTGTAGATCCCTCTGGGGAAGGGTAGAAGAAAGATTAACAATATAAATGTTTTGGTAATTACTGGGTCCTTCCTGGAGGTGAGCTGGCAACCTCTCCATTCAAAGGGTTCGGGGTCAGTAAACTGGCTTGATTCTTGGAACTGATTGAGGGGCTGTAATTCTCTGTTTTTATGATTCAAGTTTGCCTTGTGTTCACTTGACCTGAAAGTTTTCTGCTCATACAGATTAAGTAATAATTCAATAGGCTTTCTATCTATTTCACTTCTAGGAGCACCATGGCTAACTAGCCAACTCCACAGTGAGAGTCAGACTATTCTAATTGTTGCTTTGCCTCTGCTTTCCATTATGGTAACAATACCCCCCTTGCCTTTGGGTTGAGTGTTACTATTTGGCCCCTGTCACTCTGGGATTCAATTACTAAGTTTTCCAATTGAGTGACTGTGGTTCCCACTGTAAGATCTGGCTTACAGAGAAGAGCAATCACAGAGCTCTTCAGGGATACTGTGGTTCCCCTCACAAATCTATTTCTCAAAGTGCTGTTGAAAGGACTCTCCCAGTGTGGGTGAGTAGGTTGTAAGTGACATGTCCACTCTAGCATTCCAATCTTCCTAAGCCTTTGAATCCTTTCGTGTACATTAAATCAAGAGAGATTGGACATTTCCAAATAGTGCACAGTGGGCCATCTTGATCCATGTCTTAGCCAACCAAAGAAACTGTTAGCACCTTTCCTAATTTCCCAAGCTGCAACACTGAATGCAAATTATGTGCTTAGTGGGCCCATATCAACAAATTTGGCCTGATTCAACTTTATGTTCCTTCTACTATTACTCCATGACTTTATTATACACACATATTCCCTGGATTTCTGCTTGTATAAATTGAAAAACTCAGGTAGCTCTTTTGGAGCATGGTGCAGCTCCTCATGGGCCACACTTTGTACCTCACCTTAGGGTCCTGCTAGGACTTGACTCCAGTTACAAGTCTAGAAGCAAAGAAGGGTGGTGGGGGTGGGTCCTGAGGAGAATCAGCATTGTCTTTCTTGGCAACTGACTCAGGGGAGGCATTACTGTTTCCTCAGGCAATGCAGGGTTAACCCTTCAGAGGTGGAATGGCCAATACCACTGTGGGTAGATATGCTACTGGCACTTGAAGTAGGGAAGCCACTTCTGCTGGCAAAGTAGACTTATCAGAATATAGGAGCTCAATGCCCTCCGTCTCATCAAGGTCTTCCCACATATCCTCACCCCAGCATACAGGATCCCATTCTTCCCTAACGAATGCCCTCACATTAACAGTAGACACTGAGAAGCTGAGAGCCCGTCTTTCATTTTAATTCAGCCAATCAAATGACCAGGGCTTGCATTTGACTTTCAGCAATTTCAGCCCTATGACTACAGGAGAGAAGATTCTGGATCAGGGCACACTTAATAAGCTCTTAGGCTATTTATGTGGGACTGGAGCCAGAAATTTGAATACCTGAGCTCATCTTTTTTTTCCATCATTTTTTCCAGTAACATTAGAAGCAACCAACCAACATCATTGTATTCCTTGGTTTTCCACAAATATTCAAAAGTATCGTATATAGTTACCAAGTCCTTGCCTCTTATAAGTGACTGATTAGGAGTATCACAGGCAGATAGATATTTTATATTTCCATAAACAATTCATACCATGGGCTATGAGTGCTCTCTGTACTGTTAACAGTAGAGTCCTTAGCATTTTTAGGTCTAATCAGACTACAGAGCCAACTCCAGAATCCCTGAAACCAATAAAGGAAACTCATTCTTAAATTCTGTTCCTCTAGATCACTTTTGGTACCAAAATCTGTATTAGCCAGGGTTCTTCACAGAGATAGAACAAACAGAATAAGATATATAGATAGATGATAGACAATAGATAGATAGATAGATAGATAGATAGATAGATAGATAGATAGATAGATACATAGATAAATGAGAGGAGATTTATTCGGGGAATAGGTTCTTGTGATCATAAAAGCTGAGAAGTCCCACAACAGACTATCTGTAAGCTGCAGAACCAGGAATTCTGGTAGTATGACTCAATCCAAATCTGAAAGTCTCAGAACTAGAGAAGCTGATGAAGCTGATAGTGTAATTCTCAGGCTGAGACCAAAGCCCTGAGAACCTGGTGGGGGAAGGGGCAGCTGGTGTGAGTCCTGGAGTCCTAGGGCCAGAAAGCCTGGGGCTCTGATGTCCAAGGGCAGGAGGAGGAGAGTGTCCTACGTCCAGGAGAGGAAAGAAAAAACCCTTTTTTTCTCCTTTTCTTTTTTTTTTTGTTCTATCTGGGTACCCAGCTGAATGAATGGTGCCTGTCCACATTGAAAGTAGACCTTCCGCACTCAGTCCATGGACTCACATGCCAATCTCCTCTGGAAAACTCTCACACACATACCTAGAAGTAATGCTTCACAAATTATCTAGGTACTCCTTAATCCAGTCAAGTTGACCTCTAAAATCAACCATCACAAGGGGCTTACAGTTTATTACAAGAAGACTATATTAAACAAGTAAAAATAAACTATGTAAGTGGTGCTACTATAAAAACATCAATAATTACAGGGGATAGGAAAGTCACCAGAATAGGGGATCAGTTCATAGAATCTTGGATTTAGAGGCAAATCCACTGTTAAGCCCATGGAGGTAAGCCTTTAAGTTTCTGACAAATGTAATATAATAAAAATACAATGCTTAAATCAGGATTAATCTTACTAGTTCATTTCAGATTCACAAAGTGTCCACAAGTCTCAAACTTATCTATAGTATGATTCTAGTTAATCTGGACACCTATCAGAGAATGAGATCTCTTTTGTGTCTGTATGAGAATCAGGTAGCTAGGCCTCCTCCTGGGAAGAGCAGGCTTACTGGTTATATTTGTGTAGGAGGAATTACCCCGATCCTTGAGTAATAGGTACTTATGCAAAGGGTAAAAAAATGACAAGCTTATCTCACATGTCGGTTTTTCCTGTCTCCTTTAAGGTACTATTTCTGATTATTTTAAAAAGTGGCAGACAAGATAGAAATTGCAATCTATCAGTGACTGAAAACAGAGCCATTTTTACAAAGCATGAAAGGTATAAAAGAAGAAAACTCCCAACATAGTTGGTATTCGTCCATTCTACTTCAGAGTTTGAAGAGAAGGCTGAAGAAATAATTACCCCTTGCTAATTGTACTACAATATTGACAAAATATAGCAAATATTTTAAAAATAACGTGCCTTAAAAGTGTTCTACACAATACCTTTACCGATTTATCACACACACACTCACACACACACACAAACACACTAGTGTAGGTTAAAGTTCACTTGTAAAAAGAGTTTTGATGCATGAAGGGGCACTTGTCTTTTCCTGAATTGAGACTATTTGAGTGACTATATTTTAATTAATTTAAATTGTTCCTCAGTAAGGAACAGGGAACATTTCTCTTATTCTAAGGCCAGGCTAACTTCCATTTGTCCTGCCCTAACCTGCAAAGTATTGTATATAGTCCAGTACTTTCTCTATTATATTATCCCTTCTCTATTATAATATTGGAATACTCTATTACAATTACTTTATTACAATTGCTCTTTTTTGTCTTTTTTTAAAAACTCTAAGGATAAAAACTGTGGTACATAGTAAATAATATTTCATTCCAGAATGGCTACATAATAATCTCTCATAATTTTTTTTAAATATTTACTTTTTAAAAATATTGTAGTACAATTTCATGGCAAGTATTCACTGAGTCTATATATTGAGATTCATTTATTTTCAAGTGGAATTTTTACTGTGTCTAATGATTATACCATTAAGGTTTCATTATAAATTATGTCTTTTAGTGCATAAAATGTCCATCTTTTAAATGCCATTATTAGAATATTATACACATAGAAGATGCTCGGTAAATATTTACAGAGTAAAAACTTTTGTTTTTAATCTTACATTTCTAAATTTCTTTTCTATTACTTTTAAGTATTATTTTTAGTTTGTTCCAACATTTTTTCAACAGGAAACAAATGTAACACAATTTATACAAAGTATATTCAATGCCACTCATGAAATTAAATGTTTTCTAGATCCCTCAGCAGAATTTTTCAAAGTACTCTTCCACTCACCTTTGTGCCATTAGACAAATTCACCATACCCCTCAATTTCTCTGTATTTTTACCTATTCAAGCTATCACCTAAGAGGTAGCTAGACTTATAAGCTAAACTCTTATTTATCCTTCAATGTAATTTTAAACATCCTTCTCCTATGCACATTTGACCTAGACTCAGAAAGACATCACCCCTAAGTAATGTCTTCTCTTTCCTTCAAGCACATACATGATGTTTCTGGTACCAAGATCTTTATGAAGAAGTACTTTTCATTGGTCCCAATAAAGATGGCCTGAGCATTCCTCAATGGCTCAGCATCCATGAACTCTAAACAATGTCTTGAAACAGGGTATAGAGCCTGAGCCACTGAGAGCCCTCTATCCTGAAATCTTATGATGGCTTACTAGGGCAGCAGGAGCTTTCCATAGGTGTCCTCTTCAAAAGACTAATTGTTACCACACAGCTGGTCCCTCAGAGGGTGGGGAATGCACTGTAAACTAGCCACAGGAAAGGAGCAAGAGAAGCATTCAGAAGATCTGCAGGAGATGCTATTTTCTTGGCATTGGTTTTTTGTTTCAAACATTTCTGTAATTTGTTTTCAGTGAGAATTTTCACCATAAAAATGTCGCTTTCTGCTTGTATTTCCTTTCTTAGTGCTTTGGAAAAGTGTTCATTATGCTAACTGCATTTTCTTCTCTGAATGGGTGTTTCAGATAGTGACTACAATAGCTTTTGTTTTTCAGGTCATAGTTCACTATGATTTGAAAAGAAACTAACTTCACTTGCCTCAAGTAAATGTCTGCATTTTTTTTCTCCTAAACTATTAACAGGCTACTCACTACCCTATGAAATTATGAGGTAGATATTCTATATTCTCTTCCAATTCTTAGATCATGTCAAGAGGTACAGTTCTTGGAACCTGCCCTAAGCACAATAGTAGCTAGTTACATCACTGACTGAAACACATTATCTTTGTTTCTCTTCCTGTTGAAATTTTTCTCCAACCGCTTCCTGTTGCTATCTTCTGGTTCCAAACACTCCCACTTTCAATGTTTCTTTAGTATGAATTATTTATAATGGAACCTGCCCTAACAATCACATTACTTACAAGAATATTCTTGATCCTTCTAATGGTCCAAAAGTATTTTTCATTTATCATAGAACTATTTAGTATTATTTTACCCTACACAATTTTCCACAAAAACTGAAGCAGAATTTCTAGAAGGAAGATACTTTTGGAAGCAAGGGCTATATCTTATTATCATTGTATGCTCAGTGCCCAACATATAGTAGGTATTTACTAAACTCTTTTTGAATGAATTAATGAATAATAAAAATATGAAGAGCAATGCTGTTTTATCAATCCTGTTGATGAATGAAGCTAATAAGTTTGGAATAGAGAGCTCTGTGTTATTATATGTTAGGTAAAGAGTGGGGCTGAAACTCTAATAAAATCAATAATTATAGGGTAAAAATGGAAGTAACTTACCATAGCTTACAAAAAACAACTAAAAAGAGAAATGGAGATTTTAGCTTTCTTGACATTCAAGTGTTTTATAGTATTGTCTGTTAAAAGTCAGATCTAGGCCGGGCGCGGTGGCTCACGCTTGTAATCCTAGCACTTTGGGAGGCCGAGGCGGGTGGATCACGAGATCAGCAGATCGAGACCATCCTGGCTAACACGGTGAAACCCCGTCTCTACTAAACATACAAAAAATTAGCCGGGCATGGTGGCGGGCGCCTGTAGTCCCAGCTACTTGGGAGGCTGAAGCACGAGAATGACCTGAACCCGGGAGGCAGAGCTTGCAGTGAGCCGAGATTGCGCCACTGCACTCCAGCCTGGGCTACAGAGCGAGACTCCGCCTCAAAAAAAAAAAAAAAAAAAAAAAAAAAAGTCAGATCTACGGAGCAAGGTTCCTTCCAGCAAACTCACTGTTGCTTGTTAGCACAGCCAGGAGTCTAACTGGAGGGGCAGTGGTGGTGGTGTGTGCTATGGTATAAGCAGAAAACCTGCTTACTTCTACAAGTCAGACTCAATATACTTGAAAAGAGAAGAATCAGCACATTTATACAATCACTAGAGAACAAAAGCAAGTATATAATGCAAACAGCCATGCAGGAAGGAATATCAAATAGCTACCACAATCACCAATTAACAATGAGATATTGCTCCATGGGGACTTAGAACATGAATGGTGAAGGGAATTAAATGTTCTTTAATGTATGTTTAGTTAGAAGAATGCACAAAGATTTACCCTATTAATGAATCTTCCTCCAAACTCATCACTGTGAATTATGTGTTAGCTTCCTATCACCATAAATTAACGTATTAGCTAGCTACTGCTGCAACGCATTACTACAATTTAGTGGCTTAAAGCAAACTAAATTTATTATATTAGAATTATAGATGTAATAAGTCCAAAATCAGTCTCACTTGGCTAAAAGCCAAGATGTCAACAGGGCTGGTTCCTTCTGTAGGCTCTGCAGGAGAATTCATTTCTTTGCCTTTAGGCTACCTGTATTCCTTGGCTTGTGGCCCCTTCCTCCATATTCTAAGCATATTCCTCCAATCTCTGTTTTCTCATCACACCTCCTCTCTAACTTTCACTTTTCTGCCCCCATCTTATAAAGACTCTTGTGATTACACTGGGCCCACCTGGATAATCCAAGATAATCTTCCCATCTCAAGATCCTTAATTTAATTCCACCTTCCAGGTAAATACATATATACACAGGTTCTGCAGATGAGAATGTGGACCTCTTTGGGGGGTTGCTACACAGATTAGTATTAAAGAATTCAATTAAATGTGAGGAAGCAAAAGAAAATAAAGCCTCCCAGTAATGACAAAAAAAAATTGCTAAAAATTCCTTCAGACATCCCTGGTATTTGGTTTAGTTTTGAGGGAGTAAATAAGAAGTGTAGTTAACACCCTGGGGGAATAATATAATTCAATGTCTAAAAATCCAGACATGATTGTCAAGAGGAATATTCCCCAATTAACAAATAGCCATGAAGAAGCAACTATTTCACTTTTACAATAGATTACTGCTTTAGAAAAGAACCAGTTTTGTTCTTTAAACATATCCAGAATCTAAAGGCAGAAATAAAGCCATTAGCATGCACAACAGCATCTGGTCTGCAAAGGACACAAGAAATCAGCCATGGCAACTGCAGGGCAACACCAAACAGCTTTAGCTGTCCATTTATTGGAACACAGGGCCAGTGTGAGGCTTTTATAATCTTCACAGAGTGGGGTAATAATATTGAGGCTGTCAATATGCCGCTAAAAAAAATAATGCAAGGGAAGAAGTCAATGGATCCAAGAGTTTGATATATTGAGAAATGAGAAACCTACTGTGACTAGCATTTTCTTGTCATTCTGTAACAGAGGTAAAATCAGAAACCTGCGATTACACACTGCTGGTGGTATTTTGCCTGAAAAAGCCTCTCGGTGTGAGAATTGCTAAGTGCCTCTTTCCTGAGAACAAGTATGAACCAAGAGATAACCCAACATTCCAGATGGTATCATCTCCTTAAGGGAGAAAGCAGGGGAAAAATAAAGTCAACTGTGATTAAAGACGTACTTGACACAGAAACAAGACCAAAATGAGTAAAAAATCTTTTAAAATATATTTTTATAAATGCATCAGCAAAGTATGAAAACATGTAGACTTAAGTTATCACGTGTATGTGTGTGTGTGCGCGTGTGTGAACATCTATATATCCTCAACCAAATAGCACCAAAATTGTAATAAATTATAAGTACAGTTCATACCTATTTTTAAGGATATTAGTATTTAATTGTATGGGCTTATAGTTCTGTGGAAAAGTGGATAGGGAAACAAAAAACGTTTTCAACACATATATGTATAACCTATCCTATTATGTTCATGTAATCTTTAGCAAGGGCCTTATGTGACCTTAAAAGGAAGCGGTGGGGAGGGGGGCAGTTATAATTAAGAGGGCAGGCTATGAAATCAGATCTAGGATTGAATTCCAGCTCTGCCACTTACAGTTTTCAACGCCCAGATTCTTCATTTGTAAAATATGGTTAAACCTTCCTTGTTTTGAGAACCAAATGACATGAATATTGTGAAACTCTTACATAGAACATAGGATATAGAATACTTAAAAAAAGAGTAGTTGTTGACTGCAAACAGTAAAACAAAAGAATAAATAAGTCAGTCAATGGGGTAGTCAATGGCTATTTTCTTATTCAAAAGAAAAGTGAAGCTAGAATAATTTTAATGGGAGATTTTAAAGATTTTCTAACACATAATCTTATTTTTTTTAAAAAAAAAACAGCCCACAATTTTCAGCAGTTTTTACTTTCTTTTTTCTATTTACTAGCATCATTTGACATAAGTAGTGGAAATGAGCTTCTGAAAATATACTTAATTTTCATATTATAAATCTTATTTTCTATAGTTTTATTAGGAGACAGTGTTATAACATTTTATATCTGGCAGAAACTCGAATACAGTAATTTTAATTTATTCATTAATAATGAATAAATTAGATGAGATACGCAAGGCTCAGAAATATTAAGAATTGCTCCAAACACCCAGATATTGTGGAGCAGAGTCAGGATGGCAGCTGCAACCTTCTGACTTCCAATCCAGGGCTCTTCATACAAGAAGGCTGTCCTGTATATGTGACAGATACAAGTTCCTATCTGAACACTGTCTTTATTAACAAGTTTTCGTGTGCATAAATGGGTGCCTTTGAAGATCTGGATACTTAATTGGGGAGCATCATCTGGAGTGTTCATGTTGGCTAAAGTAGCTCTTGTCAGGAATACGTATACCAGCAGATGCATCAGTTAGAATATTCTTTTCTCCAATGGGTTTAAGACATACTTTCCTAAGAATTGAGTTTCTGAAACACTGAACAACACCCAAACCCTGCAATCCAAATTTGTTTTTGCCTATTACACTGAAGTCTCTCTGTTAACAGGCATATATAGAAGACAACCATTTTTTTCAATATAATATTTCATAAGTTAGATGAAATCTTTTGTTCCATTATATAAAGTTCAGAAAATCAACATAAAATTAATAATGATGTTAAAGAAACTACTGGAAACCAGATAAATACAATACAATCTATAATTGTTTTCAAGTTTTTTGGACATTTCGCATACTTCTCCAAGTTTTCTACATTATGTTATAAAGTTCTAATAAGTTCATTTATGTGAAAAAATTAACTTTTTTTGATACTTGATATTTATATTATTACTAAAAAGCACTTCATCCGAGAGAAAGTTTCAAAGAAAGCCTTCCTTTTATAGGAAGAGGAGAGGAACATTTAAACTATGTATTATTACCAAATTGATATTCAAAAAATATATTCAACTTCAAAAGGCAAATGACTAGTTTAGACATGCTTGAGAGAGAGACATTCACTTTAAGGTTCTGGGACAACTCCTTTGATATATCTCCATCTTAAAAACAAGCAAACAAACTCTTGTTTGGAGAGGGTATTTAGAGCCATAAATAATTTTTTACTGGGTCTATTTTTGAGTTGGAGCAGGAGTAAGAAATACATTTTATATGGAATTTTAAATCACTTTTCAATTTATGAACCTAGCCTAGAAAGTCTGTGTAAAATGAAATATTTTAAAAGTTACAGTATTATCTGTATCTTCATTTCTATATGTATGTATCTATCATCTGTGTACCTACTCATCTATCTATCTAATTATTCTTTCTTTCCAGCAAATGTTCACTTCTGGTTTCCCTACGTCTGCCTGGAAGTGGGGGCAGTATGGCAGTATGGAAGACCTAGAAAGGGACAAGGAGAGCTACAATAACAGCGGTCTAAATATATCCTAGGATGAAAAGGTGAGGAAGGAAACAGGCGCAGAAGTGTTATAAGAAACCAAAGCGGCCTTTTGAGAAGGGATGTAAGAGCAGGCCCCTGAGCAGTTTCACTTCCTCTGGGCGCCCAGCAGAGCGGAGCCCTGGCCTTGCGGGCATGAGCCCCGGGGCTGCGTTTCCTGAGACCTGGCCGCAGCCTCCGCGGGTGGCAAGCGGGCTGGGGAGAGCCGAGGGCCAAAGGAAGAGAAAATCGCGGGGAGTCTCTGGCCGGGAGAGTCCAGGTAGCGCTCGGCGGGCAGCAGTGCGCAGGCCCCTCGGCTTCAACCGCCACAATGCTGCCAGCAGCGCCAGGCAAGGGGCTTGGGAGCCCGGACCCCGCCCCCTGCGGCCCAGCGCCCCCAGGTGGGTAGTCGCGCATTCGGAGGGGCTTGACGCCGAGGCCGGGCTACGGGGCTCTGCGGAGACCACGGGCCATCGTTAGACAACTGCACTCGGGCACTGAGGCCAGGGCGTCCCTGAGACAGGGCTTCTCCTTTTTATCCTGCCGCCAGGCAGCCCAGAGGGTTCTTCTGTCCCTGACTTCTCTGAGGGGCATCTGGACGCCACGAGGAGGGAGCGCGCTGGGAGTTCTGGCCAGCGGGCTACCCTCAGTGTCTGCAACTTCTGAGGAGCTGGAACTTTCCCCAGCACCCGGGTCAGGGTCCTGTAGTTTCTAAAATCACTTTGCAACCTGTTTTAAAGCAATGCGCGTTTAAAATTATACGTAATTATTTTCAACAGTCGGTAAGCACAGAAAAACCGCTCATGTGTAGCGTCACGCATTTACCTGCCCGGCCTGACAAATCCCAGCCTGGTGAATTGGTAGCCCTGCTTCTTGGCAGGTGGCTTTGCAGAGAAACTCTACCAACACCACCTCCCTACTCCACTGGCTTTACTAACTTGGTCAAAGGAAAACGGTCAACTTGGTTGAATGCAGAAGTAGATTTATATTTTCAAATGGACGTTAAGGCAGTTTTATTTAGTTCTTTTTGAAGCATTTCAAATGCATTTGCAAATTACTCAGTGATATAAAAATGTTTTTTAAATTAAAAAACTTCACTTAGGTATTAATATTACTGGAGTGTTCGTGGTGAGAAATGCAACAAGAAAGTATATTCTGAGTGAAAGTTTCTTAATTTGCTGAATAGAAATAAATTTCTCATACCTTTCTAGAATTTTTTAGGTAATGTAATTTTGGTTGTAGCTATTTCTGTTGGCTAGTGCATTTTTACATAAATAAGCTTTAGGGATTGCTTTCAGTTAAATAAGAAGTATATTTGTGTCAATGAAAAGTGACAAGAAAGGACTTAGAGCCCATAACTTAATATTATTAATATTTTAACTATTGCATATTGACATTCTTGAAAACTGTGGCTCTGATGGTCTTCAGCAGAGCAGACTTTGCTAGCATCTATAAATAAACCAACCATGTCTTTCAAACTTTGAGCAGGTTACCTCTTTTGTAATTTCAGTTTAACAATTTTGTTAGAGAATGGGGTACAGTTTGTTTCAAACTTCTAGATTAAACAGTTTAGGCAGAAAATGCCTTTTATTTCACTTGATACTAAGCAATACTTTGAGGCACTTGCTATTGTGAATAATGCAAGAGTAATGTGAATCAATATTTATAGCATTCCAATTATTCTTGTTCCTCCCATGCATTCCGCTCCCCCCCCGCCCCGCCCCTCCCAACTCCTTGGGTCCTTCTCCATGCAGTATTTATCACTTGCTTCAGTTACTTCCTTTTCTGGCCAACATAATGAAACTTTTCTAAAAACGAATTGTCTTTTGACATTATCCCATGCCCATATTCTTGATATGAGTAATCTTCTAGCTTTTATAAATCCAGTGGTTTGTGTGTGTGTGTGTGTGTGTGTGTGTGTTTTTTTTTTTTTAATGAAGAGCTCCCTCTCTCTCCAACAACTATCTTAATATGGCACATTGGGGGTCAATTGGTCCAACTGCCTCATTTAGAGAAGAGAGCACTGAGATCCAGAGTGTGAGTTGCTCATGGTTTCATAACTAGTAATTATTTGAAGGTCACCCATTCATTAACTTAACAAACTTTTATTCCCTGCCAAGAGTCATGTAGTAGTAATAAGAATGTAAAATGGTAAACACAGTTTCATGCCCAGGAAGGTATATTTCTAGCAGGAGATAGAATGTACTGCTAGACAACATTAGTGTATACTGCCATCAGAGATTTATTAACTGTTGAGTATCGACTTGTTCTTTAATGGAAGCAAGAAAAATAGAATACCCAGTTCTCTAAAACAAGGTAAAAATGATGCACAATGGGTGAAAGTTCTAGTTAGAATGTATTTTCTGGTTTGTATTTAACTATATATTACTATCAATGTCCAAAAGAGAGATTCTTCCTGTTGTATTCCAAAACTAATGATTTTAAAAATTTAATTTTAACTGCTGTTTTAATTAGGGAGTGATTATTTATTAAATCACAGATTTTTCTCCACACCATAGTTTTTTTTAAATTTTTATTGATATTATTGGATGCATCTGATGAAACTTTAATAAATGATTTGCTTAAGAACAGAAAGCATGAAAGGGTGGAATTAGCATTTAGACTGTTTCACCTTACGCTGGATGCTTATACTTGTAAGGAACATGGTTTGTCTAGGTCTCTGCTCTCTAGCTTGAAGTTCTTAAAGATTTGAAGCTTTTTGCTTTGACTGCAATCTTCCAACATAGCCAACGTCCTACACTTGTTCCACTAAGGAAATAACCTGGTTCCATGCTGGTGGCTGGAAAAACTTGCTTTCTTCAGACCAATCTGGAAATGTTCTGATAAGGTCACTTTTGCTAGGATTTTAAAGACAAGGAGTGCTTTCAGGATATCTTCACCATAATAAGGAATAATTCTGAAAAATGCAATTGCTGAAGATTTCAAGGTTAAATATCAGCATATTCAAAGTTACACTTGGGACAGTAGAGGAACCTTTTCTGCAATATCTATCTGAGGATGTATTGTAGGTGGTTATGCCCTACTTATGATGGTCTTTTGACTCATACTGCCTCAGATCTAGTCCCAGCTTCATTGCCTGTCTCATCTGTGACCTTGAATAAATAATGAAATCTGTCACTGTCTTAGTTTTTTATTTTGTTTATTAAAAAGCAAAATCCAAGAGAAGAAATCCTGTATATGAAAGTTGTTTAGGGGATTAAATGGGTAAATGCAGGTGAAGTCCTTTTCAGGGTCTTATAACAAATAGTAACTGCTTTATACATGCTAGTTGTTATATTAATTCTTAGGTCATTGATCAGTAGTGTCATATTAGCTTATATAAGAGTGGGAGTTCTTAGTGAAAAACTGCCTCATACTGATTGCCTCATACTGACTTGAAGGACAACTTGATGGGTGAAGGAATCAAGCTCTCGTATCAAAAAAAATAGGAGATATGGCCTCTTGTATAAAGATACTGCAATATCCTTGGGGATATATTGTGGTTAATAGTTCTGAAAGGAGAAAAGAATTCATAATGAGAAGAACTAAGGATAGGTTGATTAAAAGGGAATTAAACTATAGCAGTTGCAGGAAAGAATAAAGAAGGAATTTAATAGGACAAAATGAGAGCGTGCTCTGTTTTCTCATATCTCAGAGTACCAGTTGTGACTCAGTTTACATAATATATAAATATATTTGAAAAAAATAAGCATCAAACAGAAAAACTGTGGAGTATTTCAACTTACAAGAAGATGAGAATCTATTTTACCAAAATATTTACTACTGGGTTAAAACAAAATTACAATATAAAATGAGGAACATCATTCCTGACAAAAATAAATGACATGTTTTAAGAGTTTAAATGGTTGTTGCTTAATCACCTAAGTTACACTTATTAATTTACTGCTTTCTTCATAGAATATAGAGTATCTTGCAGTAATTTTGGAGATAGCTATGAAATAAGAATAGAAAAGGCAAACATTTCATAAGTCATCATTTAAAAAGTAAGTTATTATTTGGCCTTGTAATCCTTTCCTTTCCTGTTTTAAATATAAAGAATGGTATCTAAGTTTTAGTGCAGACATTGAAATAGTCCCAGTGGTGGAAATATCAGATATCATATGGAATTATACCCCTGCAGTAATTAGTTTTTAGTCAGAGAAAAACAATGAGCCTTTTAGGCATTTACCCCTGAATTGAAATCTCTTTGTTGTTTCTAAGTGTTCTGCACTGAAATAATCCAGAAAGATGACTTCCCTCTTTAATCATGAAGAGTAATTAATCAATGCTTTTGATCTTTTACAAGATTTCCTTTATATCTGGTTCATTAAAATATGTTTTTATGTTTCATCATACTATGTGTCATATCTTTGTTTCTTCTAAGTGTCTCTGCCATTTTCCCATATTATTAATTCCCATTGCCTTGTTTTCACATGTGTTCTACATTATAGAGACACACTGAAAAGTATAAGAACAGTCTCTGACTTGGAATTCCATTTACTATATGCCTCATTTTTTTTTTCATCTGATACATGCTGAGAATAAAGCCTCCTTTGGTCGGGAACAATATTCTCATTCCTTTTTTGTTACAGGATCATGTCTAATTTTCAGAGGAATAATATAGTGTCAAGACCACTTGAAATTTTAGCCTTCTTGTAATAGCTTCCGTTTATTGTGTTTCTACTTTGAATTCATATGAAATGGGAATCATACTAGTTGATAAGTAAGGGTGTCAGAAGAGTAGTGTCTACTCTGGACAACAAGTCATATTGTTCAGTATAGTCATATGAAAATATTTAATAATTCACTGTGTTCTTTTATCTATGGAGGCTTTTCTAAACTGTTAAAGGTGAAACTTTTAAGTCACCATGTTTTTTTTTCTAGGATGGGGAGTGGAGAAACACAAAAGGGCATGATTCTATAAAATCATTGAAATGGCAATTGTAGAATATTTATTGTTACTGTCTGAAGAATCTCTAAGGTTACACATTTTCTATTGATTGCATTTTATTTAGATTTAATATATTGATACAGTTTAAAATATTGGGAGAGGAGTGTGTTTTTAGTACAGTTAGTAAATTATTAGGTCACTATTGTAAAAAAGTGAGTGACATAAAATTGAGGCAAAATCTACTCTGGTTTCAATTAATGGGATAATTTCTTTAATTCTCTCATGATTTCTCAGTAAAAATGTAGAACTTTCACTACTTTAAGTACTTATTTGTAGGTCAGAGACCTTTCCTTTATCACTTCCTATAGATCCACAGCCATGTAAATCAAGTAGAATGAGGACAATTATTCAGATTCCCAGAAACAGTCACCTGGGCCAAGAATAGGCACATGATGCAAGCCAGCCAACTGGTTGCTTAATGGCCAGTGCCCTGTGTTGTCAGGCTTATACAGAGTTGTTGAATCTGTGTAAGTATAAGCCACATATATCATCTGTATAAGCCACAAAGTCCTTTTGTCTTATTAAATGAAAGAATAAAGATTCTTATCAGTAGAAGATTGATGAAAGATGAGATTATTGTCAGTGGAAGATCCAGTATACAGTTTAAGATGACAGTTAGTTGCCTCATGTTTAAGATGCATAAGTAGAAAGAAACTGTGATGAAAAAACTGAGGAGACCGAAAGACAAAGAGAGTAGTCTCAATTTCTGATTTCTAGTGACGGAGCAGCTGCACTTGTTTTTCTGATCTTATTTGCCCATGAAATTGTTTATAGTATCCTTACATGAATTTCTCCTTACATGAACTACTTTGAGTGAATTTCTCTTTTTGGGAGGAAAAAAAAAGTTTGGGCTAGCATACCTTTATTTATCAAAAACTGCCAGCTATCAGCTTCTCTTTTCAAAAGTTGTTATTGTTAAAATGATGTCTTCTACGTATCTTCCATTGAAAATTAAACAATCTGAGAATGAAATCTGTTCCTTTCATGCACTAGGAATAGAGTATGAGTAAGTCTGGTGGTCCTGCAGATGAGCATATTTCGAGAGTCCTGCCTTTATTAGTGAAATTTGAAGAAAGTCCATGCATTTATTTTTAGGTTTTCAAACTTAAATCCTTAGAGCTGGAGAGAAAATAATTCACCCAAAGGTTAGTATTATAAGAATTAAGCACTGTTAAAAGGTTTAGAGCTTTGAATTATGTAGCTATAGATTTATAACAACAACGTTTTCCCATGTTTTGTTAACAGGATATTTTTACTTATCTGAAAATTTTATAGCATACTGTTTCTGGCAAGTTTTTAATATACATTTCAATTGAGGCATACATTAGTGAGAGAATGGTTGGGGCATTTATCTTAGTAAATGTCACAAAACATATTTACTTAGTAAAACAGGAAGTAAAAGAGTAAGATGAGATATAAAACTAGGGATTATCTTCAACTCCTCTGGTATATGAAGAAATATGGCACCATTAACAGGCCATTAATAAAACTTTATATACAATCTCAGTGGATTAATATCAGTATGAAGCAATACAATACTGTGTTTTAGAGATTAGTCTTTTACCAGCCTATTTTTCTGCAATGGAGTAGAAAGTATAGTATCTCCATTAAGTTATACATAGTGTGTTATTAATGTTCACCTTAGAAAACAAGAATTCAATGTGTTCTTGCTAAACTTCAGTGACAGGAACAAATTAATAAAGTTCAGATGTGATCAATTAAGTCCAATGATGTCAGTGAAGAAATGAGACACAGAAAGACAAAATTTTTTCAAGATGTGACAAGGTTACACTCACAATGTTATTATAATGAGTGAGGAGAAGAATCTGAAAAGTAAACCAAAACCTAATTGCATAAATTTGTGTAAAAAATTCCCCAAGTATAATGAGGAGCTCTTGAAGAGTTTTTAATGAGGGATGGCACATGATTAGATTTTGTGTTAGAAGATCACATGAGCTGCTCTTGATACAATTAATTGGAAAAGGGCAGCAATGGAAGTTAGTGAACAATTAGGGGTTTGCAATGAGTAAAAATACAGGGAGAAGTGGACAGATTTATTAAGAACTATTACTTACATACCTTTTGTGATATAGTAGATTTGGAGTCTGAAGGGGACAAAAATGTGAAGAATGACACCAAGGGTTGTGGTCTGTAAACCTAAGAGAATCAAGAATGTGTCATTTACTCCATTGGAAAGGAGTGAAGGAACAAGAGGACACCGGGAGGGCATGAGAGAATGTCATTTCAATTTCAGATCTGTTACATTTGAGGAGCATGAGAAATAGTCACATTAAGATGTCAAGTAAGCAGTTCGATTTTAGGATCTGGATATCAGAAAGGCAGTTCAGACTGGAGATATAAAATTAAGAAAAACATTGTATTTAAAACTACAACAATGAATAGGATAACATAGATAAGGTGACTCAGGATAGAGACCTGTGGAAAACAAACATTTCAGTGTTGGTAGAGAAGGAGGAGTTGCTCAATATGACTGAGGAGAGGCTAAAAAGAAGGAAAACGAAGATACAGTGAGAAGAATTCAAAAATAGAATGTTTCAGGAAGGTAAGAATGGTGAACTGGCCCAAATTCTTTTGATAGGTCAGGCAAATTGAAGCCTGAAATTTAGCCAATGGATTTGGCATCATGAAACTTACAGATGACCTTAGAGAAGTAAGTAGCTTTAGTAAAGAGGATGAGAGCTGAATGGGAATGAGTGGAAGAAGGTAAGGTGATGGAGGCCATGGAGACGCCCTTTAGAAATATGGCTGTCTGATAAGCAGCTGAAGATGTGGCATCAAGGAAAGGATTTTACTTTCATTGTTGCTTTAAGATCAGTGTCACGGCAGCAATTTAATTGTTCTCAAAAGCCGATGGCGTCACACCAAAGGGGGGTTTTCTGCTATGAAAACTTATAGAGAACAGCTCCATGAATTCCATTAGTAATACATTTTAATGTGTAGATTTTCTTATGTGTTTAAGAATTTCTGTCTCTTCAAATGGTATTTCTAGTTCTAGATCCTTGAGGAATCGCCATACTATCTTCCACAATGGTTGGACTAGTTTACAGTCCCACCAACAGTGTAAAAGTGTTCCTATTTCTCCATATCCTCTCCAGCATCTGTTGTTTCCTGACTTTTTAGTGATTGCTATTCTAACTGGTGTGAGATGGTATCTCACTGTGGTTTTGATTTGTATTTCTCTGATGGCCAATGATGATGAGCATTTTTTCATGTGTCTGTTGGCTGCATAAATGTATTCTTTTGAGAAGTGTGTGTTCATATCCTTTGCCCACTTTTTGATGGGGTTGTTTGATTTTTTCTTGTAAATTTGTGTAAGTTCTTTGTAGATTCTGGATATTAGCCCTTTGTCAGATGGGTAGATTGTAAAACTTTTCTCCCATTCTGTAGGTTGCCTGTTCACTCTGATGGTAGTTTCTTTTGCTGTGCAGAAGCTCTTTAGTTTAATTAGATCCCATTTGTCAATTTTGGCTTTTGTTGCCATTGCTTTTGGTGTTTTAGTCATGAAGTCCTTGCCCATGCCTATGTCCTGAATGGTATTGCCTAGGTTTTCTTCTCAGGTTTTTACGGTTTTAGGTCTAACATTTAAGTCTTTAATCCATCTTGAATTAATTTTTGTGTAAGGTGTAAGGAAGGGATCCAGTTTCAGCTCTCTATATATGGCTAGCCAGTTTTCCCAGCACCATTTATTAAATAGGGAATCCTTTCCCCATTTCTTGTTTTTGTCAGGTTTGTCAAAGATGAGATGGTTATAGATGTGTGGTATTATTTCTGAGGGCTCTGTTCTGTTCCATTGGTCTATATCTCTGTTTTGGTACCAGTACCATACTGTTTTGGTTACTGTAGCCTTGTAGTATAGTTTGAAGTCAGGTAGCATGATGCCTCCAATTTTGTTCTTTTGGCTTAGGATTGTCTTGGCAATGCAGGCTCTGGGTATATACCCAAAGGATTATAAATCATGCTGCTATAAAGACACATGCACACGTATGTTTATTGTGGCACTATTCACAATAGCAAAGACTTGGAACCAACCCAAATGTCCATTAATGACAGACCGGATTAAGAAAATTTGGTGGCCGGGCCTGGTGGCTCATGCCTGTAATCCCAGCACTTTGGGAGGCCAAGGTGGGCGGATCACGAGGTCAGGAGATCGAGGCCATCCTGGCTAACACGGTGAAACCCCATCTCTACTAAAAACACAAAAAATTAGCCGGGCGTGCTGGTGGGTGCCTGTAGTCCCAGCTACTTGGGAGGCTGAGGCAGGAGAATGGCATGAACCTGGGAGGCGGAGCTTGCAGTGAGCTGAGATCGCACCACTGCACTCCAGCCTGGGTGACAGAGTGAGATTCCATCTCAAAAATAAGTAAATAAATAAATAAAATAAAATAAGGAAAATGTTGCACGTATACACCATGGAATAATACTATGCAGCCATGAAAAGGATGAGTTCATGTCCTTTGTAGGGACATGGATGAAGCTGGAAACAATCATTCTGAGCAAACTATCACAAGGACAGAAAACTAAACACTGCATGTCCTCACTCATAGGTGGGAATTGAGCAATGAGAATACTTGGACGCAGGATGCGGAACATCACACACCAGGGTTTGTTGTTGGGTGGGGGGAGGGGGGAGGGATAGCATTAGGAGATATATCTAATGTAAATGACAAGTTAATGGGTGCAGCACACCAACATGGCACATGTATACATATGTAACAAACCTGCATGTTGTGCACATGTACCCTAGAACTTGAAGTATAATTTAAAAAAAAAAAGAAAAGAAAAAGAATTTCTGTCTCGTATTTTTCATTCCTTCTTCTATGTTTCTGGAGCTCCTCCTTCTCTTCTTCCCATTCCTCTCCTCTTTCCTTTTTTCTTTTTTTGTTTTTTTGGTATTGATCTTAATGGAGAATAAATAGTTGACACTTCTTTCTGTGAAAGCCTTGGTACAGTGTTGAATTATTCCTTAGCTTTACTTTCTATATATCATCCCTTCCTTTTTATCCATATTGGAATCCATTCATTCTCGTTAAAATCCTGTTTTTGCATTTGCTTAGTAGTTACTGTCACAACTACTTGATAAAGCTCTACTCCTGAATAAATCTTTCTGGCTCTATTCTTCCTGTGTGAATCTAAGAGACTGACTATTGCTAGATAAAAACACATTCAAACAGGTTGGTAATATAAATTTAGGCAATTCTTGTTACACGTTACTTGTTTCAGACAAGATTTGTTTTTAAATTTTTCAAATTTTTTGAGATGGTTTCTCGCTCTTGTCACCCAGCCTGGAGTGCAATGGTACAATCTCAGCTCACTGCAAACTCCACCTCCTGGGTTCAAGCGATTCTCCTGCTTCAGCCTCTCAGATAGCTGGGATTACAGGCGGCTGCCAACACACCTGGCTAACTTTTGTATTTTTAGTAGAGACGGGGTTTCACCATTTTGGCCAGGCTGGTCTTGAACTCCTGACCTTAGATGATCCACCTGCCTTGGCCTCCCAAGGTGCGGATGTTTCTGTCATGTCAGATTGCTATAATCTTACATGTTTTCTATATTCTGATGGGCAAAAAACTGTATGCTTTGCTACCTAACACTGTACCCTCTAGACATGTGGCTGTTGAGGACTTAAAATATGTCTGGTTCAAATTGTGATGTGCTGTAAATGTAAAATGCACACCAGTTTTCAAAGACTGAGCACAAAAAATAGAATGTAAAATCTCTCAAGAATGTTTATATTAATTGCATGTTAAGATGATACTATTTTGAATTTATTTGATGAAATAAAATTAGTATTATTGTAATTAACTTACTTTTTATTTGTTGCAATATGGTTGCTAAAAACATTAAAATGACATATGTGCCGTGCATTTGTGATTTGAATTAAATTTTCTGTTAGATAGCAATGCACTCAGCTTTCAGAAAAAAAATTCCAATGAAATAAATTAGAAATTTTATTTCTCTCTCATGACATATTGTTGAATATGTATTATGAGATTACTCTCATAAAAATGTGAGCAAAATTCACAGTTCCTCCAGCAGTTGAGAGAGAACCTCTGTCTATTCATGCTCACCACACAAGGCATTTTCATAGTGATATTTTGCTACTATTTTAATTAGCATTTGTCTCTTGAAATTGAGTGTTTTTCATATATTTCTTTGGCATTTTGATTTCATCTGTGTGTTATATATTCACATGATTTATTCATATTTCTCTTGTGCTTTTTGTCTTAAAAACTTATAAGACCACATTACATATTTAAAATGTAAACTTTGTCTTATGCATCACAAATATTTTTCTTTTATCACTTATTTGTTAAATAATTTTGATTGTAATATTTGCTGCTGTTGAACACTTTTTAACACTCATTGTGTCAAATATACTTTTCTTTCATAGCTTCTGTTTCTTGTCTTGGCTGAAGACACCAGTGCGTTCCTCTTGAAGTCCAGCCACCTGCCTGCTAGGGTCTAAGGGTCTTTTATAGGCACAGGATGGGGGCGTGGCAAGCCAGGGTGGTCTTGGAAAATGCAATATTTGGGCAGGAAAACAAAAATGCCTGTCCTTACTTAGGTCTGTGGGCATAGGCCCGGGGATAGAGCCCTAGCCAGGGACCACACCCTCCTCTACCCAGTACTTCCCTTCCCACTTTCAGTATCATTTAAAGGACCACGCCCTTCCCAGTACTTCCCTTCTGTATCAGTGTCTTAATGATTTTTGTGATGAAGGCATTTCTAACATCATCATACAGGTAAAAGAGTAATAGTTGATATAGTTCTATGAATAAAGCTTTAGTGACATAATCAGAATTGCCTAATTGATGCCTGAAGTAATTTATTCCCTACAGGTTATAAATATATACAATGTCTCACCTAGATCTGTGAAGGTCAACAGAATAGTAGAAAGCTTCCATTAAGCAAATTTCTATTTCTGAGCAACATATGGGTAATTAGGAAGCATTTATAATTATGGAAAGAAAACGGGCTGCTTTTTTATATATCTTTTATGAGGACTAGTCTGCTAAGAAGTTAGCAATTAGCACACATTACATTTCTGCTTTCACTAAGGATGTATTTTGTGTTTGTATGTAGTAATGACCTCTTAGAGTCATATTCTGATCTGTTGCAGAAATGATCTAATGGCTGCTTTACTTAGTGGTTGTAGGACCGTATGTAACTTCATTATAAGACCTCTCTATACCTCACGTTTTTTTCTTTTGGAAAAGATGAAAAAACAAATAGTATACTTGGAATAAAATTGGTGCTCTGTAATTGACAGTTATGGCTGTTGCTGGGTGAGTAGGTGAGTTACCATGTGGGACATTACGAAAGTTGACTTGTACTTTTGTTACCTGATAGTCAATTCCTGAAATATGTGGACACAGACTTCCATGGCTTTATTCCTTTAGTACTCTGTTGCCCAAACCGTGTTCTGTAGCATATACTGTGTGTTCTTTGGAAAAAAAATTTCTGTGGTGAAATGTTCTGAATATGCATATTAGGATATTTAAATGTGTGAGAGATTCTGCAACAATGTCTCTTCAATTTCCTCTAAGACATTGTTTCACAAATATTTATTTAACTATGGGATGCATTGTTGTCTCAACATTGATAGAGAAATAAGTTCTTTTGAACAAATTTGTCATCTCTATTAAATGGCAACTAGTTCTTGAGAGAATGATTGTTTCAGGCAGAAATTGGTAGTACTGCTTTCAGTTATATTTTCTTTAGTGTTATGCATGCCATAGTGTAAATAAAGTTATGATCCAGTCTTGGTGGCCATATTTTCATTGAGTGAGAGGGAGGGAATTAACAGGAACAGAAAATTAAGGGGCTATAGTATAGGGAAATTGGCATTGGTAGGCTGAGTAGTGGGGCACACACAATTTTTCTATTTCTTAAATTCCTTTAGATTAATTCCAGCTATTTAGTTGGGGTAAGTTAGGGTTGTGCTAGCGAAAATGAGAGGAAAATGAGAAAGTGGTTATCTATTAGGGAAAGTAAAGTGTGTGTGAATGAAATAGAAGTAGGAAAGCACACAGAGAATTGTAAATACAGTTGACTCTTGAAAACACAGATTTGAACTTCATGGGTCTACTTATATGTGGATTTTTTTCAATAAATATATTGGAAATTTTTTGGATATTTGCAACAATTTGAAAAAACTTGCTGATGAACTGGGTAGCCTAGAAATATATAAAAAGGCCGGGCGCGGTGGCTCACGCCTGTAATCCCAGCACTTTGGGAGGCCGAGGCGGGCGGATCACGAGGTCAGGAGATCGAGACCATCCCGGCTAAAACGGTGAAACCCCGTCTCTACTAAAAATACAAAAAAATTAGCCGGGCGTAGTGGCGGGCGCCTGTAGTCCCAGCTACTTGGGAGGCTGAGGCAGGAGAATGGCGTGAACCCGGGAAGCGGAGCTTGCAGTGAGCCGAGATCCCGCCACTGCACTCCAGCCTGGGCGACAGAGCGAGACTCCGTCTCAAAAAAAAAAAAAAAAAAAAAAAAAAAAGAAATATATAAAAAAAAGAAAAAATTAGACATGTCATGAATGCATAAAATTATGTCGATACTAGTCTGTTTTATTATTTACTACCTTAAAATACATACAAATCTGAAAAAGCTAACATTTATCAAAACATAGTCACAAAAATACAGACCATACATGTTGTTATTCACATTTAAGAAGAATGTAGACAACTATAAAGATGCAGTATTAAATCATAACTGCATAAAATTAACTGTAGTAAATACTGTCCTGCTGTAATAATTTTGTGGCCACCTCCTGTTGCTACTGCAGTGAGATCAAGTGTTGGGAGTATCTGCTAAAATGGTGTATGATGACAGTCATCTCTGAGTGAGTAGTTTGTCTGTCTAGGAAATTACATATTACAGTACAAAGAGATGTCTCATGGTTCTTGTATGTTCTTCATCTTGTAAACCTTGAATAATGCCATGGGACTCATGGGAAGTACCACTAGTGATGCTGGTAGTACTCCCAAGAAGAAGAGAAAAGTCATGACATTACAAGCAAAAGGTGATTTGCTTGATACATACTGTAGATTGAGGTCTGCAGCTGCAGTTGCCCACCATTTCAAATGGTGGGCAATTCATCCTGTAAACAGATGATGTAAACTTACAGTATTGATAAATACAGTACAGTATTGTAAATGTGTTTTATCTTCCTTATGATTTTCTTAATAACACTTTCTTTTCTCTAGCTTACTTTATTGTAAGAATATAGTATATCAGACATATAAGATACAAAGTATGTGTTGATAAATCGTTTATGTTATTGGTAAAGCTTCTAGTCAGCAGTAGTTGAGTTTTTGAGGAATCAAAGTTATATGGGGATTTTCAACTGCTCAGGGGTCATTGTCCCAACCCCTGCATCGTTCAAGCATCAATTGTGTAAGAATATTTTGAATGTGTGTGTTTATGCAGTTAAATAGCATGTGTGCATCTCAACTAATCAAATTATTTTGAAGGTATTTCACATGTTAGACTATATAAATCTGCCACTATGTCAATAATCATGTGAACTATGTAAGTGACATCTCATTTAAATATTGGGATTTCATACATCAAAATGTTCTAAAATTAAGAACTATTTGACTGCAGTGGCTATAAACAGATTTTTTTCATGTTAGAAATGTTTGTCAATGAAACATATTTAAAGCAAACATATGGGCTGTTAAGAGTCATCTAAGCAAATTATTGTTGAAATATTTTTCTATCTAAAATGACATTAACTTACATAAATGCAAGTAATTTAGACAAGAATGAATTTTATGTCTTTGAGGTTAACTAACTTAACAGGACATATAGAAAACAACATTAATATGACAGTAGCTTTAGTACTCAGGTGGGATGCTCTTTAAAGAAAAGGGTAACCTCTGGCATCAGTTCAGTAGACATAAGCATGTTAATAGATGCTGGCTGACTAGTTAGTACCAAGAGTGACATTAGAGTAGCTAATTAAGTATCTGAAAAAGGACAAATAAAGCTGTAGCCGTTTCTGAATGCCACATGAACAGCCTCAGATAAATAAATAATAAATATACAAATATTTATTATTTGTATAATAATACATTATATACATTATGTATTATATACATATAAATAATATACAAATAAGTTTGTATATTATTTATATGTACAGCCTCAGATAAATATACAAATAAAGTCGTAGCCATTTCTGAATGCCACATGAACAGCCTCAGAGTTCTTATGTCCAATCTTAAACTAACACCCTGGTTTTGGCAATCTTTTTCAAACTCTTTGGTTTGTGGAAGAGCTTCATTTGATTATGAAAAAAAATCTTTAAAATTCATGAAGCCTTTTACACAAAGATAATCTTAAGGTATTTTCCAATATGAAATTAACTTTTAATCTGATAACAAGTAGTATATTTTGGCTAAGATTCCTACAGCCTTTTAATATAACTTTGAATATTTAGTGAACTATAATATCTTCTAGGGCAAGTAGAGAGAAAAAGTGTGATTAGGGTCTAAAAGCAAATAAAACTTAATATCCTCTATGTGTGCCTAGAATATTAATATATTTTCTTTTATTTTTCTTTTTCTAAAATAATACATGAACATAATTGAAAATATGTAATAAAAACAAAAAACTGGAAAAAACTGTCATATATGTACTTCTAGGTTTTTTATACATTACTTTTATTAGTTTTACTTGTTCAGTTTTGTAGCTTTAATATATTTAATATTTGTACATGCTTTAATGTTACATTTTCATGGCTATTTGGTGAGGTGTCATTTTTCAATATTTTAGTTTTGCTCTCGCTCCATATAAATCTATTATACAATGTTTAAAAAAAAATAAAAAATTAAGATCCTTGATGACTTATTGAATAATAGGATAGATCATCCTCCATATAAGACGACTATTAATTAATCTACAGAAAGACTGAGTAGTTCTTAATAACATAGAAATACGTTGCACTGGATTTGAAGTTGAATAAGTACAGGATGAAGCCTTGGCTCTGTCACTAACAGAACTTCACTTTTTGCCAGCTATGCAACCTCTCTGATGCCTAGGAGAGGCAATATTATGTATATTGATACTCACATTAATTATCCATGAGAATACTTGGTTCATAATACATGGTGCATAATAGTAATGCAATTAATATCTCTGATCTGAACAAAAACACTGCAGAGATGAAAATAGCTTTTGCTCAGCACTTGGAATTTAGTATATTCATTGAGAAAGAGTAGACTAAAGGCCCCATAATCTTATGCAGGGATAATTATCCATCATTCATTTATTCTTCAACCATTTATTCTTGTACTCCTGTGCTCAATTCAGGGGATACACAAAAGGTGGCTACTCCCATCAGGGACTGTATTTAAGTGAAATAGGAATAGAACAAGTTGAACAGCTCTATTTCATTTTATCTTTACCCTAACCCAATATCAGATGACTCAAATACCCTAAGTTCACAAAAGTCTGAATAATTCAGCCATGAGAACTAGTTAGCAAGGAGAAGCAACAGCTAAGAGTGTTTTCTTTAGCAACCGGGGGTGACTACTGATGCATAACTGCTGTTCCAGAAAATCACCAGTCATTTCAGAAGGCAGTCATGAGTACAGTCCCCTGGGACAGTGCTTTGCAAATTTCAGTTATTCTCATAAGACCTTCCTCAATTTTTGTTATTCTACCTGTCCTCTTGTACAAGAAAAATTTTTCTTAGACTGACTTTCTTTTTTAGCTTAAATGTCAGATATTTTAAAGGAGCACTTTATATCACTGCCGTAGATAAGAAAATCACTACTGCCATAAGTAGAAGGTAAACATACAAACATACAGATTGAAAATAAAATGGTTGAAAAAATTATAGCTAAGGACAGGCTCTGGGCATAAAGTTCACTCTCTTTGATAGTGTTGGAATTCATGAGGAACCAGAGCTCCAAACCGAGACATTGTCCTGGAAGTCATCAGGATTGGATAAGTATTCTAAAAAGAAACTGACTTTCTCCCTCTGTGACTGCCTGCCACTATGTCTCCTGGAGATTGGATCCCTTCCACTGTTCTCCAAAAGGAGGTTTCACTTTCCAGAAAGTTGAAACAAAGTTTTGTTAGCAGCAGGTGTCAGGCACTATGATAAATGCTCTACATGCTTTATCTTCCTTAATTCTCACACTGATTCCATAGGTGGTGTTATCCACGTGTTACAAGCAGGAAATCTAGGCACAACAAGGTTCATTATTTGCTTCAGGCCATATAGTTAGTCAGTGATAGACCTGGATTTTTAAAATTCAGGGCCGGGCGTGGTGGCTCACGCCTGTAATCCCAGCAGTTTGGGAGACTGAGGTGGGTGGATCACCTGAGGTCAGGAGTTCAAGACCAGCCTGGCCAACATGGTGAAACCCCGTCTCTACTAAAAATAAAAAAAAAAATTAGCTGGCTGTGGTGGCGCACACCTGTAGTCCCAGCTACTCGGGAGAGTGAGGCAGGAGAATCGCTTGAACCCGGGATGTGGAGGTTGCAGTGAGTGGAGATCACACGCCACTGCACTCCAGCCGGGGTGACAGAGCAAGACTCTCAAAAAAAAAAAAAAGAAATGAAATTTAAAAAAATAAAAAATAAAATCCAAGACAGCCTGACTTGAAAGCCTGGCCTCTTAACCACTATATGTTTATCTGAAATAAACTTATTTAATTCTCTTGCAAATATATATTTGTGCTCATACCAGAAAGGTTTTCCTCCCGTGTAGACATTTCTGTTTTTTAGATAAATAAGGTTCTAGTTTTTTAATAGAAAAATATGTAATATAAAATATTGATATTGTCACCTACTAATAGATCAACATAGAGACATTCTTTCCAAGGGATAGAACAGAGAAGCACAATTTCCAGTTGATAAAAGTAAAAATTTATAGAGTTTTGCTACTTTCAAGGTCCTTGGAGGTGAACAGGAAGCAAAATATCTACAATGTAAGCTAGAAAAATTGTGTCTTTAATGATCACCATTAGGTTATTTAAAAATCATCAAAGCTGTAATACAGTTGTGATTAATCACTAGAGTAAACAAACAATCCACAGCGTGGGAGAAAATATTTGCAAACTATGCGTCTGACAAAGGACTAATATCCAGAATGCACAAGGAACTCAAATCAGCAAGAAAAAAAAAAATCCCATCAAAAAGGGGGCAAAGGACATGAATAGACAGTTACCAAAAGAAGATATATAAATAGCCAACAAACATATGAAAAATGCTCAACATCACTAATTATCAGGGAAATGCAAATTAAAACCACAATGAGATACCACCTTATTCCTTCAAGAATGGCCATAATTAAAAAGTTAAAAAAATAGATGTTGGAGTCCATGTGAAAAGTGAACACTTTTACACTGGTAGTGGGAATGTAAACTAGTATAACCACTATGGAAAACAGTATGGAGAGTCCTTAAAGAACTAAAAGTAGATCTACCATTTGATCCAGCAATCCCACTACTGGGTATCTACCCAAAGGAAAAGAAGTCATTATATGAAAAAGACACATGGACACATCTGTTTATAGCAGCACAATTTGCAATTGCAAAAATAGGTAACCAACATAAATGCCCATCAATCAATGAGTGGGTAAAGAAAACTGGTATATATACACCATGGAATACTGCTTGCTCATAAAACAGAATGAAATAATGGCCTTTCCAGCAAACTCGATGGAGCTGGAGGCCATTATTCTAAGTGAAGTAACTCGGGAATGGAAAAACAAATATTGTTTGTTCTCAGTTATAAATGGGGGCTAAGCTATGAGGATGCAAAGGCATAAGAATGATATGATGGACTTTGGCAACTCGGGCAGAAGGGTTGGAGGGGGATGAGGGATAAAAGACTACATATTAGGTACAGTGTACACTGCTTAGGTGATGGATGCACCAAAACCACTAAAGAACTTCTCCATGTAACCAAAAACTACCTGTTCCCCCCAAAACTACTGAAATAAATATATATAAAAAATAAAAAATAGTGGATACTGTTACAAATACATATTATAAAATGCCAGTAATAAAGAGTACTTTAAAAATGGAAAGATAATAATTTGCATTTCCCTAATGCTTCGCATTCTCAAAGGAACTTTCAAGCTCCCACTAATTGACTCCTAGAAAATTTTTCTAATGTGTTATTTGCTTTGACTCATGGAGAAATCTAAACAATGATCATATAAGCCACTTAATCAGGGCTATGCTACAAATACTGTGTGAAGTGAAGCAGAAAGTATACTGCACATATATCCATTTTACTTCAAAAGGCTTTAGGAAAGGAAGAGAAGGAACTATAGCTGAAAGCAGTGTTCGGATGGTGTGGTAGACAGAACAATGGTACCTCAAAAGTGTCTGTGTCCTAAGCCCCAGACCTGTGAATATGTTATGTTTTATGGCAGAGAAGAATTAAGGTTGCAGATAGAATTAAGATTGCTAATCAGCTGACTTTGAGATAGGGAGATTATCATGGATTGTCCAGTTGGGCCCAATATAATCACAATGATCCTAAGAGTGAAAAGGGAGGCAGAAGAGTGAGCACCAGAGAAATGGCAGCATGAGAAGGACTTGGCCCAGTATCACTGGCTTGAAGCTGGAGGAATGGGACCATTGGTCAAGAACTGTGGGTAGCCTTCAGAAGCTGAAAAATGCAAGTAAATATATTGATTCCTAAGGCCTATAGAAATAATGTAGCCCTGCAAATATCTGGATTATTGTCAAGTTGAGACCCATTTCAAACTCCTAACTTTCAGAACTGTAAGATAATAGCTTGTGTTGCTTTAAACCCACTAAATTTGTGATTAATTTTTTTACAGGAGCATTAGGAAACATACAGATATCTAAACACATGTGGGCTATGCAAAAGCAAGAGTACCATAAATACTGCAGATAGGACCTTCCGCATCAGGCATTTATACACCATCAGTCTAGTTAAAAAGAAAAATAGATGTAACCATGAAGAAATAAGCTTTTATAAAGTGTGAAGAACATATCAATGTTACCCTTAGGTAGTCATCTTTGGCAAGATATATATTTATACATTATTGGAACATCTTTCAGGAATTCACTGTTATATTTTATTGACCAAACAAAATAAATAAGAATGTCCCATTATTGTTTATTTACAATCAGTGGTTTTATCAATTTAATTATTCTCATCAATAATACTGTTGGCTACTGCTGCTGTTATAATTCTTACTAGTACAAATATGTATTTATTTTATCAGTGGTTCATTTTCCACAAGTGCCAAAGGGGATACAAAGAGCACAGGATTGCTATGAAGTTAAAGTAAATTAATGCTTATAAAGCATCAGAACATTCATTAGCATATATTAGGCATTTACTGCATTTTGGTAGCCTTTATTATAGGTATCATGATCATTATCATCATTATTACTGCTGTACGTATCAATGATTGCTGGTCACCAGGTCTTAAACCAGGCATGCGGGCTTCATATTTTATCTCTACGAATGAGGGATCAGTATCTCCATTTCTTCAGCTCAAGCAACTGAAGCTCAGAGTATAGGAAGTCACCTAACTAAAATTAAAGAGCTTTTAAATGACAGGGTCAGGACTGTTCCTGAAATGTTTTGTGAAACTTCTATGAGTCTTTGTGCTAGCTGCTGTGTGCTTCCATTAAATAAGGCCCCATTCCAACCCAAGCCCCCAAACAAAATTTCTAAGACAGACAACTTGTTAGATGTACAAGTATTATTCTAATCTTTTTAAAAGGTCAGCAATATTATTTTATGGTCTCACTTTATTTTAATATCTTAGAACATGAACCATTTTTAACCCTGGTAGGGAATTTTTTTGAGACCATTTTCTCCTAGTGGTAAAATTTCAGTTGGGATAGGATCATATGGAACCATAAGGCATAATTTAAAAGCTACTCTCTTATAAAAATAATGTTTACACATTCTAGAATATTTGAGGAATAAAAAATGTAAGAATAATATTATAATATACTGCAGCCCTCCACTCAGAAATATTGATAATATTTGTCTTGAATTGTATTAGTTTTTGTGTATATACATAAAGAAGCTCATATTGTGTTTATGGTTTTGTAATTCTCAATATTGTGTACCCATTCATTCATGATACATTTTAAAAATGCCAAACCGTGAAAAATCAGGGCCATTTGTCAAACAGGGACATTTTATAAAATTCAGATCTTTTTGATTTGTAAATTTTTCAGTTCTGCACTTTGTGATACTTAAAGATTTATTGACACTTTCCTTCCAAGACAATACTTTTACATGAACCCTGGGATAAATAAGATAAGAAGATTCCTTCACCACAGGTCTTAATGAGATATTAGAATAAACTACTTTGTGTTAAAGTAATTTATAGAAGTCCATTTCCTTTTTATAATATGCAAGTTTTTTTAAGGGCAGGAATTGGGCTTTATAATCTTTTATCTCTTAAAGTCTGAAAAATTGTTCTTTATAATAATCATTAAATAACTATTACATAAACATATAAACAAAAGTTTAAGTGATTAGAGAATTAATATTGAGGTTTTTTATCAACATTATAATACTTATGAATGATTATGGTAAGTTATCTTGTTGAATTTTAAAATACCTGGTCTGAAAATTCCAGTGATGTGTGAGAACTAAAAAATGTTAAGGTAATGAAGATTAGAGTCATAGATGGGTAAAGAAGATTATTCTGTGAAATATAACTGGAATTAGTAAGAAGTTCCAAAGAATAAACTGTATCTTTAATTATATATATTTTTAAGTGTCTGTTGCTGATTTTCAACTTTGATTACAATTATAAAGTACATTAACATAAAGGAATATCTTCAAGTTCAAGTGGTGAAATGTTAAAATAATAGTATCTTATTTTTACAAACTCAGATTAAAAAATCTAGGGAAACATTTAATATTTGGATTGCTATTTCTCTACACTATATTTAAAGGTAAATAATTAAGCAGTGAGATTCATTAAATAAAATGAATTACTAAAATTTAAGAATAAATGTAAAACGTTTATTTTTATATATTCTTGACATAGCTCTATCTTTAAGACATTTATATGATGTAGAGCTTCGGTTTTTGATGATACTATTCTATGCATTTTAATAGGAGAGAAGAAAATATAAATGATTGGAATATTTCTCCCTGGTTCTTCATATTCTAAAATCATTTTTTAGAGGTTCACATTTTTTATTAAAATTATGCCTAGATATTATTATATTGCATACTTCTAAGTGTCAAATATTAATCAAAGCAACCCCACCAGGAATTTCCAATGCTTCATTATTTCAGTTCAGAAAAGAGTTTGGTATTCAATCTTGTACAAAATGTTACCCAGGGACAAAAATAATTGAACATTAATTTTTTTAACTTTGGCTTTTGTAAACAGGTTAGTGCCTAAATTCTGAACTGTGAATTTTCCTAATATGACACCTGGAATGTGGGAATTAATAATAGTAAAAAAGTAATCTTTGTTAAAGTTAGTATGAATTTAAATACTCTTTAAAAATTGCTTTTATTTAATCACATACTGTATTATAAACACCCCCCTGAATCACCATTGATATTATTTTTTATAGTTTTGGATAAACATCATATTTGTATTTATATACAATATTCACTTCAGAATTGCAATCTAAGTTTTAGATACATAATGTTAAATATTGTGTTCTTTGTCCGTAAATAGATGATTTGGCCCTCATCTAACAAAAATCACTTTGGTGAATTAAGGTAGATTTTGGGCAAGTTAATGATTTTAGTGAATTTAATAAGTCACATGTATTTGGTTCCTTAATAAATAACATTTGAGCTATTTCAATTTATTTTCCTCAAAGAAAAAATCCTAAAATATTTATTTTCTTTTTTCACATTAGCAAAACTTGAGAAATAAAAAAAATTGTGACTGTAATCATCTACTATGATACTGGAAATACTGTCAGTATAAAAAAGCCACTATGGTGATTCTCAAACTTGAGTGGACTTAAGAATTACCAAAGTGCTTAGTTACTTGATAATCCTTTCCTGAACCCCAATTCTGGAAATTCTGATTTGATCAAGTGCCCAAAAGTGGTTCTGATGGGTGTGCGTCCTTGACCGCATTATGTAAAGACAATGTCACTCTAGGAGAAATGTAGTCGTGACCAAGTGCTGCAGCAGAACTGAGGATTGTTTTAGAGTTACCTAGAATTTTTAGCCCTTGCTATCTTGTAAACTCCATGCAGAAGTTATGTTTACTGTGAACATAGGCCGCAGGAGGCCTTGGGGAGCTTCTGCGGGTGGTAGGAGACACACTTTGCTAGGTCTGCAATTTCCCTTCTGGCCAACAAGGGCTGCAGAGGATGCACACATCAGGAAGAGGGTGGGGGACTACTTGCTTGCTGGTTTTGCTTGCATCTGATGAGTAGAAATTCAGCCTATTCTTTGTTTTGGTATGTATATATCTTCTAGTATATAGCTATTTCTAAGATATTTTACCATTGATACGTATGATATAAATTTTGAGATGATATTTCTTTAGAGGGGTTTGCTAAAGTTATGTTTTAATCAGTTATGTTTCCAAAGTGTGACATCCCATGTAACTCTGTACATAAAAAAGCCCTTGAAAGATATTAGTGTCACTGTACACAAATACTTGCCAATGTAATTAATTGCAAGATCTCATTGCAGTTAGTTAGGAGTGTATTTATTACATCCCTAACTTACATGCTTTAGTAATACAGGCTAAAAAGCATTCATTTTACAGTTAAATCTGCCTAAAGCCCATGAAAAGTATTCAGGCAGGTAAAACAAATTTTAGATCTTTTAAGTACTCTGTTTGGGTCATTGCTCTCAAGTCATGATTATGCTTACTGTCTTTTTTCCACCACTGCCACCATCTTGTGTTCTGGAAAGAAGCTGTTGAATTAAGTAGAGAGAAAGAACAAGGAAACAAGGGAAATGCCAACAGAGTTTTCTTTTTCTCGGAACTAGGAAAGCAAAATTAGATTTGCTGGTGAAACTAAAGTTATTCTCTTTTTAATCTGATCAGCTGGTCATATGCTTTATCCGTTGAGAACCTCAAGAAACGGACTGGAGTTTTATTTCATTTTGTCAATAATACTGCCTGTGGTATGGTTTGATACTTGAAGTAGAGTTGGCAATAGATGATGTGAATTTAAGTCCAGCTTAATGACTTACTATTGGTGTGACCTTGGGCAAGTCTCTTAAACTTTCTAGCTGTGGCTTTAACGTTTTTGTTTAACATTTTTGTTTTTTCATTAACTTGAGTTAAAATTCTTTCCTTAAAACTGTAATACTAAGAATGGTATAAAAACACACCATAATATTCATGTGAATGTACTTTGTATATTATTACTATTGAATGGAATTCAGTGTACTTTGAAATGTGGCACATTTATTATATAATAGAATGTAAAGACACTTTTCAGCATAAGAGTTCAGGGACATGTATTGGGTATAGGGGTGAGGATTGAGCAATAAATAACCCTCTTCAATGTTTGAGTTGTTAAGCAGTATTAAGAAATATGACAAAGAATAAGGGAAGGGGGAAATCAAATATTGCCTTTGTTACTGATGAAGTTGATAATTGGCTCAAATGGCTTATATCTGTGAGAAAGTGGAGTTTATAATGTGAAATCCTAGAATTAGAGAGATATACCCACCCAGCCACAGGAGACCCCGGACCATAGGTCAGGAACTGTCAGAACATATGCCCTCATGCTACAGGAGCTTAACAAAACAATTACAGGTAAAATTGGGGGACTGACTACAAGCATATTCTGAATCCTGCCCCTCCAGGGTATTTGCCATCTTTTATATGGATGTAATAAAACTGGAAATATAAAAATTGAGGAGTAAGTAGAAACTACTACTAATTTATCACAAAATAAAATTGTAAGTATTGCACCTGGGATTTTTAAACATATGTCATTTTGAGGTCTGAGTACTATAATCTACATTTATTATTGGTTAAAATGTCAATTATTTCTTCAAGAAATAATTTTCACTTTTAAATTACACCAACATCCACTAAGTAATTTAAAGAAGATTCTATTTTCAAATCAGAGATGTACTGAAATTATTATTGATAGATATAATAGATTTGGATCAAGTTCTGACTTTATACATTTTTAGGTTTACAAAAGATATTTAAAAATTAATAGGTTTTAAAATGTATTTTAAATACTTTAAGTACTCTGTTAAGGAGTTGCCACCAGAGCTCTAGACATGTTTTTTTAAATCCAATTTTATGATTTTTACTAATTTTTGTCACACTCTTGTTTTTTATAGTCAAGAATATTAAGGTATAATCTACATAAATAAACTTCACTTTTAAAAGTGTACTTCTAAAGGATTTTTAGAAATTTATACACTTTACAAACTATTACAAGTATTTAAAATTAGTCCATTAGCATAATAATGTCTCTGTTCCATGTATTCAAAATATCTACCCTAACTACCCTAACTTTTATGTAATTATATGTTTTTTCCTTGAAATGAACTTTTATGTGTTTGTGGAAAGTGCTTTGCCAGAGGACAAGGAATTTCCAAGATGAGTTTTCTTACAACCATATAAAACCTATGAAACTTTGATCCTATTGCAGCCTCATCTGTAGCTCTAAAAGTTTTCAGTGGGCATTTGTTGATCACCGATGTGGTCAAAGGCTTGTTATGCAGGTATAATTGCTCGCAAAGGAAAACTGAGAAACATGAGTTCAAGTCTAATTTTCCTTTGTATGTCACAAAAGGCATAGGCTCATGTTTCCTAGCTATCTTTTCTTGTTTAGTAATTTAGTTTGTATATTTAATTCTGAAATGAAATGAACATGTCCTTTCCTATTTCTTCTTAGTTTGTTCAATGTAGTTCCATCCATAGCTCAAGCCATCTTTTCTCTAAATCAAAGTGGTCTCTCAAATATATTACATGAACTTCCATCAACTGGAAGAATTTCCTTTCACCATGAGTGGGGCTGTGATGTAGCAACCATTCACTTTGGACTGGTGCTGGCATATTTTTCAGAATGATCTGGAAACTAATGCCATGCTTCTTTTTTTTTTTTTTTCTGTTAACAGGTTTAGTAATTCCTCATGAGGTTACAGATGTATGTTGAGGGAGGAGTGGTAAAGCGGTAAGATTTGGTGTCACAGAAGCTTAAGCTACAGGCTCATGGCACTTACTTGTCCCATCCAGAATTGCCTGAGTCTGGTTTTGTATATATCATACTTTTTTCTAATGGAATATTATTTCTTACAACCAAATTATAATTTGCTAGATCACATAACACCCAGTTTATTAATGGCCAGTTAGACTACATAAACACTTGGTATAATATAAGCAGACATTAATCTCAGTCTGGATCCAATAATAACTCACAAGTTAATTTTCAAATAGAAAGGAGTCAACGGAAGAATAAGGAATGGTATTCCTCCAAAATCTCAGGGGTATGTGTTGTGGATCTCCTATTGAGAGTTGCCAGAAATTTAATAAAGCTTTGTTATAAAGCTCAAAGGACAGTGTAGTGTGCATTGCAGCCTGACTGTGTAGTAGAGCCCTTTTTTGCTCCTACTCAAAACTGGTATTGTTACTGGCTACCCGGTAAATGGGCCCAAATATGTTTGTTTCCTTCAAAATGCAAAGAGGCCCATCTAATGGTGAGATTCAATAATTTATATACCCAAAGGAGTGTAAATTGTTCTATTATAAAGACACATGCATATTTTATGTTCATCGCAGCATTATTCACAATAGTAAATTTATGAAATCAACCCAAATGCCCATCAATGATAGACTGGATAAAGAAAGTGTGGTACATGTACACCATGGAATTCTATGCAGCCATAAAAAGGAATGCGATTATGTCCTTTGCAGAGAAATGGATGGTGCTGAAGGCCATCATCCTTAGCAAACTAATGCATGAGCAGAAAACCAAATACCGAATGTTCTTACTTATAAGTGGGAGCTAAATGATGAGAAAACATGGACACATAGAGGTGAGCAACACACACCGGGCCTGTTGGAGGGTGAGGGGTGGGAGGAGGGAGAGGATCAGGAAGAATAACTAATGGATGCTGGGTGATTAATGCCTGGGTGATTGGATGATCTATGCAGCAAACCATCATGGCACACGTTTACCTATGTAACAAACCTGCACATCTCGCACACGTGCCCCTGAACTTAAAAGTTGGAAATAAAAAAAATTGTCTTTCGGTATACAGGGCTATCCTGATATGCCTTAAAGGAAGCTTGTGCAACCTGAGACCCAGGATGGCTTTGAATGTAGCCCAACATAGATTTGTAAACTTTCTTAAAACATTATGAGATTTTTTTTTTTTGCAATTTTTTTTTAGCTCATCAGCTGTCATTAGTGTATTTTATATGTGGCCCGAGACAATTCTTCTTCCAATGTGGTCCAGGGAAGTCAAAAGATTGGATACCCCTGCTATACCATTGGCTGTCTAGAAAGACGGATGATATTTCAGGTTCCTGAACTTCAATATGGTTTATCCTTCACACTCTGGCACAAATGTATCATATTATGACAACTAGAGCATTTGCTCTTTTGCTATGAGCAAGTTTATTTAATCAATTTTATATTTTACATATAAAATTATATACTGTATGGCATATAGATATGGTCAGTATTTATACAGATGTTATTATGACATGGGGCATAGCCTTGAGGTAAGTCAGGGAAAGGTTACTGCTGTTTCTACCAAGTGACTGCAAACTGATTATTATCTTTATTCATTGCAATTATAAAGAAAATAATGACTTGATCAATATCCGTTTATAGTTTACATAGGCTAGTTGATTTGCTCCAGTAAATATATCATCTGTGGAATAGCAGTTAATATGAATACCTGGTTATGTTTATGAAAATCAGCAGTTATTTTACAAGACCCTTTGGCTTTTGTACTGGCAAACTAGAGAGTAAAGCAGAGTTGTGAAGAAATAACCACCATTATATCTTCATCTCCCAAGTCTTTGTTGATGGCAATAATCTGTAATTCCTTCAGGAATGTAGTACAGTAGTCCCCCTTCTCTGTGGTTTTGCTTCCTGTGGTTTTAGTTATCCGTGGTCAGCCATGGTCCAAAAATAGTAATATATTTTGAAAGGAAGAGAAAGAGAAACCACATTTTCACATAACTTTTACTATAATATACTGTTACAGTTGTTCTATTTTATTAATAATTATTGTTGCTATGCTCCTACCGTGCCTACTTTATAAATTAAACTTTATCATAGACATACATTTATAGCAAAAAAGCTTAGTATATATAGAGTTCTATGCTATCTGTAGTTTCAGGGATCCGCTGGGGGTCTTGGAAGGTATTCTCCACGAATAAAGAAAGATTACTGTATTTTTTTTTTTTTTTTTTAGTTTACTGTGAGAATGGGATTCGACAGTTTCAGATACATATATTTTGCCTTTCCTACAATAATAGTCCTCATTCTCTGGTAGGATTCTGACATTTGCTATGTATATGCATTATCACCAAACATTTCTGGCATAAAAAATACCCACAGGATACCTCTGTGGTACTCACATGGGCCCACTGGAATCATTATCATATATATACTCAAGGCAAGATGTCATTTATTATTACACCTGACTTCTATAAATTCCCAAAAAATACCATGGTGGTATTTTCAGTCTTTGGGAATTTTTTATCAGTTAAGACTAGTAACTAATAATTGCTAGAAGATATTCCTGAGTATTCTGAGTATTATTTTTTCCCTAGTACACGTGCCTTTAGGTCACTCTGACAAAGGCTTGGAGGAAGATTTATGGTACCCATGCTTAGCAGCATAGAAAACCCCTTTTTCAAAGGGACCTGAGCTCCCCTCAGTCAAAGTCCTCTAAGTCTATAAATTAGGGTGCAGTCTATGAATTTCCATTATAGCAACTTAAGTAAGTTTTTGCACCCCAAACAAGAATTGTTTTGTTTATAAAGATGATATAGAACCTTCATAGGCTATACATTTCAGGTTTACATTACATTTGTAATCTGTATTACAAATATATACCCTATATATTTCATTCCTAAGGACCCTCAGATCAATTAGATACCACCACAATACCTGCAGTGAAAAACACTTTGATTATTTATATTGTCTCTAATGATTGAGTGTTACCATTTGTTCTCTACCAACTCAGACTTCATTATTCTCCATCGACATCAAAAGTTCAGTTCAAAGGTCTAAACCTAATCATTGTGTCTATGCTGCAGAAGACAGACATCACAGCACTTTTCATGAATACATTTCTTAATGCTAGCGAAGGGAACATCAGAACACTCTAGAGTAGAGGTCAGCAAATGATAGTCAGTAGACGAAATCCAGCTGGTGTCCTATTTGTGTATCATCTGTGAGCTAAGAATGGTTTTTACACATTTAAAGTTGTAGAAAAGAAGAGGAGAAGGATAAGGAGGAGAAGAAGGAGAAGGAGATTCCAAGAGTGCCACAAAGCCTAAAGTATTTACAGAAAGTTTGTCTACTGACTCCTGCTCTATGTCATAGCAGGGAAATTCTGGCATTGCAGCCTCATTGACTGTAGGCCACCATGGAATCCAAGCTTTAATTAACCATTCTAATAGGCTGTTAATACTACCACAGGTACTTGAGATAACACATTAAATCCTGAATGCTGTTAAAATACAACCATATTGATAAATTCAGTCAGATCCAATCTTCTGATTCATCTTTCTCAGTCTAATAACCCTTAAAATTCATTCCATACATACTTTCCAAACTCATGCTGATACATATTGGCAATATCCATGAACAATTTCTGAGTATTAAATCGTTTTTTGTGGAATTTTCTCCCTTCCCTTGTGGGATCTAACTCTAGTTACTGATTCAAGAGGCAACCAGTGAGGGATGTTGGCATCTGTACTAAGAAAAGTTGACATTACTTGTAAGGCAATTGCCTCAAGTGAAGTTTTTAAAAATGTTCCTTTTTTAAAAACTTTTATTTTAGTTTAGGGCCTACATGTGATGGTTTGTTACATAGGTAAACTCATGTCATGGGGGTCTGTTGTACAGATTATTTCATCACCCAGGAATTAAGGCCAGTACCCAATAGTTATCTTTTCTGCTCCTCTCCCTCCTCCCACCCTCCACCTTCAAGCATACCCCAGTGACTGTTGTTTCCTTTTTTGTGTTCATAAATTCTTATCATTTAGCTCCCACTTATAAGTGAGAACATGTGGTATTTGGTTTTCTGTTCCTGAATTAGTTTGCTGAGAATAATAGCCTCCAGCTTCATTCATGTTCCCACAAGACGTTATCTCATTCTTTTTTATGGGTGCATAGTATTCCATGGTGTGTATGTACCACATTCTTTTTATCCAATCTGTCATTGATGGGCTCTTAGGTTGATACCATGTCTTTGCTATTGTGAATTGTGCTGCAGTGAACATTCACGTGCATGTGTCTTTATGGTAGAATGATTTATATTCCTCTGGGTGGGTCGAATGCCATTACTGTCTTTAGGTCTTTGAGGAATTGCCATACTGCATTCCACAGTGGTTGAACTAATTTACATTCCCACCAACACTGTATAAGTTTTCCGTTTTCTCGACAGCCTCGCCAGCATCTGTTATTTTTTGACTTTTTATTAATAGCCCTTCTAACTGATGTGAGACGATATCTCATTGGGCTTTTGATTTTCATTTCTCTAATGATCAGTGATATTGAGGTTTTTTCCATATGATTGTTGGCCACATGTATGTCTTCTTTTGAAAAGTGTCTATTCATGTCCTTTGCCCACTTTTTAATGGAGTTGTTTGCTTTTTTCTCTTGGAAATGTGTTTAAGTTCCTTATAGGTGCTCGATATTTGACCTTTGTCAGATGCGTAGTTTGCAAAATTTTTCTCCCATTCTGTACGTTGTCTGTTCACTGTTGATACTTTCTTTTGCTGTTCAGAAACTCTTGTTTAATTAGATCCCATTTGTCAATTTTCACTTTTGTTGCGATTGCTTTTGGTGTCTTTGTCATGAAGTCTTTGCCCATTTCTATGTCTAGGATGGTATTGCCTAGGTTGTCTTCCAGGGTTTTTGTAGTTTTGGGTTTTGCATTTAAGTCTTTAATCCATCATGAGCTGATTTTTGTATATGGTATATGTTTGGTTTGGGTTTTTTTGTTTGTTTGTTTGTTTGCTTGATTTTTTGAATCGAGGAGGGATAGTGAAGCATTCAAACTAACAACAAAAATTCTTTACTACACTAGTGAGATAAGGGAAAGGAAGATGGTTATTGGAATTGCATGAAAACTGGACCCATGAAAGAAAAGTCGTAGAAAAATGGCCATACAGGAAAGCAGCCACTGTCCAAACTAAAATGGAGGAGTGGGTGGAGGGCCAATAAAAAACCCTATCATTCTTTCTTCTCATCTGATATTCTGATGGTGCTTTCAATCAAGGTAGGCATGGGAGCCTAGGTGATGTAATCCATAAGGGCCATCCTCCGGGAAAGAAATCAGTCTGGGGGGAATCATAGAAAATAATAAGATTCTGAGGAGATCATTCTTGATGTTGAATTGGAGAAATGAGAAGCACTTGGCAAGGCGTGGTGGCTCATGCCTGTAATCCTAGCACTTTGGGAGGCCTAGGTGGGTGGATCACTTGAGCCCAGCAGTTTGAGACCAGTCTGGTCAACATGGGGAAACCCTGTCTCTACCATTAAAAAAATACAAAAAATACAAAAAATTAACTTGGCATGGTGGTGCATACCTGTGGTCCCAGCTACTCGGGAGGCTGAGATGGGACGATCGCTTAAGCCTGGGAGGCGGAGGTTGAACTGAGCCCCAAGATCACGCCACTGCACTCCAGCCTTAGTGAGACCTCAGAAAAAAAGAAAAAAAAAAGGCACTTAAGAGACTGTATGAGATAGTAATGTTACTGATTCTGACAATTTATTTTATTATTCAAATTCTCTAAAGTTACCATATTTCATTGATTCTGACAATTTATTATTCAAATGCTCTAAAGTTAAAATTTATCTTTAAATTTGTAGTACATTATAGTTTTTTGATCACAGCATTCTCTTCTTAAAGAAACAAAATAATGGGTGGTCTTATGGTCAGTGTTGTCTTGGAATCAATACTTTTTTTTTTTTTTTTGAGACAGAGTCTCGCTCTGTTGCCCAGGCTGGAGTGCGGTGGTGCAATCTCCCTTCACTTCAAGCTCCACCTCCCAAGTTCATGTCATTCTCCTGCCTCAGCCTCCCGAGTAGCTGGGACTACAGGTGTCCGCCACCACGCCCCACTAATTTTTTGTATTTTTAGTAGAGGCGGGGTTTCGCCACGTTAGCCAGGCTGGTCTCAATCTCCTGACCTCGTGATCCGCCCGCCTCGGCCTCCCAGAGTGCTGGGATTACACATATGAGCCACCGCGTCTGGCCACCACATTTTCTTTATCCAGCCTATCATTGATGGTATTTAGGTTGATTGCATGTCTTTGCTATTGTGAATTGTGCTGCAGTGAACATTTATGTGCATGTGTCTTTATGGTTGTCTTTGTACTCTGTTGATAGTTTATTTTGCAGTGCAGAAGCTGTTTAGTTTAATTAGACCCTATTTGTCATTTTTTGTATTTGCTGCAATTGCTTCCTAAAACCCATTTCTAACACAATACCTTTCCCAAATCATCATTCACATTTTTTCTTCCCTTAATACAAATTATTGGTAAACTTGGAAAGGTGCAAGATGTTCTCAACCATGATATCTATGACTTGATAAAAAATATATTTTCAAAAAATTTTCTTTTAATTCCCATTCCAATGTATATAAATCATGTAGACAATATAGAGACTTAAGAAATAATCACGTATTTTATGAATATATATACTTACCTTTGTATACCTTATTATTGTGGTAATATTTTGAGAAACTTTTGAGTATGGCCTTCCTGCTCTCAGATGTAGACAGTCTTACTGGTAAGATCTAATATTTCCTGACTCCTATTGGCCATGCGTGTGATAAGCACATTGTATGAATTTTTTCAGTTGGTACTTTCAACAACCCTATTTAGGTACTTGTGTTTTATTCAATTTTATGAATGGGCCAACTAGACATAAAAAGTGATTAGAGGTGGGATTAGAACATTTTCAGTTTATATATCCAGGGTTAGGAAGACTTCACAAAATAATACTGTAACAATTAATGCCAAGCTTTTTTATATAGAAAAAAATCCCTTCCATGGTTGCTCTATGAGACATAAAAGTATCTGTTTGCATCTTAAAAGAAGAAAGTGGAAAATTCTGAATTTGCATAAAAATTTTTGCTGGTTGTTCTTCACCATAGCTGAAAAGCATAATCTTAAAATTATGTGTTGGTACCTTCCTGCATTTGAAAGAAAGAACTAAGTTAAATAATGTATATGCATAGAAGAGTCCTGTAGAAGATTTGTAAAAATGGACTTGAGTACAGGTATTTGATCATGAGCCCATGAAGCTCTAGTGAGGAAATGGAGAAAGATAAGAAAGGGAGAAAAGACAATGTGTGTATTAATAAGTAGAATAACACAGCGAGGAGTTACAATTCAATACCATTGGGACTCTCTGGTTACTGTGTAGAACAAACCTCAGAATTGCCCCATTGCAGGTTGGATAAGCTGAGTTATTTACACATTTACTTCTGTTCCTCACTGCCTGAGGTTGTCTCCCTATTCTTGGTACACTAAATCCCTGGAGCTAATGAGCTGCTGGGCAGGTGCACAGACTGAGGAAGTACTCTTAGCACCAGCGAAAGTCCTCAGTCAGTAAAGCAGAGGTCAGAAGTGGTCAATAATAACTGACCACTAAGCAGTAGCTGGTGTCCAGGAAGATGTGGGATGTACATCCACAGCATCCACTACACAGATATATACAGATTATACAGGAAACACTTCATATATGAATGTCCCACTATGAATAAGTGGAATTAGCCACTTTCCCAGAGGAGAAATATGAGTTATGATGTTTCACTACATTCAAACCTTTGAAAAATCCCCAGTTTTGTTCTCATGTTGTACTAGAAATAACAGTACAAAGTTGGAATGTAAACTCAATTGAGTTATACTTACTGTGTAATGTAAGTAATGATATATGTGTGTGTGATTATATTAAGATTAATGTTCTTGTTGTTATTGCTGAATCCATTATGGCTGTAACTCATTTTTTTTTTTTTGTAATTTTTGGCTTTCTTTTCTTCTGCCTTTTGGTTACCAGTTAGAAAAATGTAATACTGGAAGGATGCATTATGCAATCTTTTTCCATTATGCACAATCAAAACATGGGTATGAGATTGGATTTTATTCAAAAAGAAGAAAATCTGCCATTTGAAGCTGTGCATATGGAATAAGAAGAATTTTAATATATGTTTAGTCTCATTCTTTTGGTAATATGTAATGTAGTCTGGTTTTGGTGGAAAAGCAATTGTTGATATAAATTATTGATAAATATTTCTTTCAGGTTTAAACATTTGTTATAGTGTATTTAAGACAAATAAGGCATTATTGAATCTGAAAGAATATAGTAAATTTATAAAAATTAATATGGCTGTATTTTGTTCCTACAGAACCATTGTATAATGCTGTCACTTTATGATGCAAGACTGAAGATGTACATTTAAAATAATTTATTTGCAGATCTTGATTCCATCTTCAATAGTAATGTCTTTTTATTATGATGCAACTTTCCAGGAATGGAAATTTTATATTTCTGTGCTTCAAGTTTATCATTTATTGTTTCATTGCAAAGCCTATAATGACAGTAACCCTCCTTAAATGGGGAGAATTACTTAGGGTTGATTTAATTCAAATGTATAAAATGAAGTGCAGTTCAAGGCCACTGGGCTACTTTTGAGAATTTATCAAGAACTATTTTGGGGTCTGTGGTCCTAGATATTATTCAGTTACAAACTTCTATTTTCTAGAAAAAGGGAAAAGAAAACCATGGCTTATTAAAAGAGTTTTTATTAACTTTTATATTTCAACACAACTTAGCTTCATATGAAAAGAAAGAAAGTCAGCATAAAGATCAACAACTATCTTTGTGGCTCTGATAAGTAACTTAACCCCTCTGAGCCTCGATGAGAACATCAGTAAAATAAGACTAACAGGACCAACTTCCTGCAGTTTGGTGAGGATTAAATGAGGTAATACATGTCAACTGCTTAGCAACATGCCTGGTACATAGAAAGTCTCAGTAAATAATAATTGAGAAAACTAAAGATTAAAATACTGAAATGATTTCATCTGTAGAGAAGAAAGGAATGATATTTGATGTCAAATTCAGGTTTTTGAGAATTGTCATATGAGGTTATTGACAAAATATAAGTCAAATAAAAAGGCTCAATTTTCAACATAAGTAAAAATGCATCTAGAGTATTGAGAAAGACTACCTGTGTAATTTTCTTGGGCTTTGAAAGACAGGTTATGATTGTCTCTATTTTTGATTTCATATAGTTGTCTGCCAATTGTGATACCAAGCCAAATAACGTGGGAGTATTTATTCTTTACATTAACATCTACTCATAGCTTATTCTACAATTTTCTTGATTTAAATTATAGAGTCAAAAAGTCAATTCTGTAAATTCTTCATAGATTACTCTACTGTTAGAGTACATGATATGTTCTGTTTCCTCTTTCTCCTTGGTAGGAACCCAGACTCCCAGTAAGCCTTCACATACTGTGCATAGTTAAGACTACCCCATAGGCTGCTTGATATTGACTAATCTAACTCATATCCCTGCAAATAATCTACTGTAATCTTTTAAATAATATTATTGTGTCCTTTGCTGTTAGAAGTTAAAAGTATAGGGTATAGGGCAGACTGCCCGCATTGGAGTCCTGATTCTAATACCACTTCAGTTTTCCCATCTGTAAAATGAGGAAAACATTAGTACTTACTTAAGAGTGTAATTGTGAGAATTAAATGAAACAGCATGTGTGAAACACATAGAGACCTAATTTATTTTAAATGCTTGATAATTTTAATTATTATTAATTTTATTTATACTCCTACTATTTTTATAACTGTAGACCAGCTTATTCTGGCTATATGCAATATGAAGAAAACCCTCCTCCTACCGTTCCTCAAACATAAAAATACTGAATTATGGCATAATATTTCTGTTTGTTAAACAAGTTATTTAGCATCCAGGCTAGATGAGATACTACACTACTATACACAGAATAACAGAACTATATTGATGATTCATATACAACTTACGTGTGATTCCCATATGTTTTCTGCCAGATGTTTTTTTCTCATTCTACATACATAAATATGTAAAAAAAAGTTGTTGAATATCTGTTCAAGAAATTGTGCTTGGCATTGTGTAGGAATTTGGATTGAAAAATAAAGCATCTGCCCTCAGAGATAATATTTATATCACGAGAAAAGACAGAAATACATAAACCCAATAATTCAATAAAATACAAAAGCTCTCAGAATCATTATGGTTTTCTTCACCACATCAGTGGTGTAGAAAATACATGCTCTGTTTTCAGAGGAAGAAGATGACAAGAGTTTGGCGTTTCACTCTTTGTACTCATGATAATACTGTACAAACTGATCTTTAAAAATGATTATGTTTTGTAAAATAATATAAGTTTATTATAAAAATATAAGCAATATGGAAGAGTGAAGAAAAAGAAAGCCATATATCTCTCAAAGTCCTCTCTCTCACATAAACAATTGTTGCTAATGATAGAATTATTTTAGGTAGATAGGCATGGAGGTACTATTTTATTAAAAATGAGATTTGGGTTTACATGCTATCTTTAAATATAAAGTTAATTTAAAGTAAAACTAATGATATATTTTAAGATAAAAATTTCTTTGACTACTTTTTAGATTATTTATTATTGTTTAGGGAAAAATGATACAAAAAATATTGAATGAAGTCATTATTTTAAATTAATGTTTCAAATTTAGGCAGTGTTAAAGGATTAAATTCTATTAAAGATGAGGTTAGAATGTTTTACTTTCTCCTCCCCAAATGCTCAGTTTTTCCCACTGTGTAATCACTTTTATTTCATCAAGTTAAAATGTGCGTTTTGTAGTGCAATCATAATGCCCTCAGCATTTGGTTGTTGTTCTATATGTACGTGTATTCAACTCACCCTATTCTTTTTCCAAAGTTTTTTTAATTTCTGTTTACTTTACTTTGGTTCTGCTATTTTTTGGCTGGATTTTCCTCTATTATTTAAATTTTGATTACAGTTACACTTTCATATAAAACAATGATAAAACATAGTGAAAATCAACAGTTCTTCACTTTCCCTTTCCCCAAATACTATTCCACACTTCTAAGAACCTTAAAAGCCATAGTTTTTTCAAAGTTTCTTTTTTTATTCCTTTGCATATTTCAAAAAGATACATTTATATTATGATTTCTTGATTTACTAATTTTAGCTATTATCTATTGTCTTCCTATAAAACATAAGATAAGTATTTGTATACTTTTGTTAGTCTGACTCTTCTCTTATTCTCCAGGATATTTAAATCTCAACTTGTCATTAATTAATCAATTTTTATATTATTATAACTATAAACACATGCACACTATTGTTCCAAATAGTCTATAATTATCCTGCTTTCTTTCATAAATTTTGGGGCTTTTTTCCAGAATTAATATTTACTTCATTTTTGTTTTTTATGCAAAATATTGAAATGTACCTATCTTTAATTCTTTTTGTAAATGCCCTATTAGACCTGTCCAACCTCCATTATTAGCATATTTTCTCTAATTTTCAAATACATGTGATAATGTTACAAATGCTTTATTTATTTCCTATGTCTTTCCCTCCCCAAGTCATATAGCTTTTGCAGGTGTATTGCAGTATAACTTACAAACACAATCTAAGATATGTAGATGAGTGAATTTATATATATATATATATATATATATATCTCCATATATATCTACCACCTAGATCAAGATATAGACCATATCCAGAACTCCAGCAGGCTCTCTCATACCTATTTTGTTAATTCTACCCTAAAATATTCAGATCTGTATCACTGTGAATCAAGTTTTCTGCTTTGGAACTTTACATAAATACAATTATGCAATATATACTCTTTCTTCTTTCACTCAATATTATGTCTTTCGATTCATCCATGTTGCATGTAGCATTGTTACATTCTTTTTCATTGTTATGCAATATTTTATAGTATGAATATACTGTGAAAATTAGTTTTGTAAAAATTTTCTTATAATTCATCTGGCCTTGAAAATGCTCTAAAGAAATCAAGACCAACCTCACATTTCTCTTATTGTGGTGACTTTGTTTTCTTTCCTGGATATGTGAAGAAATTTTATAATTATCATTAAGTTAAGGACAATTTAATCAAGATCTGTTTTCTCTTCTTTTTTTTTTGAGACAGAGTCTCACTCTGTTGCCCAGGCTGGAGTGCAGTGGCATAATCTCCGCTCACTGCAAACTCCGCCTCCTGGGTTCAAGCCATTCTCCTGACTCAGCCTCCCAAGTGCCTGGGACTACAGGCACCCACCACCACACCCAGCTAATTTTTTGTATTTTTAGTAGAGATGGGGTTTCACTGTGTTAGCTAGAATGGTCTCGATCTCCTGACCTCGTGATCAGCCCGCCTCAGCCTCCCAAAGTGCTGGGATTACAGGTGTGAGCCACCGCGCCGGGCAAGATCTGTTTTCTTTAACAGTTTTAGCTGGAGCCTGATTGTTTCACATTGATCCATAGAGCTGGTTCCTTTATCTTTCTTATTTCAAGGATTTTAAAAATTATTAAAAATTACATGTTTTACAGTGTTTTAATGTGTATATTATTCTCTTCTACGTCAGGCTTTTGGATCATCCTTATACTGAATCTTTTCTGTTTTTGACTCTCAACTAAATATATCGTATTTTCAACAATTGTGTTAGCCTTGTTCTGTTTCTCCTCCTTTGTTTTTTTTTGATTTACTATGAAAATATCAAGCTTTTCTTTTGGGCCAGAAATTAAAATATTATCTATAACATTATCTATGTCTAATCTACTTATTTCTTTTTCTAATTTATTTATTATCTGGGTAATGGTATTGTTTTGGCTCGTTTCCTTATTTATTATACTCTTTCATATCATTCTTTTTAAAATTTAAATCAACTTGTCTTTGAATTCTAGTTTTATTTAATCTATGATTTTTTATACTATGAAGGACTTTCATAGAGTTTTTCTCTGGTATAAGCAAATTAATATATTGCCTAGTGAGCATATTAAAATTTTTGAGAAATAATAATTTAACCTGCTGATAGCATTGCAAATATAAGAAAATATTTTTTCTTTTTCCAGGAAATACAAAAGATATAATAATGATATATGAAGAAGATGCTGAGGAATGGGCTCTGTACTTGACAGAAGTATTTTTACATGTTGTGAAAAGGGAAGCCATCCTGTTATATCGCTTGGAGAATTTCTCTTTTCGGCATTTGGAGTTGCTGAACTTAACGTCTTACAAATGTAAACTTTTGATATTATCAAATAGCCTGCTTAGAGACCTAACTCCAAAGAAATGTCAGTTTCTGGAAAAGATACTTCATTCACCAAAAAGTGTAGTTACTTTGCTTTGTGGAGTGAAGAGTTCAGATCAGCTCTATGAATTACTAAATATCTCTCAAAGCAGATGGGAGATCTCAACTGAACAGGAACCTGAAGACTACATCTCTGTAATCCAGAGTATCATATTCAAAGGTAGTGTTGCCAAACCTTGTTTGTTTTATTTTTATTTGTTTTTTTTTTTTTGTAATTAAAGAATTGCAAGTTGTTTTAGAACCAATAACTGGTGTCAGGATAGGAATAAGAAAAATGAGAGCTGATTTTATTCAACAGTATGTTGTACTGTCCACAAAATACATTAAGTTTCTTAATTTTTAGCTCTATTCCAATCAAGGCTTATTCCTTGTTCTAAACATGGCTTATAAATATATTCTTTAGGGCAGCCTGGATGAGATCATGGCAGAACAAGTATGGTATGCTCAAGTCATATGACAGTTTGGTTCTGGAAGCTGGTTTCTTATGTAACTGGTGAGGCATGAGTTAATATACTCTAGTGGTGTTACCAGTCAGTAGCAGTTCAAGGTTTGAAGGTCTGGGTTACAATTACAGAGCTTTTAAAATTTTAAGCATGTAACCTTTAGATAAAAGAAAATACCAGGTCCCATTAATTAATTAATTACATTTCCATGTAATAATAAAAATGCTGCAGCTTACAATGTTAAAGCTTCTCCCTTCCACAGTTTTATTCTGCTAGGTGTGAAAGGGGTGCTGTGGTCAGCTGCTTCCCTGGTTTCCTTAGTCTGCCCTTTGCTCTCAACTCCCAGTCTTCTAACTATGGTTTCATGGCTTAAAGGGAAGGAGTGAAGCTATCATTTTATCTTGGCCACACCAGATTAAAAGTTGGCTATTTTTTTTGGAGCAAATTTCTGAGTTTTGGGAAATTCCTTATTCGCTGGGAATGTCTCTCTTGCAGTTTCTTAATAAGTCAAATAGTCCCTCTTCTCTAAGATCATAGCTGTGGTTGTCTAATGCATATAGATTCTTACTGTTGAGTTCTATGGCTCCTTCATGTGTCTCTCATGATGAAAATGGCACTGAGATACCTCCTGGCTGGGTGTTTCTCCTACCTTGTCCACATCTATCTGAAGATAAACCTTCCTTTATCTTCATTTATCTTTTTCCGGACAAACTCTGGGCATACAAGCCATTCCCAGAGTAGCTATCACCATCCTGCCCTCAGAGCAGCAGTACAGCCACAGTCTCTTGCCTTTAGTAATTTCCAAACCTGGATCCAGCATAAGTGTTGGAGTTCTGTAAATCCAGGGAACCTATATCAACCCCAAATGGTTCGCTGGAAGCTTTTCTCACTATACTTCTTCCCTGGTGGAAAACAACTTTCTTCTTACCAAAATTCCTTCTTATTTTCCAGTATTGTAACCTCTTCAAATTCAATGGTTTTTTTGTTTGTTTTGTTTTGTTTTGAGACAGAGTCTCGCTCTGTCATCCAGGGTGGAGTGCAGTGGCATGAACTTGGTTCATGGCAACCTCTGCCTCCCAGGCTAAAGCAATTCTCGTGCCTCAGCCTCCTGAGTAGCTGATATTACAGACACGCACCACCATGCCTGGCTAATTTTTGTATTTTTAGAGGAGATGAGGTTTTACCATGTTGGCCAGGCTGGTCTCAAACTCCTAACCTCAAGTGATCAGCCCACCTTGGCCTCCTAAAGTGTTGGGATTACAGGTGTGATTAAAGCATTGTCTTAGTTGTCTATTGTTGCATAACAAGTTTCTCTAAATTTTAGCAACTTATACATAATGGTTATATCAGTTTCTATGATTCAGGAATCTAGAGGGGTTTAGCTGGGAGGTTCTGGAGCAGGATTTGTCATGAGGATGCAGTCAAGCTGTCCAGAGCTAAGATCCTCTGAAGCCTCCACTAAGTGAAGATCTGCTAACAGGGCTTACATTGTTGACAGTTTCCTTTGTTATTGTGATTTTAATAATCCCTTGGTTGGCTGAAGGTCACTTCTAATCATTCCTGAGGAAGGTGCCTTGGAAGCAATGTTTCTGAATTGCTGAATGTTTAAGAGTTTGTCTCTTGTCTTACACTGAAGGTAGAGTTTGTCTGAGGACAGTATTGCTCTTGCTCTTCTGTCTCTAGCACTGCAGAATTTACAGAATTTTTATTTGCCTAGCTGACTAAAGGATTCTTCATTTATAGTTGAAGTTTAGTGACTTTACTAGAATATTTTAGTGCTGACTATTCTGGATTATTTTTCCCAGGGACATGCTTTCTTATTTTTGTTTGTATCTTTTTCCCAAAATGTAGAGTCAAGTCTTCTTTTATTTCATGAAGAATTTCTTAACTTATATCTAAGTTTACGGTTTATTTTTCAGGGACTCCTTTTTTATGTATTTTGGATTTCTTTAGTCTGCACTGCACTCTACAATTTCTCTCTAATCCCTTTGAGTCTATTAATATCTAATTAACTTAGTTTGCATTTTCACTTTAACTTTTGCTACCATTTTATACTTTCATGAGTTTCTCTTTCTCTGTATTACTTCCAATCTCTTTCGTTTTCATAGTACTTTTACTTTTTCTCATTGTACCTTTTGGTTGAGCACTTATAACTTAAAATTCATCTCTTGTTCTTAATTCACTCACCTCTCTCTAACTTCTTGCATATCTGCACTATATAATTGCTTTCAAAAGGTGATTTCTATTCATTACATTTTAAAAATTCACGGTGAAATGTTTGGTTACAATTTTCAACTTTGTTTATGGTAACGTGTTTAGTTTTTGCTCCCCATCTCCATTGGTTTTCTCCTTTCCTCTTTTCCTCCCTCCCTCCCTTCCTTCTTTGCTTTCTTTTTCCCTCCCTTCCTCCCTTCCTTCCCTCCCTCTCTCCTTCCCTTTCTCACTTTTTCTCTTTTAGTATCTTTATATAGATTCTATGCTTGTTCAGGTTTCTTTCTTTTTTTTTTGAGACGGAGTTTTGCTCTTGTTGCCCAGGCTGGAGTGCAATGGCACAATCTCAGCTCACTGCAACCTCCACCTCCCAGGTTCAAGCAATTCTCCTGCCTCAGCCTCCTGAGTAGCTGGGATTACAGGTGTGTGCCACCATACCCGGCTAATTTTGTATTTTTAGTAGAGATTCGGTTTCTCCATGTTGGTCTGGCTGGTCTTGAACTCCCGACCTCAGGTGACCCACCCACCTCAACCGCCCAAAGTGCGGGGACTACAGGCGTGAGCCACTGCACCTGGCCTCAAGTTTTCTTATGTGTCACTGAGAAAAGTGAGTTTTTTTTGGTCCAGCCAATGGAGATAGACAGAGTGGGTTTTGTTGTTTGTTCTGTTTTGTTATTGTTGTTGTTATTTTACAATAAAAGACTGTACTTCTCTGCTTCCACAGATGTAGACTGCTTTCTGTAATATGATTTTTCTGTATAGCTCTTAATTTAGCCTCACTTTGTCTGCTTTTTAGAACCAAACTGCTTCCATAGATGCTTCTCCCTCAAATTGTTGCCTCATATCTACAAGGTACCCTTAGCCTTATAGGAAGTAAGTTTGCCGGCTCTTTTTTAAAATCTGCAGCTTCTGGACTGTTTCTTCAAAGTGTCTTTTCTCTGTTTCCTCCTGTACACCCTCATGCTGTATCATCACTGTTTTAGGAAACAGTTCATTGAATTTGGGTCTAGGATTTCACTGTTTCCTATTTCCTCTAAGTAGGACATTTGCATAATATTTCCTCATTGTCTATGTGTTGGGATGATTTCCAAGAATAAAAAGGGGAAATATTCACAGTACACCATAATGTTCAAACTGGAAGTTTTCAAGTTTCTTATGATCTCTTTTTCTCTCTCTCTTTTTAGTATTCCTCAAGTATATTAAACTTTTTTGACTGAAAAGAAAAAAGTGTTACAATAGGAAAATTATTTTTTTAAATCACAGTAAAGCACAAGTAAGTTTATGCTACTCTTCTCCCTGAAGATTGTTAGTAAAATTTTAGATGGCTCTCCACACCCATAATTTCTATTTATTCAAAGAACTCATGTTGTTTTGGCCACTTGAGCTATAATGTCACTATTATGTAAAAATATTTGATATATACCTTTTTGTTGTTTCAGTTGTTTTGTTTTATGATGAGTATTTTTAGGTGGATATGAAAGTGGTATTCTGCTATGTCTTCAAATTATATTTCTATTCATGCTCGGTAAGAGGAAAAACTCACACCTTATAGACAACACAGCACTATTTTGGAGACACTATTATCTCTCATCTGCCCACATTGATTTTGGACTCTGATTTCTTAGAGTAACTTAGATGTGCCAATTGGAAAATATAACCATCTTATTTGGAAAAGGGTGTTCAAATATAGTGCATTTTTGTCTGAGGTACAAGAATGCAACCAGAAGCATATAGTTGTATTTCCAAGTCTACAAATGGTAGCAATCTCCAAACTGCATAAAATAACTTTTATATGTGGGTTGTGTCCTTTGAAGAAATTGGTTCTATTTGCTGTAGTCTATGCAGTGATAAATTTGCTTAAGTGCTCTGCTAAATTATTTTATGTTTATGTTGCCAATCATGTTGAAGACATAAAGTCTTGTATTTAAATTGAGATCAGTACAAAAAAAAATGGGTGAAATAGGACAAAGAATGTGGAATTCAGATTTTACTGTCCCTTTTCTATTTTTCCTCATTCCATAAAGAAATTATACAAAGAATAAGGGAAACTTATTATTCAGAAACAGGCTATGAAAAAGAGAATGATAACAATGCCAGGAAAGTCATGGAAATAATTAAATGTTCTAATATATTAATATAACACAAAGAAAAATCAGAGGAAATTTTAAGAAAGAGAAAGCTATTTTATAATTAATCAAGGCTCCAGAGAAAAGTTTTTAACATTAAAATTTTTTTAAAAGACACAGTAATTTATATTTTCTCCTAGTATTTTATTTCCTTTAAAGGAATTAAGAAAACCAAATTTCCTGTCTTCTTAATTCCCAAATTGGGAGTAACACAAATCCAGCTGTATTTACTCTTTTCTGTGTGTTTTATAATCGTTTGTATGACATTCCTTCCTTTTTCTGTCTTCTATTTGTTAGTTTTGGTGTTTTACCTAACTTGCTTTTCTAGTCTTTCCACATTTATAGGCTTCATACAGCATTGTTTATATGTGATATAAATAAGCTGATCTGAAATTGTTATAAAATCAACTGCCGTTTCTGAATATCACCAACATGTACTTGAATCCTTCTGGTTTTCAGGATCCTGGCACCTCTCCAAGGCCTCTGTCCTCCCTTGTTCTTTGTTCTCAACTCTGCCCCCGTCACTTCTGGACCAGGCATGCTGGTTTGCTTGCAACCCCTGAGCTACCCTTTACCAACAGCTCTCTCCATGGCTTATTTTCTCATATTTTCTTCATTGTCCATTAACAGGAAAAACTTCTCTTTCTTGAAGAACCTTAACATTTCCATTTTGTTTTTCTGTTACCAAACCAAGGATTTCAAATTTTTAGCTTTATTTTACACTTTTTAAAAGAAGGACAAAATGAATAGTAATGTAACAGTAGAATTATTGGAAAGGCAAAACAAAACAAACAACAGAACAGAAACAAACTATGCAGAAGCATTGTTTTCCTTTCTTTCTGTCTGTGCTGTGTATTGCTTAAGAACTCTGACTCACTGGACCTTCCTAGAACTAGTCAGTGAGATGTTGTAGCCTTTCAAATGAAGTCCTTCCTTTTTGCATGGTCTTTCAGCTCTTTGAAGGTATGGCTCCAGCATGGGTGTCCAGGCCATTTCTGTCACCAGCATTAGTGTAGACATACTGTATACTAGGGTAATTGTATCATTCACCATTGAACAAACACAGCCTTTCCATTTTTGCGTTCACTCCATTGTTTTTTCACTTTTCTCTTCATCTGGAGTATCCTTCCACATATTTTCAGTTGAAATCTCAACCATCCTTCAAAGTCAGTTGACAAGTTGCTTTATTAATAAATTCATGTCATATCGTTTCTGCTTGAAAAATATTTTCCTCATCTAATTCTATTAATTTTGATTATTGCATACTTATGACTCTCGTTACATTCTATATTCTCCGTAACTATTTTTTTAACCATTTCTTTTCTTCTCCTTATTGCTGTTTTACAAATGGAATGTTGTTAACTTTCTTTTATGCCTGGCGCGGTGGCTCACGCCTGTAATCCAAGCACTTTGGGAGGCTGAGGCAGGCAGATCACTTGAGGTCAGGAGTCGAGACCAGGCTGGCCAACATGGTGAAACCCAGTCTCTACTGAAAATACAAAAATTAGCTGGGCATGGTGGTGCACACCTGTAATCCCAGTTACTCAGGAGGCTGAGGTAGGTGAATCACTTAAACCTGGGAGGCAGAGGCTGCCGTGAGCCCAGATGGTGCCACTGCACTCCAACCTGGGCGACAGAGCGAGACTCTGTCTCAAACAAAACAAACAGAAACAAAAACAAAAAAATTTCATTTTAAAAATATTTCAGCATTCTCAACCTCAAAAAAACCCCACAAACCTAGAAAGGACAAATTGTGTTTTTAAGTACAGATTTATAAATGTTTCTGGTACAGTTTGGTTTTTCTCTTTATTGAAACCTCTTGATGAAAGGTTTACTGTGGGATTCTTGTCAAGAATACATAACCTCAATCTAATCATGAGGAAATATCAGACAAATCAAACTGGGAGATTTTTGTGGAATCAAGGAAGATTCTACAAAATAATTGCTCTGTACTCTTCAACAGTATTAAAATCAAGAGGTTAAAAGAAAGGGTGAATTATTATTTCACAATAAACTAATCCAAAGCCATCGGCTCGGCACTATCCCAGAGCTTTCCCCATCTTCTACATTCAATTAATTTCTGTGGCTTAGAACTGTATCTCCGTGCCCATTTCTCATCCATTGGCCTAGATCTTCATCTTCCATTTCACAGTCTACTACTAGAACCTCCCAGCTGGTGGCCTTTTTCCTCCCAATTTTTCTAAAACACATACTAAATTATGGGGCTCTACGTCACCTATGGAATAAAGTCAAAATACCTTAAAGTAGCAGGCAAGGCCTCTCATAATCAAATATTATGTACAATTTTTTTTAAATTAGCAGGATTTAAAACACTTACTTTGATTGTTCACAAATTTAGACAATAATCAATTCTATCAGTAAATGTGTAATGATAATTTAGTATATTTAGGACTAAGACCGGTACAACTGTTTTTGTGCTTCTAGAATTTATTAAGGTTTGAAAAATTGTTAGCTGCCAACTTTAAGATTCAGGGATTGAATACTGACTTTTTTTCTTTCTCTAAGAAACTAATAGTTCATTATAACTTCAGAATTCCAATTAAAGTGATGGATTGTTTGAAAAGAATATTACTCAAAAAGTCTGAATTATAAATTGAGTTCAGGTATCTGATACTTTACACAAGGGTTTTATTTTGTCCCAAAGAGTTTCTCTGGCTTGCATGATTTAATAATGTCACTCAAATTATTTCTGAGACTGTAAGGACTAAGGTTTCAAGGATTTTTCCCTCAATGTATGGTACATATTCAATTTCTCTTTAAAGAAGCTTTTTATATATTAATCAATTTATCTTTTTAAATTCTATTTTTAATTCTTTCATTTTGTTTTTTAAAATATCATGTTTGGTCATTCTCATGTATATTGAAGAATGAAACTCAAACAACAAAATGGTTAGTAAACATTTATTAGTCCTAGGCAGCAGACTGTAATTATGATTTATTTATTGCTAATAAAATAAGATAAAGACATTTGATCAGGATATTTTTAGCTGTGTTTGTAAAAGCATTCTGTATACGACTCTGGATAGCTTTTCTCCTCTCCCTCTCCCTCTCCCTCTCCCCCTTCTCTCTCCCCCTTTCCCTCTTCTCTCTCCCTCTCCCTCCCCTCTCTCTTCTCTTTCTCTTCTTTTTTGAGACAGGGTCTTGCTCTGTCACCCAGGCTGGAGTGCAGTGGTGGGACCTGGGCTCACTGCAACCTCCACCTCCAGAGTTCAAATGATTCTTGTGCCTCAGCCTCCTGAGTAGCTGGGATTACAGGTGTGTGCTACGCCCGGCTAATTCTTTTGGATTTTTAGTAGACACGGGGTTTCACCATGTTGCACAGACTGGTTTTGAACTCCTGGCTTCAAGTGATCCACCCACCTCGGCCTTCCAAAGTGGTGGGATTACAGGCATGAACCATCATGCCCAGCCTCTGGGTAGCTTTTAAACATATTCTTATTATGAATGTATACACCCTATTTCTGAGTTCTACTGCCTCCTTTTTTGAATCAAAAACTAAGGTACACTGTTTTATTACTCAGGATCATTGTGTTATTAACAACTTAGAAGTTAGCTTATATTATTCTTTGCTTTCCAAAAATCTTACCTTTCTTTAGATGATTTCCTCTTTATTTTTGCTAAAAGCTGATTTTTTTTTAACATTTCAATTCCACATGGGAAATGATCATCTGCTGCATAAACAGCATGATTCCAAGGCTTTTCTGAAAATTAACTCTAGTGTTAAAGGGCAGAAACTATGTACAGAGCCCAGGAAAAAACAAAATTTTACTGTCTCTTATTATAAAATATCTAGTTCTGAAATCTATGCCAAGACAGTTGGTATCCTGAAGTCTACCTGTAATCCAAGGTCCAAAGAAATCTACCCTTATGTGATGATTGAGCCATTGGAGGGAGATCATACCTTTGAGCTGTGTTTGACTTGAACATGCTCTCCCTTAGCTGGTGACCAGCCACTTGGTAACCTCAGTAATTATTTTTCAAGACAGACACTTTAAACTTTATTTTCTTAACATCAGTAACATTTTCTTGTTCACACGTATTTATGCTGGAAGTTAAGGTATAGGATCATGTGAGATTAGTTAACAGCTTGATTCAAGATGATGTATCTGACACTGTTTTGCCATATTTTTATATTTCACACAGGAATAGAGTGAGAAACTTATATATTTTAACTTTATTCTTGACTGAGAAACACAATAGGTAGTTTAAACTAAATTAAAAAATAAAGATTTTAAAAGTCAGACATTTTATGATATCACCAAATGAGAATTCACTTACATTCATTTATTGAGGATATGTATTTTTAACCTTGAGTTTTCATGAGTGATTTCAAATTACTTTTACTAGTGTCTTAATATTCTCATATGTTGAGAGAGCTGAAATTTTTAGTATCCCATTTTATAAGTTGCATAATAGAAGGGTTGAAATTACATGGTTTTTTTCAGGAACTATATTCATTAAATGTTTATGGTTGTACTCTTTACTAGGCAATTATGATTTCCTTTTGACAGTAAGAGAAATATTAAGATATGTGGAAATCATCACAAGTGCTCCTCTAAAGCTCATCTCATACTTGTATTTTTTTGACTGTTAGTAGCATCATAATGCTACAAAATGTATTTCTAGGGAGGTAAGTAATGCTCGTCAATCCATTTAATAGCTTCCCATATGAGGAAGCTTACTCTTATTCAACATTACTTTTTATTCAAGTACTTTTGCAGGAATTCAATTTGACTAACATTATGGAAATTGAGAACCTATATTTTTCAGCCCCGTTATTATGCTACCCTATCCCCTAATAAATGCTCTATCATCCCTTCAATTCTTAAGCAGGGAGGATTTGTCTGAATCATTGCTTCATTATTCACAATGACCAGCACCATATACAATAATAATTTTTTTATTCAACTGGCCAAATTCTTTACAACTCTTGAACTTCTTTTGGAATATGAGAAAGTGTGATTTATATCTAATGTGTAATTGTTTCTTAGGCTTTCATAGCTTTTTAGAAACTAAGACAAAGGAGATATACAATTGCTTTTTTTCCATATTCTTTCCAAGATAGCTACTATATAATTTCAAATATTTAATTTTTTTTTTTTTTTTTTTTTTTTTTTTTTTTTTTTTTTTTTTTTTTTTGAGACAGAGTCTCGCTCTGTCGCCCAGGCTGGAGTGCAGTGGCGGGATCTCGGCTCACTGCAAGCTCCGCCTCCCGGGTTCACGCCATTCTCCTGCCTCAGCCTCCCAAGTAGCTGGGACTACAGGCGCCCGCCACTACGCCCGGCTAATTTTTTGTATTTTTAGTAGAGACGGGGTTTCACCGTTTTAGCCGGGATGGTCTCGATCTCCTGACCTCGTGATCCGCCCGCCTCGGCCTCCCGAAGTGCTGGCATCACAGGCGTGAGCCACCGCGCCCGGCCAAATATTTAATTTTATAGTGTGTTTAATCTCAATAAATATATGATGCCTGACTTTGAATTATGGACAATAATTTTTAAATTTAAAGAAAAAAATATATTTTTGTTGGGAACAGGCCCCCCAAAATCTGGCCATAAACTTGCGCCAAAACTGGCCATAAACAAAATCTCTGAAGCACTGTGACTTGTTTGTGATGACCGTGACACACATGCTGAAGGTTGTGTGTTTACCAGAATGAGGGTAAGAAGCACCTGGCCCACTCAGGGCGGAAAACCACTTAAAGGCATTCTTGTGCCTTAAGGACATGCTCCTGCTGCAGATAACTAGCCTAAGCCCATCCCTTTATTTCAGCCCATCCCTTTGTTTCCCATAAGGAATACTTTTAGTTAATCTATAATCTATAGAAACAATGCTCATCACTGGCTTGCTGTTAATAAATACATGGGTAAATCTCTGTTCGAGGCTCTCAGCTCTGAAGGCTGTGAGACCCCTGATTTCCCACTTCACACCTCTGTATTTCTGTGTGTGTGTCTTGAAATCCTCTAGCACCTCTAGGTTAGGGTCTCCCCCACCGAGCTGGTCTCAGCATATTTTGAGTGAGGGTCTCACTCTAGAATGCAGTGGTGCGATCTCAGCTCACTCTAAATTCTACCTTGCAGGTTCAACCAATTATACCTCAGCCTCCCAAGTAGCTAGGACCACAGGCATGCGCCGTCACGCCCAGCTAATTTTTTTATTTTTAGTAGAGAAAGTGTTTCACCATATTGGCCAGGCTGGTCTCAAACTCCTGGCCTACGTGATCCACCTGCCTCAACCTCCCAAAGTGCTGGGATTGCGGTCATGAGCCACCGTGCCCAGCCTAAAATTAAAACATGTATATATTTAAAAGCTTTTTATTTTTCTAATTATAAAAATAATACTCATTGTAAAAAAAAATCTGAATAGTACAGAGAACATAAAAGAAGCAGGAAGAAAATGTCACTTAGAATGACAATACCCAGAGGCAGTCACTGTTAACATTTTGGCATATTTCATTCCATATATAATTCTGATTGTGCAGAATATAAACTGTTTAAAAGTTGAGAGAATCATAATATGTTAGAGGAAAAAGCAAGGCATAAATTATAAGTATAGGACTAAACTTAAATGAATATATGAGTATCTTTTTTTAAATTAAACAAAATCTGAAATGATAGGCCAAGATTTCATATGGCCCAGAGATGATATATTGACAACTATTCCATGGGAAATGAAAATCTCACTGAAATCAACAGTGAACTCCAATGAATGATTCCAGTTTGGAATGAATAATTCAAAATAATGAAAGCATAGATTCTAATGGTAATAATCTTTTATTATTATTATTATTATTATTATACTTTAAGTTTTAGGGTACATGTGCACAATGTGCAGGTTAGTTACATATGTATACATGTGCCATGCTGGTGTGCTGCACCCACTAACTCGTCATCTAGCATTAGGTATATCTCCCAATGCTATCCCTCCCCCCTCCCCCCACCCCACAACAGTCCCCAGAGTGCAATGTTCCCCTTCCTGTGTCCATGTGTTCTCATTGTTCAATTCCCACCTATGAGTGAGAATATGCGGTGTTTGGTTTTTTGGTAATAATCTTAATTACACAGAATTGTTCAATATGTTGATGTAGGGAGGAGCAAAAATTTTATAGATAAGCTACTCACAGATGAATTATTATGAAAAATAGAATAACATAAATGAATATGAAGAATTTTCTGGTACTTCATATGAAGAAATTTAAAAAACCTTTCTTATAAATAATTAAACCAGTTATAGCATTAAAAGTGGTCTCAAATAATATCTCCTCAAACATTGTTATTTGACAGATTGTGAAATTGAAATTCTGACACCTTGCATTCTTTGTGCAAGACCTATGGTCCAGAAGTGGGGAAGAATCTGGTAGAACCCATGTTGCGTCAGAACACTGGCTTCTCCTTTCCAAAGTTCTAAGCCAAATGGCAATAGCACTTAGACAAGAGATTATATGATTTCTCTTCCATTATTTGTTCACGATTGATCAATTCCTTTATTCCTTCCATTTAAAAATTAATTTCTAACATTCATTAATAAATTCTATGAGCCAACCACCAATAAAAGAACTTTCTACACATTTTAAAGTTTAATTGTCACAAAAACATTAGGTGCAGTTACTAGTACTATTCTCATTTTTAAGTAAAAACACAAACAGAGGAGGCAACTAGAAAATAACAGAACTGGAATGTGGACCAAATACTTCTAGCATCCCCATTTCAAATAACTATACTCTTGGACAAATTTTGGTTTGACTTTGAAAAAATAATTTTTAGGCTACTTGCAGAGAACTAGATCATTTCTAATTTCTTAGATATATACGTACTCAAGTCTAATCTATGTGTTTGGGTTTTTATATTTCAGAGTCTAGGATGAAATCTGAGGTGATAATATTGTCATCTTGAAATATAAAAACCCGGGCACATGGACAGCTGAGCTAATGCTGTCACAGGTGGTGAATTTTCCCTTTCCTCATCACCTATATTTTCAGTCATGAGAGATTCTCAGCTTTTATTTGCACCTCTGCATTCTAGGTTTCACAAGAGTGTCACAATTTAACATATTTAATGTCTTAGACATCATTTCTTGATTTACACGTATAAACTTGCAATTTATTTTATTTGAATCCAATTTCAGTTATCTTCTCATGCTAAATGAGCTTTAGAAAGTTTTTCTGTCTGGAACAGTATAGTGATACTTAGAAAAATTAAAACTTTTAAAGTAAATGATTTTCTGAATTTTCTGTTGGAAACATTTTCTTTTTCATACAGAAAAATGTATTTCCTTTCATTTTAGGCTTTACATTTCAGAATTTCAAACAAAAAACAGTGTCCACTTTTTTAATGTACCATCTTCTTAGTACACCTACTTTCCCCTTTGGTCTTATTATAGTAAGGTTTAGTTTCACTTTTCCTTATCAGTATTACTTCCCTATTTTGTACTTTTTTGATAAATATTCCACTATATTAATCTTGATTCAATGACGTAAAATGGTGCCCCATAGTGCCTTCTTCAAGAGCATATTAATCATACCAAATTACTCTGCTCAAAATGCATTCAGGCACTTTCTTCATATTATCCTTTTGATCTCTGGGATGTATTTTCCCATTGTTAATTGAAACATTAGTGTTACACATTTTATCATTTTTTCCTTTATTATTATATTCAAATGTTAGGAATGCTTTCCCATAACCCTGGAACCCACTTAGATATTAGTGATGCTTTGTCCATCAACCAGAAAATTCATATTTTCTGTGTCTAGTATATTGTCTTTGCGTAATTTTCTTTTAAATATATGGCTACAGCCAGGTTTGGTGGCTCATGCCTGTAATCCCAGCACTTTGGGAGGCCGAGGTGGGTGGATCACGAGGTCAGGAGTTTGAGACCAGCCTGGCCAACAAGGTGAAACCCCATCTCTACTAAATATACAAAAAAAAAAGATTAGCTGGGCGTGCTGGCACGCACCTGTAATGCCAGCTACTTGGGAGGCTAAGGCAGGAGAATCGCTGGAATCTGGGAGGCGGAGGTTGAAGTGAGGTGATACCACACCGTTGCACTCCAGCCTGGGTGACAGGGCAAGACTCGGTCTCAAAAAAAATAAAAATAAAAATTAATAAATAAATATATGGCTACAAGAATAATTACATTCTTTTGGAATACATATATTCCCCTTTGGCTTGGCTGCTTATCCACTAAATAATGGTTTTAGCTAAATCAGTGGATTTTATTGAGCTTCTACTATGTGGCAGGCCTTTAATCCATGGAGTTGAGGTAGATGTAAAGATTATTGATTATGGACATCCAGATATCACTATCTAATGAAAGGGACAGGAAAGTAAATAATATGTAAATAATGTAATGCAGTGTGACAATAGTTCTAATGAGGTGCAGTGCATCCAAAGAGCTATTGCCAAGTGGGAGATAGGAAGGATCTTCCACTAGAAGCAACCATTGATGTGAATGTTGTAAAGTAATTAGAGGGAAAAATGGGGTTAGGCACAATAGGCGAAACAGAAGAGCCTATATGAAGGAATGAAAGATTGTGGTTTCAGGAACTGGTGAGAAGATTGGAAAGACTGCAATGGCAAACCAGGTGGGTCATGAGGGCCTTTCCTATCTCAGAACACAAGCAAGTCTGCTGACAAGGCCCACTTGCTAGAACTTCTCTTGTGTGAGGCTGAGGAAGGACAAGATGTAGGTGGATCTGCCAAAGGTCTTTTACCCTCAGTGCAAAGTATGACTTTGTGACCAAGAGCAGAGGGTTTGGAGTCAGACAGACCTGGGTTTAAGTGAAGCTTTGTGACTTATGACAATTTATTTAACTTTTTAAAAACTCAATTCTTAGTAAAATCATAATTCTTCTCAGAAGATAATGGTTGCATCCCTTGGGATGAGTGTGAGGATTAAATATGATTATGGATATAAATTTCTACATAGGGCATTTGAGACATAGTCAAAACTCAGTACTTACTAGCTTACTTTTACACCAACCCCAAACAAGCTTCTTTTAGGGCTTTATCTATCAATAGAGTGATCCTCAAGGAAAGTTTTCCTAGACCTAACTGGGAAGGGTCCTTTTTTAATTTAACATACCCTACTGAATAAATGGGGTGATAAACAAAACTTATTTCTGTCTCAAAGGTGAGTAGACTCAGTTTCTACAATTTTTTAAGCTGAGGATCGGATATACTTATATATAATATTTCTGAGAAAGTGAAAGGAAATTAAAATATTATTTAGAAGGTTGCTTTATATGGAAGCAAGCAGTTTCAAAATCATTTTACCTAGTCATATGAAAATATGAAACTAAATACTATTCCGTTCCATGATGTGATTATTATGTATTGCATGCTTGTACCAAAATAGCTCACATACCCCATAAATATATATACCTACTATGTACCAACAAAAGTTAAAAATTAAAAAATTAAAAAAGATACTACATCACCAATTTATTTATGTACATATAGCAGTCAGATATTTTAAATTTACAAGTTAAAATCCTCAGATATAGCATCCCTGAAATTTTATGAAAATATTCCTAAATATATCAGATTAATATGTTGATTAATATTCTGAAAAACATGCCAAAAAAAGCCTGCTGTCAAAATTCAAGTACTACCTCTTAGATAACTGTAAAGAATTTGAAGCTACTTGAGAGAAAACAACTGAGATATTTACCTGTCTTTTTCAAATCCATTTTAGACCAAGAAGAATCATTATTACCTATTGGTAAGGATTACACATTTGACACAATAAAAATAATCATTTTCTCTAGCAGTGAAAACCAATTGACAACATATAGCTGCCTCTGGGAATTCTTTGTAAAGTAAATCATCCTTGTGAGATATTTCAGTGAGAAACAAGAACTGATAAGCATACTGACTTACTCATAAATTGTCATTTCTATGTAAATTAGCAATCCTAACTGAAACATCAATGCAATGTCAAATAAGGTATAATCTTATGCTATGGTAAGAATTAATGCCTTAGACATTTTTACTAGAGATTTGGGCCATAGGGTTTTTGTTTTTGTTTTTGTTTTTATTATACTTTAAGTTTTAAGGTACAGGTGCACAACGTGCAGGTTTGTTACATATGTATACATGTGCCATGTTGGTGTGCTGCACCCATTAACTCGTCATTTACCATTAGGTATACCTCCTAATGCTATCCCTCCCCCCTTCCCCCACCCCACAACAGGCCCCAGTGTATGATGTTCCCTTTCCTGTGTCCATGTGTTCCTATTGTTCAATTCCCACCTATGAGTGAGAACATGTGGTGTTTGGCACACGTATGTTTATTGCCGCACTGTTCACAATAGCAAAGACTGGGAACCAACCCAAATGTCCAACAATGATAGACTGGATTAAGAAAATGTGGCACATATATACCATGGAATACTATGCAGCCATACAAAATGATGAGTTCATGTCCTTTGTAGGGACATGGATGAAGCTGGAAACCATCATTCTCAGCAAACTATTGCAAGGATATGTTGTTTTTAACAGCTCTGAAAATTTTGTGTTTTTGATTCCATCAGATAATTCCTGTGATAAATTGACTGCTGTATGCATGGATAAAACTGTGGGTTGGGAAACAGTATAGGGTAGTGTATTAGTCTGTTTTCACACTGCTATAAAGAACACTCAAGACTGGGTAATTTTTAAGACTGGGTAATTTTTAAGAAGACTGGGTAATTTTTAAGACTGGGTAATTTAAATAACTCACAGTTCTGCATGGCCAAGAAGGCCTCAGGAAACTTAAAATCATGGTGGAAGGTGAAGGGGAAGCAAGGAATATCTTACATGGCAGCAGGAGATAGAGAGGGCAGGGGAAGTGCTACAGTTTTAAACAAGCAGATCTTGTGAGAACTGACTCACTATCATGAGAACAGCATGGGGGAAACCACCCCCGTGATCTAGTCACCTCCTACCAGATTCCTCCCTTAACACCTGGGGATTACAATTCGAGATGAGATTTGTGTAGGAACACAGAGCCAAACCATATCTAGTAGTGATCAAGGTTCTCTGAAGTCTGACTAGCTAGGTATTCTCCTGACTTCAGCAATAACTAGCTGTGTGGCCTTGAAGAGTTCATTTATTGCTCAGAACCTTATTTTCCTTATTAAAAATGGCAACTTCCATCCCTTTTCCTCACCCTCCCTGTCAGCATCTGCTGCGCTCCAGATTTTACTCATATATCGTTTGCCTCCCCTCATTAGATTGCAAGTCGTATGAAGGAAGGCTTACCACCATGTCCTCTGCATCCTGAATAGCACCTGGTACATAGTTGGCTGGTAAATATTTGTTCAAAGAAATCCATATAACAAGGATAATATTATTGCCTGCCTCTTGGGTTGGCAGAGTGTGTGTGTGTGTGTGTGTGTGTGTGTGTGTGTGTGTATGTATATAGTGAGTTAATATATGCAAGGCACTAAGAATAGTACTGGCACATAGTCAATGTTCAGTAGTTGTTAGTTGTTATTCATATTCATGAGAAGTTTGGGGTATTTATTTTTGTATTTTGTCTCTTTTTAGTTTTTTTTACTATTATTATTTTTAATTTTTCCATAAGTTATTGGGGTGCAGGTGGTATTTGGTTACATGTGTAAGTTCTTTAGTGGTGATCTGTAAGATTTTGGTGCACCCATCACCCAAGCAATATACACTGCACCATATTTGTAGTCTTCTATCCCTCACTCCCACAGGTCCCTCAAATCCATTGCATCATTCTTATGCCTTTGTCTCCTCGCAGCTTAGCTCCCAGATATCATTGAGAACATACGATGTTTGGTTTTCCACTCCTGAGTTACTTCACTTAGAATAATAGTCTCCAATCTCATCCAGGTCACTGCAAATGCTGTTAATTCATTCCTTTTTATGTCTGCGTAGTATTCCATCATACACACACACACACACACACACACACACACACACACACATATGTCTCACACAGTTTCTTTATCCACTCGTTGATTGATGGGCATTTGGGTTGGTTCCACGATTTTGCCGGATTCGCTCCCTCCCCTGAGTTCTGGCCAGGAAGCTTCTTGCCCCGTTCAAATTGTTACAAAGTTCAGCTAGAGAATTCCTTCTCCCTGTGGAGTTTTACCCCCTGCTCCTCTGGCCATCTTCCTGATGGATCCCTTTGGCGCCAGCGAGGAATGGCTGCCTGGGAACCCAGTGAGCTCCCAGGGCCTTTCTGCTACCTCCTCTACCTCGGTGTTTTGCTCTGCTCTCCAAATTGACTCAGTCAGGGAAAGTTAGACACTTCTCCCGCAAACAGATCTTCAGCTTCTCCAGTGGGGCTGTGTGTTCGGGAGAGGAGGGTCTCTCTTTCCCACTTCCGCAGTTGGGGCACTCATAGTTTTGGGGGGGGTCTCCTGGGTCCTGTAGGAGCAGTCCGCTTCCTCCAGAGGGTCTGTGGGTCCTCTCGGGATTGCTGGTTTGTTCTTGTAGTTAATCTGGAGCTAAAATTCACAATGCGAGCCCCCGCTTGCTGCTCTGTCTGGAGTTGCACTCTAGTCCTGCCTCCTCCTGTCCGCCATGATCTCCGGTATTCATTTTAGGTCAAACCCATATTTTAATTTTTTTTCTTTTAGGCAATAAATTAATTATGGCTTCCATTTCACTTGCTAGCTAGAAGTCATCACTAAAAACACTCCAGTTTCTACACAGTAACTTAAGGTTTACCTTGCTACACTGGGAAAGGAAAGATTAGGCACTAGATCCATTTGCTAAGATAATACAGTCATGCACTTGAGATATAAGAGAAATACAATCCAGTGTCAAGGGCATGCAGTTTAAAGTGAAGAGTAATATTATTTTGTTAATTGCTTCATGCTTTATTATTTAATTTAGCTATTCAATCGTGATAGTAAAAACAAAACAGAACAAAACAATTCTATTGTTACTTAAACATAGGTAATTTTAATATACAGCCTCTTTTTCATACTTTTTGCAATGGCAAGGGTCTCTAACTTTTAGGCATTAGAGATGGATGTCCCTTCATTCTCTTCCTAGTCTCTCATTCCAGGATCTTGTTTATGCCCTTCTAGCATCCTCCCACCTCTCCCTTTCAGCGATGCAATCACTCCCCAAGTTCTAGCTGCATCATAGGCTTATCCCCTTATCTGCTGAGCCACGGAGGCAACTGGGGCTGGACATACATGCCTTGCTCTTACTTCCCTGCACTTAGCCCCCTTGTACTTTACTTAAGCCTATCACACTAGGTTCCACAGTTACATGTAAAAACCTGTAGTGTACTGAAGGCAATACCAGAAATTGAAACATTAAAGTTGTCATTACTTCCTGGAGTCTCATGGCAATTGCAGGTAGGCCTTTCTCAAAGAGAGGTTTGGTACTTTTTTACTCTTAATCCGCTTCTTCCAACCTCATCTCCTTGAAGTATGTTCAGTTGATATACAATAATGCATTTATTTTACCAATAGTTATTGAGTGCTGGTCACTTCCTGGATCTCATGGAGACTGGAGAAAGGAGTTATGAGAATATAGGTCCAATGGCTAGAATGTTCTCTCTCTTCTCTTCACCATTTTAAGTTTCAGACCCACTTCTGAGGAGGCCAACCTGAATGCCCAATACATGTCTTTAGCTTAACAATGAACATACAGTGGTGGTGGCGTTTTTAGTTAGGACATGGAGATACACACGCACACACACACATATACACACACACACAAATATATAAGCATATATATGTATACACACACTCATATTCTTAGGACATGGAAATATAGGTAATTTGTATGTATTAACACATACTATATAAAAAAATTTATGTGTGTGTATATATACACAATAAAATTTGTGTGTGTGTATATATATGATTATGTCTATCTAATTACCTTCTAAACTATTTAAAGCTTATATAAAAAGGAAAATTAACTCAAATTGTTATCTAAACATCAGTGAAGTTTCATTTTCTACCCAAGGGCCGGAAAAACTTCGTCATTTATTTACTTTGGAAAATTTGGGATTTTTCTATTGAATTTACTACTTATGGCTCTGTTACTTTATTCCTAGGTTAATTCTATCTGCTTTTTAGTTTTCTATGTCTGTTTGATACAAAATACTATATTCTCTGCACATTTTAGAAAAGTGTTAGAAGAGGAAAGAAAGATTCTATTTGGCTTCACATTTTATTGAGGAGGAACAGTTTCTCACTCACAGAATATAAGAGCTGTCTACAAATAGTTTTAAATGTTTGACAGAAATTCAGTAATCCATCACTGGATAGGGATTATATTTTTAAGGGTGTGTTCAGAATGAAATACAATGTCAGTAAAAGTCTTGATAAACTGTAAAAACTCATTAGAGTATAAAATATTTTTATTATTGCACTTAATATGAGCATACCTTGATTTGTTCTGCTTTGAATTTGTGTTTGGGTGTCTTTTTGTTTGTTTGTTTGTTTGGTTGGTTGGTTTGTTTTTTTGAGAGGGAGTCTTGCTTTGTCACCCAGGCTGGAGTACAGTGGTGTGATCTAGGCTCACTGCAACCTCTGCTTCCTGGGCCCAAGCAATTCTCCTGTCTCAGCCTCCCAAGTAGCTGGGATTACAGGCGTGTGCCATGACACCCAACTAATTTTTTTTTTTTTTTGTATTTTTTGGTAGGGACGGGGTTTCACCATGTTGGCCAGGCTGGTCTCGAACTCTTGACCTCAAGTGATCTGCCTGCCCCAGCCTCCCAAAGTGCTGGTATTACAGGCATAAGCCACCGTGCCCGGCCTGTGCTTTGCTTTTTTGTGCTACACAGACACTGCATTTTTTACAAATTGAAGGTTTGTGGCAACCTTTTGTTGAGCAAGTCTATTGGCACCATTCTTCCAACAGTATGCACTTGCCTCATGTTTCTGTGTCACATTTTGGTGATTCTTGCACTATTTCAAACTTTTTTCATTATCATTATGTCTGTTGTGGTGATCTGTGACAAATGATCTTTGGTGTTACCATTGTGATTGTTTTGGGTGCCATGGACTGCACCCATACAAGACAGTGAATTTAAGCAATAGACGTTTTGTGTATTCTGACTGCTTCACTGACTGGGTATTCCCCCATCTCTCTCCCTCTGCTTGGGCCTCCCTATTCCCTGAGACAAAACACTATTGAAATTAGGCCAATGAATAAGCCTACAATGGCCTCCAAGTGTTCAAGTGAAAGAAAGAGTCACACATCTCTCGCTTAAAATAAAAAGCTAAAAATAATTAAGCTTAGTGAGAAAGGCATGTTAAAAGCCAATATAGGTAGAAAGCTAGGATTCTTTCTTCAAACAATTAGCCAAGTTGTGAGTGCAAAGGAAAAGTTCTTGAAGAAAATTAAAAGTGCTACTCCAGTGAACACACAAATGATAAGAAAGCAAAACAACTTTATTGCTGATGTGGAGAAAGTTTGAATGATCTGGATAGAACATCAAAACAGCCATAATATGTCCTTAAGCCTTTTTCAGAGCAAGGCATGTGGTAGATAGAATAAAGTACTGTCCTTGAGATATAAATCATTTAAAAAAACCTAACTAGGCGTGGATTTATTTGATTATTAAACCAGGCAACAAGTATTTATTAAGCCTCTACCATGTGCCAGGCACAACTGTATGCACTAGAGATATAGAGGTGTCAAGTTCGACTAAGGTGTTGGTAAGAAAAGGTGCCTCAAAGGAATAATGAGTGAATTTGGGTGGGAGATAGAGTAGAAGGAGAGGGGAAGGATAATCTTGGGTGGCGGTTTATATTTTTAGTTGAGAATCACTGTCAGTTAATAGTTGTTGCTCCTATGAATATCCTGGTCAAAACACCTACAAAGCAGAGAGCCAAGCCTACACATTTAACCCTTGGAAAAAAATTGCTGGAGTTAGCCCTTCTCTTATCAGTTTTTCTTTCTCTGTTGTCTTTGGGAAGGGTGGTAAGTGCAGGTTCCATTCTGTTCCCTTATTCAGTCCCAGTACTAGCTAATTTTGTTTTATAAAATAGGCTTCTTTTATTCTTAGGGCAAAAGCAAAACTTCCTTTTGCTCAGTAGAAGTAGCAGCTGGGAAAGTCCCAGTTATCTCTGTTCCAAATTAGGTTTTAACTTATTAACATTATCTTTGTCCCAGGACCTTCTTCTGCTCTTTGAATTTTGAGTTCGTGGTTTCTTCAGTTTTGGAAAGTAATTAGTTTTGGAAAACGAATTTTCTATTTGAAGTTGTCTTTTCCAAACATGTTTTGGACTCCGTTTTCTCTGTTGTGATGTCTCTGTTCATTTAGTTCCAGATTAACTTTTATCTTTGAGAAACTCCTCAAAATTTGTTCTTATGTAATTGCACCATTTATCAATTTCTAGTGCTTTAATACATTCATTATCTTAAAAGCAATCTTTTCTATTATTGCATTTATATGTTGTAGAGTAGGAAAATAGATACATGTTCTCAGTCTGCAATCTTCATCATTTCATTCCTCTACTTGAATTAAATATACATACATAATTTAAACCTGTAAAATAAATACATTTTCAGTGTAGAAAAATCAGAATATGTATTACATATACTGTATTATTAGATGTTATTAATATTATATATTTATATCTATTTAGTAAATTACACATGACCCACAAGCCAGAAAGAACCACTCAATATTTTTCGGCTATATATATATATATATATATATATATATATATACACACACACATATAGTCTATTCTCATTCATTCAAGCCTATGTCTTTAATTCCTACCACATAGCTCTGTATATGTACAGTTTTTATTTTACTAGAATAGGAGCCTACTAAATTGACAGTTTTGTAACTTGAATTTTTTCAGTTATATCGTAAACTTCTTGCTGCCTGTTAAATACTCTTTGATAGAATTATTAGTTTTATCAATTACAACTTTTATCGCATAAGATATTTTTATCTTATTCCTTATTTCTTAGATTGCTTCCAATTTTCTCCATTACAAACACTACTTCTGTGAATATTCATAGAGATAAATCTTTTTGTACATTTGTGATTATGTCCCCAGGGTAAATAAAATAACTTTTTTTTACCTAATATCACAGAAGAATTAGCAGAAAATCCTGGATACTGCCATGGTGGAATGACTTCTCCTTCTTTTAAGGTGTATTAAATAAAATCCATTTCTTAGTTTTTCTACAAACTCACAAAAGTATTGAGCCAGTTTTATACAACCTTTCACTGTTTTGATTTGTGTATGTCTATGTGTGTGTGTATAAGCCAGGAGGAAGAGAGAGAGAGAGAAAGAAAGAAAGAGATTGCTTATGAAAGTGTTTTAAATTGTTAGTGAAATAAGGACTGTTTTTCATTTCAAACAAGACTAGTACTGAGAGGAAGCTGGAAGTCCTAGGTACTGTTGTGCCTTAGTTCTGCAACTTTCATAAGACAGAAGAAAACAAGAAAACTTTTCTTCTCAGAAACAGCGTGGAGACAGCTCCTCCCTCTCAAGGGAGGCTCTCTTTTGTTACTCTGCTTTTCTGATAGAATTACCTATATGGAGCTGGTGACTTCTCTTTTTTTTGGATACAGTGAGACCAATATTCTAACTACTTCCAAATCTACTGCCTTTGACTCTTTCTTTTTACCCTGTCAATGCTGCTTAGCCAAAGAGCACCAGGAATGTACCTGCACTTGAAGTATTTGGATTTTTTTTCTTGTTGCAATAAAGAGAAGGCACATCAGGGAGAACCATGGGGTATCTCAGGAAAAGGGCATTAGAAAGGACTTGGAAGATTTAGACTTGTGTTCAGTGATTTGAGGAGGGTTCAAGGAAGCAGGGCTTGGATATAGTTTGCCTGCTATCAAGAAGCAGGCGTAATTTTATGATTTGACATATTAATGGAATATTAATGACTCTACTTGGAAGTAACGGACCAACTTTTCTGGTCTGCTTGAGACTGAGGGGTCTCCTGGGGCAAGGCATTTTCAGAACCCAAACCAGGAAATTCCCAGACAAACTAGGAGGAGTGGATCACACCGCGTAGAGGGCAGGAGAAATGAGATGAGGCTACAGCTGGAATTGCTAAAGAAGCAGTCATTCATACTAGCCAGGATTTGCTCATTTTTGTGGTTTGGGCAATGTTCATTATTTTGTCTAGATTCTGACATGATTACAACGTGGTCTTGTCACTCTCTTGGTTCATCATGGTGACAGAGTGGCCTTGTCTAATTTCGATGTTGTTGGTGCTCAGTAGAAAACCAGATTCCGCCTCTGAGTAGCAGGCTAACTTCCGGAAAAGCAAGGCATTCTCATGTTGCCAGCCTAGTTTCTAACTGTCAGGGGCTGCTTTTCTTTTTTCCAGTTCCCTTCTTGGGGGGTTTCAGGGCTGCTTTTGGGTGGGCATGAGTTTATAGATGTGACCTTCTCATTTCAAGAGTTTTAATTTTAGCCACATTGGTTCTGTGCCATAGTGAAACATTTTGGGCTTTGAGACACTGAATAATAATAAAACATGATCTATTTCTCTTAACACATTTTTTCAAATAGAGAACAATGTTTTAATGATTAAGACTAAATGCTAAATTACTGTTAAAATTTTTAAAATCAGATGCTATGCTGCTTCTTTGAGATTCAAAATTTACATTAGCATATTTCAGTGTTCTTAGTAATACTGCTATAAGGAAACCCAATTTATTTGATATAGACACTTATTTCCATAGAATGCATTAACATTTTGGTAAGTACTAGTATTTCACTATTAAACCAGTATTTCCTAGAAATAAATACTAGTCTAATTTATTTAGTGATTGTCCCATAATTGTGCTTTCTGTTTTTTTTTTAAATTAGAAATATGTAAGGGGCAAATAACTATTCTGATTTAAATTGTTCTGACTTAAAATAAATGTCCTTAATAACCGTCATGGAAAACAAATGGTTTTATGTTTTACAGATCTACTGTTTTAATATTAAGAGAAAATAGATATGGTGACTGGATTCTATTTTTTGGAAAACACTTAACTAGTAGATGAACATAGTATTACATAGTTGATTTAGTTTAGTCATAAAGATTATAAAACTAGTTAAATTGTGAAGTATTATTTTAATTATTAACATTGGTTCAATTATTTCAGCTATCTTAAACTCAGTTCGGTTTCCCGTATATTAAATTGGTTGTTTAGCAATTAGTCTTTATAGCAATGGAGGAAATACTGTGGCTTTAGTTATATTATAATCTACATTCATAAAATTTTCTCTAGATTCTGAAGACTACTTTGAGGTCAACATTCCAACAGACCTACGAGCAAAACATTCTGGGGAAATAAGTGAGAGAAAGGAAATTGAAGAACTATCAGAAGCTTCAAGAAACACCATACCACTAGCAGTGGTGCTTCCCACTGAAATTCCATGTGAGGTCAGTAAAGATACCTTGTTATTTAAGTGACCCCATTGTGTTATGGTGGTGGTGGTGGTTGTTGTTGTTTGGAGAGACAGGGTCTCATTAGGTTGCCCAGGCTGGTCTTTAACTCCTGGCCTCAAGAGATCCTCCTGCCTCAGCCTCCCAAAATGTTGAGATTGCAGGCATGAGCCACCGCATCCAGCCCACCTGTTATTTTTTTAATAGATATTGTATTTCACAAGAATGCAAGCTCCAACATAGCTGTCATTTTTGTCTGCTTTGTTCATGGCTATCCTCTGAACCTAGGCAATTAGCAGGCATTTGATACACACTGGATGATAGTTGAATTAATAGGCATTTGTTACATAATTGTTGAAAAATTAAATAGTGAAGGTTATATGGAAGCTTAATTTTATCAACTGTGACTTCACATTTTGCAAATAGATGTACAATTGCAATAGCTCTCAAGCTAGTCAAAAGAAATTTAGATTCACAGTAAATAGGTTAAGGATCTATTTTCCTAAAGGGAAACATACCCTTGGATAGAATTTTAAAATACTTTATTTTTAGGACCACACCATATTTTCAATGAAGAAACATGTATTAAAGGCTGACATTAAGTGGAAATACCATAAAAGTTAGAAGAGATAGTCCTTCAGGAAATAAGAGTATAATGTGGGGGGATGATTTCTGGGCAGGTGACTGTGGGAATATATGTTCCTAGCATGTCTTCCTCCTAAATCTTGCTTGGAATGAACCACTAAAATAAGCCTTTCCAAATATCTGACTATATAATCTTAGGACATGAAAAAGATGCTGGGCCTCAGTTTGTGGCATCCTTGAGTATAAAGAGCCAGAGATACAGGAGAGCGTTATGGGAGTTGCCTGAAGGAGTCTTTCTGATAGAAGCCAGTGACAGGGGCTCACTGACCTTTGGGTGGGTCTCCTGATCCTACTGGTACCAGTGGTCCTGATGGAGGTGGAATATCCTGTGTAGAAGGGTATAGTTTAGTTTCCTCACCCTCACTCTCTAGACCCTTACCCCATGCCTAAGCAGAAGAATTGCTGTTTTAAGCTATTTGCTGTCAGTTCCAGAGGAACAAAAAAATGCTTTGACACTACCTTAGAGACCCCAGGAAACGGAACTATACAGGTATGAGGAAACTGACACAGATGATCAGGCAAAGAAAAATTACAAGGGCTCAGAACTTAAAGGAAGGAGATCAGGCTGAACAGTCAGAACTCGTGGCTCCTACTGAGTCAGAAACAATGGAAAAGACAGAAAATAAGTGTAATAAAAGAAAAATGGCAACTACTCTCAAGTAGATGAAATCAAAGCAGAAAAAAGAAAACCCTCTGAAACTAAAAGTAGCTCAACAGGAGTTATACAGTGAGTCTAAATAGCTGCTTTTAAAAATATCTGCAACAGTAAAATTCGAGCACTGTAAGACCCTTCTCTTACTAAATTTTCAAAGAAATCAGTCCCAAAATCAAACCTCACTGCTATCTAAGCAAAGATGTGTTATTTAGATAGCTAGTTAGATAAGGGTTTTTTCAATAGGAGAATCATGGACTGTTTTTTATTGACATTGATATAATTCTTTCAGACTCTTGGATTTAAATTATTTCAATATAAAATTTCTTTTAGGTACCCCACTTTTTAAAGAATCCTAAACATTTAAAAGGTTATACAAAGTTATTTTAGTGCCAGCCCCACATTCTAATCAAAGTAAGCTAATCATTGGACCAAAAATAGTTATCCCAGACAAGATTTTTTGTTTTCAGAACCTAGATTTTAGTATAGTCTGAATCCATAAGACTATTGCCAACCACCAGAGAAAAGACCACTTTTACCCACTGAGTGGAAATCATGTTTCAGACTTGCCACGACAACTTTCAGCCTATGTCAACTGTCTGAAAGCACAACCTTTGAATTCAAATTCATTTCTGAGAAGTTTTCCAAGTAGTCCGTGAATAGAGACCACTTAAGATTACTGCCTTAAGGAAATGATAGTTGAGGCTTCCCTATCATCCTAAAAAATCTAGAAATTTTACCATACTACCTCAGTCAGTCACCAGGTCTTCCTTAAGATGTGCCTGATTCATACCCAGTATCTTCAAACTGTGTTAATTTCTCTTTTTAGTTTTGTGTTTCCAGCATGCTAACACTGGGTTGACTATGAGCTCTTTATAGTTGCGTAATTTTCATTCTCTCTGATGAAAAGGGAGTTAGTTTAAATTTTTCCTGCTGCTGCCTCTTGCTGTGGAATTGCTGAGGTCTATGGACCTGCCTCCTAGAGAAATTCTCTTCTTTCTGCCCTCATCTGCTCTGCAGCATTAACTTTAGTCTATCGTTAATTAAGGCAGTGGGTGCTGTTGCTACTACCTATGACCCTTGGAGCTTGGGAATATTGATTCCTCTGCCTTGTCACTCTTCCTAGCACTGCTCTTTTCCACAGATTTGGATTTCCTAGACCTTGAAAATTATGTGCCACTTCTCAAACAGCAGAAAAATATTTTACTTTATTTCTTTAACTTTTTTTCCCCATGCACTAGTGAAGATATCCCTCCATTGTCCTATTTATGTAAGTTAATTATCTGTGTCTTTGAGAAATACCTAGGTGAGTTTTAGTAGTTCCAATCTGTTTCTTAATTTGACCTCTTCTTTTACTTTCTATAAGACTGGCACACTTTTTCTATTTTAGTATTTTTTGGACTTTTCTTTGTTTATGGGCCAAGACATTTGTTTTTCTAGCATATGCCTCTTGGTTTTTTTGTGTGGGTCAATTGACCATGAGAGATGTGAGTTCTAGGTCTCCCAAATGCATCCACTGTTCAAACGAACCTCATCCAATTTTATCTCCCTGATGAAAAATCCAACTGTGAGGTACTCTCCCGTTGGAATTACAACAAAACCAGAACTTGACCTGATCTATTTTTTAGTAACTTCTCTTCCCTGTGCAGTCCATTACACCGGCAAACTCCCTCAAAGAAGTGGCTCTCCACTGCAGGTGATTTTGACCCTCTCTACCCAGTGGATATTTGGCAAAGCTTGCAGAGATTTTTGATTGTCATAACTAGGGGGTTGCTACTAGCATTTAGTGGGTAGAACTCTGAAAGCTGCTAAACTTCCTGTAATGCACACAACAGCTCCCACAACAGTGACACATTTGGTCCAAAAATATCAACAGTGTCAAGTTTAAATCTTATTTTTGTGATCCCTAGTCACAGATTCAGAAATGACTTCCATATTTTCTCAGCAGTAGCTCCATCCTATAGAACAATTAGGAGTGAGCTTATTTTCTTTATCTCTTTTTTTCTTTAAACCCAGATCTTTAAATATATCATTTTCCCTTCCTTTTGGTAGAATCTGCCCACTGTAATCTCAACTTTCCTTCTCCCCAAATCTCTTACTTCCTTTAATATAATCAACCCTAATTCTTTTATTTTTATTTTATTTTCCCACTGCTGCTATCCTGATGTTAAGATAGAGACATTTGAAAAACCAGTTGAGTCACTTATTGATTTCTTGAGAAAATTTAATTCTGAAAGTCATCGTGCAACCACAAAAGACCGTTAAAGTGGCTTTATCAGCATTTGGATCTATATTAATTTTATTGAATGTTTTTACAATCAGAATCCTACCACATACCATATTCCCTAATAAAGGTCTTTATTTTATATGACCTGTTCATTGACACACTTCTAAGGCTAAAACCCTAATATGAGTCTTCAGCCCTTCGACAGACCATGGATTATGTAATAAACAAATATAGAGATAAATTGAGATGACATGAAAGAATGTAACTCTTAAAGGCCATAAGAATCTCAGAGATTACCTTTTTGCCCGTTCATCCCTTGACTCTGAATACAATTTAAAACAGTGTACAAAAGCTAACAGCACTACCCACTTACTTCTGATACCAAATCACAAACTAGTCCTTGGTAACCAACCTTAACTTAAAGCCCAATCCTGTGATTTAATTGGAAAATACAGTAAAAGCAGCAAAAGATGCTTGTGTGCATTAATGCCTGAAAAGTCTGTATTGTGAAGTGATGCCTTCTCAGAGGTGAAGTTTTACAGTGACCAAAAGATGTCTCTTTCTTTTAAATAGGTGGTTATCAAAAACTAAGCTACATACAGGGACTATTAGGGGAGTTTTCATACACACAAAATAATGCCTGTGTCCTACCTCAGAGATTCGGATATAAATGCCACATTGCAGACCAGATTTCACCTCTTTTGTTAGGTCTCAAGGCTTATGACCAATGTAGCCAAGCTTTAAAGTTTGGAAGTGATAATTGTCATAAACCTTTGTTTCCCTGAATGCTCTGACCTAAATAAGGGATTCACAGAGGAGTCAGAAAGATTGGGAGCAAAACAATAGCTTCGTAAGTGGTAAAACTAATTTATGACCACTTGAGGATCCTAATATTTTCTCCATTGAATTAAATTAGCTAATGTAATTAAGAGCCAGTGCTTACTCCCGGGAGTTGAGGAAGCTTTGAGTACTGAGAGAAGTATGGAACAGAGCTGAGCATGCTCAATGTTAAAGTGTCATATTTTTACAGACTTACTTCACCTTAATTTAAAAATATATATACAGAATGTTTTTACGTGAATAATTTTTGAAAGGTGCTACGATAATATAAGAAAATAAAAACACCCTTAGGATGTTTAACATCTAGCTAGAAAGGCAAGACACAGACATGAAAAACTAATCAGGAGTAGAGAGCATGACTCTTAGAAACAGTCAAATGATGGTTATGGATATGCAGTGCAGAAACAGTCAAATGATGGTTATGGATATGCAGTGCTTTAGTGTTCCTTTGAAAGTTCTAAAACTCTTTGTGAGCTGAAGTTGCAGGAGGATTTTGTGGAGCTGGTGAGACCTGAGTTGGACATTGTTGGAGAGGATAAATATGGGGATATAGAAGGAGAAAAGGAATTAAATATCATGCCAACATTATGTTCAAGCAAGCCCAGCTGCCTAGTTTACGGTGCAAAATGAAAATACAAAGTACCATGTTCAAATTATTATAATGTCAAGGTAATTACAGCAGAATATTAAACCAAATACAGGGCCTTCTAAGTGTGGGGCCCTGTGTGACGGTAAGGTCATGGGCCCATGAAGCTGGCCATGGGTACAAATGAAGATGTGAGTGCCTCATTTGGGGTGGTCAGTGTGTTTGTCTTTTGCTTAGAACATTTCTCTGGAAATGGTTGAAAGGTGGAGTCCTGACTTTCTTTTTTTTTTATTTTTATTTTTTTTCGACACAGAGACTTGCTCTGTCGCCCAGGCTGGAGTGCAGTGGCGTGATCTCGGCTCACTGCAACTTCTGCCTCCCGGGCTCAAGCAATTTTCTTGCCTCAGCCTCCTGAGGAGCTGGGATTACAGGTGTGCACCACCATGCCCGGGTAATTTTCATGTCTTTAGTAGAGATGGGGTTTCACCATGTTGGCCAAGCTGGTCTTGAACTCCTGACCTCAGGTGATCCACCTGCCTCGGCCGCCCAAAGTGCTGGGATTACAGGCATGAGCCACCGCACCCGGCCCTGAGTGAGGAATCTCCTGTGTCAGAAGCAGTCATGAGTTGGGAGTCGGTTGGGTGGATAAAACACTGGGAGAGTGCATGTGTACTATCCAAATGTGGAAAGCCATAAGTCAAAGTTAAACAAGGAATGATGCACACACAGGAAAGATCTTTGAACTTTAAAGCAGAGGATCTTGACTAACTGAGCCCAAGTGAAATGGAAAGACATTATTTGGCTCTTAAAGATTTGAGGTAAGGGGCAGATATGAGAAACAAAAGGAACAAAAGAACTGTACTAGAAGCGAGGCCCTGTGAGGAGGAGGTTGCAGATGTGAGGAACAGGAGGGCTTACACTCCGGCTTTTCTGACACATTGCATGTGTGGGGCAAGAGCAACAAGTGGAATAGTGGGAGTTCCTTTGAAATAGGATCCTTTCCCGATGAGCGTTGTAAATTCTGAGGAGAAATTTAGTTTTCCCTGTGGAAAAATATTTAGGAGTATTAGACTCTGGTGGAAAATGCCTGAAGTAGATTTTTGTGTGAGCTGAAATGATTCTATAACATCAACATAATTAGAAACTCTTTTGGATAAAGCATAAAGATGTAAGTTTTATTGGTGAGTAATTTATACTTAGGGGCATTTAAGAGAATCTTGAAATTAGTAACTTTTTGAGAAACATGATTTTATAAGAGCATATAAATGGGATCCCTGTTTTTTTTAAGTATGGAATTGAAACTTATTATGACTTGAAGAAAGCTTTTGAAGGGTGATATCTAAGATAATCATAAAAAGAATGTTTTATTTTAATTTTTTCATGGGGTTCGACAGCATGATATAAGGATTAGTGTGGATTTGGAAATTAAATATTTCTGATTAGTCTTCAGAATGTAATTCTGTATATTAGTTGTCCTTTTCCTAAAAGAGAAAAAGAAATAGCCTTATCCATTTATTTTGGTATGTGTATGTGTGTGTGTGTGTGTTTGTCTTTCTGTATGTCTTTGTGTTTATCTGTTTCAGTTAGGTTTAGAGGAAATATATTTATTTAAAAAGTGCTGAGTATAATTTCTAGTATAAAATAGATAATAAATGTTTATGCCTTTCTTTTCTCTGTATTAACCCCAATCTTTCATTCCTAGTATTTTTTCTCAATATTTTTTCACAAAGTTATTCAATAACCTTTTTCACCTTATACATTTGGCCTCTCCATCTTAATTAAATCTAGAAACTTTAGATTTATAACCTTTAGTCAACTCAAAAACCATGGCAGACACTTACCACAAATAAAGAGTGGCCACTGAACTTCTACTACATAAAATATAAAACTATTGGACTTCTTAAAAGTCATTATATTTAAATTGTAAGAGATCTTAAACTTTTTCAATTCTATCATTTATAGATAAAGGAACCAAGTTATATAAAGGACTAAAAAAGGGATTTGGAAAAATGATTTGGTTAACAGCTGAATTATAGCCTTCTGCTGGTCTGCGAAATGATGCTTATACCCTGGTACAGAGAGCCATATTGAGGAAGACGCAAGAAGAAAAGGAAGAGGCTATATTCATACTGTTTCTTTAAGTTGCAAAATATGGCATTAGAGGGAAAAAAAGAGCGTACAATAAAAAGAAATTTGATACTATTTAAAATGTAGTGAGAATCACATTTATGTATTTTATTTCTGGATACAGTTGAAAATACAAACACCATAGAAGACTTATTCAATAATAGTGTATTACCTTAATTATAAAGAAATGTAATGGGTTCTTTGGTTAATGTAAACTTTTCCAAATGCTTAAATGGGTTACATTTTCATCTTACAGAATCCTGGTGAAATATTCATAATTTTGAGAGATGAAGTAATTGGTGATACTGTAGAGGTTGAATTTACATCAAGTAATAAGCGCATTAGAACACGGCCAGCCCTTTGGAATAAGAAAGTCTGGTGCATGAAAGCTTTAGGTAAGAATGTTTATGATTTAATAAGCATAAAACATTATCCTGAGTTCCTTCCAATAAATTTATAATAAATGGTTTCACTTCCTTACAAAAACTAATATTGTTCTGCAGGTGTTTCCTGTGTTTAGTTTTCACATACCCAAGGTTGTTATTATTAATCTGGATTTGCAAAAGTAAGAACATGTAAATTATGAGAAATTAGTTTGTATACTGTGTAATGAAATGACATCCAGTAACATCATACATTTTTAAATATGTCAGCAGAGAGCATTTTAATTTATGGCAACCACTAAACATATGACTAAAATTGTTTGCTTTTTTGTGACATTTGGATTAGCAATTTATTTTGAGTTTTATTAATAAACTCTATTTTTTTCCCTTTCTTTCTTTTTTCCCCCAAGTCTCTGGTATATTTTTGTTACTCTGAAAAGCATTTTTTCCCATTATTTTATCAGTATGGTGCAATTTGTACATATAATCTTCTCATCTTTTCCTCATCTCACTTACAAAGCTAATCATTTGATTATCCAGCTTTGCTTATAGCATGATAAATTGTATCAGATTTAAAATTCCAGATGGAATAACCATAATTGCAACAATAATTGTATTAAAATCAAAATCTAATATTAATCTAATACTAATTTCTGGATATTTTAATATAAATGTAAAACTGCTTGGTTTTTACATTTATGATGTCTTTTCCTGATCAGAGAATAAAATCATCTTATTAAACCTCATAAATGTGAACTTTATAAAATATTTTGAAATAAAAAGATGCTCAATCTTGTTATGAATTTGGAAATGTGGCAAAAATATTTTAAATTAAAGATCATGTCAAACACATTTTGAACATTTTTTCCTTTTAAAATATAGTGATTATGCAGTCTATTTACAAAGCATTTACAGACTTCTGTTTGTGTGGAAGGCATGTGTATGGATTTCCTTGCACAGCTTAGACTGAAGTTGGATTATAAGAAGGAAAAACTCCATACTAAACATTTATAAACATTTCAGACACTGCTTTCTGTCATGGATAAGCATGTGTAGAAGTGAAATGAGAAAAACTCTGTCTCTTTCCTTTTCTTTCTTTCTTGTCTCAATGCCCCCTACTTCATTATGTCACATTCTTAAGTGGTTTAATGAATAAAATTTTCTAACTAATTAGTTTCAGAATTTAAATTTAGTTAGACTAAAGACACTATAGAAATATCAATATTGCAAATTAAGAAGCACTTAAATAATATTTCCCAAATAGCAGATCAAGATGTCAAATATAATTATTCACATTACTTAAGAATTTTTGCTCAGTATACCTACTGGGTGAGAGCAGTATAAAGAATAAAACATGTCAAAGTTCAAATTAATTATAAGAAAAGCAGAAAATGAATATGCCATGCTTCCAAGATATACCAAGACATACTATTGTCTTCATGATTAAACAACAAATCTGTAATAAATAAATAAACCACTGTTTACCAACTATCATAATTAAACTTATTTAAGTATTCGTTTCAACTGTTGTATTCTTTAAATTGATGAGAAATTTTCTCCCAAAATGTTGGCTGCTTTGTAGCAATATTCAAGATGGTTACCTGAACCTGTTTGGTTGGATGGAAACTGCCTTGGCAGAAATGGGCCCAGAGCCTTATTTTCTCTGCTTCATGTCACTGTATTTTGAAATGTTTTGAACCCTACTAAGAACAACTAGTAAGAACTACATTTTACATCATGACCCAGTACATATGCACAGATATATAAGGAAAACAAAGGTTTTACAAGTAATATTTAGATGAATGGTTTTAGCTCGAACAGTAAAGAGCCCATTTTTACAAGAAAAAGCTGAACCACTACAAAATCGACCACGTTTCTTGAACCCATTAGAGAACTAAAGTTGCAAGGTGTTAGATGCAGGTGTGATACCTTTCCTCACCATCATAAGGGTCACAGTTGTCACTCCTGTAATAAAAGAGAGATTAACAAGAGAAAAGCCTAACAAATTTATTTAATCAAAGATTTATGGGAGCCTTCAGAAATGAAGACCCAAGGACCAATGGGAAACTGTCCATTTTTATGCTTAGGTTCAACGAAGAATAAACAGCCGTGTAGGACAGTGATTGAACAAAAGAATATGAACTAGTGGTAACAGGCTTGAGGGGAGGAGGACCCAGTAAGTCCTGTCTGTCCAGATTTTTGCTGGCTTCTCTATGTCACATTCTTTCCTCCCAGGTATGGAGCAGGCTTTCTCTGAAATGAGGATCTTTAAGGCAGAAGAGAGAAGGGAGACCTTTTTTGGTTTTGTGGTTTTCTTTGGGAAAGAGGAGCTCTAGTTTCTATGACCTGCCTTGGGGAAGAGGAATTCTGGCTTCTATGACTTGATCAGGGGCAGGAAGAAGGGTTGGAGACAGGAGGATGGAAGGTCAGAAAGACCTTGCTTCTGAGGCCCTTTAGTCTTCATTAGTTCAAAGTATGCAGCACACCAACACGTCATACTTTGGGGTATTGTCTTCTGAACTCTGACAAGGACAATCCACTATTCCAAAAGCTGGAGAAAACGATGAACTAAGAGAGTGTCATTTGAAATCTGCTTACCTAGAGCAGAAGCCACTGGAGCCACAAACTAGTAGGAGCACTTAAGTGTTAATTTTGATGAATGTCTGAAAGCTGAATATGGATTAGTTTGAGAGTGAGAAACTCCTGGGGGTAGTAGTTTTAGGATGTCCCCACACTTTTGTAGGATTTACCTCCATGAATCCCACCAGGTTTTTACAATGAAGATCTGAGAAAGAGCCCATGGAACCTCTGGTGGGGTCAGAGGAAGGATAATCGTGGTGAAATACTCCCAGCATGTTCTCCATAGCACAGGCCTACTCTCCAGAAGAAAACACCTCACCAGAGCCTCATTCCAGCTGGGAAAGGACATCATCTCACTGTGGCTCCCTCTGGCCTTCCTGTCTCACTTAAAGGGGATTAGGGGAAGGTATGCCACAGCAAAAACCCTTGTAAAGTCACAACGAAGAGTCACTGAAAGACTAAGACTTAATCATAAGAATGTAGAATGCTTTCCTTCCCTACCACCTTATGGTTACCACAACAGGATTCCAGCATAATGACAGTGGATTACTGTTTAAAAAAGCAAACAACCAACCAAAAAAACCCAGCAAGATTCAGACTCTGTCTCGGTAAAGTACTTAGAAAAGTACATAATCAAAAAGAGAGACAGAAACAAGAATGCTAGAGGAATTTAAAGCTGCTAGCACTGATAGCTACAACAAACATTAAATACAGTCCAACTCCTAAACGGATTCCTATAAATTCTTTCACTACAGGAGTATTTACCTTACATCTAGTCATAAACCAAACATTGCAAGGCATTCCTAAAGACAAGATAAAACACAATTTAAAGAGACAAAGCATGCATCAGACTAGAATTAGATATGACATACATGGAAAATGTATGAAAGAACATATTGATTATATAAAAAGAGATAAACTTTGAGAAAGAATCAACAGGAAATTCTAGAAATCAAAACCACCGTATCAAAAATTAAAAAATAACTTTAATAGGTTTACTAGTAGAGTTGACAAAGGTCAGAAAAGAATCATTGAATTTGAAGACAGGTCAATGAAAACTTCCCAAACTTAAATGGTAAAGAGAAAAAAGTTTTTTTGTCTGTTTGTTTTTTAAAGAAAGGACAAAACATCTAAGAAATGTGGGATGATTTCAGAAGGTCTAACATACATGTAATTGGAATACAAGAAGAATGACAAAATGAAGCACAATAAATATTCGCATATTAATGACAGATCAAAATACAGATATAGGAAGCTCAAGTAACATGAAGAAAGATAAATATAAAATATTGACACCTATTCATATTACATTCGAACTGTAGAAAACTGAAAACAAAAGAGAAAATCTTGTCAGAAGCCAGAGAAAACGAATACCTTACCTGTAGAGAAATGAGTATAGGAATACCATTTGACCCAGCCATCCCATTACTGGGTATATACCCAAAGGACTATAAATCATGCTGCTATAAAGACACATGCACACGTATGTTTATTGCAGCACTATTCACAATAGCAAAGACTTGGAACCAACCCAAATGTCCAACAATGATAGACTGGATTAAGAAAATGTGGCACATATACACCATGGAATACTATGCAGCCATAAAAAATGATGAGTTCATATCCTTTGTAGGGACATGGATGAAATTGGAAACCATCATTCTCAGTAAACTATCGCAAGAACAAAAAACCAAACGCCGCATATTCTCACTCATAGGTGGGAATTGAACAATGAGATCACATGGACACAGGAAGGGGAATATCACACTCTGGGGACTGTGGTGGGGTCGGGGGAGGGGGGAGGGATAGCATTGGGAGATATACCTAATGCTAGATGACACATTAGTGGGTGCAGTGCACCAGCATGGCACATGTATACATATGTAACTAACCTGCACAATGTGCACATGTACCCTAAAACTTAGAGTATAATAAAAAAAATTTAAAAAAAAAAAAAAAAAAAAGAATTACGTTGAATTTCTCTTCAGAAACCACACAAGCAAGAAAATAGTGGAGTAAAATATTTTAAGTATTGTGAAAAAAAGGAACCCACCAATCTAAAATTCTATATTCAGTGAAATTATCCTTAATATAGAATGAAGTAGAAATAAGGATTTTTTCAAACAGAAAAATGAAGGAGTTCATTACCAGCAGACCTGCCCTGCAAGAAATTTTAAAAGAAGTTCTTTGGGAAAGAAGGGAAATAATGTAGGTCAGAAACTTAGATCTACGTAAAGAAAGAGCATAGAGAATAAATGAATGAAGGTAAAAACACAATATTTCATTTTCCTTATTTTTAATTGATCTAAAAGATAAATGTGTGTCTGAAGTAAACACTGTCAATGTGTTGGGTGATTACAGCATATGGATAAGTGAAAGTAATGACAGCAATATCATAAGGGACAGGAGGGACTTAGGTTTGTTAAAAATGTATATTTCAAACTCTAGGACAATTACTAAAAATTTTTTAAAAGCTATAAATGTGCCATGCACATGTACCCTAAAACTTAAAGTATAATTAAAAAAAATAAATATAAATAAATAAATAAATAAATAAAAGCTATAAATGGTAGGCTAAGAAGAGAGAAAATAGAATCCTATAAAATTCTCAAGTAATTTTGACAGAGAGCAGAAAAGGTTGGGGTAGAGAGCGGGAACAAAGAAAAATGTAGGGAATAATAAAAATTACAAGTATGAGAGATATAACCCAACCACGTTAGTGAAGCCAAGTAAGAACTACTTAAGTTTAGTGAATAGTCTAAGAACGCCAATTAAAAGACAGAGATTGCCAGAATGGATAACAAGCAAGACCCAATAATATGTTGTCTATAAAAAACTCAATTTAAATATTAAGACACGGGTAAATCAAAAGTGAAAAGTGAAAGGGTTGGAGCAAGGTAGGTTGGAGGTTGGTGCAAAAGTAATTGCGGTTTTGCAAATGGCATTGAAAGTAATGTAATGAAATTGAAATACAAGAAGAATGAGAAAATGAAGCACAAGAAATATTCAAATATTAATGACAGAGATCAAAACACAGATACACCAACCTAATACCATGCTAACACTAATCAAAGTAGAGCTGGAAAGTTGTACTAATTTCAGAGAAAGAAGATTTTAGAAAAAGAAAAATTATCATGAATGAACAGAAGCATTATATAATGATAAAGATATATTCTCCAAGAAAACAGAAAACTCTTAAACAGGTATGCACTTAACAACAGAGTGTCACAATATGTAAAGCAAAAGCTGCTGGAATTGAAAAGAGCAATAGACAAGTCCACTATTGTATAAGATTTGTGATATACTTGCTTGGTTTGGAGATCTTGACCTGTATTTGTGTGTACTTACAGGGTTAGGTGTTGCCTGACTACTTTCATCTAGATGGTAAACAGCAACATTTAATTTTACTCTCTTCTATTTGAGTCCTTACATTAATTGGATTTTATTTTTACTGAGAGGCTGTAAAATACAGTCATCATAGTGAACCAAAATTAAAGTTAAATAATGTGGAAGCAGAACAGAGTACTGCTCATGTGAAGGTCAGTTCAATAATATATTACTGAGGGGGCCTTCCAACCAGATGAATCTATAAGACATTCTCTCTGACATACAGTTGAGAGCAGTAATTAAGTATTGATTTAATAACTGCCATTTAACAAATATGAGAATGTATACAGAAAACACAATCCTTTAAAAGGCATCTCATTGGAGGATTACTCTAAAATCGACATCATTATCGGTAGATCCACCAGTAAAATTTTGAGTTAACTAAGGATTCAATATATAAGAAATAAATCAGTTCAGTTTCATGTTAGATTAAAAATATATAGAATATTTATCTACTCTGTATCAAAAAACTACCAAGCAAATCTCACCATATACCTCTCCTGATTCATTACCGATTTTCTTTCAAAAAGTTAACTCCCCATGGTAAAACTCCTAATCTCTTTTGTGATAAACAAAATTAATATCTTATTTCAAAATAATTTTTATGACTTATCATAACATTTAAATTTAAATTTATCTTTATAAAATCTACTGAAATTGATTTCATTTGACTCCAATAACTCCAGAACTTCCATTACCATATGCGTACTGCTGTAGCTGATGAGATGTGCTTTAAAACTTTCATTTTTGTTTGTTGTAATTTCTCTTACATTCTCTATTGGATGGATACTTCTTTGGGAAGAGAGAGCTCCTATTTTTCTACATGCATCTTCTTTGTAATACAGGCGAGGTGTCTACTCAAGAAATATGAGGAAGAAATTTCAGCTCCTTGACCTAGTTAAGCTTAAGATTGCTTTCGTTGCATTTAAGTTTCCCTCAGCAATATTATAAGAAGTCCTTTAACAGCTTCATGAGATAAAGTGAAATTAATACTTAATCCTTAAAAACTTTTAAATATTCAAAGCTCTTATATTTAATGACCTATTCCTAACCCTAGATATTTGAGTGACAGTTTTCTGGGAGAATTTGGGAAATATCTCAATGACAGATTAAAAGCACTTAAAATTTGTTCCACAGATGAATTTAAAGAATTACATTTTGTTTAGTATTCTTACACTAAAACACAATAACTTTTTTATTGAAATGATTGTTTATTGATATTCTTTCATAGAAAGTCCTAAATTCTTATATAACTTTAATTCTGCTCATATATTACAGCACAATTCACAATGTAGTGTATCATTCATTTTGAACAACTTGTTCTCAAAAAGGCTTTGGATGAATGTATGATGTAAACAGTACTTCAGTATCAGGGGATTAAACCTTGCCTTTCCCAGGATTTTTCATTGCAGTCAATTGAATACAAATTGTATCATTTAAATCAGCTGTACTCTTTCAAATTACTATTTTTGAGACACTTGCCTGTAATTAATTAAATTGTTTTCATAAGATAAATAATAAATACCTAACTTTTGATAAATGGCTATACTTTTCCAAATTCTAAAGAATTATGTAAAGATTATAGATTATTACAAAGAAAAGTTATACTAGTAAGTAAGTAGGGACAAATAATTTAGTGCTTTACTTTTATTGTTATTTTAACATGTTTTTATATTTTAAGTTTATTTTTAAGCAAATAAGTCTAAAATTGTACATTTCATTTTGTGTTTTCCAACTACCAAGAATTTTAAAAATGATTTTAAGTGCTAGAGATGAGTAAAAGTGTTATGAATTTTTAAAGGCTTCTTTTATATTCTCTAAAAGATGTAATAGTATGAATATGCATTATATACTCTGCCCCTAACCCTTGTTTGTTTTTCATAAGAGTTTCCTGCTGGTTCAGTCCATGTCAATGTCTACTGTGATGGAATCGTTAAAGCTACAACCAAAATTAAGTACTACCCAACAGCAAAGGCAAAGGAATGCCTATTCAGAATGGCAGATTCAGGAGAGAGTTTGTGCCAGGTAAGTTAATCTTTCCACGAAGTTAATCATAATGTAAGCTGAAGAGCTAATGAAGGATAAGAGGATTCATGCTTTGGTATAAGTTTGAATGTGGATTGAATAACAGTGAATTACTACCAATCAATAGGAAGGGAAGAGGCAACCTCTGTTGTGCCAAAATGCAGACAAATTACTTTGCCTAGGTCAAAAAAAAACAGATAATGTCAATGGAAAACAGCTTATTCATTACAAGGTAGCCATTGTGATGGGCTCATTTTAAAGCTGTTACAAGCAGATAAAGGGAGAGCAATTAGAAAGAACTCCTAAGAAATGAATTCCTTCTTTATTCAGATCTGCATAACACAAAGTAAAATGAAAGTCTAATCATCTGTCTCATGCTTTGAGATTAAGGAGTTAGACAAACCAAAATATCACCAAAAAGGGAACGTGTGGTGTCAATCTAGAAATTGTTACTTTCATGTGGACACATCTAAGCTCAGTGTATGTTTTTCTTAGTTTCATTTATCATTGTTATCTGATTGTGAAAATTATTTTTTCTTTGTGATGTTTATTGGGAATATGTGCTTATTCCATCAAATTTTCAGAGTGAAATGCCATTTCTATTTATAACAATTTGATAACTAGAATTGTAACTTTGCTTATTTGTCTCAGTTTTTTGCGTGGGTGAGAGGTAGAAGAGGGTAGAGAAAGGAAGTCGAAGTATCTTCAAATTTACCATAAAATTTACCATAAAAACCTATCTTCAAATTTACCATAAAAACCTGTAAGGTTTTTAACAAAACTGTCAATGATAATGTAGCTGACAAGTTTTCATGAAGCTTTATGTGTTTAAACTAGTTTAGAATTGGAGGATTTGTTATTTCATGTGACACATTTTTCTATTAGGGTTTTATTTTTATATTATATGAACGACATATTTTAGAACAACAGAAAAGGTAAACATTAAGACAGGTAGTGAAATAACATTTGTCAAAATGGAGAGTCTGAGGACATTTGACAAAATGTCTATATTGTAATTCCAAAGCAAGTAGAAAAGTAATAGCTTAAAAAACAGACTGTTTCATTTTCTTGTGACAAGTCCACCTTATCCTCTACTTAAAAATTATATTCATAACAAAAAAGATTAATAAAGGTAATATATTGCATTGTGACTATCCAGTCAGTGTAGAAGTAAAGTAGTCTCCAAACATATTTTCTGTTGGTCTTTCTGTTGTGGGTGGGGATCTTTGAATATAGTAAAAATTAAATGTAATTTATGACTCCTGGACAATTGGTCAGGATGCTATAAATACACAAGTCATGATTTCTTTTACAGCTTGAAGTGAAAACAAAAAGTGAGTTTGCTAGTTTTTAGATAAGTAGAAAAATGCTGTTTCATTTTTACCCTCTGTACTGGAAATGAGGGGAAAGAAAGGGTCATTGCTTTTCTCAAGGATTTTTCTCTACCACCAAGCTCTGGCGGCCTGTAGAAGGGAGAATGTTGGGCAGGCACAGGATGATTCAGGTTTTACCATCAGGAGAGAGCCATTTTAAGTCAGAGGTCTGAGTAATGATGGACAGAATTACTCTAACCCAGTGGCAGCAAACCATGGCATGGCAAGGAGAGACATTAAGAGATTGTTTAATTTATGTAATTTAAGGCAGGTTTAGAGGTTTTGCAACTGTCATGAGGGCACCTAGAAGTATTGTGGGATTAGAGAAAACAAAATCTGAGACTGGGATCTCAGACCAGATCAAGCTGTACTGTAACAGGGGATAGAAGGAAAGGCTGCACTTGAGTCAGTCTCCCAAACATCTTGGACTAAGTGTGACATGGGGTTTGTCTAAATCTTCTGGCATCTGGACCACACAGGGTATCTGTGAACTCACTGAGAAGTTGAAAAGCACTTTCTACCCCTGAGGAAGCAACTGCAGAGGCATTGCCATGGTGTATTTTAGATTTGTTTGACCTCGAGGGAGTTGTCCTAGCCCACACTGTGTTTCTCCTTCAGGGCATTTGGTTTTCCTTTCTGTATTTGCCTTTGCTCCCACATAGATTATATATATTTAACAAATTTTGTGGTCGGGCATGGTAACTCACGCCTGTGGTCTCAGTACTTTAGGAGTTCGAGGCAGGTGGATCACTTGAGGCCAAGAGTTCAAGACCAGCATGGCTGACAATGGCAAAACCCCATCTCTACTAAAAATACAAAAATTAGCCGAGCATGGTGATGTATGCCTGTAATCCCATCTACTCAGGTGCTTGAGGCAAGAGAATCGCTTGAACCCGGGAGGTAGAGGTTGCAATGAGCTGAAATCACGCCACAGCACTCCAGCCTGGGTGACAGAATAAGTCTCTGTCTCAAAAACTAAAGAAAAAAAAAAAAAGAAAAGTAAAAAGAAAAAAAAACCCAGCATTTTGTGGAAAGCTGTACATTTCTTTTCCAGGTTAGAACATTTCAGTAATTGTTTCTTTCATGGGCTACTCAGCCATTTTTTTTAAGAAATGTGAATATTTTGCCCGTGGTTCACTCTGAACATCTGTATTGAAAACACAATGTAAATTGTAATTTTATTTAGCATAGTTACTGTTTATATGTCAGAATATATGCCAGAAGATTTGAATTTTTAAAATAACCTACTTACTTAGCTGAAATGTTATATTGTAAGAACTTTCCTGAGTTTTCTAGTAAATTTTAATGGCAGATGTGATTTCAGTAATCCTAAAAATTAGTAGTAAGATCTTTCTCATGAGCATTTAAAAGCTATTGGGCATGTAATAACATGAACATTGTGTGAATTTGAGGAAAGAATTACTAATGAGAAATCTGCAGGATTTAAGTTTCAGCAATTGTTGAGTTTGTAATAAGAGACCTTGTATTATCATTTTAAAAAAACTGCGCATATAGCAAAATGAGCGTTCTGTGAATTTGAGAAAAGAAGTAATAATGAGAAATCTGGCTTTCTAATTTAATTTTTAATGATGTCTATTAGGTTTTAGAACACTAATCTGAATGGTTTAATTATCTATCTGCTTTTTTAATCATTTCATCTTTGTTAGATAAACACTGAATCCCAGAACATAGCCTCATAAAGGTGAAATTTCCAGAACATCACTTAAAACAGTGAATATAAGAGAGATTCAAATGAAAGAAATCCAAAGCCCAGTTTGGGATGATAATTAGAATTGAAGTGCTAGTGTTAGAAATACTGGTAACTCCTATTGAACTAAGGTAATTAAAATCTTTGAGACTTTCATCCTATTTACAAAAATGTCTTGGGGAAATAATAAAGTTAACTTTGTAACTAGATAACAATATAAAAGGGAAATAACATCGAAAGGCTAAAAGAACACAGTAATTATTAATTTAAGTAGTAGGATCCTTTTCAGTAAAAGATTTTTGAAATGACACCAAATAATTCTTCTTAGTTATATTGCTTATTAGTAAAAAGGTATCTTTGTTTTGCACGTATTTATCCTTTTGCATATTTTACTTTACACATATTGAAATATTATTTTCATTTTCATGTCAGGTACACTTCTGTTTTTATTCAATTGCATGTATTATTCAATCTTTGATTTGCTGCCTGCAAATATTTGATACAATGTAAAGCCAAATGGGTTTTGAATTAGGAAAGGTACGGACTTAGGGAACTCTCATCGTGAAGAACTTCTCCCTGTGCTTCTGTTAATAGTTCCCTGAAAGGTTAATTTCTTCATTGAATTAAAGCTTAGATGTTAGCAGTTGTCTCCCTTAATGAATTCTTCAGGAGATTCTTCCCATCGAGAGATACTGGGAAGTCTCCTGCCTTTCAGAAATGCTTTTAGGTCCCTATCTTTCTCAAAAGCTTAATGGAAACCTTCTTTTCTCTTCACCAGCTCCTATTGATAAGAGGTACAAATGCGTCTAGTCTCTAAGCTTTACCATACATCAGTGTTATCTAAGATACTTCCTTGCTACAAACTTTCAGTGGCTTACTGGATAAGAAGGTTCAAACTTCTTTGAATGTCACACAGACTGCAGGTTCCCAAGTGTTTTCCAGAATCAACTCCTTTCACAGGCGCATCTTTTCCATGTCTTCTTAACTCTATGATTGCTATGTTCTAGCCACTCTTTTAGAGCATATTATGCTCTTTTCTTCAGGCCTCTCCCTTCTTTAATGCATGAACACTGTGTTTTTCATGTTTGCATGCCCAGTATCTTTCACACAACTAGTTCCTGATACAAGGGGGCAACTAATATTTGTTGCTTAAAAAGTGGGGAAAACACAAACAGTTGCTTTTTACAGTGCTAATTGAGTAGATAAGTGAAAACTTATAGAACAGGAATTTAAATAAAGATAGAAAGTGAGAGGAAGGGGTGGAGCAAATTGGCAGAATAGAAGGCTCTACCAATTGTCCCCCTGCAAGGATTTATCAACTGTCTATATAAGAAAACCACCTTCATAAGAACAAAAAATCAGGTGAGCACTTAAAGAATCTGGTTTAACGTTATATCACTGAAAGAGGCACTGAAGAGGTAGGAAAAAATCTTGAGTCAACAATGCCAACCTTCACTGATCCTCTGGGAGCAGGTGTGGTGCAGAGACTGTTTCTGTGTGTTGGGGAGAGGGAGAGCACAGCAATTATGAGGCATTGAACCCTGAGCTGCCCTATTATAACAGAAAATAAAACAGGACCAAACTCAGCTGACATTCACTGTATTAATCCATTCTCACACTGCTATAAAGAACTACCTGATACTGGGTAATTTATAAAGAAAAGAGGTTTAATTGACTCACAGTTCTTGTGGCGGGAGAGGCCTCAGGAAACTTACAATCATGGTGGAAGATGAAGGGGAAGCAAGGTACATTTTACATGTTGGCAGGAGGTGGTTGGGGGGACTGCCACACATTTTTAAACCATCAGATCTCATTAGAACTCACTCACTATCATGGGAACAGCATGTAGGAGAAACCACCCCCATGATCCAATCACCTCCCACCAGGGTCCCCCCCTAGATACATGGGGATTACAATTCAAGATGAGATTTGGGTGGGGACACAGAGCTAAACCATATAACCCACTTGTGGAGAGAGCATGTAAACCAGCCCTAGCCAGAGAATTATTGATTCCAGCACTCTGAAGTTGAGTTCCTGCAAGCCTTTCCACTACTGGCTAAAGTGGTCTGTGGCACAAAATAAACTTGAAAGGCAATCTAGGCCAAAAGGATTGCAACTCCTAGGCAACTCCTAGTGCTCAACTGTGCCCAGTGACAGTGGACTTGGGGGCACACAACCCAGTGAAACACAAGCTGGAGTGGCTAAAGGAGTGACGGTATCACCCCTCTCCTAACCCCAGACTCAAAAGCTCATGGCTCCAAAAGAGACCCCTTCCCTCTGCTTTAGGAAAGGAATGGAAGAGTGGGGAGGACTTTGTGTGGCATATAGGATACCAGCTCAGCCGCAACAGGATAGGACACTGGTCAGAATAGGGAACCCACTGCCTTGAAGGAAAGGATCCAGTCCTGGCAGCATTCATCACCTGCTAACTGAAGAGCCCTTGGCCCTGAATAAACAGCAGTGATATCCAGGTACTACATCAAGGGCCTTGGGTGAGACTTGCTGGCTTCAGGTGAGACTCATCACATTCCCAGCTGTAGTGGCTAAGAGGGAAGACTTTCTATGCTTGAGAAAAGTGAGGGAAAAGTAAAGGGAACCTTGTCTATCCCCAGGTCCAGGTGGCACAGAACAGAGGGAGGCTTTGTTTGGGCCAAAGTAAGGGAAGAGAATAAGAGTCTCTGCCTGGTAATCCAGAGAATTCTTCCAGTTCTTGTCCAAGACCATCAAGGCAGTACCTCTATGAGTCTGGAAGAACTACAATGTTACTAGGCTTAGGATGCCCCCTAAAACAGATACGGCTTAGATCACAACACACAAGTCTTTAAAATCTGGAAACCCTTCCCAAGAAGGATGGATACAAACAAGCCCAGATTGAGAAGGCTTCAATAAATACCTAACTCTTCAATGCCCAGACATAGGCAAACATCTATAAATATCAAGACCCTCTAGGAAAATATGACCTCACCAAATGAACTAAATAAGGCACCAGGGACTAATCATGAAGAAACATAGATATGTGACCTTTCAAAGAACTCAAAATAGCTGTTTTGAGGAAACGCAAAGAAATTCAAGGAACACAGAGAGGGAGTTAAGAATTCTGTCAGAGAAATTTAATAAATAGATTCAAATAATGAAAAAGAGTAAGGAGAAATTCTGGAGCTGAAAAATGAAGTTGGCATAATGAAGAATGCCTCAGAGTCTTTTAATAGCAGAATTGGTCATGCAGAAGAAAGAACTAGTGAGCTTGAAGACAGGCTATTTGAAGATATGCAGTCAGAGGAGAAAAAGAAAAAAAAAAAGAAACCATCAGGCACACTTATGGGATCTGGAAAATAGTCCCAAATGGGCAAATCTAGGGGTTAGTGGCCTTAAGGAGGAGGTAAAGAAAGATACAGGGGTAGAAAGTTTATTCAAAGGGGTAATAACAGATAATTTCCCAACCTAGAGAAAGATATCAATGTCCAAACATGAGAAAGTTATAGAACAGCAAGCAGATTTAACCCAAAGAAGACTACCTCAAGGCATTTAATTCACAAACTCCCTAAGGTTAAAGATGAGTCCTTCAATCAGAAAGAAAAGGATGTCTGTGAGCAATAAGAAAGCATCTGAAGGTACAAAACTTACTAGTAATAGTAAGTACACAGAGAAACACAGAGAACTGTAACACTGTAAGTGTGGTGTGTAAACTACTCTTATTTCAATTAGAAAGAGTAAGCGATGAACCAATCAAAAATAGTAACTACAACAACTTTTTAAGACATAGTCTAATAAGATATAAATAGAAACAACAAAAAGTTTAAAAGCAGGGGATGAACTTAAGGTGTAGATCCTGTATTAGTTTTATTTTTGCTCGTATGTTTGTTAGTATTAAATTATTATCGGCTTAAAATAATGGGGTATAAAATAATATTTGCTTTGGGAGGCAGAGGTTGGCAGATCACTATAGGTCAGGAGTTTGAGTCCAGCCTGGCCATCATGGTGAAACTCCATCTCTACTAAAAATACAAAAATTAGCCAGGCATGGTGGCGGGTGCCTGTAATCCCAGCTACTTGGGAGGCTGAGGCAGGAGACTTGCTTGAACCCAGGAGGCAGAGGTTGCAGTGAGCCAAGATTGCGCCACTGCACTCCAGCCTGGGTGACCAAGCAAGACTCTGTCTCTAAATAAATAAATAAAATAGTACTTTCAATCCTCTTGGTTACTTCAAACCAAAATAAATACAATGGGCACACAAAACAAATACAAAACAAGAAACTAAATTATATCACAGAGGAAATTACTTTCACTAAAAGGAAGAGAGACAAAAAGAAAGAAGGACAAAAAGGCCACAAAACAACCAAAAAAACAAATATCAAAATAGCAGGATTAAGTCCTTACTTATCAGTAAAAACCTTAAATGTAAATGGACTAAACTCTTCAATCAAAAGACAGAATGGCTGAATGGATTAAAAACAAAAAAAAAGACCTAGTGATCTGTTGACTACAAGAAATGCACTCTATAAAGACACACATAGACTGAAAATGAAAGGATGAAAAAAGATATCCCATGCCAATGGAAACCAAAAAAGAGCAGGGGTAGTTACACTGATAACAGAGAAAATAGATTTCAAGACAAAAACTATGAAAAGCGACAGAAAAGTTCACTGTATAATGATAAAGGATTCAATTCGGTAACAGTATATGACAATTTTAAATATATATTTACCCAACACTGGAGCAACCAGATATAAAATCAAATATTACTAGACCTAAGGAGAGAAATAGTCCTCAATATAATAATAGCTTGAGACTCCAACACCTCAATTTCAGCATCGGACAGATATTCCACACAGAAAATGAACAAAGAAGCATTGGACTTAATCTGCACTATACCAAATGGACTTAATAAATATTTACAGAATGTTTCATTCAAGAGCTGTAGAATACACATTCTTTTCCTCAGCACATGACCATTCTCAAAAATAGACCATATGTTAGGTCACAAAACAAGTTTTAGAGCAGTCAAAAATTTGAGATAGTATCAAACATTTTCTCTGACCACAATGGAGTAAAATTAGAAATCAATAACAAGAGGAAATTTGAAAACTTACAAATACATGGAAATTAAACAATATGCTTTTGAATGGCCAGTGGATCAATAAGGACATTAAGAAGGAAACTGAAAAATGTATTGAAACAAATGATATGGCAGTACAACATACCAAAATCTATGAGATACAGCAAAAGCAGTACTAAGAGGGAAGTTTATATCTATAAGTGCCTATGTCAAAAAAAAAGAAAAGAAAAATGTTAAATAAACAATGTACCGATACATCTTAAAGAACTAGAAAAGCAAGAACAAACCAAACCCAAAATTAGTAGAAGAAAAGAAGTAATAAAGATCAGAGCAGAAATAAATGAAAATTGAAATGAAGAAAACAATATAAAAGATCAATGAAAAAGTTTTCTTTTGAGAAGTTAAGCAAAATTGACAAACCTTTAGCAAAACTAGCTAATGGTAAAGAGAGAAGATACTAATAAATAAAATCAGAGGTGAAAAATGAGACATTACAACCAATACCTAGAAATCCAAAGGATCGTTAGTGGCTACTGTGAGCAACTATATACCAACAAAGTGGAAAATCTAGAAGAAATGCACAAAGTCCTAGATACACACAAACTACCAAGATTGAACCATGAAGAAAACCAAAACCTTAACAGACCAATAACAAGTAACTAAATTGAAGCCTAAAAAGTCTCAGTAAAGAAAAGCTTGTGACTCAGTGGCTTCACAGCTGAATTATAGCAAATACTTAAAGAAGGTTGAATACTAATCCTAATCAAACTATTCTGAAAAATAGAGGGGGAAGGAACACTTCCAAACTAATTCTACGAGCCCTGTATTACCCTAATCCAGACAAACACACATCAAAAAAAAGAAAACTACAGGCCAATATCTTTGATGAATATTGATGCAAAAATCCTCAACAAAATACTAGCAAACTGAATTCAGCAATACATTAGAAAGATCATTCATCATGACTAAATGGGATTTATTCTTGGGATGTAAGGATGTTTCAAAATATGCAAATAAACCAATGTGATATATCGTATCAACAGAATGAAGGACAAAAACCATATGATCATTTCAATTGATGCTGAAAAAGTATTTGGTAAAATTCAACATCCTTTCATGGTAAAGACCCTCCAAAAACTGGGGATAGGAGGAACATACCTTGACATAGAAAAGCCATGTATGACAAACCTACAGCTACTATCATACTGAATGGGTAAAAACTCAAATACTTTTCTCTAAGATCTGGAAGATGACAAAGATGCCCACTTTCACCATTGTTATTCAACATAGTACTGAAAGTCCTAGCTAGAGCAATAAGAGAAAAGAAATAAATAAAGGCATCCAAACTGGAAAGGAAGAAGTCAAATTATCCTTGTTTGCGGATGAAATAATCTTATATTTGGAAAAAAACTAAAGACTTCACCAAAAACTATTAGAACTGATAAACAAATTCAGTAAAGTTGCAGGATATAAAATCAGCATACAAAAAACAATGATATTTCTGTATGCCAACAGTGAACAATCTGAACAAGAAATAAAAAAAAGTCCCATTTACTGTAGCCACAAATAAAATTAAGTACCTAGGAATTAACCAAAAAAGTGAAAGATATCTATAATTAAAACTATAAAACACTGATGAAATAAAATGAAGAGATGAAAAAATAAAAAGACAGTTCATGCTCATGGATTGGAAGAACCTATGTTAGTATGTCCATACTACACAAAGCAATCTACAGATTCAATGCAATCCTATCAAAATACCAATCACATTCTTTACAGAAATAGAAAAAAAACTATCCTAAAGTTTATATGAAACCACGAAAGACTCAGAATAGCCAAAGCAACTCTAAGCAAAAGAAATTGGATGAATAACATTACCTAACTTCAAATATACTACAGAGCTATAGTAACAAAAAACAGCATGATATTGGCGTTAAAACAGGTACATAGACCAAAGCAACAGAATAGAGAACTCATAAACAAATCCAAACACCTACAGTGAACTCATTTTCGACAAAGGTGTCAAGAACACACAGTGGGGAAAAGACACTCTGTTGAATGAATAGTGCTGGGAAAATTGCATATCCATATTGGAAGAGTGAAACTAGACCCACATTTCTCACCGCATACAAAAATCAAATCAAAATGGATTAGAGACTTAAATCTAAGACCTCATACTCTGAAACTACTGAAAGAAAACATTGGAACAACTCTCCAGGACATTGGTTTGGGCAAAAATTTCTTGACAAATATCCGACAAGCACAGGCAACCAAAGCAAAAACGGACAAATATGATAATATTGAGTTAAAAAGTTTCTGCACAGCAAAGGAAACAATCAACAAGGTGAAGAGACTACTCACAGAATTGGAGAACATATTTGCAAACTACCTATCTAACAAGGGATTAATAACCAGGATATATAAGGAGCTCAAACAACCCTATGGAAAAAAAAATCTAGTAATCCAGTTTAAAAAAACAAGGGCAAAAAATCTAAATAGACATTTCTCAAAAGAAGACGTACAGATGGCAAACAGGCATACAAAAAGGTGCTTAACATCATTAATCATTAGAGAAGTGCAAATCAAAACTACCATGAGATATCATCTCACCCCAGTTAAAATAGCTTATATTCCAAAAGACAGGCAATAACAAATGCTGGTGAGGATGTGGAGAAAACTGTTTGTCGGAAAGTAAATTAGTACAACCACTATGGAGAATAGTTTGGAGGTTCCTGAAGAAACTAAAAGTCAAGCCACCATGTGATCCAGTAATCCCACTGCTGGGTATATACCCAAAAGAAAGGAAATCAGTATATCAAAGAGATATCTGCACTCCCATGTTTGTTGCAGCACTGTTCAAAATAGCCAAAATTTGGAAGCAACCTAAGTGTCCATCAACAAATGAATGGATAAAGCAAATGTCATACTTATACACAAGGGAGTACTATTCAGCCACAAAATAGAATGAGATCCTCTCATTTGCAACAACATGGATAGAACTGGAGGACGGTATGCTTAGTGAATTAAACCAGGCACAGAAAGACAAACATCGCATGTTCTCATTTATATGTGTTGATTTAATAGTCAAAACAATTGAACTCATGGAGCTAGAGAGTAGAAGGATGGTTACCAGAGGCTGGAATGATTAGTGGGGGTTTGGGTGGGGGAGGTGGGGATGGTTAATGGGTCCAAAAAAAAAGAAGAATGAATAAGACCTAATATTTGATAACACAACAGAGTGATTTTAGTCAACAGTAATTTCATTGTACATTTTAGAGTAACTAAAAAAGTGTCATGGGATTGTTTGTAACACAAAGGATAAATGCTTGAGGGGATGGATACCCCATTTTACACGATGTGATTATTACACGTTGTATGCCTGTATCAAAACATCTCATGTCCCCCATAAATATATATACCTAATATGTACCCACAGAAATCAAAATTTAAAATTTAAAAAACAAAACAAAAAAAGATAGAAAGTGAAATGAAAGCTGCCCTCTTAAAATACTTTGTTTTTTATTTATGAAATTGAATAAATGATCTGATGCTTAAGAAAGTGTTGAACTCTAAGAAGTGTCAGGTACTAGAAAAATTAAGAACTTATTCTGTACACTTTTCTTCATTTTCTACCTTAGTAATACACCATGTTAATACATTTCTTTACTGACTTTTAACAGCATACAATTCTAGTCCTACCTTTAAGGAAATATTTGCTATTCAAAAAGGCCTGAGATAGTACCACTCTTTCAAAAGACTGCATATTGTTTTTCCTTTAATGGAAAGTGGCTGCATGGCATAGGTGCATTAGTTCTGAATGAGGCAGGAGCAAGAGTTAGATTCTTTTACTAAATCAGCAGTCACATACTTCATGGAAGCTCTGTTTCCTTAGGGCTAAAGGAATGTCCTTATGTGTACAATGAAGATGCTAGAATATATTATCACCAAGATCACTTTCAACTCAAGTATTCCATAATTCTATGCCAAAAAAATTCTTAGATTGGGAATTACAACCACTCTCTATTCTGGAAGATCGACTTACAAATATGTGGGCACTCTGTGTATGCTTTATTTCACTTTTATTTGCATTTCTTCTTAGCTGTCCGTCCAAAGGAGAAGCAAATCGTCCAAGTTCTGTGTATCTTCCATCACTTTTATTACTTGTTCCATATTCCTGATGGAAGGTTTGAGATGAGTGGAGAAAGAACAGTCAATAAAATGCAATTTGGTGATTTACTTCTGGATTCACTTTTTCATATTATTTGTGTCCCTTATTAGAATGGGTCAATAAGAATAAGGCATATCTATTGAAGCTTGTATTTTACTGATAACATAAGTGACATTTCTTTTGTGCTGCATTTCCACCTGTAATAATAGTCAAAGGAAAATAATTCCAAATTGGGGTAGTTCAGATTTAATGATTATATTCACTTCAGTTACAAATCATTGAACTAAACAGAAGCATACCACTTAGTACACTTATGCATTTATTAAAAAATAATAAATTGGTTAAATTTAACAGCAGATATACTAGCTGTTGTGAGAAGACAATGTGTATTTCTGAGTACAATTACTTAGCCATTAATACAACCTTAATATTGATTCTCTACAATTTTTTAAATCTTATAAGTCATCTTCGTCTATTTTCATAGTTATTGCCCCCATATGTTATAACTTATATTTAGCTACTGTTAAGAATACATTTCACTAATGACTTATTAATTTATAGTTTCTTATCACTCAGTGGCAATGAATACTCTTCATTTTTTATTTATCCCAAACTAAAGCATCTTCATGCTTCTTATGTGGCCCTGTCTCATTGGCTGAGGTTGGCTTTGATCACCCGTGCAGAGGATGACTGTGTGCTGATGTGAGTGCTGCCTGTAACCAACCCCATTCAAGGGAAGTCTCTGGTTTTTACTACCTGCTTTTTTAGAGGATTCATGTCTTAAACAAGAAGAAACGTTTTAAAACAATCCAGAAAAACAAAGCACAAGTCAAACACAGTTAATAATGTTTCTTTACAACTACTATTCCATAATAAGATAATTAGAGAAAATTAGACGATCTGCTTCTGATAGGAACAAACCTCAAATCATCAATAACTCTTTGGAAATTAGAAGACTGAAAAATTCCCGGGCCAAAAATATGCTTGCTTGTATTTTCTAAAAGTCACCATGCAATCTTGTGGGCCTCTGTACTAATAACAGTTATAGTACAGTATCAATAATAAGATAAAGAAATAAAGTAGATATGTAATTTGGAAACTCTAAACTCTCTTTGGAATTCTTAAATTATGCTTTTACAGTAAACCAAATCATGACATGGGAAATAAGTAAAAGAAGTATTTGAAAAGGAAAATGTAACTTCTAAGAATGCTTCCCCACCAATTCCCTATAGTTCAGCCATTTAATTTTGTTAACCTTGGTACCTTAGGTAGCAAAACACAAACGAGTATACATCAGTTATGCTCAAGTCTTTCCTAATAAATCCAATGGACGTTTTTTGTGTCAATTTAACTTGAGTTTTCAGCAGCAATTAACACCATTGACCAAAGTTACTGTCCTGATTCAATTTTTTTTTGTTTTCTTTGCTTCCATGAGCCATCTTTTCCTGGTTTTCCTCTCACTTCTGTGATGCTTCCTTCTCAATATTCTTTGTAGTTTCTTCATTCTGTTACCTATAAAATAAAGTTACTAATTGATCAAGTTTTGATTCTTAGACTCTCTTTATTCCTTGATAAATATTCCCTCTACATGTTATCTCATTGGTTCTTAAGATATATTTCAAATGTGGTTTCCCTTTAAACCCCATTTTTTCAGTGCTCTCTAACTCAGGAAATGCATCTTCATCAGTCCAGTTTAAAAACCGCAAACATAAGAGTCTCCTTAATATCTTCTTACATACTTACTCTACAAATTCAATCCATACTAATACATATCAATGTTACTTACTAAATATTGGTCACCTCTCTTCATATCTCAACAGTTCTAACACTTTAGTCCATCGATTTTTCTTTTGCCTAAACTACTATAATAGTCTCCTTATTGGTCCTCCACCTTAAGTTCTTGCACACCTCCTACTATCTCAAATTCATAGTCTGGAAGGTTTTTGTTTGTTTGTTTGTTTTGTTTTGTTTTTTTCTGAGACGGAGTTTCACTCTTGTCACTCAGGCTGGAGTGCAGTGGCGCGATCTGGGTTCACTGCAACCTCCGCGCCCTCTCCCCTTCTGGTTGAAGCGATTCTCCTGCCTCAGTCTCCCGAGTAGCTGGGGTTACAGGCGCCTGCCTCCACGCCCGACTAATTTTTGTATTCTTAATAGAGACGGGGTTTCGCCATGTTGGCAGGCTAGTCTGGAACGCCTGACCTCAGGTGATCCACCGACCTCGGCTTCCCAAAGTGCTGGGATTACAGGCGTGAGCCACCGCACCCAGCCTGGGAGGTTCTTTTACAAACAAAGTTCTCAGCATGTAATTCTGCTCCAACATTTCAATGGATTACAATTTTGGGGTGAATTAAAATATTTGACATGAGCCATGTAGCCCTGCAGAGACTGTCCCTTCTCCTTCTCTCCAGTTTAATCTCACTTTTCTCCCTCTCCCTGTGCATTCCAGGCACAGTTGTCTGCTTATTTCCCAGACCATGCCATGCAGTCTACTACAGGGAACTTTGCATGTGCTCCTCTATCTAACTGAAGTACTTTTCCAGTTCCCCCTTTATTCTCACTACTTTCACCTAGTTAATTCTAATTGCTCCTCTAAATTCTTTATTCTAGTATCTCTTCCTCAGTGAATCCTTCCCTCATCTTATACAACTCCCTGTATATCTCTTTGTAAAACTGATCACATTCTAATTTGACATCTATGTGTGTGACATGTCTCAAATTAATGCCTGCCTTTCATGACCACGGTCAATAAGGGCAAAGCTACTATCTACAGTTGTGCATTGGCTAACAATGGGAACATGTTCTGAGAAATGCATTGTTAAGCAATTTCATCATTGTGCAAACACCATGTGCAAACATCACTCAGTGTACTTATCCAAACCTAGGCTAGGAGTATAGCCTGCTACACACCTAGGCCTAGTATAGCCTGTTGCTCCTAGACCTCAAACGTGTATAGAACATTAATGTACTGAATAGTGTAGGCAACTATAACACAATAGGAAGTAGTTGTATATCTGAACATATCTAAGCATAGAAAATACAATTAAAATGTAATATAAAATATTTTTAAAAAGTGCATCCATAGGCAGCTCTGTTATAATTTGGGACCACTGTTGTATATGAGGTCTGTCATTGACCAAAATATTCTTATGCATTACAAGGCTGTATTTAGTTCTCTGTTTTATCTCCAGGACCAAGGGTACTGTAAGACACATGGCTGCTCAATAAATATTTTGTTGGGCAAATAGGAGGTGAAAAAATTTTATACATTAAGTTTCCCACCCAGTTTCAAGTGATCCACTTATTAGAGCCCTTTGTTCCAGTTGCCACTAGCACAGGCACAGCCCCTTTTTGAGGAGGCAGTGGGACTTCTGGCTGAAGCAGAAACAGCAAGGCAAAGAAGGGAAGGGCCAGAAAGGAAAGAATCAAATGAATATAAACAAGATGGATTCTGTCACATAACTTGGAACCTGGCTCCCAAAACAAACTAAAAAAGAAATTTCTGAAATGTTTTCAATAAATCATGGCATCATTTATAGAAAGCATTTTTGAGAGACATTGTTTTGAGTATGTTATTGCTATATTTGTTTTAAAACTTCTTATATTTAACAGTACGTTGTTACAAAATGGTTACTAAAAAGAGGCAAAGGTAAGAAAGGGCATGGTTCTTTTGATTTCTTTAATGCCTACAATAGAAACACTTTGATTTGTCTCTTACATTATGAATGTCATTAAGTATCTCCATTAATGAGTCTGTTCAAGTTTGCTCAAGTTAAAACTTTGAGACCTTTTGACATTAGGAATTAACAATATATTGGGGGGGGGGGCATGTTGAAAAACTGAGCACAATCAAGCTTCAGTCATTACTCCAGAAGTGTATTAAGAAAACTTTTATCAGATTGTCTTTACATAAATTATGATGTTCATGGATTTTGCATGATTGATGGGGATGCTAGTCGTTCCCCAGTATTTTTTTTTCCTTTCTTACAGCATAATATAACATTCATCTGAGGACATGGCAATATTGCATTTCCTCCCTTGAAGCTAGGTGTAGCCATATGACTAAGTGTTGCCCAATGGCATGGCATGGCAGTGGAAGCAATATGTGCAAATTTATGAGCATGTCCTTAAAAGATGGGTGGAGTCATGCTCTCTCCCTCACTGGCTTTTTCTTTTGACTGGTTTGAATTCCGACAAGGAAGTGATGGATGAACCTTCTTGTACCATGAAGATGATATATAACAGTGAAACTCTAGACAGAAAGGGCCTCGATGCCTAAATCCAGGGTTTCTTTCTTGTTTAAGCCACTATCACTTTGGGTCTCTGTATTGCAATAGCAAAATCTACATTCTAACTAATTTAAAAGTTATGCGTTATTTAATTTAAGAATTTAAAAATAATAAACAGACTATGTGTTTTGTCAGTGGAAAAGCCAGTTTGGAGGGTCACATCTCCTTATTGCTAGACTTACATGCTCTTCTTATATCATGATTACATTTCATGAGTTTTTGTATCTAAGAGTTCACATAATAGTATTTAGAGAAAATAGAATTTTTACTGGAAATTTTGCATATCTACACTTACAAGATTACATTTAATATTTACATTTAAACTTCTAAAAAATTCTGTCAGTTAATTATTATTGAGATTCATAGCTAATGAGTCCTGGAGCAGGCATTTAAATGCAGATTCCTTGAATCTCAAAACATATTTTCTTCATGTAATAATACCACTTGCAAGTATTTAAAGAGATTCTACAACTATATGAAAACCTAATCAATAATACATATAAAATCATTTTCATTGTTTTATATGTTTGTTTTTATATTTATAGTCACAGATATTGCAATTCAAAGAAATGATTCATTCAAAACAGAAAATTAAGTTGATAAAAGAAAATATCTCTTTTAGATTTATACATTTACATTATTATTTTAAATTAACTGCTTTGAGCTGAGCACGTATAAAGTTTTTAAAAAATCTTTGCATAACCCTAGAAAACATTTGCTTTGCTCTTTTTTTCTATCATTTTCTTTACAAGCTGCAGTAAGATTTTTTTAAAGATATGTAAACTATTTATCAAATTTCACTTTAAACGGCTGTTTTGGCTCTCTTTCATGGCACACATTTAAGAACAGAGCAACAAATGAGATGACCTTTCTTTTACTAGTGAAACTTAAACAAGCACAGCAATTTGTTATAAGAAGAAGAGCAAGGCTGTTTTCAGCTCAACCGTTGACTTTCCTTTTAGATACTTCTTGGCCTACCTCCATTTATGGAAGCTAGAAAGACCAGATTCCAACATTTTTAACTAACCTTGCAGTTAGACATATCACGTGAGAGAGTTTTCAACAACGAGACACAAGGGGACATCTTTGAAACTTTTGCTTTTCTGGTTAAACAGAGAAAAAGAATAGATATGGTTGGCTGTAGCCCCCTCTCCCAGTACCCCTACCTCCCACACACATCACTTTCCTCCCTCTTTCTGGCTAAACATCAGTATAATGTTGGGAACTGCAGTGGTGATCTTGAAGCCATGGGAGCATAATTTATTCTTTACTTAAATACTATTTCAGATTTTATCCTTCTCTCCACGATTAGAATGTAGGATTAAATTTACTGTGTTTAGAATGTAAAGATCTAAGTTAGAATCTTTATTTACCACTTATTAGCTCTGCCAATTTGCGTGTTACTGAATTTTTTGTATCATGCTTATCACCTCTATAAAAGTAGACATTTAGAAAAATCTACCTTGCAGGATGTTATAAAAGTTAGAGATAGCTTATATAGAGCCTGGCACATTAGCAGTGCTCCGCATGTGGTAGTTATTACTATTAGTTAAACTGTTTGAATCCGTTCATTGCATGCTTATTCCTATAACATATCCTTTTACAGCACTCCAGTGATCTGAAATACTTCCCAGCTATTTACATTATGTAATACTGTCCTAAAATGCTTTCAAATACAGCCTCTCGATGCCATTTTGCTCAGTGTTCACACCCCTCATCAAAGAGAGGAGTGAAATCCAACTTCGAAGGGGTGCTTTTATATAAGTATCTATATATCTCAAGGAATTCAGTTTTGTGTAATAAATATTTGGGGGGATCGTTAGTATTTAATTAAACTTATTTTTTAGATAATTGTACATTCATATATAGTTGTAGGTTATATAGAAAGGGACTGTGTATTATGGTAGTTTGTGTTTTTCAAGGACTTGGTTCATTTCATCTAAATCATCAAACTCATGTATGTAGAATTGTTCATATACTCCCTTTTATTCTTTTGATGTCTGCAGGGTTTGTATTGATATCTTTTTTTTCATTTGTGATATTTGTAATCTGCATTTTCTCCCTATTTTTCTTTGTAAGTCTTGCTAGAAGTTTGTCAATTTTATTGATCTTTTAAAAGAATCACAGGCCGAGGCGGGTGGATCATGAGGTCAGGAGATCGAGACCATCCTGGCTAACAAGGTGAAACCCCGTCTCTACTAAAAATACAAAAAATTAGCCGGGCGCGGTGGCGGGCGCCTGTAGTCCCAGCTACTCGGGAGGCTGAGGCAGGAGAATGGCGTGAACCCGGGAAGCGGAGCTTGCAGTGAGCCGAGATTGCGCCACTGCAGTCCGCAGTCCGGCCTGGGCGACAGAGCGAGACTCCGTCTCAAAAAAAAAAAAAAAAAAAAAAAAGAATCACTTGTTACTATAGTTTTTCTTTATTGTTTTCATACTTTCAATTTTGAGTTCAGCTGTTATACTTTTTGTTCTCTTGTTCTGCTTGCTTTGAGATTGTTATGTTCTTTTTCTGAATTCTTGAAGTAGGAACCTAGATAATTGATTTGAGACTTTCTCTCTTTTCCAATGTATTATAAAATTTTCTCAGCCCTCCTTTAGCTATGTTCCAAAAATTTTGATATGTTGTATTTCACTTTCATTCAGTTTAATGTATTTTTAAAATTCTGTTCAGAGTTTCCTTTTGACCCACAGATTACTTAGTAGCATTGTTGTTTGGTTTCTTAATATTTGGACACTTTCCTATGATCTTTCTGTTATGGATTTCTAGTTTGATTCCATGCGGTCAGAAAAGACACTGTATGATTTAAATTATTCTAAATTTGTTAATATTTGTTTTATGCCTCAGGATATGATCTATCTTGGTATAAGTTTCTCAAACCCTTGGAAAGAATGTATTCTGCTGTTACTGGATGGAGTGGTCTATGTATGTGGATTGATGCTGATTGGTTAGATCATTGGGATGATGGTGTGTTTGAATTTTTTTATTTTTTCCTGATTTTCTGTCTACCAATTGTAGAAAGAGAGATATTTAAGTCATCACTGTCATTGTGGAGTTGTCTGTTTCTCCTTTCAGTTCTGTCCATTTTTCCTTCACATTTTTTGAAGTTTTGTTTTTTGGTGCATATGTATTCAGGATTACTATGTCCTCTTGATGGATTGACTCTATCATTATATAAGGTCCCTTTCTGTCTCCTGTAAATTTTTTTGCTCTGATGTCTATTTTATTGATATTAATATAGCCATTTTTGCTTTCCTTTGTAATTTTTGCATGCTATATCTGTTTTATTCTTCTACTTAAACCTGCTAATTTTACTTATTATAAATATTATTAAAGTATAATTTTATTTATTATAAAAACCTGATTTTATTTATTATAAAAAATAAATAAATTTTATAATTATTATTATAAAGAGAACATATAGTTAAATCATATTTTTAAATCCACTCTATTTTTTGTTTTTAATTTTCTCTGTTTTCATTTGTTATTTTTTTTTTCTTGCTTTCCTGTGTGTTACTTATTTTTTTTTTAAAGAAATTCACTTTGATGTATCTCTTGTATTTTAAATGCACCTATTTGCACAACTTTTTAAGTTGTTGATGTAGGTATTATATTATATATACAAAACTTATAGTCTAGCGCTGTCTTCATTTTACCAGTTTGAGTGAAGTATAAAAATCCTACCTCCTTTGACTTCTCTTTACCCATCCCCCATTTATAATATAAATGTCTTAGATATTTTGACTACATACATTTAGAACACATAAGACAGTGTTATACCTTATCTTTAACTGTCAAGTATGAGTTAGAAAACTCAAGAGAAGAAGGAAAGTCTATCATACTTACCTATACTTTTGCTTATTGTGTTCTTGCTCTCTGATGTGCCAAAAGGTCTTCTTTCATTATAACCTTATACTTTAGAGAACTTTTCTTTTTCCATTATTTTAGGCCACATCTGCTGATAACAGATTCCCTTAGTTTTTCTTTATCAGAAATGCTTTGATTTTCTCTTCAGTCCTGAAGGGTATTTTTTGCTGGGCATAAGATTCTGGGTTGATAGTTCTTTTAACACTTGACAAATATTTTGCCACTTCTTTCTGTCCTTCATAGCTGCTTCTAGCAATCTAATTGTTTTTACCATATAGATAAAGTTTTATTTATTTTTCACTTTTTTCAAAATATTTTCTTTGTATTTAGTTTCCAGAAGTTTTATGATTAGTCTTGGCATGGAATTGGAGGGGTTTATCCTGTTTTTGCTTTTCACAGCTTGCTCCGTCTATAGGTTTATGCCTCTTGCCAAATTCAGGAAGTTTCTAGGAATTATTTCCTTGTGTGCTTTTTCATCCCCACCCTGTTTCTCATCTCTTCCTGGGACTCTGATCACAAGAATGTTCAATCTTTTGTTATAGTCTTAAAAGTGCTTGAAACTGCTTATTACTTTCAGTGTATTTTCTTCCTATTGTTCAGATTGAGTAATTTTTATTGTTCTGTCTTCAAGTTCATTGATTGTTTCCTCTGTTCTCTTCATGTCACTGTTAAGCCTACCCAGTGAGGTATAATTTTGATTACTGTATTTTCAGTTCTAAAAATTCTAGTTGGTTCTTCTTTGTATCTTCTATTTATTTGCTGAGAATTTCTGTTTTCCTGATAAAGCTTTCTATTTTTTATTTGTTTCAAGCATGATTATAATTGCTTGCTGAACTACTTTTTTTACCAGAGCTGTTTTCAAACCTTTGACAGATAATTCTAACATCTTTGTCCTCTTGGTGTTGGCATTTTTATTGGTTGTTTCTTTACAATCAATTTGCGATCGTCCAGGTACTTCATATAAAAAGTGATTTTCTACTGAAAGTTGGACATTTTATTTGTATTTAGGGAGAGGAAAAAGGAAAGTAGGACTACTACATCTTTCCAGAAGTAAATTCCATAATTCTGAATATTATTTAAAATATAATTTATATCTTTATTATATTTATATTTTCTAGTTAGGAAGAAATAGTTATAATAATAAAGTTATTTATCAGAAATAAGTGTAAATTTATATAACACTTTCAGATTCAAATAGAGTTGTGATTTATAAATACATATGCAAATGATTTTTAAGTTACATTCATCAATCCCTTATTCCCTCATCTGGAACTAAAAAAATTTTCTTGGGAGTAGTCTAACACTTTCTTCATGAACATAAAGCATTGTTTTTTAACCAGCCTTCTGGTTATTTCATTTCTCAGTCTGTTTTCTGTTTTCTTTTTCCAATATTGTCAATAAATACAGATGCATGTATGCATGTATATGTATATATATATATGTATATATTATGGATATGTGTTTAATTTGTTCAATAACAAAATAATAACACTAATATAATTTCATCATTTTGTTCTATTCTTAATTTCACATCAAGTTCATTAACTAAAGTCTTAGGATAAATGTGATTTTTTGATGAGCAAACTTTATACTATTTTATTTCAATCTTTCTTTTTGAAAGATTTGTACAATTGTATCAACTTCATCAAATGTTCTTTGGGTTGCACAATTTATTATAAGAAGAGAAAAATTCTAATTTATGTCATTTTAAAATTTCAATGCCAATGTTTAGAAAGGATACATATTGTGTCTTTGAAACATAATTTTAAAAGGAGCATAACTACTCCAGTCAGATATTTTTGGTTAGGTTGTCTTCTAAGGAGAAATCTTGGAATTATTTTTCATAGCCATTTCTGTGATTTTTCACATCTTTGTTTTGTGTTATATACCACTTATTTATGTGCAAGCATAATACTAGGAGTATGATTATTAAATTAAAATAGAAGTGGTTAGATTCAACTAACTATGGTGGGCTGGAATATTAAGAGTTATCCATATTCTTTCCTAATTAATTGTCTTTGTCTATGTGGTGACCTTTTTTTCTCATTCTGAATACATTGCTACTTTATTTTTAAAATTTAACTATATTATCTATGGCATTTCTCTCATTAAAGTGCTGTGGTACCCTCCATGAGAAATGGTAGTTTTCATATTCCTAGTGGGAACTCTTGCTGTTTTGAATTCTCATCTGTGTTTTAGAGTCTCAGATCTGGAAGGAATCCCAGAAGCTATTTTATGCCTAACTTATACGTGAGTGTAATAACTCTATGCCACATCAATCTCTACCCACTAGATTTTGTATATTTTTAAAAAGAAATGGCGATGGAGCTCCTCATGTAAAAATGTCAATGGCTAGATAATATGCTATACAGAACTGTCATGGCCATTGACACAAATTTTAAAGAAAATTTACAAACTAATGTTATGATTTTCATATATTTAAAATTTCTTTCATCAGTTTGTATCACTAAAACACTTTTTTTAGCTTTAGTATAAAGTGTCAACATATTACCAATAATTTTTTGCCCCACTGCTCCTTTCAAAGGCTTCCTGAAGAGATTAAAACAGTAATAACAACTAATATAAAATTGTGTCATCTTCATTTATAGGATAGGTTCCACTGAATATAAATACTCAACTACATAAACAATCATAATTATGCTAAAACCTAAATAAGTTTAATTTATTTCACATTATAGATGTTTCCACATTAAGCATTATAGGCCTGAAACAATTACTCATTGAGTACAAAATGAATTGCAAACTTATCAGGTGTTCAAGGCCTTATTTGAAATCCCCACTTCTTTTTTATCTCTCACTCTTCTTTTTCTTATGGAAGTACCTAGAGTCCTTAACCAGGCCATGCATATGATACCTACATGCCTATATGCAATTTGTTTGTTTAGTCTAGAATGCTCCTTGTGTGTATGGTCATCTCAATTTGGAGCATGTCTTCCATAAAGCCTTTGCTGGCCAGTTCTTTCTTCGTGCAATTGAGGCAGTTTCCTTTTGCCCACCCTACACCTAACTCACAGTGACTTTCAACATGGTATCTGGGACTCTTCATTGCCCATATGTGATTACATTACTGAATTTTTGGAAGGCAGAGCTTTTTGTCACATTTTCCCTTCTTTTTTAAAAAAATGTAATCCAGAGCTAAGAGCTTTGCACAATCTGTGGTGTTTACTAGATGCTTATGAATGCTGGGTTTTGTTATGCATTACATAGCTACAAGTTGAGAAAACGATTTTTCATTCCTTCTTTTCACTTCTTAGCACGACTTTCAAGAAATCCAGGGAGACCTAAACCACTTTATTACTTGCACCCTGAATTCTGAAAAATTAAGAAATAAATGAACAAAAATATCTTTTTTTCAGTACAGTTATTTAATTTGTGACTATGTCTTGACAATATTTATAGTTTTATTTTTGGAAATCCTTTCAAAACTCTTAATTAGAAACTTTTGTTCCACAGTTCCCTCTTCATCCCATGACTTTGTTGATTGGCCCACCTCCTTAGCTATAATCACCTGTGTCTTGAGCAATTTCGTCCCAGTCATAGCATGACATAAGACAACTTGAAAAGAATACTGGTTTTTGTAACAGGTTATATCATGGGCAGTAGAACACTTGAATACTGGATGGCTCCTCCCAAGATGCTTAGGTTAGAGAAATAGAGTAGAATATAGTTACTCTGTATCTGCAGGGGTAAAGAAAGGCCAAGATAAATATTTTCCCTCACTTAGACACAGCAATAATATAATTTAAACCATTTCACTTCTGATCCTTAAGTTGAAGAAAAAGACTGATCATTTTATCATTTCATTTATTAAACTGCAAAATATATTTTTACCAAAATTTATTATTGAAACAAATTTCATGGTTATCCTTGACCTATTGTAATTCTCTTTTAAAATTTATATTTTATAGTTATAAAATATAAAGTTATATTTTCTTATCCAAAGTTATAGTTTCTTATCCAAAAGCAGAGACTTTTATTTCTTGAATCCATTTTTCTGTTATCTTAGTAATTGGTTTTTAGGCAAGGCCCTTATGTTTTGATTTATTCTTTCTAAAAAGTTATCAGTATTACTAAAGATTAGCCATTGTTTACTCCAGTTAATAAATTTTTGTTAAATTGCACTAAAATGAGTTTCTATGTAAATAATTAACCTAGTGAAAATTTTCTTTTTCACTTGAAAACAGAATAGCATTGAAGAACTTGATGGTGTCCTTACATCCATATTCAAACATGAGATACCATATTATGAGTTCCAGTCTCTTCAAACTGAAATTTGTTCTCAAAACAAATGTGAGTATTTTCCAGCTGCATCAATTATTCTTTTTATCACATTCCATTCTATGTAACTCTTTAATGAATGTTATAACCAAAAATATAGGTAGCTGCACTGCTGATGAGATGATTTAGACAACTCCTGACTCCTGGTGAAAGGGTACATTAGTACAAACTTCTGAATGTTCGTTTGGTAATTTTTTTTATCTCAGGCCTTAAAAATGCACGTAACTTTTGCAATTAAAAAGCTTACTTCTTGACTTTTACTCTAAGGAAATGTTTGGGCAACTTCATTTAGGATAGAAATTATTCATCATGTCATTGTTTATAATAACCAAAAAGTGGAAATATTTTACAAAGATAAGTAATTGATTATACATATTTTCATACATCTATTAACGTGACCACCAGAAATTAATATTATTATAAATTTATGCTTCCCGGGGTGATGTTTTGGTGTATACTTAAGTGAATAAAAAGCAGGCTATGTAGCAGAGAGAGAGTGTGATCATCTGTTTAAAAAAGTACGTGTACATTTAACAGCATATAAGTTTATATATATAAATTGATGGTCTGGACAGATAAGTTTATATATGTAAATTGATGTTCACAGTAGTTATGTTTGGGTTGTGCAATTTCAAATATTACATCTTGTTTCACCTTATTGAGTCTGTATTTTCTACAACTGTGTATTATATATGTGGTTAAAAATATACAAATATCAAGAAAAGTATATGTAGGAGATATACATGAAAAATTATATTTCCAGATGTCATCGTGAGGTCAGTAGTATATTTTAGAATTTTTTTTTGTTCCTGCATAGTTTGTTGACATACTGTTTATAATTCATTTATATGCCTATGTGTGAAACACTGAAGTAGAGATGTAATGGTGAATATGACAGACATGAAGCTAAAGAATGTAAGAAGTCTAATGTTGACATATTAAAAATTAATGAGCAGAGTTTTATTTTCTGTAGGGTTTCTGTGCTATTTAAAGCAGTTTTGTCATCAGCCTGGAAGGCTTCAAGACAGTAATAAGAAAAGAGTAGGAATCCTAAGGCACAACTGCTTGTGATTCACCTAGATTTGTGAGAAGCTGCATAATGGTGAGGTTCCGTTAGGAAGAAAAGCCAATGGTATGCTAACTGTGAATAAGTAGTCTTGTGAAATTAGCGACATTTTATTTTTGTTTCCAATATACATTTTTAACAATATGTAATTCACTTACAAAATTAAATACTAGATGAGAATAGAAAAGGAGCATATGATTCTTTACATATGACACATAATTTAATTGGAAAAACAAATAATATACATGTATTTATAGAAAGAATCAATGAGATAAACTTGGTGGTAGTGATTATATTAACAATAGAATTTTAGATAAAGGGTACATTATTTTTCAAGATGTGCTTCAAAAAGGAAGTGGGATTTTACCTAGGTCTTAAATAATTATAGTTGCCAAAAGAATGAAAATAATCTTCCAAAGATAGATAATTGATTACATAAATTTTGGTGCATCTATTAATACAACCATCAGAAATTAATGTTATTGTAAATGTATTTTCTGGCTTGAATAATGTTCCAATGTATACTTAATTGAATAAAAAGCAGGCTAGGTAACAGGTTAGTTCTATTTGGAAATTATTTCAAAAGTCTTAATTAGGAACTTTTGTTCCACAAACCACTCCTCACCTCATGGTTTTGGTAATTGACCCATCTCCTCATCTCCTGTAATCGTTTGTCTTGAGTGATTTGATACTAGTCATAACCTTCATTCAAGCTAGGGAACCAATGAAGACAGAGAAAGGAAAAAGGAATTCTAGGCAAGAGAAAGTGCATACAATGGTGTGAAGATGGAATTATGACACAATTTTACAAATTTCCTCAGCATTATATTTGCTTAGATTTCTGGAATCAAAATTGTGGAGATGGAGAAGATGGCATGGTTTTGGTTTCCTGTTTTTATATGTAAAGAATTCCAGATAAGATTAAAACTGCCTCTCGGTATACTGTTTAGGTTGTGGAATATGAATTTTAGAGCTAAAAAAGCTGAGACAATTGTGGCCCCTTATTTTTATAGATGGAGAACTCTGGATGGGTTATATCGGAGTCCCTGAAAATATGAATCTGGTTCAGCAGGGCTGGGGTACATTCTAAGTGTTTGCCTTTTAAGAAGCTTCCAGGTGAAGCTGATGCTGCTACACCTCATACCTCTCACTAGGTACTAAGACTTTAGAGCAATTGTTCTCAAACTTGGCTGCATATTGCAATCACCTGTGTAGCTTTTAAAACATCCTATGTCCAAGCCATACCCTATACCAATTTATTAATCTGGGAGTAGGTCCCAGCCATCAGTAGTTGTTACAGTTTCCCAGGTGATTTCAATGGGCAGTCAAATTTACTAGCCCCTAATTGCTTCAATGTATTATAGACCAGCAAAATAATTCTTCCTTATATTGAATTTTGACACAGAAAAAAATATTACCCTCTCTTAACAAAGGTTATAAAGATAGTAGTATATGAAAGTTTTGAACCATCACTATAATTTAATGGTAATTTTGTATCTGAAAAAAATTATAAAATTAAAAAAAAACTTAAAGCTAAAAATGAAAAGTTTACTATAATCCAGATAACTCATTCAGAAGCATTATTGCTGGGTATTATTGCATAACAGATGTCATAAAACCTATATATAACAGAGCCAAAGAATCTCCATAACATTAAGCTCTAATTTCTAATTAAAATACAAAATAACATAATATATATAATAAGAATATGCAGTAAAGACATGAATATGACTCAGCTAGGGTTTTGCTTGCCTCCTTGATCCAATAGTCTTGGATCAATGTCAGCTTCAGAATATCTAGCCTTTAAGACTTTGCACCTGTGTTTCATAATGTTCAAGTTGATAGGGTTTAAGTTACCTTTATACATATATTAATCAAGGGAATTGGAAAGAGAAATGGTGGGTTGCTGAAGAACCTACTAGAGGCATTCTGAGAGGTGAATTCAGCAAACCATGAATCAGGTGTTACCCCAGGTATCTATCCTGAGGACAGGTCTTTATTTGGTGAACTATTTTATTTATTAAACAATTATTATTTATTTCTCTGTATGTTAGCTATGGGAAATTGAGAAATTGAGTCTCTCTCAGAGAACATAATCATAAGGAATTGAAAAAGTATACATTAAGATTGACCTACCGTAAGGATTTGTCATGGAATTACCTGCAGATACCTATGGTTCTTTAAAAGTATGGAGTGAAATGCTATATCAACCAAAAAATCTTATTATTGCCGCATCCTCAATTTAGAGTTATTTTGGTAAATTCTGGGTTTAGTTTCCTGCCACTTCATTTATAATAAGTAAAATACCATTCCATGTCAATAGGTCTTGGTCATTTTTTATTCCTCTCTAGACAATACACTCATGTTTTCTTGCATTATATGGGTGGGTGGAAATAAGAGGGAAAATACATAACAAATAATATTCTATAATATTGGGATGAAACCAAATATTATATAATGTATCATGGCTCTACAGAGAAAGAAGACTTTTAGCAAGTGAGGAATTACTACTCTCTGAAAAGAAAATTAAGAAAAGATAAAATCAACACTGAGGAGATTTTATAAGAAATCTTTTTGAGATATTTTTCCAGTATACAAATTTTGCGAAGCATGAAGTTTTACGGACCTGTTCCGTTTGCATTTTAAACCCCCTGAGAAGAAAATCAGAAGCTGTGAAGAAATCAATGTAAAAGAAAAAAAAAATGGGCAAGAGTATTTTTTCTGGGATGAAAAGTAATAGATGGTAGGGAAAAATGTAGTCCTGTAAATTCATTTCAAATTAGTAACAAACACATCATCATTAAGTAAACACACTAAATTAGGGATTGATGTATACATAAGACATTATAAAAACTTCTAGTGATTAAATTGGAGATTTGGCATGTAAATTGACTGTAAAATTATAGATTTTTCCACTCCATTTTTTTGCTAATACAACCCACAAGTACAAATTTTCGCATCTCTTGCCAATAATAATTTTAGCATATTCTCAAGCTAATTTTATGAACTGATGCTTCAGTTTGAATCAAATAATACAAAATAAAACAGCCAGTTTGAATCTTCCAAATTTTTTTTACCTGCGTAACCAAAAAAAGATTTTTTCAAAATTATACTATTGTTATTCACGTTTACAGTGTTTCTTCAAAGATTCTATATTTCCCCAGATGTGAATTTTGAAAAGGTATGCTTACAAACATACTGTGGTTGGAGGCTGTGAGTACAAAACAGGAAGGAAAGAAGAAGGGAGAGAAAAAAGGAAAAAAACTAAACAACAAGGTTGATACCAGGATGAGAATTTGGCCTTCGTCATCCTAGAATCACTCCCCAGACAAGGAATTACCTCTGGCCTGAGTATACAAGGAGCATAGATAGAGAAGACAGGACATTCTTACAGAGTCAAAGAAATCTTTTGGCCTCAGGATGCAATCTAACACTGCGAAGCATAGGCAATGTGCTATCCTGAGTCCAGCTTTAAGGAATAAGCATTTAGGAATGGTAAGCCCTTCTCCACTTTTCAATGACCTTTATAATCCCCTCTCAGCCCAATTCCATTACCATAACAACACATATTCTGAAATAATAGAGGACCCTGTAATTATAGATGAAAAAGGTAAGCCTGTGGACATAGTATTTTCTCCCAATTAGAACACCTTGATGTGAAAGATTATTAAGCAATCTTATTCATTCATTTATGTAACAAGTACAAACTAAGAGCCACTCTTCTAGGTGCTCCAGAAACAGGCGGCCTGTATAGGAAAGCTCTTCTTCATGAAACTTATTTAAGTCACTGAGAGTAACAGAGTAATAAAACAGTAGCAACAAAATAAGACCATTGCAAATAGTGATAAGGGTTATGAGAAAAATAAAGTGAGAAGATAGTTAGGAAGTGATGAAAAGCCATGTGAGGATTTTACACATCGCTTAATATCATCTAATTACATAAGACAAAATATTACTCTTGCTGTTACGCAGAGAATAGATGATGGTGTGTAAAAATGAAAGTAGGAACACCAGATGGGAGGCTGTCTTAGTAGTGACAGGAGAGGCTTGAAGGTGGCTGTCACCTGGGTGTTAGCAGTGGAGGTGAAGAGATTTGCTTGAGCTTGGTAGCTCTTTGAAAGTAAGGATTGTGGGACATACTGATAGATTGCAGATGAAGGAAAGAGAGGACGGGTCTGTGTGTAACTAAAGACATGTTTATAAAAATATAAATAAAATAAATATCAATGCTGTTAACTGAAATAGAGGTGCTATGGCAAGAATAGTTTTGACAGTGTGATCAAAAGTTCTACTTTGGCTATGTTAATTAAAAGATAATACATTGGTTGGTATTAAGTATATAAGTCAAACACCCAGGAAGGAGCTCATATGTGATATTCAGAGCCATAGCCTGAATGAGATTATTCTGCAGAGAGGGCAGAGCAGGGCAAACATCTGAGTCCTACGCATTGTTGTATTTAGAGGCCTGGGAGAGAAATTTCCATAAAGAGACTGAGAAGAAGCAGCCACTCAAGGTCTTTTAAAAGCCAACTGAAGATAAAGTTTCTGAGAGAAGAAAATTATCAACCATGTCATGTCCTACTCCAGAGAGAAGTGAAAAAAGCCCACAAAATAACTTGTGATATACACAACACCATCCATTAATGCTAGAAATGTACCCCCATGGATCTAGGTACTCCCAATTCTTTGTGCCATGAAAATAATGTAGATATATTGGTTTCTCGTGAAACTCAGTACCAATAGGTATTATTTATAGAGCAAATGCCTGGGAAGATAAAGAATTATAATTCTGATTCATTATGTACCCCAAATATATAAAGCCACAAAATATCTAAAAACAGATGGGAATGCAGACTGATTGAGACAATGCAAAGTGTTAATGAGTAGAGAGGAAAAAGAGCTATCCAGATAAAACGTAGAACAGGTCTATGTAAAATTTCAATTGACTGCTTTTTTGCTCATTTTCCAATGTAGTGAACCTCAGTTTCATTTGCTGTATACCTTTTCCCTATTTTAAGCATCTCCAGAGTTTATATCAGATAAATAAGACTGAGTTAAGATGCACAGATATTGGGAAAGGTATGACTAGAAGCTATAGGACAAATTATGAACAAGTTCATGTGAAATACAAAGGACAGAATAGCAGATGCATCAAAAAAAAGTAACAGATTAGGCAAAGAACTCAAAAACTCAAAAAGTGGGAGAACACCAGCATTAAGAGGCAGATGATAAAAAGCAAACAAGGCTTGAAAGCTGAAGTAGTTGGCTGCATTATCTCCAGACGCTTTTTGTTTTTTTGTTTTTGTTTTTTTTTGAAACAGAGTCTTGCTCTGTCGCCCAGGCTGGAGTGCAGTGGTGCAATCTCAGCTCACTGCAAGCTCTGCCTCCTAGGTTCACACCATTCTCCTGCCTCAGCCTCCTGAGTAGCCGGGACTACAGGCGCCCGCCAACACACCTGGCTATTTTTTTGTATTTTTAGTAGAGACAGGGTTTCACCGTGTTAGCCAGGATGGTCTCGATTTCCTGACCTCGTGATCTGCCCACCTCGGCCTCCCAAAGTTCTGGGATTACAGGTGTGAGCCACCACGCCTGGCCCATCTCCAGCCAATTTTACACCATTCCTATCTGGCTAAGTATCCGTTTCTGACTTGTGTCATCTTGGAAGCTGAAAATGTGACCTGGAAAGATGAGAATTATTCATACATTCTTACAGAACAAACTTTTGACAATAACAGAAATCTGAAAAATAAGCATGACCTCTATCTACCCATGACACCTGGTTGACTATAAGAAATTATCTTCCTCGTGATCATTATCTACAAGATGCAAATGGAAATTACTTTTGTAGGAATATAATGGGTAATGTTTAGTTGAAATATTATTCTAACAATACTGTTTTTCTAAAAATGCTATTAAGGTTTTATATTTCTCTAAGAAATAAATTATTATAAATATTGTTTAGCATGTAATTTTCAATTTGTTTTGTATAAAGGGTATTTGGAAGTTAGCATGATGTGGGCTTTAGTTGGGATTGCAATTTTAAAATATTTTTAAAGTAGATGATTTAATCTATACTTACTAATTTGACTGATGTTTATTCCCTTTTTACTTTCATCTGATATTTACAAAGGTCTGTGCTGTTGTTCTAATGGTATCTTTTATAATTGTCCATTTATATACTTTTTTACATCTTTGAAATTTATTGAGCCTTGCTTTAAGTTCAACATATGATCAGTTCTTCCAAATAAATATTCCTTAGTGCTGTATCTGCATTTGAGATCAGAGGCATTAACATGGGTTAAATTGTGAAAATGTCTAGCATTAGATATTGCATTAGCAACTAGGAGATCAGCCATGTGATTCCCTTTAGTCAAAGGTCCTGGAAGAGGTGTATGAGCCCTAATGTGAGTGATGTAAAAAGGGTGCATTCTACTTCTAACTGCTGTTTGCAGTTGGGTAAATAAAGTCATCAGTTGTTCATCTGTATGAAATCGTAACTGAGTAGTTTCAATTAACTGTGTGGAATGAACCACGAATGAAGAATCAGAAATCACATTAATGGGCATATAAAAAGAAGTGAATACCTTAATTACAGTTACAAGCTCTGCTTTTTGAGCTGAAGTATAGGGCGTCTGGAAAACTTTACTTTTTGAGCCAGAATAAGAAGCTTTACCATTATTAGCCCCATCTGTAAAAACATTCTCAGCACCTTCAATTGGTTTGGATTTAGTTATTTTAGGGAGAATCCAATTAGTTAATTTCAAAACCTGAAACACCTTCATTTTAGGAAAATGATTATGGAGAATACCCACAAAGTCAGCTAAATGGGTTTGGCAAGTAAGACTATTTATACAAGCTAGCTGTATTTGTGCCTTCATGAGAGGGACAATAATTTTTCCATGATCATAACCATGTAATTTAACAATCTGAGTTCTCCCAATTCTTATCATAGTAGCAATTTGATGTAAATAAGGAGTTAGAGTCTGTGAATTAGTATGTGGAAGAAAAAGCCAGTCTACTACGTCATGTTCTTGGACAATAACACCAGTAGGTGAATGCTGAGTTGAAAAAATTAGCAAATCTAGAGTCTTCTCTGGATCTATTCAATTTATTTGAGCTCTATGGACTTGCTTTGCAATTAGTTGTAACTCTGCCTCAGCCTCCTTTGTGAATTGCCAAGGGCTAATAAGACTAGGATTTCCTCTAAGGATAGAAAACAGATTACTCATGGCATAGGTAGGAATGCCTAGAGCAGGTCGTATGCAATTAATGTCCCCTAGTAATTTCTGAAAGTCATTTAATGTTTTTAGTTGATCCCTACGTATGGTTACTTTCTGTGGCACAATGGTAGTGTCATTTACTAAGGTCCCCAAGTAGGAGTAAGGAGTAGCAGTCTCAATTTTATCAGGAGCTGTAATTAAACCAGCACGAGAAATTGAATTTTGCAAGTGACCAAAACATTGGAGTAAAATTTCTCGAGTGGTGGCAGCACAAAGTATATCATCCATATAGTGAATAATGTAACACTGTGAAAATTTTTTATGAGTAGGTTCAATTGCTTGCCCCACAAACGTCTGGAAAATTATGGGACTGTTTAACATGCCCTGTGGCAACACTTTCCAGTGATAACGTTTAGCAGGCTACAGGTTGTTTACTGCAGGAATTGTAAATGCAAACTGTTCACAGTCTTGCTCAGCTAAAACGATAGTAAAGAAACAGTCTTTTAAATCTATGACTACTAAAGGCCAGTTTTTTGGAATTATAGCAGGAGAAGGCAATCTTGGCTGTAATGCTCCCATAGGTTGTATGACTGAATTGATAGCTCTTAAGTCAGTTAACATTCTCCATTTGCCTGATTTTTTCTTAATTACAAGAACTGGAGAATTCCAAGGGGAAAATGTTGGAGCTATGTGCCCATTTTCTAATTGTTCAGTAACTAATTTCTCTAAAGCCTCCAGTTTCTCTTTACTTAGTGGCCATTGTTCTATCCAAATTTGCTTATCTGTTAACCATTTTAAAGGTATAGGTTCTGGAGGCTTAACAATGGCCTCCATCAAAAATTATTTCCTAATCTTTGGCAGGAACTTTGTTTTTCCTCTTGAAGTGGTTCTTTCAAACCTTGCAAATTTTTTTCTAGACCCATACCAGGGACATACCCCATTTCATGCATTGTATGTTGACTTTGAGGGCTATGTAATTGTTCTGGAATTAGAACTTGTGTTCCCATTGTTGTAATAAATCTCTTCCCCATAAATTTATAGGTACAGAAGTTATAATTGGTCGAATAGTCCCAGGTCGTCCATCAGGCCCTTCACAATGCAAAATATAACTACTTTGATATACTTCAGGGGCTTTATTAACTCCAACTATGTTAAATTGAGTGGGTTGAATTGGCCATGCAGACGTCCAGTGCTGTAGAGAAATGATTGAAATGTCCACTCCTGTATCTACCAAACCTTTAAATTTCTTTCCCTGAATAGTTATTTCACAGGTAGGACATTTATCAGTAATTTGATTTACCCAATAAGCTGCTTTGCCTTGTTTATTTGTGCTTCCAAATCCTCCTGTTCGTTTAATTTCACTTTTTCCCATTTCCACAAATGGCACAATCAGGAACTGTGCTATGTGTTCTCCTGGCTCTGCTTTCCAGGGAACAGAAGTAGATACAACAATTTGAATTTCTCCATTATAATCTGAATCAATGACTCCTGTATGTATTTGTACCCCTTTTAAACCTAAACTAGACTTTCCTAAAAGTAATCCTGTTGTCCCTGCTGGCAAGGGTCCACAGACTCCTGTTGGGACCTTTTGCGGGGGTTCCCCAGGCAGAAGGCTCACAGCTTTTGTGCAGCATAAATCTACTGTGGCACTACCAGCTGTGGTGGGGGACAGACATTGCACGGGAGCGAGGGAATGGCCTGAGCTGGAAATGCCCCCGTTTAGAATGGGACGGCCCCCTCACGGTGTTTCCCGAAATCGGGTTCCCATCTTTATCAAACTTAGAGTGACACTGATTAGCCCAATGTTTTCCTTTTTTACATTGTGGACATATTTCAGGATCAGCAGTTTTCTTTTTTCCCTATCTGGCGGCCTGACTCGCTGATTTTTTCTACATTCTTTTTTAGTATGACCATGCTTCCCACAGTTAAAACAAGCCCCAGGAAATGGGGTATTTCCTTTATCCACCCTCAGTCCTGCCATTGCCTGTGCTAGCAGAGTAGCTTTATGCAAATTGCCTCCGATACCATCACAGGCCTTGATATAATCAACTAAATGTGCTTTCCCTCTGAGAGGTCACAGAGCAGCCTGGCAAACAGTATTAGCATTGTCAAAAGCTCATAACTGCAGCACTATATCCTGAGCAGCCGAATCTGCAGTCATCTTTTTAAGAGATTCCTGTAACCAAACTATAAAATCAACGTATGGTTCTCTTGGTCCCTGTTTTATAGCACTAAAGGAAGGGTATTGTTCCCCACTTGAAGTGATTTTTTCCCAAGCTCTAATGCACACTCTGCTAAGCTGTTCTATGGCATCATCCTGCATGACCAATTGTGCATCTAAACCAGCCCAGGTGCCAACCCCCAAAAGTTGGTCTGCAGTTATATTAATTTGAGGTTGGGCCTGGGCATTGCGAGCAGCCTGAATGGAAGTTTTATCTGCCCATCAAGTTTTAAATTGTAAGAACAGAGCAGGAGTAAGACAAGCTCGTGTAAGAGTGTCCCAGTCAGTAGGAATCATCCAACTGGAAACAGCAACATTCTTTAACAGTCCCATTACAAAAGGAGAACCTGGTCCATACTGATTTATAGCTTGTGGAAATTATTTGAGTAATTTAAAAGGAAAAGGCTCAAATGTAGCTATAATATTTCCCTGTTGATCGGGGGGTATATTCTAAAAGGGAACTGCCAAGCCTCTAAATCACCCTCTCATCTAGCTTGCTGAATTCCTGCCTGAATAGAACTAAGAGTGGTCGTTCAAGGCGCTGCTCAGTCACTGGGGCAACCACTTTTTGCCCAGTGTCCTCTGGAAAATAAAGATCTGGAGGGTCTTTTTCTTCAAATAATAAGGAGGGGGTGCAGAAGGGTAGGGATGAACCTTTCCCTTCCTTTGCCGCTTTAGCTTTAGCTGGTAAATAAACATGCTGTGTAACCTCTTCTGTTACTTTGCTATACTCTCATTCCTCCTCATCATCAGTGTGAAAAAGTTCCAAAGTGAAACGAACCAGACCCCACACCTGTACCATTGTTACCCTGATGCTTCTGAGCTCCCCTTCTTACTCACCACGGGGATTGCTTTAAGAGTACTAGGGTGTCTTCCAGCTAGTTTTCTGTTCCAACTGTTGCTCTGAGACCCATCAACTTGGATTCGAGCCCCCACAATGGACGCCACTTGCCAAGACCACCTCAGTTGGGGAGACCCTAACCCAGTGGCACTAGAGGAATTAAAGATGCACCCACAGAAATATACAGGTGTGAAGTGGGAAATCAGGGGTCTCACAGCCTTCAGAGCTGAGAGCCCCGAACAGAGATTTACCCACATATTTATTAACAACAAACCAGTCATTAGCATTGTTTCCATAGATATTAAATTAAAAGTATCCCTTATGGGAAACGAAGGGATGGGCTGAATTAAAGGAATAGGTTGGGCTAGTTAACTGCAGCAGGAACATGTCCTTAAGGCACAGATCACTCATGCTATTGTTTGTGGCTTAAGAATGCCTTTATCAAAAAGCTTATCCACCATGATCAAGTGGGCTTCATCCCTGGGATGCAAGGCTGGTTCAACATATGCAAGTCAATAAATGTAATCCAGCATATAAACAGAACCAAAGACAAAAACCACATGGTTATCTCAATAGATGCAGAAAAGGCCTTTGACAAAATTCAACAGCACTTCATGCTGAAAACTCTCAATAAATTAGGTATTAATGGAACATATCTCAAAATAATAAGAGCTATTTATGACAGACCCACAGCCAATATCATACTGAATGGGGAAAAACTGGAAGCATTCCCTTTGAAAACTGGCAAAAGACAGGGATGCCCTCTCTCACCACTCCTATTCAACATAGTGTTGGAAGTTCTGGCCAGGGCAATCAGGCAGGAGAAAGAAATAAAGGGTATTCAATTAGGAAAAGAGGAAGTCAAATTGTCCCTGTTTGCAGATGACATGATTGTATATTTAGAAAACCCCATCATCTCAGCCCCAAATCTCCTTAAGCTGATAAGCAACTTCAGCAAAGTCTCAGGATACAAAATCAATGTGCAAAAATCACAAGCATTCTTATACACCAATAACAGACAAACAGAGAGCAAAATCATGAGTGAACTCCCATTCACAGTTACTTCAAAGAGAATAAAATACCTAGGAATCCAACTTACAAGGGATGTGAAGGACCTCTTCAAGGAGAACTACAAACCACTGCTCAATGAAATAAAAGAGGACACAAACAAAGGGAAGAACATTCCATGCTCATGGGTAGGAAGAATCAGTATCGTGAAAATAGCCATACTGCCCAAGGTAATTTATAGATTCAATGCCATCCCCATCAAGCTACCAATGACTTTCTTCACAGAATTGGAAAAAACTACTTTAAAGGTCATATGGAACCAAAAAAGAGCCCGCATTGCCAAGTCAATCCTAAACCAAATGAACAAAGCCGGAGGCATCACACTACCTGACTTCAAACTGTCCTACAAGGCTACAGTAACCAAAACAGCATGGTACTGGTACCAAAACAGAGATATAGACCAATGGAACGGAACAGAGCCCTCAGAAATAAGACCACACATCTACAGCCATCTGATCTTTGACAAACCTGACAAAAACAAGAAATGGGGAAAGGATTCCCTATTTAATAAATGGTGCTGGGAAAACTGGCCAGCCATATGTAGAAAGCTGAAACTGGATCCCTTCCTTATACCTTATACAAAAATTAAATCAAGATGGATTAAAGACTTAAATGTGAGACGTAAAACCATAAAAACCCTAGAAGAAAACCTAAGCAATACCATTCAGGACATAGGCATGGGCAAGGACTTCATGACTAAAACACCAAAAGCAATGGCAACAAAAGCCAAAATTGACAAATGGTATCTAATTAAACCAAAGAGCTTCTGCACAGCAAAAGAAACTACCATCAGAGTGAACAGGCAACCTACAGAATGGGAGAAAATTTTTGCAATCTACTCATCTGACAAACGGTTAATATCCAGAATCTACAATGAACTCAAACAAATTTACAAGAAAAAAACAAACAACCCCATCAAAAAGTGGGCGAAGGATATGAACAGATACTTCTCAAAAGAAGAAATTTATGCAGCCAACAGACACATGAGAAAATGCTCATCATCACTGGCCATCAGAGAAATTCAAATCAAAACCACAATAAGATACCATCTCACACCAGTTAGAATGGTGATCATTAAAAAGTCAGGAAACAACAGGTGCTGGAGAGGATGTGGAGAAACAGGAACACTTTTACACTGTTGGTGGGACTGTAAACTGGTTTGACCATTGTGGAAGACAGTGTGGTGATTCCTCAAGGATCTAGAACTAGAAATACTATTTGACCCAGCCATCCCATTACTGGGTGTATACCCTAAGGATTATAAATCATGCTGCTAGAAAGACACATGCACACGTATGCTTATTGCAGCAAAGACTTGGAACCAACCCAAATGTCCATCAATGATAGGCTGGATTAAGAAAATGTGGCAAATATACACCATGGAATACTATGCAGCCATAAAAAAGGATGAGTTCATGTCCTTTGTAGGGACATGGATGAAGCTGGAAACCATCATTCTCAGCAAACTATCACAAGGGCAAAAAACCAAACACTGCACGTTCTCACTCATAGGTGAGAATTGAACAATGAGAACACTTGGACACAGGAAGAGGAACATCACACACCGGGGCCTGTCGTGGGGTGGGGGTAGGGAGGAGGGATAGCATTAGGAGATATACCTAATGTAAATGTCGAGTTAATGGGTGCAGCACACCAACATGGCACATGTATACATATGTGACAAACCTGCACGTTGTGCACATGTACCCTAGAACTTAAAGTATAACACACACACACACAAAAAAATGCCTTTAAGCGGTTTTCTCCCCTGGGTGGGCCAGGTTTTCCTTGCCCTCATTCCTGTAAACCTACAACCTTCCAGCGTGGGCATTAGGGCCATTATGAACATGTTACAATGCTGCAGAGATTTTGTTTATTGCCAGTTTTGGGGCCAGTTTATGCCCAGATTTTGGGGGGCCTGCTCCCAACAACATATATAAAAATATCACATTGTACACACTAAATATATATAATTTTTATTTGTCAATCATACCATCATAAAATGTAAAAAGACATGGGGCAAATATAATACACATAATTTTCACTTCTATTATAGTCTTTTCCATTTACTCTATTGAAAATGTATTTTAAAATATGTAAACCATGACAGAAGAGGGAAGTTTTCTTACAGAAACTGTGAACAGAATGGAGAGAAAGTCCACTACTTTGTACACTTTGCAGTTTTATTTAGTTCTCTGTGAGGTTAACCCCAATTTTCTTGTCTATCCACTTTTTTTTAGTTGTTAGAACCAAGCCCCTGTTCTTTCTTTTATTTAATGCCATGGTTCTCAAACTTTAGCAGGCTTCAGAGTCACTTGAAGGATATGTTAAAATTCAGATTGCTGCCATCTCTCTTCACATTTCTGATACAGTAGATCTGGGTTGGGTACAAGAATTTACATTTCTCACAAATTTTTATATGATGCTGATTCTACTCCTGTGAATCACCAATGAGAACCACTGAGTGAACAGTAATTGATTGGCATCATTGTTATGTACATAACTAAAATTGACATATATCAAATTAAAGTCAAGATAGATTTTTTATTCCATCTGTGTCCTTGAATTAAAATCATGGGTGCAGAGGCTGTGTGTGATGGCTTATGCCTGTAATCCCAGCACTTTGGGAGGCCGAGGCGGGCTGATCACCTGAGGTCGGGAGTTCGAGACCAGCCTGACCAACATGGAGAAACCCCATCTCTACTAAATTTTCTACTAAAAATAGAAAAATTAGCCTGGTGTGGTGGTGCATGCCTGTAATCCCAGCTACTCAGGAGGCTGAGGCAGGAGAATCACTTGAACCCGGGAGGCAGAGGTTGCTGTGAGCCGAGATCGCACCATTGCACTCCAGCCTGGGCGACAGAGCTAGACTCCGTCTCGAAAAAAAAAAAAAAAAAAAACCATGGGTGCAGAATGAAGTAGTCTTAGAGTGACTGTTCATCTAAAAATATGTTTTCCCATACCATTTTTTTAAAACCCTCAGAAATGCTTACAAAAAGTTTAATATACTCCACTTCATAGTAGGTACTCTTCTAGATACTGAAGGAAAGTAGAAGAGTGTGGGATAAACAGGACACAGCCCACACTCTCAGAGGGCACAGAAGCCAAGGAACAAGAAAACAGAACTACAAAAATAAGTGCCATGAATACAGTGTGTGCACTACACATAGTACTTAACATGCGTTTTGCTTACTCTGTCAAACAGGTCTAAGCACTTTACTTATGTTGTTATTTACTTCCTGACAATGATCCTGAGGTAGGTACCATTTAAATCTCCACTTTACAGATGAGAAGTTGCATACTTTGCCCAGATGGTAAGTGGCAGAGCTGGGACTTGGATCCAGGCAGCCTAGCTCCAGTGGCCACTTTGCTAGTCCCCAGACGACTGTGCCTCGGTACACTATAGTGAGCATGAGCTCGGGGTGTCATTGAAGTGAAAAAGAAAGAGAACAGTCAGAGGAAACTTTACAGGGCAGATTATCTTAAATTTAAAGGAAGGACTCTCAAGTTTTCCTGCCTAATTATATAAATTACTATTACAATGAATAACTTATAACAAGTTTGAAATAACCTCAGATACTCTTTTCATTATTTTTGCAATCCTAGAAACATTGTAATTTTTGTTTCCTAGTATATGATTTCCTACATATCAGCCATTTTGTCCTTATGGGTAAATACTGCCCTTTAGGAAGAAGCCCCATTGGGTTCACAGATTAATTCCCAGTCCCTAGAAGAATATCTAGTGCTCAGTAAAAATTTATTATATTAATTACTTAGCTAATGGTAACCAGGTTAACCATAGACTAAAATAAAACCCTGGTATCAATAGATACAAATTATTAATATTTGAGCTCCCCAAATAAAATGATTCTTGTTTGTTGGACTAAGGCAGCAATTTAGATTGTCATGGTTTTGTTTTTCATTTTATTTTGTTCTTCTTATTCATGGCATCTGCTATTAGCAGAATGAAAAATTGGCATGTGTGCCTTCTGAATATGCTGCACTGAACTGTCTGTGCTCAAGTACCAAGGCACATATGTTTGTCTTCTCTGGACCAACACACAAATTGTAGGTTTTTCAGGGTCAACAGTAATAAGCATCTATAATTATAGAGTTAGGAAAAGAAACATAAATAGTATCTATTAGTAACTGATAACAGGAAATAGGCTCTCTAATATCCATTCATTTTAATTAGGAAAATATGCATGGGTTGGCCTCAATTAGAAACACACACACACATACACACACACACAGAGGAGGTAGGGCAGAATGGGCTTTTTAATTAATGTCTTGAATAAGTTATGACTTAGGAAACTTCCTCTTACTTTTGCAGTTGTTATGTAGTAATGATCCTCAAACGTCTGAAATTCTTTGAAATTCTAGAGAGGTTCAGAAACCACTGTATACCACACTCTATTATTAATCCACCCTAAAAACACCTCCCTCCCCTTTCTAAAAGGACCCATTTGCTTACTGGATTCTGCCATTACCAAATAGTTATTTTTAAAAATCTTAAGGTTTGAAAACTCACATTACATTATTCTGAAAAGGAAAGAGACTTAGATGTAGAACTTGTTTTTATGCCTTCTTTCTGTAAGTTATGGTTTGCCAAAGCCGCCACAGCATCTGCCTCACTGTATTGGTCACGGTTCTCAAGAGAAACCAATAAAATGTGTGTGTATATGTGTGTTGAAAGATAGATAGAGATAGGTTCATAGAAATACATATTATCTATAATAAATCTCTATAACATATATATAAAATATGTATTGAATATATAGATTAAATTATTAAATATATACATAATATATATTAATAAATATATAAATAAATATAAAATATAAATATTGGCAGGTCTGAAATATGCAGGGCAGGTTGGCACTTAGGGGTTTCCCTAATCATTCTCATATTCCATTTTCATTTTGTCCCTATAATACATATGGCAGTGCTTCCAAAGGCGTCTTAAGTTCTCCCCACTCCTTTTACTGCCCAAAAGATTTCCTAGATTTACTTCCTTGTCTTTGTGCATTTTATTATCAAATCATTTAATATTTTAAAAGAATGACTCCAGTGCTCAAGACTAAAAGGAATTCCTTTTAAAATGCTGAAATAGTCCTTACTAATGAAGTAAAGTTTCCTTGGCCGACATGTTGATTTACTGCTTTGTGGCCCTGATTTCTTGAATGTCTGTGTGAAACCCATATAAAGGCCAATAGGTAGCATTCTACCTGTAAGCCATGGCCCTGTGCTAGAGTGCCCAACCATCTGATCCCAACCCAGCCCATCTGGTTTGTGCACTTTTACTGTTCAACTTTTCCTGGATCTTTTCCTGGTTCTTGGTTCTTGTCTTGTCAAGACACAGCAGAGACAAAGTTGGTAATTTTCAAAAGGAATTTTTTTTAATGAATGTAGAGGAAAAGAATGCAAACACATTTGTATAGAAATAAAATTTCTAGAGGCTTCTTATTTTAACCAGAGTTTAGCTACAGATTGGATGGATTGGATAAACAGGAAACTGTCCAGCTCTTTTTATTGCCTTAACATTGTCTGGGTTTTCTAGTAGAAAATGGAAAATAAACGTATTTAAATATTGTGAGATTTAATTTTATTTGATGTCAATTCTAGAAACCTCTAACAAACACTTCACATCTCCCTTTGCTTCCTAGAATTACCTCCACACATGGACCGCAAGCTCCCAGGCTGTTTGTCTGTGGCCTTAAGCCCTGCTTCAACCTTGTTTTGCTCATTGCCTACTTCTCTCTGGCGATCCCTAGCCCACAGCCCTAGATAAGAAGGCACTTCATAGTGTGTCCTCAAAGACTCTTTTTCTGAAATCAGAGCATCTTTCGCCACCTGCCACATCCTTGTTCTGTTGCTCTTCTCTTGCTCAATCTGCCACTAGGTACCTGAAACCCCCACCTCTCCAATTCCATTTGTTAACCACTATATTTTCTTCTTCCTTTTCCTCCTCCTCCTATCATTACTGCTGCTAATTTTAGGGTGAATTCCATCCACTAGGATATTCAGAAAGCAATGAGTCCCTTCTGGGTTTGAGATGACATGCTCCATTTATTTCTCATACTTGTCAACTCATCATGCAGGTGCTTTGGATGACAGAATATTGACATTCTAGAACTCAATTTTTACAATTTTACAAAACTTTCAAATCTTAAGCGTACAATTCAACAAAATGAAGAATTTCTATCAAAAATTTTCAAATGTACAGTCTTTCAAAGAAATTATCTGAGAACAACAGAGTAACTATTCATCTTTATCCCAAGTTTTTCCTGTTGTTTGTCTATGCCTGACAATAAGAATAAACAACAGAGAATCAAGGCTCTAGAACTGCTCTTTCTTTCTACTTGCAAGATGGTTGTGGAAGTGGATTCTAACCATTCCCAGTTTGGATTTTAACTGAGTGGGCCCAGAACACAGAGATAGCCCGGGAGAAGCTCTCATAAGTCATAGACTTGAATGGTCACAGTTGCCTCCCCCAGCTCCACAGCTTTTCTGGCCTCACCCCGAGGAGCAGTACACAGGGGCCATAGCTTCTCTCAGAGCCTCCCTGAGTGTATGGAGGAGCAAAGAAAATAAGGCACCGTAAGTCAGAAAATAACTGGCCATGCTGCAATGGGAAACCAATTTTGAACTCCCTCTCCAAAATTAAAAGGGGCCTCTAGATTGCTTTAAAATGCACTTGATTCTCATTATTTGCAGTAGTTATGTTCTATAAAGTAATCGAATAAGTCAATGCTGAACCTTTGCTCCTAGGAGAGTTATAGGGTTAGGTTCCTGTGAGCTTCTGGTCACAATGTTTTGATCAACCAATTGATACATAACCTTGCTTTATGTGTGTTTCTGTTTAAAAATACCTTATTTAATATACACTGTTGATTCAAAGTGAACTCACCATCAACACTGTAACTCAGGCCTGAATGAATTTATCTAATACATATATTTTCTCCATAAGGCATGCCACTGCTTTCAAGTGCTTAGAAATACTACACAGCACTTCAGCACTGTACTTGGGGGCCATTTTAAACAGCTAATTCACCAAAATAAACCACAAAAACTGTGACAGTTGTGGCACCAAATGGACTGCAAACAGGACATTTGTTTACAGTTTGAGAGCTGAAATAAGAAGGCATATGGTTGCCTTGTTTGACCCCAGCTGGGAATGTGTGCTTTGGGTGACTCAAATTTTTCATTGCTATACATATGTCTGCAAATGACTGGGAAAGTGCCTTAAGGTGTTACAAACAAATTTTGTGAGTAAATGAATTTGCACAAACAGAATTCCCAAATAATGAGGACCAACAGTACTTATTTGCATGGAAGAATACATTGGACATAGGTTTAATAACCGATTGAGTAGATGTTATGGTCACCAATTGAATATTGAGAAAAATAAGATGCATAAGTTCAAGTAGCTTGTGCAAATGACACTATGACTAAATACTAGAATTAAATTAAATTTTATAGGTTTAATGCATACAATCTGGCTCCAAAGTCCTAATGCTTAAGTGCTACACTATATTGCTTCTCATGAAAGATAAATATTAAGTTTTAGAATTTTGGTATTTAAGTAATAAAAGGCATTATTTTGAAGTTTATTTAGCAAGAAGAAATTAAGACTCATTTGAATATTATGCAGATTAGGACATAACCTATTCAACTAAAACATTTGAAAGACAGAGTATCTTGTATGAAGTTTCTTGAGACAATTAACAAGAGAAATACCAAGTAGATGTAAATTCTAATTTTTTCTCTTATTTAAGAGAATATTTTAGTAACAAGAATTCAATTACAACAGTTAATGAGGTAGATTCAATATTGAGTTTAATAGTAAAGTATGTATCTACTTGTGAATTTTCCACTACGATATTTTATGTAATATGAGAGGTAACAACAAAACTGTAGCATAGGGCTTTGATGGACTATTTCCTTTGTGCATTTTGTTTACATTATCAAGGTTTTAGAAGCATGATAACCTTGGCAGCATTTTTTTGTTTCTTAAAATTCCAAATAGAATTATATGTCTAATCTTTTGACAGGATTGGAAGAGTAACACCTCACATGTTATATAATGGTTCTCCTGTCAGAGAGCAAAAGGTTTCATAAACACAGCAATGCTCTGTTTTTACAGATCCACAGAAATAATAACATTTCATCAGATTTCAAATACTATTATGAAAGGAATGAAAATTGTTGTTTCTTCAACTTTTCAGCTACCTTCCCTACTCTAATTGGTGTCTGATTAAAACCCAGGAAAAATTACCTTCCAGAGAGTTTCTTGGCTTAAAGCATTTGTGACATGGCATCAAGCCCAGAAGAATATCAGAAGTTCTATAATTTTGACCCCCAACCCTTTCATTTCATAAATTAGGAAACTGAGGTCCACAAGATGAATTCTTAAGAACCACAGATTTAGTGGCTGAGCTGGGATTAGAATGCAGATTTCCTGATTTTTAATCTTCTCTTTATTGTGTGCTTTATTGTTTTGCCCCAAAGTAGCCACCCCAAAGTGGTCATTCTACTCTGAATGAATATTTACTATTCCAGATAATGATTTATGAGAACAAATGGATTGCATGGTCATGAATTTCCAGTTTTAATACTCATCTTACTGTTAAATTCTTGTTTAATGCTTATATTCTAAACTTGAGTATATTTTCATTTTATTATTCTAGTGAGCTAGGTTAATCTTTTGAAATCGTTGGTTTGATTACTTCAATTTAATTATCAGCCATCTTTGTAGAGACTGCCTCAGAAAGTTTAGGAGCAACTCTGCACAAACAAATGTATGACTTGATTTCTTTGCTATGTGCTAATTCACCTGTTTATTTGTATTTGTAAAACAAGTGACATTGGACTTCTCTTTAAAAAATTTCCCCCAGACATTTTATTCTATTCTCATGAAATTACTGTTTGAAAGACATTGGCTGAAACAACTGAAAACTAAAAATGTATCTGGTCTAGAAGAAAATGAAAAGTAAATTTGCCACACCTTGGTTTGAATTATGGCTTCTCTATTTACACCTTGGTAATAAAAACAGATGCAGTTAATCTAGATTAATTAAATGAAAATTGCCATGAAATGAAACAAATGTACACTGTAGATTAAACACATGCTAAACGTTTATTGTATCTCCTAAACAAATCTATTATTTTAACCTAACAAGTGAGACTGTAAATTGTTTGCAAAGTAAATGTGTGCATTTAAGAAAATAACTACATAGTGTATGAACTAAGATGATTAAAGCAAATTGACAGTTTTCAAAAAAGCAATGAGATGGCTGTTTTCCATTGCTTTAAAAGTTTGCTGGAAGACAGTTGACTTTGGTTTTGATTCCTTTGATTCTGTGGCTATAAGACTTCACCTTACTTCTGATAATGCCACAGCTATTATGTTGGTGTGTAATTTCTATAACTTTTTCTCAGCTAAGTGCAAAAGTATAGAATAATAACAAACCATCATTCATTTGTGTTTTATTTTGTTTGTCATTGGGATACAGGTTGCATTCATCATTTTACAGTGATATAAAATTAATAAATATCTTCTAATTGATAGTTAATAATTATGAAAAATCAAACTCTAAGACATTGATAAAAAAGTTGTAAAATCCAGATGGAAATTTCCACACTGAAGTTATTTATGAAAGCACTCACCTGTATTTTCTGATGCAGTTAGTTTTTGAAAGAAAAATTTTATATAGAAATCTAATATAACCCCTCAAAGAATTTCATGTTCATTTCAACTTTGGAAGGAAGCAAACTAGGCAAGGAGGTAGAATATAAAATTATTTTATAGATGAACTTGCAGAATTTCGTTATTTAGCGTTTGGTTAATGTCTAAGTACATTCAAAAGGAGTTATTACAGCATGTTTTTCTTTCTTTTTTTTTCATTTAAGAGGTTGATGTGGCTTTTTAAATTAAACTTACCTCACAAGTAAGATTGGTGCATTAATGCTAGTGAGAATATTAGTTTATATTTATTTTAATATAGGTAATTGAGCGAGGGGAAGATTCTAAATTTCTAGAACTATTGATAGTTTCTTACACAAAAAGTCTGCTGTGCTTTATGGGAATTACTTTTAGGAGCAGATTGTGTTAGACCTTTTAATGAGATTGCCAATAAAATGAAAACATTAAATCCTACTACTTCTTATGCTTACAGATACTCATTTCAAAGAACTTCCAACTCTTCTCCACTGTGCAGCAAAATTTGGCTTAAAGAACCTGGCTATTCATTTGCTTCAATGTTCAGGAGCAACCTGGGCATCTAAGATGAAAAATATGGAGGGTTCAGACCCCGCACATATTGCTGAAAGGCATGGTCACAAAGAACTCAAGAAAATCTTCGAAGACTTTTCAGTAAGTTTTTTTTTTAAATTATATCTCTGTATATTCTGTTTGATATTGTAGAAGAGACTGTAAGAAGAAAAAACCTATTACCTTTACCGTTTTCTTTAAGACTCTAGTTAAGGCACTATTAGGCACATGAAAACATATCAATAATCGTTAGGTTGCAGAAAAACAATTTGATAATAATTCAAAAAGTCTACCCAATAAAAAGTTAATTTATGTTGCTTAAATTTGTTTTCCTTAAGTGATTCCTTCTCCTTCTCCCTGTTAAGTCCCAGTTCTGTCTTATGAAGGTTGAAGCCCCAAATTTCAGAACACTTTTTGAAGAATGTTAGTTTTGTAAGAATGTAACCAAAGAAGATTTTAAGAAGGAGGGGATACTATCTCAGTACATAAAACACACTTTGTGTTTCCATAATCATGTTTAGAAAAGCAATTGTTTTTCTGGTTGTAACAAAGATATGCACATTTTGCTCCAGAAAGTGAATTATACTCTGATGGCTCTTTGGAAAATATAATGGGACAATGATTATGCTGATAAATTATCAAAATTTGTCCCTGAGTATTTAAAACAAATAATTTTGTTGTCAAGGAAGAGTTGATATAGAATATGTAAATCCTGTAAGCTTCTGGCTATTTTGGCATTTATTCTGATTGTCAGATTAAGCCAATCTAATTAATATTGGACTTCAGAAACAATCATTGGTATTTGAGATTTCCAGAGAGTATATTTAAAATAAATATAGCACATGAAGTATTATGATAAAATTAATAAACTACTAATTTTTTGTCTTATGTCCTTCAAATCAGAAATAACCATTATTTTTATTGCTGGAAGGATTTTAGACAGTGATTGTCATATATGCTAGTTTTTAACTAGTTATCATTCTTTATCTGATGAGGGCATTCATTTTCATAATTGTTCACTGTATGCAGGCATTGAATAGGGCAGCATGGTATCTATCTGGGGTAAGTCAGTAAGTCAATTCAGCCTTGGATATTTTCCATTAATACTGTTATTTAATACATTTTAGTTGCCTGTCTTTAACTCTATACAACTCTAGTCTTTAATTTTTAGCCACTGGTACACTGGGTTAAAATTTTCCCTGGAAGTCCTAGCATCTAGGGATGCTTTCTAAAATAATCCCTGATTTTCAAAAAGTCATTCTTCCACTTCTTGCTCTCCAGTAAAGACTCAGCTTTTGACAGATTCAACCCCATGCACACTTCAGGTGCTCCATAAGTAACAAAATAATACATAATGATGACAGTAGATATGAAAGTAAGTACAATGGTAGGATATGAGGTTTGATGGATGTGGGATATAATTTTTTTTCTCTTACACCCTCTCAGTATTTATACCTCTGCTCCTGCAATAACAGCACTGATAGAATTTGATTGCTATCATTGTATCTAGGTGACAATCACTTTTTCGTAGTCGCTGCATTCTAATTTTACAGTTATACTTGATAATTCTTGTGTGAAATATGTTACATAATTTTCTATAGTATCTTTGTAAGCTGTTATTTCTGCCTGAATGTCTACAGTAAATGTTACCATTATAGTTAAGATAGATCAATTATTTTGTGAATGTTCTGCTGTCAGTAAGGAATTGACTGTAGCTGTTGCAAGTGCCAACAGATCTGTCAATGCGTTTTCATGACCATGGATAATTTTATATACAATAATTTTGCAAGCTACGAAGGCCTTTTTGCAAATGTGTAGTTAAGAAAATGAAACATATGTATTATATTTTGACCCTCATGGAAAAATGTTTCCTGTCAATTTATATGACACATAAATTATTCTTCTAATTATCAATTTTATCTAAAATAAATTTGGAAGTCATATCTTCTGAGTGAAGGTATGCTAGATAACCATATGTTGACACTGTCATGGATGAAGCTGGAAACCATCATGCTCAGCAAACTATCGCAAGGACAAAAAACCAAACACCGCATGTTCTCACCCGTAGGTGGGAATTGAACAGTGAGAACCCTTGGACACAGGAAGGGAAGCATCACACACCAGGGCCTGTCATGGGGTTGTAGGAGGGGGCAGAGATAGCATTAGGAGATATATCTAATATAAATGATGAGTTAATGGGTGCAGCACACCAACATGGCACATGTATACATATGTAAGAAACCTGTGTGTTGTGCACATGTACCCTAGAACTTAAAGTATAATAAAAAAGACACTATCTATTCTAAATACTGTTATTTAAGTCTTTTAAAGAGTGTATGTAAACCTGATGGAGAAAAATGGAATCTCATTATACTACTAAAATACTTTACTGTTGCTTTAAAAGCCTCTATATCACTTCAGTGTTATAATGACTTAGATTCTGATAAATCTAAGATCCTCACAAATGCATTCAAATTTTTCATGAACTATTGTTTCAGAATAGTTTAAAGGAGCAGATATTTTTAAGTTTGAGGTTTACAATCTACTAGTGGACTACACTTCTACTGAAGAAATATCTATTTTTAAATTCCAACATATTTTGCTCCTAACTAATTTACTGATTTGCTCAGTACTTCCTAATCCCCCATCAATAAAACATTGCTCATTTTAGAATTTCACAGGGAGTTACAATACAGTGATTTGGGTCATCACTAAATAAAGTGGGTAGAAGGAAAAAAGAAATTATGATTTTAGAAAAATACAGAGAAAACACAAAAGCATTAGCAAGCATTCATAAACCAAGTGGCACCATGTCTTATTGTTAGGTATATGAAGGAGGAGGATGAAGATAAAGAGAAGAATGAGGAAGGAGGGGAGGAAGAGAAAGGAGAGAAGGAGGAGAGTAGGAGAAGAAGGGGGCCTGAAATCACATTTCTTACATTGCTTCATGACATTTTTTATTTGAGAGGTTAATAATTTATACACAGTCTATGAATAGAGCCTCTTCATTATGAATGAATAGCTTTCATGTTTTGATAAAGTTATGTAATTAACATCTGTACTTCATTTATGTTTTCAGTGCTATTACTGGATAATAATATCATATATTTCTATAATCCATAAAGTATTTCAAATATCTACTCATTTTTCAGTTTCTAACAATATCACCTGAGAGAATTAATATGAAAAGTAAATGGGAAAATGGCAAAAGATTTGGTACTTAAATTCACAACTGCGTATGAACAACGATTTGCTTAGCATTATTCATAAGGAAAGCCCAGGACATTTTAAATAGTAAATAGTGACATTGATGATTGATTCAGCCTTCAGAAACTTATCTCTTAAATAAAACGTGCATGAAAAGTTGAAAACAAACTGGAACTTGGCCTCAGATTGAGGTGCTTTGAGATTTAAGATAAAGTGTACAAGACTAGTCTGTACTTTAAGCAAACAGATATAAATAATATTTGCTTGTATTAGCTCACATATGTCACCCCATCCATTCCCATCCGTTTAGAACCCTTAACAAAATGATTACATCAATGTGTAAATAGACAAGGAAAAGTACATTCTCCTCGTTGGCCAGCTATGGAATTGGAGACAGGTGTTCACTTATCTTAGAAACAATATCCAGAAAATATCTTTTTCCTTCCACCACTGTGTTCACTTGTAGTTTGGTTTAAATATTTAAGTATCTTAAATTTTCTTCATGAATATAATAAGTTGTTAATTATAAATATTGATGAAGAAAATTTAAGAAATGGGAAAATCAGCTTTCCATGCACATTCTCTAACTGGCTTTTCAGAAGTACTCCTGATTGGGAATCTTTCTATTGCTCATGTGTGCGATGGGATTCCTGTGGCATCAGGCTCTCCTTAATCTATCCCTACACTGCTCTTTGTCCCTGTGGACACTGGGCCCGTGTGTGTGTGTGTGTGTGTGTGTGTGTGTGTGTGTGTGTGTGTGTGAGACAGAGAGATTTTGTTGCCCTCCAGTATCTGACTGACAGGCCCTAATCTTTTTCAGATAGTCAAGGGCTTGGGTTTAAAATACAGGTATGGAGGGGTAGGTGTTGAAGCATTTACAATATCCCTAATATAAAGCAATAATTGACTGGGTAATATAGAGAACCAATTACTCAGAAGTTAGGTTTTGTGTTTAGGCTAGTAAACATTCACTCTTCCTGGCTCTTTATTTCTCTCATTCTCAGCATTGCCCTCTCAGTATTTTACAAGTAGATTGTTCCATTTAATTCAGTATATATCCATGTTATATAATTTAGTTTAAATGGCAGCATATCCTGCTTTGCTTATGTAGTTTTTCCTTTCTTATAAGTCTGGAAGCTTGTGATGGATAGTGGGCTCTCCTCCCCTCCCACCATCAGGTACACTAAAGGTGCTCAGCATGTATTTTTCTCGTTGATGGTACAGAAGGTTGGTGTCCAATTGAAAGACTTGTCTTATTTCACTTTCCCAATCATATACTTAACTAGGTCCCATATGGTAAATAAAATAATTGGTCATATTTCCTATACTTGGAATTTTTTTAAAGTTTAGTTTCGGAGACTTCATAGACAGCCCTACTGCTTGTCTTCAGCATATATTTTAATAGGCCCAACTAGTATGAATTTTGGAATTCTGGCTTTTATTCAATATTGATGTTCTGTTCTGTTAGAATTGAAGAAACTAGAATAAGTCACATAATTGCATTTGACTGCATGCATTATAAATTTATGTGTCAGTTTTGTGCTTGAAACTACTTGGGAATCTCTTTCAAAAATCTGGCTATCACAGAATTTTTCTCTTCTCCAAGTCCTCAGACCCAGTTTTGATGCCCTAACTCTGCAGCTCTAAACATGCTATGTAAACTCCCTTAAATCTTTTTGCTTTATTGTCAAATTTTCCATTTTCCTTTACTCCTAGAGTCTTGGAATTCAGCCAGGTCTGGATTTTAAACCTAACTTCATCAAAAACTAAGTTTGCATCCTTGGAAAAAATAATTCCTCATAGAGCACTTTAGGATTTGATGAAATGAATGTAAAATTATTAAATATATAGAAGACCCACAAAAAATATTGCATTCACCTTATTTTCTGTTGGCTTATTGTTATTCATATCAAATTTAGACTTCACTGTCAATCATACCTTCTCTTTTCTTGCATCATTAATCTCTCTCATTATACTGACTCTTCCCTGAAAAAGTGTTTCAAGAATATATATGTACATGCTTTACATAGACATATAGTTTTGTATTGTTTAAAGACTATATATATATATGTGTGTGTGTGTGTGCTTTGCATTTAGCTCACTACTAAAGCTGCTCTGTCAAAAGCCATAAATAATCAACCATGTATCAGATCCAGTGGATTTCTTTCAGACATCTTTTGGCACAACCTTTGACATTGCTTTCTTTGACCCTGCCCTCTTTCTGAAGGTCCACTGACCCCTTGTGACTTTCTTGTCTTCCCCATCAGGAAAGGTTCTTTCTGCACTCTCTTCACTTGTGATTAAAAGGCAGTGTCATAGCTGGAACAAATGAAATCATGTGGAATTTGTGTGAAGCAGAAGAAAATTTATAAACAGGATTTTAAATAAGCACTTAATGGGAAAGGTGAAGGATGCATATGGTGAAAGAAATGGGATGTGCAGTTGTGTGAAGAAGGCAGAGTAGGTAAACTCTGACTTCTTAGGCCAGAAAACCAAATCTTGTTATTGACTTTTTTTCATAGAATGCATATTGTTTTTTAACTTATGATAATGACCTACAAAAGACTATGCATCTATTAAAAGAAAACTTAACATTTGATATGGGATTTTGGTAAAATATATACTAAGAAATGTTTGTAGAGCCCCAAAGAGCTCATACACAACTTAATGGTAAGTACATAAAAACCTAGTTGTTTGCGGTATTTTTGCCTACTCATACTGTAAGAAAATACTTGATTTTTAATTATTTATTTACACGCTTTGCACAGGTTGTATGCTTAATGCAACGTGTATGATATAACTAGATTCAAATAGAAAAATCTGTAAAAATAAATTTCCCAAATTAATTTTATGAGATGTAATATATTATTTAGAAAAACTGTCCTTAGGCTATTCATCAGTAGAATGTTCATTAGGAAAGAGATTTCTCATGTCTACTAAGCCCAGTGTGTGAGACTGCTTAAAGTAATCTCTTTCTCCCAGAAATCATGTTAGTTTGGTTTAACAGAGTAAAGCAAAAACCCCATTTGTAATTCTCAGGAATAACTATTCTCAGATGTCACAGCCGCTGTTTTCTCAGTGTTTTGCTATGTAATAAATGATTTATATTTTCATAAAGTTGCTAGAATAGCAATCAGTGTCTGTACACTCTCTTTCCATATACACAGAATATAGTTTTTTAAAAGCTTTCCTGGGTTCTCATTCATTACTCTGCCTCAGCAGAGTAGGAAACAGAAGCAGAAAGGGTCAGGATGATGTACAGCTAGCCTCCACAGCAGTATAATCATTTGGCGGTGCGTTGGGAAGGGGAGCAGGCATCACTGGGAAAAGCAAGATGAGTAAAATATCTGAATAGTCCTTGAACGTTTCTTACAACTCAGACACATAAACAGATTATTGCATTATCAATTTACATCACCAAAAGATAAATTAGCCCTAAAATTCAACAAAATAGAGGTTTTGTAAAATGAATATAGTGTGTGATTTGTATTTCCAATTTCTCGAATAAGCATAATGTATTATATTCATCACTCAGGTTTTTTATATCAGAAATGTTATATTCTCATAAAAACAGGAGACACACATTTTTCATAATGTAGACATTTGTTATCCTTTTTATTCCAAGATCTATTAACTCCTTTACTTCATAACTTCCCTCAATTGAATAATTAGTATTTTAAAAAATAACTTATTGTTAAAAATTTTTCTGAGAATAATGACCCTTTTGATAAACCTTAGAGGGCACTTTGTCCTAGCAACAGCTGAACTCTGAAAAGCCACATCTTATTTTCCCAGGCAGAAGGGAATCTTGTTTTTGGGAGCTATCATAATTTTATTCCTAAATGAGATTTACCTTGTAGTATTTATTTGAATATCTATTCTCACTTTTGAAAAAATATTATTTAGAGTTAGGGTAAGGCCCTCTATCTACACTTTAAGCCCATTTCCCACTGTTCTCAGATATATGGAACAGAGCTAGGGTAGAAAATTTAGATATAACAGCTATATAGTTCAGAAGAATTTATAATATATTTGCTTTTATCTTCATTGTACCAAATGCCATAGCTGCTATGAATGCAATCATGGTATATGAGGACAAGTGATGATATGATTTTGATTACCTATGCCTCAGTAGGTAATGATTTTTATGCTCATTGCATTAAAATTAATTCAATACCCACAGATAAGGCAATTTATGAAAGTAATAGAGGGAAATAATATACATGTGCTTACAGTTCTTTTCCAATAGAGATCCTTAATACATCATTAAATAATTTTTTAAAGTTGAAACAGTATCTTATTCTAAATAGGTAATTTGTTATCTTTTATACATTTGCTTCACATGCTGGCAGTCTCCAGGATCCTATTAAGAGTCACATCCTTGCCTATGGGGGCTAAATCGTCTTTAAAGACCCTTGGATACCTAAGTTTTTGTAATTTTTAGAGTTCTGATTTCTCAGAAGCCTTCTAAACTTTAGTTCTTTCATTTTTTTCTGGCTTCTTTCAAACCAATTAGCTTGTGTAGAACAGGGTAACCTAGAGCTCTCACTTACATGCCTGCTGGTCAAAAGGAAATGCAATTTCAGAGAATGCAAAATTAATCACTAATGGTAATTAAAGCAATCAGTATTGACACCATATCTGTCGAGCGTGGCCCTCATGAAATAAACACACGGCATTGTCCTTTCAGAAGGAAAATATGCAAAGGCAATTGAATTAAAATTTCATTGGAAAAATATTGTTCCTGGAAATTCTTCTCCATTAACTGGCTTTGAATTTCCATCATTCTTGATTCTTGAAGATAGGAAAGGGTATTTAATATAATCCAATGTAGATTGGGTATATACTTTTCTACTAGTATCATGAAATGGTTTTTACTTTAAATTCATGTAAAGGCCTCTCCAGGCATATGAAAAGAATCAGACTTATGAAAAAACAAGAATATTCATCAAATATTACAGCTCTGAGCCTCAACAATATATTTTTTTCATTTCTCCTTATGTAGCAACACTCTCTTTGTGATATATATATAGATGTGAGAAAGTAAAGATTATGATTGACTTATTCTGCCTCTAAAAAATACAGTATAAAAAGAAAATAAATGGCACCAGTTGAAGGCTAAATTTTGGGTTTGTTTTACATAAATTAATCAACTCTCGCTTAAGCCAGAAAACAGTCTCCATTTTAGTTTAACAAATAGATTGATTGACTCAACGAATATTTATTGACTATCTGTTAGGTGCCAAGCATTGTTCTAAACACTGGAAATCCAGAACAGACCAAAACTCCTACCCTAATGGGAAATAAGACTATAAATAAATAAAGATATACAATGTGTCCAGTGGAAATTAAAGTTTAAGGCCAGGAAGAAATAGAAAGAACCACATTGCATAAAGTGGTGCGTAAAAGGAGATGGGAGGGGGAACAATTTTGAAACGAGTAGTCAGGGAAGTATTCACTGAGGAGTACTTTTTGGTAACTGTCTAAAACTATGAAAGAGAAATTCATGCATTTATATGGACAGGTATTCCAATAAGAGAAAATGGCACAACAAGGGCAAAGGCTCTGGTAGGATGTGGATATCCACAAAAGAGCCAGTTGGTCAATGTTACTGAAGCAAAGTAAGTGAGAAATAAAAGAAACAGTAATTAGATGGCATCAGAAAGATAAGTAAGGCCGGATCTGTAGGGCTGTATAGGTAATGATGAGAATTTGGTATTTTGGAGAAAGGCATTAGAGAATTCTGAGAGGCATTGTATTTGTCTGTTTACACACTGCTATAAAGAATTGCCGGAAACTGGGTAATTTATAAAGAAAAGAGGTTTAATTCACTCACAGTTCCACATGACTGGGGAGACCCCAGGAAACTTACAATCATGGCGGAAGGGGAAGCAGTCGCGTCTTATATGGCCGCGGGTGAAAGGAGAGAAGGAGGAATTGTCAAACACTTACAAGACCATCAGATCTTATGAGAACTCATTAGCTTTCACAAGAACAGCATGGGGGAAAACTGCCTCATGATCTGATCACCTCCCACCTGGTCCCACCCTGGACATATGGGGATTATGGGGATTATGGGGATTACAATTCAAGATGAGATTTGGGTGGGGACAAAGAGCCAAACCATATCAGGCATCATATGATTTAAATTGATCAGAGTCACAACTATATTGATCACAGACCATACAGGGCAAGAAGGACAGATAAGACCTGACTGGCAACTACTCCCATAGTCCAGATGATAGATGATAAAAAGATGCTAGTTTCCACTAGGATGACAGCAGCAAAGACAACCAGAAGTGGTTAGGTTTGAAATATGCCATTGTTTTTTAGTATAGGCAATGGAATTTACTGACTTTGGTGGTGGAATATAAAAGAAAGTGTGTAGTTACTGATATTTCCAAGTATGTTGGTAGAAGCGGAGGATGGAATTAATTGCCATTTACTGAGATGAGGAAGATTGAATGAAGAAATGGTTTGTTAAGAAAAATCAGGAGTTTGGCTTGGGACACGTTAAATTTGAAATGCCTACTATGTTCCAAAGTTTGGAAGTAGAGGTTATAGGGAGTACCAACAGAAAAAGCCAACAACGAGCAGCATTTGAGGTAGGAAGAGAATCAAGAAATCTATTGACCTGGATGCCAAGTAAAAGAAAGATTTTCACAGATGAGGTAGTGGACAGCCACATTAAATGCTACTGACAGGTCAACTAAGATAGGACAGATAATCAAATTTTTGATTTAACAACATGTGTATGTATATTTGTATGTGCATATTTATGTATTTCTCCTTAAAAATTAGTTATCATAATAATAAGCCTTTCCAAATATTGGAAAGATGATTTACTGGGAGAGGAGAGAGATTAAGATAAATTTTGTAATGAAGCATGAGCTCTATGATACTTTGGGGACAATTCTGATGAATATTTTGCTCTAATTTAGTTTGTCCCAAATACGTCTTATTAGCTGTTTGTGGAAACAAGAGTGAAGCATGATGCTATTTTAGAAACACATTTCCTGACATGTGGTTTGGAATCCTTCAAGAAAATGTAGAGGAGGAGACAACATTCAGTCTCCAGCTGGTATGAGTGTCTTGTGGAGAAAGTGAACTGTCAGGGAAAAAAAAATCAGAGCATTTTTATCTGTCAGACATTAAGGTCCATTCATAGTGAAAAATCGTAAACTCAGATCCCTGATTTGAGCCTGTGGCTGAGATTTCAGCCTAAGCAAGAACACTTCTCCCTTTGTTAGTGTTTAATTTTCTTTTCTCAGTACTGCCGAGTTCACTTATTCAAATTTGGCTCTTGGTAAAATATCAGCAAGCCAATTAATCCATTTCCTTAATGAGAACTCTCTATTATAAGAATGGGTAACTGCATAGACTTATATTGAACCTATCAATCTTGAATTTGAAGGGGAGAATGCCAATTATCCAGTCAATCTGGTTCATTACTGCAGTATTGGACCACGTCGCTAAATAAGCCCACAGTGCAACTACAATAGCATTGTGGGAGTGGAGAGCAGCGCCTGGCGCTGAACATTTGTTCACGGCCCATTATATGCCAGATTGGGTTAGAAACTTTATGCACACCCTCTGGTTCCATGTTCTCTGCCACCCTCTGAGGAATTTCTACTTAGTTTACATTTTGAGAAACTGAGGCTAACAAGTTGGAGAGTTAGTGAGCTGTGAAGCCACCAAATAGCCTCCAAAAGATGGCTACTCATAACAACCTGCTAACTTTATGGTCTCACTTCTTGAATTCTGTAATGATTCAAATGATTCTTTCCAATTTTGGCTTCTCCTTTGTTCTTTTCTTGACATTTCAACCTGATGTCCATACAATGCCTCTGAATAAAATATCACTCTCATCACTATACTATTATCATAATAATTCCCAAATATTTAGCAAGCACTCAGTCTACATCTGATGTGTTAGGAATTGTTGGTGAGGGAGGGAGAAAGGAGGGAACCTTGTACTTTGACTCCTCTCTAAAATCTACTTCATGAAACATCAGATTGTTGGAAGGTCCAAATTATATGTATGAAAGGCCTTTAGGATTTGTAAAGCTTCAGCACCATTTTTAATATTATCATCACCATTTTAAAACTTCCCATAAATAAATTTTAATATTTTAAACACTTTGAAAGTGAATTATTTTAATACTTAAGTCATTTCTAATTTTAAAAAACTATATGACACATGAATTTTTCTCTCTTTTCTACTGTATATGGCTTTCAAAACGAATGTAGGAAACAATATTTATCAAATTTTCTCCTTAAATGGGTTAAACTGTAACATTTTCTCAGGGAATGAATATATGTACTATCCTTTATTTTTTGTCTGCTTTCTACTTATTAAGTCAATGGAGTTTTTCAGTTCTCAGAAAAATTTAAGTTGCAATCATTTAAAGTAGCCAGAGATTGCATTTAGCAACATTCAGCTAATGTTGATAACCCTTCCTGGTGCTTATATTGTATTAATAGTTTGTTGGGGGGGGACTAAAAATGAATAAACACACAAAGTAATTTCAGAAAGTGATAAATGCTGCAATTTTTTTAATTAGTAAAAAAAATTTAATTGAAGTCTAGTTACAAGAAATAATGATATATTTGTTACACCATGCTCAATATCACGTTATATAAATAAAACATTCATTTAATATTAGTTTTTCCTTCTCTCATGACATCTTCATAACACTTCTAATCAGGTATTAATATGTAATAATTAATATATTAATAAATTCAAATCTAGAATGTTTCCTTTATTAGACTATAAATTTGATGAGAACATATCAGAGTTTATAGTTCCATAGTAATTATATGTATGTGGATATTGGTTGAATATCTCTCCCACAGAACTGTAAATTTTATGAGAGTGTGTGTTCATCATTGTATCTGCCATGTTCAGCAGTGACTATCTCTGAGTAGATGCTCTCTACCTTCCCCCATTCTCTCTTTGTGTGTGGGTGTGTGTGTTTATGTGTGTATATATGAATATATATATATTCATTTACCTATTCATTCTTTTATATTGTATAAAAAGAATAAATTCTTTCTAAAATTATTGGGCATGTACTATTCGTTGAGTATTGTTACAGTTACAGTAACATAAGACAGACAAGTCACTGGTCTCATGAGCTCACATTTGAAAGTGATAAACAAGGGAGGGAGTGTTCTTTATTATCTGTCCTTCTTCAAAATTCTAACTTTACCCCCATAGCCATTCGCCAGTGAAATATCAGATAGTAGTTAAGTACTCTGGAAAAAAATAACATGTTAGTATAAAATCCAAAAACAATAAAATTAGCAAAAAATTTTATAGTACTTGCTATGTACTAGTATCTGTTTTTGCTGCTTTGTAACAGCTCAGTCCTACTATCCAGGTTTTACAAATGAGGAAACTAAAGCACAGAGTGTTTAAGTTCTTGCCCAAGGTCACACATTTGGTAATAAGTAGAGATGAGTTTTGAACCCAGGCAGTGTAGCTCTACATGCTTTAACATGGCACTAGATTACATCTAATACTTAGAAAAGGCACACTTAACCATTTTTAGTATATTCTCTAACAGTTTGTCCCACTGCAAATCTGACAGACCATCTTTCTATGTAAAATCATTGCTAAACATCACAAAGGATTCAATTCAGATGGAAGTCTGGGTCCAAATTCAGTTTTACCTGTGTTTTATGCAGATGGACTAAAGCACCTCTCAGAATCCAGTAAAAGAAAATACCAAATTCTAGTTTTTATAGGTTGAGTTAAATTTAGTTATGGCTGTCATGTACCTAACTTTTTAACACTGTCCTTTGCTCTGTTCTTTGGCTGCTTTATTGCCACAGTTTTATTGACTCTCAAGAGTATTGTGATAGTTAATTTTAGGTACCTACTTTCCTGGGCCACAGGATGCCCAAATATTTGGTCAAACATTATTCTGGGTGTTTCTGTGGGGATAATTTGAATGAGATTAACATTTAAATTTGTAGTCTGAGCAAAGCAGATTGCTTTTCCAAATATCAGTGAGCTTCATCCAATGAGTTGAGTGCCTGAATAGAACACAACTGGAACCTTTCCTTGAACTGGAATGTCTGTGTTTTCCTGCCTTTGGTCTTGAACTTAAGAACCAGCCCTTTCTGTATTTCCTTCTGCTAGCCTTTGGACTAGAACTATACCATGGGATCTCCTAGTTCTCAGGCCTTTGGACTTAAATTAAAACCACACCATTGGCTTTCCTGGGTCTCTAGCTTGCCAGCTGCAGATGTGGGGACTTACGAGTCTCCATAATTGCAAAAGTCAGTTCCTTATCATTAATCTCTTTCTATATAACATATGTACATCCTATTGGTTCTGTTACTCTGGTGAACTTTGAATAGCACAAGTATTGATTTGATTTTAAATCTCTATGACATTTTCTTCCCTCAGTCTTTCAATGGTAAAATCAAGATGAGGAAATAATCTGAATGCTAGTTTAATCATATCGTGTTACAGTTTGTTGTTGGAGCTGAAACTGAGTGTGGAATATTGACATGGAGAGAGGGCTGGAGGGCTGGAGATGAAGTGAGAGATATGCAGAGCCCTAGAAGGCAGACAGAGAGGAGCAGAAACATGGGCCATGGCAAAGCTATAAAAATCCATAACAATTCAGGAGTAACTAACTAAAGTTGTTTTAGGAAAATAACATGAAAATGATTAAAATATTCCTTCATGAGAAAATGTAGTTTGTTTAAGATCCTGTGGTAATTTTCAAGTACTTCCTAGGAAGTATTTTAAGAAAGTAAAGGGACCTGTTTTAATGGGTGAAAAGTTCTACTGACTGTTAGTAGATGAATGTTAAATGCCTTGCAATGTGGAGGACAATCCCTCCCTGTGAAGAACTGGCCTATCCAAAACATCGGTGGATCCTTCCTTAAGAAATAGTAGCAAAAGATTTTCCACCAATCCCACTCTAACCTTAATAAACCTAGAATTCAACTGTTTCCTGATTTCCTTATCCCTTTGGCAAGTAGATCTATTAAATAGAATTTGAATAATGTTTTTATATATGTGTGCATATGCCTATATATGTTTGTGTATGTACATAAAATTTCTGTTTCACTAACTATGAAGTCAAAATTTGGACTTTTTAAAGGGGACTTTTCTTTAAATTTCACCTTAGTTGTCCTGTTGTAAGTTTGTTTTCTTAAATATTTATATGTAAAAATTTTAATAATTGGTAGTATGTCAGAAAATGGAGGACTTCCATGTTGCTAGAGACAGCTATCACCCTATTACCAGAGAGCACAGCTTGGATAGCTTCTAAAAGGAAAACTGAAGATAAAATTATAGCTGATGTATTATATGCCATCTGCTAAATGTCTATCTCCTACTTTAATGAGATATTACTCTTCCTTGTGAGTAACATTTTTACACTTCTGAAAGAAGAAATATTGTGAGACCGCTCATTCCTCTGGGAAAATATATACATGTACTGGATGAGACGGAACAGAGAGGTGCTCTTTTCAACAAACCAACCTCTCACAGATAGATTAAAAACAAAACAATAGATTTTGTGCATGGGTAAAAATTACAGACTAAAACTAAATTTATCTTTAGTGTATAGCTCTGTAGCTATATTTTAGCTTTGTAAAATGGATCTGGCAAAGGTGTTTATATAGGGCTGTCTGATATTACTGTCTTTTCCCTGTGGTTTTGAAATGGCTTATATTTTGGCAATACCATATTATCACCCGGAAAATGTACACTGAAAAATATTCTTGTTTCCACAACTTGTAGTGTGAATTAGTTACACTGCAAACTCTCTTCCTGTTCAAATGCAAGCATGAGTTTTAGACATAATAATGGCATGAATACTTAGCAAATGGCTATTTTGAAATTTACCAAAAACAATGGCCCATGGTAGGGATAGGACCATAGAAAGGGAGATTATTTGGAGAAACTAGTGGAAATAAGATTTAGAGTTTTATTTATGTTGGAGTGACAGGTAGCGTATTCAATGGCCACCAGAGAGACCGGTAAGAAAGGAGAAAAAAAAAAAAAAAAGCTAAGCATGAGAGCATTCACTGGCAGTAATTTCTTTTCAGAAAAAGCAAGTCAGTGGAAGAAAAGCATATTAAAGGGGTATGGAGTTTTACATGGCTATGCCACTGGCACCTTCTGCCCATTACACAAGGGTTGTTATGTCTGTAGCCTAATAAAGGTGAGTATTTTCCAGGGCAGTGGTTCTCACTATTGTGTTGCAGTCTCTTCACAAGTATATCATCATATTTGATTTCATAAGTTATTTTAAAATATAATTTAGCATATATAATGTTATACTGATGACTGTCAAAGAAAATGTTGAGCTAGGTAGCACAATGCAATATAGATACAGGAACAAATTATTGTAAAAATCAGCATTCAGAAAGTAGCATCAACTGTGTAGCAGTGGAAGGTCAAACATTTATTGAAAGAGTGAGAATTCTGTCTCACAGTCTAGTGGAAGGTGGTCAGGGCAGTAAACAGCTCTATTCAGATCTCATGACAGTGCTGAAGGGCTACCGAACTGATAGTGCCCTAACTGTGTATAGTTTTATAAATTCTATGAGACACTGTCGTTTAGGAGTCCAGATTACCCCATAATTATTGCTGGCTTTTTTAGAGTGATTTGAGTCTTTTCATCCATTTGGTTTGCTGCCAAACAGACAAACAAAAAACCCTGGTGTCTGAACGCATATTTCACTGCAACCACGTAAATATTGTGAACCCTGCCTTAGGGTCTGGGTGCCACTAGCAAGCTTCACAGGGTATGAAGACAAAAGATAAGGGTAAAGCTATTAAGCACATAGGATAGGATCTCTTACTACTAGAAAGAAGGCCAAACATGTATTAGCAATAACTGATGAAATTTCCAGAGTAGATAAAAACTCTTGTTAGCAGCCTAAGGGTATGCTGAATATTTTGAAACAGCTTAGTATTAATTTTTTTTTTAAAAGACTGCAGTCCTACAACTTACTTGTTTGAAATGAGCCTCTCAATATCTTTCTACTCATGGTTTACTAGGGGCGTAGACTGAATTGTGTATGTGACCTTGACATACTAAGAAGCTACGATGAGAAACAGACAATTGGGAGGAATAGAGGGGAAATGATGACTGTGGTCACTGAAGGAGAAACTCTTCATCCCTTTGATGGAAATAAAAGAAAATTATGAGCAGTGAGAGCCTCCATCACATGCATCCCAAATGAATTTTAGAAACCAGAGCTACTCCTTTGTCTTGAGATTTATGATGAGATCTCCTTGTGTCATTTCTGTCAAAACAAGACAATCAAGAATTAATAAGCCTCCTAACTAATGTAGTCAGTAACCTTATGACCATAGCTGGAACATAACCAAACAAAAAGCCAAAACAAAACCACTGACTTACCTGTAAACTATCAGAACAATTCATAAATAAATGGACAATTCCCTAGGGAGCACTGTAACAAGCACTATTATGACTGCGCTGATATTCTAATGCCATTTCAAAACACTTTTACTAGGAGGAATTCTTTTGAATTTCATACACATTTACCAATGCCACAATTCTTCATTGCACACTTATTTTATGAGCCGTGTTTACCTGCCCTTTTCACAGCAGTACCATGGCTAACTCTCTTGCTGAAATGTCATCTTCTTCATGAGGTCTCCTCTGACCATACTATTTAAAATTGCCAATACCCACCCCACTTCATCTGCCATTCTAATTCCCATTTATTTTAGTTCAACTTTTTCTTTTTGCATAGCACTTATCACTTTCTAGAATACCTCATGGTACCCTTTATTGTCTGCCTTTACCTCACCCCAACCCATCCCCAGAATATAAGTACCATGAGGACAGGGATCTTTGTTTTGTTTTTATTTAATTAACAATCTTTTTATAGTTGAAGAAAGCAGGTTACCCAAATTAACATAGTAAAACTGAACACTCACACTGCAATTCTAAAAGCAAAGCAATGAAAAAAGTTATAAGAAAAGTTCTTAAGTAGTCAATCAGGAAAACAGCTGTGTCAGAAAATTGCCTTGTGAAGGCAAATTGAAATGTAAATCTTTCTGTGGGCTGTTAACTTGCTGAAAAATACATTTGGCTCATTAGTGGGGCACTGGGACTACTCATTAGTTAAGTGGAGAGAAATATACAGTTAATGTCTTAACCCAAGACCCATAATCTACTTTTTGAGCAGGTATTTATTTTAACTTTTGAAATCACTTATCAAGAATTTCTTGAAAGTGGGGGAGTTAAAAGGAATCTTTTCTGAATTCAACACATTTATTATTTAATTTATCATCAAATGCTATTGAAAATCTTATCTATGTGTAACACCGTAATTGATAGAATCTGTCATCTTTCCCTCAAGTAATTAGTTTAGGGGTGTGCCTAGGGAATATATGAAACATGGAATAAATCCTCTCTCTACATTCATATTAAGAAGTTTAATTACCAGAAATAAATCCATACATCTACAGTGAACTCATTTTTCACAAAGGTGCTAAGAATATACCTTGGAGAAAAGACAGTCTCTTCAATAGATGGTCCTGGGAAAGCTGGATATTCATATGCAGAAGAATGAAACTAGAACCCTGTCTCTCACCATATACAAAAATCAACTGAAAATGGATTAAAGACTTAAATCTAACACGTCAAGCTATGAATCTATTAAAAGAAAACATGGTGAAACCCTCCAGCACATTGGTCAGGGCAAAGATTTCTTGAGTAAACCCCGCACAGACAAACAAAGCAAAATTGGACCACACCAAGTTAAAAGGTTCTATACAGCAAAGGAAACAATAAGCAAAGTGAAGGGACAACCCACAGAATGGGAGAAAATATTTGCAAACTGCTCATCTGACAAGAGACTTATAACCAGAAAAAAATATATATGATATATATATTTTTTATATATCATATATGTACATGTACACATATATGATATGTATACATATATGACACACATACATGTATGCATACATGTATATGTACACATATATGCACACATACATGCATATGTACACATATGTATCCATACATATATATGTACATATACATGTATACATACATGCATATATGTGTGCATACATGCATACATGCATGTATATATGTGCGTATGCATGTATACATGCATGTATAAGATGTATACATGTTTGCATATACTTTATATGTATGATATATACACATACATGTGTATACATATATGTATAAGATGTATACATGTATACTAGACATATAAGATGATACACATACACGTATACATATATGTATATGTATACGTGTATGTGTGTGTATATATATAACCAGAAACACTCTATAGGAAAAAAAATTAATTATCCAACTAAAAAATAGACAAAAGATTTGAATAGCGACTCCTCAAAAGAAGACATACAAATAACAGACATATGAAAAGTTGCTCAATATCATTGATCATTAGAAAAATGCAAATCAAGACTACAATGAGATGTTATCTCACCCCAGTTAAAATGGCATATATCCAAAAGACAGGCAATAACAAATACTGGTAAGAATGTAGAGAAAAGGGAGCTCTCATACACTGTTGGTGGGAATGTAGATTAGTACAACCACTATGGAGAACAGTTTGGAGGTTCTTCAACAAACTAAAAATAGAGCTACCATATGATCCAGCAATCCCGCTGGATCCCAAAAGAAAGGAAATCAGTATTTTGAAGAGATAACTGCACTTCCATGTTTATTGCAGTACTGTTCACAATAGCCAATATTTGGAAGCTACCTAAGTGTCCCTCAACAGACAAATGGATAAAGAAAATGGGGTATGTGTTCACAGTGAAGTACTATTCAGCCATAAAAAAGAATGCAGTCCTGTCATTTGCAACACCATAGACAGAACTGGAGGACATTATGTTAAGTGAAAGAAACCAGGCATTGAAAAACAAACTTTGCATATTCTCACACATTTGTGGGAGCTAATTAAACTAAAGAGCTTCTGCACAGCAAAATAAACTATCATCAGAGTGAACAGACAACCTATAGAATAGGAGAAAATTTTTGCAATCTATCCATTTGACAAAGGGCTAATATCCAGAATCTACAAGGAACTTAAACAAATTTACAAGAATAAAAAAACAAACAACTCCATCGAAAAGTGGACAAAGGATATGAACAGACACCTCTCAAAAGAAAACATTTATGTGGCCAACAAACATATGAAAAAATGTTCATCATCACTGGTCATTAGAGAAATGCAAGTCAAAACCACAATGAGATACCATCTCATGCCAGTTAGAATGGCTATCATTAAAAAGTCAGGAAACAACAGATGTGGAGAGGATGTGGAGAAATAGGAACACTTTTATACTGTTGATGGAAATGTAAATTAGTTCAACCATTGTGGAAGACAACGTGGTGATCCCTCAAGGATCTAGGACCAGAAATGCCATTTGACCCAGCAATCCCCATTACTGGTATATACCCAGAGGATTATAAATCATTCTACTATGAAGACACATGCACACATATGTTTACTGCAGCAGTATTCACAATAGCAAAGACTTTGAACCAACCCAAATGCCCATCAATGATAGACTGGATAAAAGAAATATGGCACATATACACCATGGAATACTATGCAGCCATAAAAAAGGATGAGTTCATGTCCTTTGCAGGGACATGGATGAAGCTGGAAACCATAATTCTCAGCAGACTAACACAGGAACAGAAAAGCAAACACCACATGTTCTCACCCATAAGTGATAGTTGAACAATGAGAACACATGGACACAGGGAGGGGAACATGACACACTGGGGCCTGTCAGGGGTGGGGGTCTAGGGGAGGGTTAGCATTAGGAGGAATACCTAATGTAGATGACAGGTTGATGGGTGCAGCAAACCACCATGGCACGTGTATACCTATGTAACAAACCTGCACGTTCTGCACACGTATCCCAGAGTTTAAAATATAATAATAATAATAAAACAATTGAACACATAGAGATAGGAATAAAATGATGGTTACCAGAGACTGGAAAAGGTAGTGAGGATGGGGGAAAGTGGGGATGACTAATGGGTAAAAAGATATAGTTAAACAAAATGAATAAGATCTAGTATTTTGTAGCACAACAGGGTTACTACAGTCAATAATAATTGTACATTTCAAAATAACTAAAAAAGTATAACTGGAATGTTTATAACACAAATAAATGATACATGCTTGAGGTGATGGATACCCCATTTACCCTGATATGATTATTATACAATGCATGCCTATATCAAAATATTTCATGTACCCCTTAAATATATATACCTACTATGTACCCCAAAAGATTAAAAGTAAAAAAGTTACCAGGAGAAATAAAAAACATAACAACACATATATCAAGCTTGAGTATATGAATGAAAGATAGCTCTTGGAGAACTTCAGTCCATAAAAGCTATTTACTGTAATGATAATGACTAATGGCAATGCATCCCAAGCTTGTCTGCAAGGCCTTTGCATGCAGACTGTGAATATATGTTCTCTGTTCATATCCCCATATTTTATAAAAATTATACAAAGCAAATTATCCTCAGTCCCCAAAATACTTTAAACTACATTCAGTCAACTCTCATCTCTCCCTATCTCAGGCAATAATAACATGGTCTAAGTTGCAAAAGCTGTGGTTTATTCACCCCACATTTCTGAAAGTCACAGGCCAAGCAGTAGCTGTGATTTATCACCCCTCTACCTGAGACGCAGCATTTCCTGAAATACTATCTGATGAAATCTTAATCTATTGCCAAAATCCCCATTCTTCCAATATTTTGAATTTTTGTCATTTTTCCTAGTTTTGCAAGAATCCATTTCTTTCCCAAATGGGTTCTGCAGTCAGAGCTATTTCCAGTCAGAACTTCTAGACGTGTTCCCTTTTAAATTAGATGTTTTAAAGGGGATGAAGTACTGTGATTTTGGATCTGTGGAAAGCAATCTTTATAGTAATCTCAAAAGCTACTTCTGACTACCTATAACAAGACCGTCTAAAATGCAAAATTTGTTTCTTAAAATATATGCAATTTGCATTGCAAGTTGTAAAATAATTAACACTAAATATAGCAACAAACTCCAATGACTTAGGGCATCACATAGTATGTAATATATATTACATGTTCAACAAAGGTTGGCAGGATGTGAGGAGAGATGTCTTCCCAACAAAATAACTCAGAAACTTGGACTAGTGGATGCCTCCATCTTGTAGCAGCATTACCTGGAAACGTGTTTCTGAAGTTGCAATGGCAGGGGAGTAGAGAGACAGAGGTTGAGAGAGACATGGGCTTTTAACTGCCTCTGCCCCAAAGTGACTAACATCACTTTCTCTCACAAATCATTGGCCTAAACCAGCCACATGGTCCCAGCTTAGCTACAAGGAATGAGAAATGTAGGGGAGTATAAGGAATATTTGATGAGAACTCTCTCTGCCACACACAATTTGCACATCAGCTTTGGGCACTGACATGATAAATTAAACTTCAAAGTTGACATGATTTTAATAAAACCACATTTTGAATGTGTCCAGATATTCTGAAGGCATAAGCAAAGAAAAAAAAATACATCAATAAGAAAATAATCTTCAAATATCATATTAAAATTATGGAAACAGAGCTTCTCTGACAAGTTAGCTTTTCTGGTGCTATTCAAATATCTTCTAAATGACACCATTAACTTGAGCAAGAGCAAATTCATCTCCTAGCTTCCCTATTGACCATTTGATGCATCCATAAACCAAACTACATAGAGCTCATTCATCTTTTGTCAACTCATGCTAATTCATTTCTTTGATTATTGTTCCTAAGAGATGTGTTCTTTCAGATTTCTCTCCCTTGGACATGATTATGAGATATTTACTTATTTCTCTAGATAAATGAATATAATTAGAATGATTAATGTTTTGTATATTAAATATTGCAATGGTAGGGACTTTTCCCTTAACTTTTCTAAGCAGGAAAAAAAAAACAGATTCGAAAGTCATTAAGTTTTTTAAAAATCAACTTAGTATTTTAGAATAGTTTTAGATTTAAAAAAAGTTGTAAACATAGAACAGAGTTTCCATATACTCCCCAAGTATGTTTTTTCTGTTGTTAACATCTTACATTATTATAGTATGCTTGCCTCAATTAATGAACCAATATTGATACATTACCATTAACTAAATCACACATTTTGCTTAGTTTTCTGTCATTTTTACCTATGTCCTTTTTCTGTTTCAAGGTCCCATTCAACATGCCATATTGCATTTGTTTGTCATTATCTCTTTACACTCCTTTTGTCTGTGACAGTTTCTCAGACTTTCCTTGTGTTTGATGACTTAATACAGTGTTAAGGAGTGCTGGTCAGATATTTTGCAGAACGTCCCCCAAGAGGGACTTGTCTAATATTTTTCTCACGATTAAACTGAAGTTAAGGGTTCTGAGGAGAAAGACCATGGAGGTGGAGGACCATTCTTATCACATCACATCATCTCATGATATTTCCTATCAACATAACTCATCATTGCTGATGGATGTTTCCCTCGATCACCTGGCTGAGGTAATGTTTGTCACGTTTCTCCACTGTAAAGATATTCCCCCTCCTCTAACCTTTTCATGTTGAACTTTTTGGAAGGACGTCACTAAGCACAATCCACACTTAGGGAGTGGGGGTTTATGCTCCACCTCCTTGAGGACAAAGACTGTAAAGTATGTGGAATCCTTCTACACAGGAGGCTTGCCTACTCTCCCCCCTTTACTTATTTTATGCAATCATTTATTTATATCTGTATGAACTCATGGACATTTATATTTTGGATTATAATCCAAAACTACTTTATTTTTTGCTCAAATTATTCCAGCTTTGGCCATTGGGAGCTGTTTCAGTTGGTTCCTTTATCCTTCTGATACACCCCATCATTGTGTTTCTGTGTGTGGTGGGGCGGGGGTGGAGTTGGATAATTCTTTACTTTTCAGCACTGTGTTTTGTATATTTAACATGTGTATTTTCTGCCCCTGTCCTAGTATCAATCATTTCTCAAGGAGCTCTGATTCCTTTAAGTGGAGAATAGTAGAAATTAAGATCTGGGTGCTAGAGGTGCTCACTGCTACTAGGTATTACCTCTAGACCCTGTCAGCTGACAAGACAAAGAGAGATATGTGTTTTTCATTCAGTTTTGATGGAGGTCAACCTCAGGCTTACTGGGATTTCCTACATTCCTTGTCTAGAATAAAAGACTTTTTCTTCTTATATGAGTTATGTTGACAGTTGTGGAAACCTACAAGAGGATAAAGAATCACCAATTCTGAAAAATGAATGTGGGAGCTTTGTCCCAGAGGCTGACATCATTCGTCAGAGGTATAGGTGGCCCTATGTTAATTAAAGACAGTGTGAAAAGTCTGATCTCTTACTATACATATATATGCATACCCACTATAAATATATATATATGCTTTCAGATGTGTGTGTACACACACACACACACACATATGCTTTCTAATAAAAGTTAGGAGGTTTGAATTGTATTCCATATTTTTCATTTTGACAATTGAGTACTGCTATAGTTTCCCCAGGGTTTCTTCACCATTGACTTTCCTCTTCATTTTGTTGTTTTTATTACTGACCCTCATGATGATCCACTTGTGTGGGGTAACTGAGACTGAAACTCCTCAACCATGAAAATAGAACAGTAGAGCACATTTTCTATTGTACCATTTTGAGCCACTTCAGTAATTGGACTTCATGGAAGAGAGTAAGAACAATAGCTATTTATATCAGGAGGTAAGCCCAAGAACCAAAGAGAGATCAGGAAGAATGAACACTGATGTGCCAGTCAGCAGGACTGAAACATCTGGGTGACTACCAGCCTCAGCATTTTGCATTTTTCTGCTATTACTAAAATTGGCAACCAAGGACCCTATTCAGCCTTAATTGATTCTGCAGCTGCATCAAACAAAGTCATTCCATAAAATTTATCTCACTTCACAACCTTAGAGCCAGCTTTTAATGCATATGAAAGTTCTATGCCACCAGGCAGCCTTCTTCATCGACACAGTGGGAAATTCCTCTAATAAACCACAGAGCACAGAGCCTGTAGTGGGCATCTTGAACCTGTTCTTCAGAGAGAGCTCTAGAGGCCCAAAGTCCTCTGTAGACGATTCTATGTTAAGAGTTGAACTAGAAAGTTAGAATTGAGAAAATAACATGAATAAGTGCACACATCTTGACAATGCTCTCTTATGGAAAATAAATAAATGGGCAAGCTCTAAGGAATTCTGAAATTGTGTTACATTTTAAAGTTAGGTCACTGTACAGAGAAATATTGAGCTCTTTCTTTACAAAAGGAATCCTGAAGAATTTACAATTCTCTTACATAAAATTATATAATTTAGGGTCAGTGTCAATGTAAAATCAGACTTTGTAGCTAATTCCATGCACAGAAAGGGAAGATAAAGTCCTGGGTGGTAAATGAGAGAAAAGGTAGAAAAATAGCAAAGTATCATTATAAATATTTAAGATGTTGTATCTATTAAAAATAAAATGTTTAATTCAACAAATATTTATTAAATATCAAATTAGGCTGCTGGTACTGTGGCATGCTTTAAGGATACAAACATTAATGAAATGGACTCTGCCTTGAATGACATGATAATCTGGTATGATTGTAAGAAGTATGGTAAGTATTGTTAATAAGGGTATATTATCAGAACACTCAGAAATGCCATTCTACCTCTAAATTGAATTCCAATGAGCCAATGGTAGTTAGCCAAGAGGAGTAAAGAATGGACCTTCCAGGCACAAAGAGTAAGATGAGCAGAGGCTAAAGGTGAGAGAGAATGTGATGAATCTGAAAAACTTCAAGTAACTTTAATAGCATTTAAATAGGTATGTGACATATGACAGGAGAATTTGCAAGAAATAAGGTCATAGAAGTAAGCTTGAAGTCATATTAGCAAATTAGTGCCTTGCCCTCAAGGCAATGGAGAATATTAAAGGGGTTTATGCAGGGTAGTGGCATGATAGTAATCAAAACTTAGAACATCCTAGCCACAGGATGGAGAACGTTGTCAGGGAACATCAAACGCAAGAGATCCATTAGATGACTGCTTCTGAGGAGCTGAACTGAGGTAGTGACAGAGGGGAAGGAGGGAAGCAGTCCAGCCAGAGAGGCATTAAGGTAACAGGACAACAGGTCATGGTGGGTGGATTGGTGTGGGGATGGAAGGGACAGAAGGCTTCTGGCTTAAGTGTCTAAGTAAATAAATGGTGGGGCTCCTAACTGGTACAGTGAATGAAGGGGAAGGAGGAGATCTGAGGGAGAAATATGAGCTCAATTTAGGACAGATTGAGTTGAAATACTTATTTCATATCTAAATGTAGATGCTAGTAGGCAGTTCTGGGCTGCAAGTAGAGGTATAGTGGATATAGTAGAGATAGTGGGAATGGAAGGGGAACCTTAACAGAGCACAGTTTAAAAGAATTAATTTTGAAAAACCATAAGATATTTCATAGCATTTTGTATTCATTGTTATGAAATGCTCAAGCTCTGAAACTATACTGCCCGATTTTCTGGATTTGAATACTACTTGACGGTTTTTATTCTTGAGAGATAGGTACTTACCATCTTTAGTCTTTCGTGTCCTCTGTAAAATGGTAATAATAGTTAAGAGGATTAAAAAAATAGTATATGCAGTTTGCTTTAAATAGTGCCTGGTATTTGTAGATAACCAGTAAATGTGTGTGTGTGTTTGTGTGTGTGTGTGTGTGAGAGAGAGAGAGAGAGAGAGAGAGACAGACAGACAGAGAGAGAGAGAAGCAGTGTGTGAATGTGTGTGTGTACAGATCCAACTGATTTAATACTCCTCAGTAAGCCGGTTTTCCTTATAGTCAATGTATCAGTCGAGAAATTTTAGCATATGGTATGCTGGTAAAAGCTATGTGAGGAGCATAAAACATGCAAAGTAACCAGGAAACTCACCATTTACAAGGGTTGCAAAAAGAGTGTGTAAAACTATAGTGAATAATAAAACATTCTCCCAGTCTTCCCTCAGCTTCAGCCATTTGGACCTCCCTTGGCTCATCCAATATCTCCATGATCTCCCTTTTCTTAGGTATGGGCCTTAGGATGTTCACCCCTGTTTCCTAAAATTTTTGCTAACCCTTTACACTTGGTCAATTTCCACCATCCATATCTCAGCTTAAACATCACTTTCTCTGACCCCAGATTACATTAGTTCCCCTGTTAGGTTTTCCATAGCATCCTATTCTCTCTCAAAGCACTTTTGTTTTCATAGTTATTCAAGAACTCTAGAGAAGGAAAAAAAAATCAGTGGGAACAAGAGTGACCAGGAAAATCTTTCAAGAGCAGAGCCCTTCAAAGGACATACACACTTATGGACAGATTAGGAACACTTCCCAGAGATTGTAGAAGTGATTAATTAGAGCCAGCAGGTTTTGTTGATCTGTGATTCCAATGGACAGCAGCCTTTTTAAATATTGGACAATGTGCTGAAGAGCTGAATGCAGTTGTGTGACCCTATGGTAAAGTGAGATCACAATGTACCTCAAGAGTGATTAAAGTTTGCATGTGGAGTGAGTGTTTGCATTCCAAAGACCTGATGCTGGGAATGCTCTTGTGCATGACCAAACAGAAGCAAGTGTGTGCGGAAAATAAAAGCATTTCAAATGAATAGCAATAGTCAGGTCCTAGATACTTTCTAAAAAGATGCTTCAGTTTTCTAAAGGGTGGGGCAAACTTGTAGATGGAAAGTTTACCCAAGTGCTTATAAGGGTGCTTTATTATACCTCTCCTCTAGCTATTGAGTTTGGGTGCTGTTGATATTTGTACAATTTACCTTTTGCATTTTAGTTAAATCAAAAGATGCCCCCTTTGGAGACTTTAAATAAGTATAATACTATGATAACCTCATTCATGGTTAAACATAATTTTTATTATGACAAATGGATTTAACTTGAATTGATACTAGGAAGGCCATATCTGTTACTGATTAAATTATTTTTTTCCTTATCATTGCTCAGGTTATTACTATAAACTTTCATTTGTCTTTGGAGCATGAGGGGCAAACATTTTCTTGCATCCTTGCTATGTTCCAGGAAATATGCTATTCACCATGCACATGCCATTTTATTTACTGTTCAAAAAATAGTGATGAGGTATTATTATCTCAATTTTACAGATAAAGCTCACATCTTTTCTTAAATAATATAGTATTTATACTGGAAAGATTAACTATTTCAAGTAAAAAATGACTTAGTAGACCATGAATCAATAGAATCCATGAATCAACAGAAGAAAACAAGAAACAGCACCAGAGTGAGTTGAACATGTGGGCTACATGTTCCTACTCAACTCAGAGAAATTCTGCAAGTACAGAACTCCTGCTCCTTTATGTTCATGGTTGTATCCTGAGTATTTAGAACCACGTCTGGCACAGAGTAGACTCTCAGTACATATTTGCTAAATGAATGGATGAAAATTCGAAAGCTGAGTAGAAGCCTATTGAAATGTATTTCAGTGAGCATAAGAGAGGATAGAAACACCAATGACATCAGGACATATACTACATACCCCCCAATCAGAAGAAGAATGTGCAATATGCTTTTCTAGTAAATATTACAAAATTGGCAAAAATACAACTTATATTAGTGAGAGGGGGCTACGTTTATCCAGATATCATTGGGAACCTGCTCCTTTAAAAGTAACACAGGATATAGTCTTACTTTACCTTGTAGAAAATTCATCTCTCAGAAGTTTGAACGAATAAGAATAAGTAAACTTAATTTTGGATTATTAACTTTGGATCTTGACAATAATCAAACAAATGATAAACATAATCCAATAATAAACACAAACCAATAAAATTTTAACTTTCCACACAATAAGAAGACATCAGATCTTTTATAAAGAAATGAAGTTTTATAATGTTATGCGATGAGATAATATTTAAAAAGAACATGCAGAGAAGATTACAGGAATAGTGACCAAGCCAGTATGGCCAAATATAAACAAAAAGTCATGATGTGAGTCTACGTTTGTTCCACCTTGTGTTGGCACGTAATAGATACTTTGAAAGATCTGTTGTTATATTACTTAATCCTATGTTTGGGAAAATATTAAAGCCGAGCAGAGAAAGTTCTTTACCTATGTTTAGAATTAGAATAATAAAGAATGGCCAGGTATCCTGCATGAAGTAGTCATGCACTAATATTAGCAGACGGCAAAATGCAGACGCCTTTTGTTTCCATCCCTCCTGAAATGAAGCATATTCAAACTAGAAAAGTCAAAGGAACATGAAGGATTTGAAAACCGAGATGGATTAAAGACTATCTCACTCTTTTAAATGAGTCCAAGTTTGCAGCCTCAGTCATATTACATATCTGGTCATTAAAACATAGGGACTACTCCTGGTGATCTTCAAGAAATAATGGACATTTGAAAGCTGCCAAGTTAGATAAATACCTTTATTTCCCGAAAACAGATGAAAGATCTGCCTTAAACCTATGGAATAACAAATTTAATACCAATCCCCGCTGAAATTCTAGAAGGTCATGTGGTTTATGAATACTTAGGAGAGAAGAGCCATTTAACAATAAACTCATTCTATATAAAATTAGAAATGTAAAGCAATGCATTTTCTTTATTTTCTTTTATGATGAACTTAGTAGTTTGGTAGACATTCTATGAGTTGGGCATTTTTTTCTCCAATTACATTTTGGGCAAAGAGAAGTAAGTCATAAATGAAAGAAAACCTGGCTCAACACTCACAGGACAGATTTGAGATACCATACTCACCTGAGGACTAAGCATTTCTGCAATGTGCTTGAGTATTTGTGGAGAAATGTGTCCTAAATTTATGATCTCAGTAAATTCTGAATATTCATTAGGGTTTTACATTTTCTCAAATGTAGGTGTACTCTAAAGAGAACCCTATAAAAATTAAGGACTGGTTTCAGGGGAAGTGAGAGAGGGTTGTGTTTGAAGAAGTTGTAAATATATATATATATATATATATATATATGTATATGTATTATGTATTATATTCTTCATCATATTCAGGAGTGACACTCTTCATCTGGTAAAGGATTGAATTGATCAGTGTATGAAACCTGGGATGCCCATGAGTCTAGAAACTCTCATGGGCACCCAAGATAACTTAACTGAAGAATACATCATTTAATTGAATTTATTAAAGATGTCTGATAGGTTCAAGTAGAAACATAGAAGCTTGAAGTCTAATTTACTAGATCTCCAGATGGTATTATTTTACATTATCTTTCCATGTGCACTTTAGATTCAGTGTTTGCAAATTTATTCTTTATGATTCATTAATTCAGCCCATAAACCAATAAAATATAATCCATAAGATTAAATTATGAATATCCAAAGAAATATATATAATTATGTTAATATCCAGTCTTCTGAATAATCCCACTGACCTTTGTTCTCCAAATTATTTTCTTTTACCCCTACCAACTGAAATTGTAAGAATTTCAAGTTTAGTCATGTTCACTTATCATTCTCCTTCATTACAACAAATGAATCAATCATATAAAATATTTTTGAAAAATTCATTTCTCCCTTTCTGTAAGGGATTTTCTTTGAAAATCTCCTGAGACTGATGTAAATTTACAACTACTATATTTTCTAAGCAACAGTTCTTTTCTTCTCAGGATTATTCATCCCTTTTTAAACATGAATATGTCCTTAATATATGCTATGTACTGGAAATAATCACAACTATTGTAATTCTATTGTTAATTTTGACACTGCAATTTAACATGTTAAATAAAACAATGAATGTATGTCATTTGTTACTTTAATAAGTGTACTTGGTTTTTAAGAAATCCTGTTATGAACATTTTGCAAGGAAAAGAGCAGAGTATGAGACTAGCCCTACAAAAGAGGAAGATCACATAATTTTTAAATTGTAGTAATTGTGGGGGTGGCTACCACCAGACTGACACTCAAGGCTACCTGAATTTGTACAGTGATGCTATTGGTGTCATGCTCAGATGTTATTTCCCTGGCCTGTGCACCATCCTCAGCCAAATTTCCTGTGAATTAGAACTTCCTTTCTCAGGAGGTTAAATAATCATGTAACAGGTTGCAAAATTTCCTAATTGACACTCAGATCTGCAAATAATACATTTGATTTAGATTTTATCTTCTTTACAATGGCTTCATCCTAAAGGGCAAAGAAGGGAGTTATTTATTGTAGTCTAAAAATCAAAGCAATAATTTTAGGAAACTCAGTCTCTGTGAATGACTCTGTTTTTTATATTTTCTCCCCACCCTTTTTCTTCTATCTAAAATGGCATTTCAAAATCTGGGAGGTGCTGTGGATATTGCCTTGTCACAGTAGAGGTAGACTAGAGTCTTAGATCCAAATATTTTTCCCTCAAGTATTACTGTGAGACCTTTAAATTAATCCCTATGGGTATGCTACTAATGTGTAAGAAACATCCCAAAATGTAGTAGCTTAAAGCAAAAATCACTTGTTATTTTTATGAGTTCTTGGGTCCTGCTGAACAGAGCTTTGCCATCCTGTATTGGTATCTGACACAGGAGGAAAAATAGTAATATTTGCCTTGCCTTTATTTAAAATTTTGATATTTTGTTAATCATGGATGACTTGTTGCATTAATTTTTATTTTTATGAATTTCTACCTTAAAATATTGTTTATTCTTATTTCTGAGTTTGTGGGTGACCCCTTAAATTTTGCAAGTGCCTCATTTGTCTCACCTTGGTCCTGGTCCTGTCGCTGAGGCTTGGGCTTGCTCTTATTTCTGTGGCCAGCTGACAGGTCAGCTGGGATCTGGCTTGTTTAGGATGGTTTCAAGATGACCCTAGGATGACGTGGCTCTGCTCTATGCAATCTCTCATATACATGTAGCTCCTGTATCTTCCCAGCAAGCTAAACAAGCATATTCTCATCCTAACCTGGACATGTTATCTTGAAGAACACAGAGAAGCAAAAAAGAAAGCAAAGATATGCAAACTCTTTTTCAAACCTCTGCTTTGCCAGTGAACTGTGGCCAAACCAATACACAAGGACAGAATCAGTATGAGAGGGGACTACAAAGTTACAAGACAAAAGACAGGGATATCGGGATGCCTTAATTAGAACCCTAATGCAGTCAATCTAAGATACTCTCTAAGCCTTGACTTCCTCAAATGTAAAATGAGAATACTACTAGAACCCACTACTTAACATTGCTGGGCGCACTTAATGAAATATTACGTAAAGCTCTTAGTATAATTCCTGGCATGTGGTAAGTTTTCAATAAAACTATTATTTTATTGTGTATGTAAATATATGTTAAACTCTGAAATAATGTTTTGAACAACAGAGAACAGAATTATCCCTTAGTATGGGAAAAGAACATACTATGCCTCTATTTTCTTATCTACATGAAAAAGTAATAAATGTACAAGATCAACATGTTAGATTTAAAAATATAGGATAAACGTACAGGAAAATGTTCATCAGAGTGCCTCTCATTACACAAGCACTCAGTGTTAATTGAAATTGAGCCTAAATTTCTTTATCAATAAGTACATGTCACTTATCAAAGTTACATTCTAGAGAAAATAAAAGAGTAAGAATATAACCCATAGGAGAAGCCTTGACCTATCTAAGATGACATTGTCTCAAGAGCATCTTATTGGTTTAACTATGGGCAAGGATGCCTATAAACTACATTTAGTTTAAGGAAGTAAGGGGTGTGTGTGTGTGTGTGTGTGTGTGTGTGTGTGTGTGTGTGTGCGCGTGCGCGCGCATGTGCCTACACAAATGAGACCCTAAGAAATATCATTTCTGGTGCTTCTCAGATTGCTGAGCTCCTTGCCTCTATATGACCTAATTGATAAAGTTAGCTGAAGGATATGACTGGCTGGATCTGCTGGTAGAGGTTTTCTATTATTATTCTGTTTCTACTTTCTTGCAGTAGTAGCTCTAAAATATATAAGCCACACAAGACAGGCAATTACTATTAAATTTAAGAAAGATGATTGTTACAATATACACTGTGGGTAAACGTTTGAAGAGTAAAGTAAGAGGTACTATTTGCATATAAAAGCTCTATGCAAATTCCTGAGATTCCACAGATTTAAAGAGAACTAAGATCTAAATGAATAAAATTCTTGAGAATGGAAATTATCCAGTGAGTCCTATCACCATTTGGAACATCACTCCCAGCTGAGTGCTTCACTCAGGAAGGAGACCATTGTCTTTGCATGAATTTTCAAATGCTCTTTCTTTGAAAACCAAATATTTCCAAATTTACTTAATTACAGTTTCATATTGGGAAAAATTCATAACAAACATAAAGTTTAAAAAACGTGAGTTCCACTCTTAAATGTAAGCTGTACATAATGACTTCCTTTCAAAGAGTAAAGTTTGAAGGGAGTGGTGGAGACCACCTTCACAGTGGAAAACCTGACAAACACTACCTCAGCCAGGTGATCAAAGATAAGATGAGGAATGATGAGTCATGTTGATAATATGTAACATTGATTTGATGTGATGTGATGTGTTAAAAATGGTGGCTCCACCATTGAGGTCTTCCGCCCCAAAACTCATAACCTCAGTCTAATCATGAGAAAAACATTAAGTCTCTCTGGTCAGACAATACCTGACCAGCAGTCCTTAACACTGTGAAAGTCATCAAAGACAAAGAAACTGTCGCAGACAAGAAGATCTTAAAAAGACATGACAACCAAATGTAATGTAGTATCCTGGATGGAACCTTGGAACAGAAAAAGGCCATTAGGTAAAAACTAAGGAAATCTGAGTAAAATATGGATGTTAGTTAACAGTAATGTATCATTATTGCTTTGCTCAGCATTACAAAGGTACTGTATTTATGTAAGATGCTAATAATGGGGGAAACTGGGTGTGAAATATAAGGAACTCTCTGCATTATCTTTACAAATTTTCTGTGAATCTTAAATTAGTCTAAAATTAAAAGGTTATTTTTAAAAACCTAATCTAACTTACTGCTTTGTTAAGAACTTAGAGCTTTTTTAAAAAACAGAGGAAATGTCTTTTTATAAAAATATGTACAATTTTATATTCAATAATCATGTTGTTTTTCTATTCAAGGACCATTTTCAAAAACTTTAGCCCAAACACCAGTTTACAGGGAAAAGTTAGAGATAACTAAAAACAGTTGCTTTAACAATTAACACTGAAAGCTGAAATACTTTATAACTGCATTGTTATTCCACAATACCTTGAACAAAATCTCAAACATTTTTGTAATTCAAAGGATCTTAGATTAGACTGTTTCTTTGTAAGAAAAACAAATCCTTAGATTTACTCATATATATAATGCGGATGTTTATGGACTACAATGAGAAATTAAACAAAAATGTTGGTTTTTACATTTTTTAAAAAATTTGTTTTTGCTCTGATAAACCCAAAACTGCATATGAAGCAATAGAATTAAACCTATAAATATTTTGGGGGAGTTTCCTTCAGCCATGTAGCTTAAATTAAATAACTATCAATATAAATAATTTTGATTTTTAGTTTTTATTTTTTGTACTCAGAACCCATTTAGATTTATAAAACAAAAAAAATAAAGAATGTGTGCTCATAAGTAGAAAAATTTGAAACTTGTTTAATCATCCTTGAGCTCAGTTATAGCAAGCAAATGGCCACATGCTGTTTTACTATATTTTCTTTGATAATAAAATGTGTGCCTGATGGATGATTTTAAGTAACTATCTGGTTGCTAGGTCATGTACTCATGGCTTTTACCTATTAATAAATAAATAAATGCATAAATAAATAAATAAATTGCAGAAATAAATGAAGTATTAGAGTAAGTCTTCACTTGATGTTGTTGATAGGTATTTGGAAACTGTGACTTTAAGCAAAATGATGTACAGCAGGTCCTTGAATAATGTCATTTTGTTCAATGTTTTGTTGTAACATTGTTGAGAAAAAAATAAAAATGGCTTGGTTATATGTTTTTTCGCTTAAAGTAGCAATTTCCAAGACCCTTTTGACAACATTGAGAACTTATTGTAAATCAAATCTAAGTAAGCCTTTGTGTACTAGAAATGTTCTAATTACTGTGACTACCTGTGTTTATCTTAAGAGTGAAGTTTTCTAAAGACAAGAACCATCTCATGCATGCAATAGATTCTCTGCTGTCAATGGAAAATAAAACTTAAGCGAAAGGACATTTATATTTAGTAATTCAATAATTGTTACAATGATCATAGTTATAACAATAGAAATAACATTTATTGAGTGCTTGGCATATGATTATAATTTGGTAAAACATCCATTATATTGTAGACTCCAAGAAGACAGAAATTTAACCTAAAACATTGGCTCATAATAGGTACTTAGTAAGCATTTGTCAAATAAATCAATGCCAGACCTTGATTACGGCAAATCCATGAGGCAGGAGTCGTATGCTGGGCATATTAGCAAAAGAGGCATGAGAGCTGTTAATAAACTTTTTCACAGTTAAGAAATGGCAAAGTAGATTTTCAAATCCAAGACTTGAGTCTGCGCCCTTACCACACTCCAGCATTGCCATGTCCCTTTCATGCCAGGAGATAGTAGGATATAATTAATGAAACAAAACCAGTAATTTTGACATTACCAGCTTTTTTTCTGTCGTAATAACCAACGGAAAATAACAAATACCCTTGCAGTAATGATTAACGATCAGTGAGAAGAACTAGACAAGGGCTTTTGCCGACATCTGCACCAATAGAGGACACCCTACACCTATGTGAACAGGTGAAATGGTAAGGGTAGAGGCGAGTCAAGGTTAATTCTTACACCAAGGCTGAGATGATGGAAATGAAATGAAAAAAGAAATTGTATTACTTGAAACTTTGCCATGTGCAAGAACCCTGGAGGTGATCGTGCTCTTTCATCCATAAACTTGATGTTTATTTAGCTGACAGCAAAGATAGCATAAATAATAGGTAAGTAGTGGACGAAATGTTCCCAACTGTTTTTTCTCCATCTTTTGTCATATTTCTAGATAATGCCTTCTACAGAACACTTAATGTTGAAACAGTGAACAAAAAGCAATTTTCCCACAACTGAGGCATCTCTGTTCTTGATCAGTAAATATCAAAATTAGTAGATGGCAGAATTGCATGGAGAGAACAGACTGTCTTGAAGAAATATGTAGAACAAATTATGCTAGTACTTGGAAATTTTGCAGCAGACTTGCAACACTGTATCATTGCTTGTTTTCTGGATCTATTTAGTAAAAAAAAAAAAATCAAGTGTTTCAAAGTAGGGTGCACAAAAAATTATGATGCTAAGTATCTTTCTGCTAGCACGATTACCTCCCTCCCTGACTTGATGCTCACTTCACTGATAGTTCAATTTTCATATGAATTTGTAAGTTGTGACTTTTCTATTAAGTGCAGAAATTGCCTTCTGGAAATCTCATGGTCTCAGTGATATTTTAACTAAAACCCCACTGAGTCATGAGCCTAAATTTTATTGTCAGTTGATATGTTTTGTGAATGATAAGATAGTACATATATTGCATATTGTGCGTAATATTTCTTGTACCTCCATTTATCTTGTACCTCTTGCCTTCTGTATTTGTTTTCTAGGGCTGTTGTAGCAAATTACCACAAACTGGGTAGCTAAAAGCAACAGAAATTTGTTTTTTCATAGTACTGCAGGCTAGAAGTCTGAAATCAAGGTGTGTCTGCAGAGTTTGTTCTTTCTGGAGACCCGAGGAAGAATCTATTCCTTGCCTCTCTCCTAGCTTCCGGTGGTTGCCAGTAATTCTTGACATTCCTTGAATTCCAGCTGCATTGCCTCGGTCTTCACAATATGTTTTCCCTGTGTGTATCTCTGTGTCCGTGTCTTCACAAGGCTCTCTTAAAAGGACATCAGTCAATGAACTCAGCACATTCTCATCTGGTATGACCTCATCTTCATTTGATTACATCTGCAAAGACTCTATCTTCAAATAAGGTTACATTCAGAGGTACCAGGAATTAGGACTCCAGCATACCTTTTAGGAAGAGACAGTTCAACTCACAACATGTTGGTCAGGAAACCTCACTTAGTAGAAATAATCAAGGTGATTTTTATATTCTGGAATAGTTAGTGTTCATTTGTGGAGTCCTGCTCTTCACATTTAGCAAGAAGATCAAATCTAAACGAAGCCAGGTAAACATTAGTAGGCCTAGAAAAGGTGGTAGTAAACCCCATGGTACCAGAACTCTCTTTTGTTAAGCAGTCAGCCAGTGAGGTGATTGGATTGATGAGGGAAGAGACATGACAAGCACTTGGAGGGCTGGCATGCTGACAAAAAAAATGTACCAAGATAATAGTAGGGAAAAATATATACCCAGGAGCTTATAGTCATGGAATTTTGTGGATTGTTCTAAGTTGATTGTTACCACAGTTTGCCAACATGCCATCATTTTTGTAAGTAGAATTTTTGAAAACCATGTGCAATTACTGAAACATAAGTATTTTATGTAATGCTACACACATTGAAATTACAAAGGGAAGAAAATTTGTGGTTCACCAAAAAGGAATCTTTTACTGCTAGATGAGACAGCAGTTTTGAGCACCTTAGGAACATTTTCCAAATTTTTGTTCGTTTTTCTCAGAGAGCAAGGTATGGCTTGTAGAGGCAAACATTAGAAATATAAAGGTCAGTGATAGGTAAGCATGAGTTAAATTAATTAATGAAAAGAAAAAAACCTTTCTTAATGAAAGATTATGTTCATGTGTTAGTTCTGTGGGCATAAGCTGTGCAGTCCTCATTTACAACTCATAAAAGCTACAGTGACAGGTGCTGTAGAAAGGGGATGATAGATTAGCTGTTGCTCATGCGAGCAATGAAGCAGCAAGAGAGAGCACATTAGACCAAGCGAGCAGCCAGAAACAGCAATAAAATCATTACTAAAAGAGATGATACGGTTAACATGGGAATATATATCTTTCTGGCACTGGCATTGTATTTACTGGTGTACTACACATTCAAATAGATTGTTCAAAAGATTCATTTCTGGATTGAGATAAGAAAAAAGAAATTTATCAGGTCTTAGACTAGATCTCTTTCTTGTCTCTCAGTGTTGCTGACATAACTTGATTTTCATTTCCTAGTGCAGTTTAGATGCCCTTCCTTCTATCTATAATACTGCCACATAGTTAGAGCCAGTGTCTTTTTTTTTCCTTTGATGCCATGAATTTTGCCACTTAAGTTGTTATTCCATCATATAAAACAAGACAAATGATGTCCTGTATATTATTCTACCATCAACCTCTTGAAAGATAATGCAGCATAGTTATGTAACAGGAATTTGATACTCGGTTTCTTGCTCAGGGGAAAATTGTCTCTTTAATGATTGTTTCCTTGGTTAAAATTATTGATATAAGATCATTGACATTTTTGAGTTGTAAAATTCTCCAAAAGTCCCATGTAAAAACCTATATTTAATGAAAAATAAGCTACAAATTTGTTTCATAGTAACTTAACTTTATGATTATGAGTCTGTGCTTACATCCAAGTTCCATCAATTAGCCATAAATGTTTCCTGAGGCACAGCACTGTTTTTTACTCTGTAAAACGAGCACAGTAGTGTAGTGCTTATTTATATCTTGTTGTGGAGGTTAAATGAAATAATTGGAAATAATTGATGTAGAACATACAGCACAATATTTGTATAGTGACTACTCAGTAACTTTCAACCCAAAAAGAAAAATAAAATATTTCCAAAATAAGTGTTTTCAGAATAACTCCTATAGATTTTTTTAGAAAATGCCACTACCCTTTTCATTAAACGTAAGATTATTTTAAAATAGAGTTTTCTATGTGATCTTTTGGAAATACAAAAAAAATATAATTTGGGACTCAAAACAAGGAAGACTGCTCCTTGACTATGTTTTTTGTCACTGGATTGTTTGAGCAAAGGCAGGCAGCCACCTGTTGGACTCCTGCATGGAAAAAAAGTGAACTAAGTGACCTCTACTTCCTCAAGGCTCTATCCTGTATTTCCATGGAAACCGGGCATATCATTTTGTTTCTTATCATGTCTTTGCCTTCAGAAAATTCCCACTATGCAGGCAATTGTAATACTACCCCATTTTGTGTTTTGTTTTTTATTCTTTTAAATTGTGGTTGCAAACTCAGAGCAGAGAGTTAAAATAAAAGATCCTCGCTCATCCAAAAGTCCTAGACATCATCTATTTCAGGCAGTTTAGGCAGTCCCCTTGGTAATACCCTAACCTCTAAAAGCACATCACACTGGTAACAGATCTAGAATGTAGCACTTGAGGATGATATCCAGACTTGGAGAAGCGGCAGGCTAACAATGAAGCTTAAACTCTCTGCTTATCTGGAGAGGAAACCAAGAACATTTCAGCACTCATCCCTTATCCTCAGTTCCCACCTTGCTCTGCCTTCCTGCCAATGTAGAACAAAGAGAATAAAAAAAATGCTCCCTTGAAATTTGTAATGAAACTGATTGATCATTTTGTTTGTTTGTTTTTTCTCCTCTTAGGCATAGAATTATATAGAAGGGAGAAAGCTCAGGGTCCTCATAGTACAGATAGAAAATTGACAATTTAAGGAATGCAAGTGAATTACTCAACATCAGATAATTTAAAAATAGGGTCCTTGCCAGAACCCAGTTTTCATATCTTGATCTTGCCCAGGCCTTGCTGCCGCTCAGTACAAAAAGATTATGCCCATCATCTCCTTCCTAAGTTCCTACGACCATTTTTATTTTCCTATGATAGTATAGCGAGTGAATCCATTCCCTTCTATCAGTTATAAGCTTAATTTCACCAGAACACATACTAATGAGAAGATACAGAATCTCCTTTAGTTAACGCAAGAAATGCCTTTGCTGATCTAACCTGTCTAAGCTATATCTCTGCATTTTACCTTTCTTTAGGTTAAGTAGTATGGCTACCTTGGTCTCAGCTGTTCATCCTTTCCCTCCTTCAGTCTCATAGCCACTCTTTCAGGATTCCATAGACTGGGAATATTACTACTTAGCTGTCTTACCTATCTTCCTATGGCCCCTAGCTCCTGTTACCTACCATTGAAACAGGCTTTATTCTTCTAAGAAGCAAACTACTGTCTTGTGATTATTTGGGGCCTACCAGACACTATCCTCTCTCAGAAGAAGCCACTATTTGGGTAACACACAGCCTTTTCTCGATTGAGTTCTCGTCTATGAGTCCACAAAGACTCACAAGCTTAGGGGAAGTTTATACATCATCAAGAAAATACTGGTTGGACTCATCCTGGAAACTTAGAAGGGAAAACTCTTGGGACACTGACCTTCCACTTTTTGAATATTTCCAAATTATATGAAAAATTTGAAAGTGTTTGCATTTTCCACTTAAAGAGAGAAAAAGTCTTGAATTTTATTTAATGTATTAAGCTTTGGTTTGAAGATCCTGATGCTGTAAGCATAACTGGAAACACAAACTTTGAAGCCAAACTTCTTTCTCCACTCTGTGTTTGTGAAAACTATCTTTAGGTTTGTTGTTGTTGTGTTTTTGTTTTTTGTTTTTTGTTTTTTGCTTTTTTTTTTTTTTTTTTGAGACGGAGTCTCGCTCTGTCGCCCAGGCTGGAATGCAGTGGCCTGATCTCAGCTCACTGAAAGCTCCGCCTCCCAGGTTCACACCATTCTCCTGCCTCAGCCTCCCGAGTAGCTGGGACTATAGGTGCCTGCCACCACGTCTGGCTAATTTTGTTTGTATTTTTAGTAGAGACAGGGCTTCACCGTGTTAGCCAGGATGGTCTCGCTCTCCTGACCCCGTGATCTGCCCACCTCGGCCTCCCAAAGTGCTGGGATTACAGGTGTGAGCCACCGCTCCTGGCCTAGGTTTGTTATTTAGGCGTCAATGTTTGTTTATACTTAACCATCTATTTATTATCTGATATGTGCTGGACACTAGGCTAGGTGTTTGATTTACTGAATCCTTACAGTAATTCTGCAAGAAAGACACTACCATCCCCATTTTATAGATATTTTTTTAAATTGAGACTCAAAGTTGCTACACAGTTTTCCAAAATGGAATAGTAAATTAAATAGCTGGGATTTAAAAACAAGTCTGAGATTAAAACCCATGCCCTTTTTACTGTCATGCTACAAACACTTTTTTTTTTTTTGTCTTTGCTTTGCAGACTGCCCCCCATGCTTTTTTTTTTTTTTTTTTTCTTAAAATATTTCTTGCTGTTTGTGATAGTTGGATGCCAGCTTGGCCCATCTGCTGCTATTTTTCCAGAATTTCAAAGGACTACTTTTCTATTCAAAGACATACTTCATCATTTCCTTAAAACATTTATTGTGCTCACCTGGCAGTGATCACTCTACTATGGCCACCTTGCCGCAAAATGAATTCTGATGAGCTAAGCATGTGGACATAAGGATGTCAGCAGGATCCCATGCAATTGTGTGGATAATGGATACTGACATCCATCCTCTCTACACATGCTCTTCTCGGCAGAGTTCTTGATGCAGCAAGTGCTGCTTTGCTGCTAGCACAGTGGCTGCAGTCCAAAACTCTAGTGGTAGACTGAATGACAGTGCAGGTATTTTGGGAAACTCTTACACCTCAACTAGCTGAGAATATAGATGATCAAGTATTTGAGAGGATTATGTGAAAGCTTTACGTGTGTTGATAATTTCACTTTGGTGTAAAAAACTTGCGGATGGTCCTGTAAAATCAGCTCTCCCATATGGATTCATGATTATAGCAAGAAAGTTGAAGGCAGACACTATGCACCAGGAAAACCTTATTTCCAGCTGAAGATGTTTACTTTCAGTACTAAAAACTATTATTATTCTGCTTCCTAGAGAGTAGTTTGTTTGTTTTTGTTTTTTTTTTGAGACAGAGTCTCACTCTGTCGCCCAGGCTGCTGGAGTGCAATGGCGCAATTTCAGCTCACTGCAACCTCCACCTCCTGGGTTCAAGCAATTCTTATGCCTCGGCCTCCCAAGTAGCTGGGATTACAGGTGCCTGCCACCACGCCCGGCTAATTTTTGTATTTTTAGTAGAGAAGACATTTCACCATATTGGCCAGGCTGGTCTCAAACTCCTGATCTTGTGATCTGCCCTCCTCGGCCTCCCAAAGTGCTGGGATTACAGGCGTGAGCCACCATGCCTGGCCCTAGAGAGTAGATTTCTGAGGTTCTGATGTATACAGACAAGGAAAATTGAGATAGGACATCTATTTGGAATTTGAAAAATTCAACTATAGCATGAAAATGCCAAGGCAAGGCTAAAAGTATAACGAATAGTGGCAATATCCATGCAAAGATTATAAAAGTATCATAAGTAATTTCTCTAATATATTCACCTGTGTTATCTGCAAGCACCTTTAGCAATAATTGGAAAGGCAGTCTTACTGGTGAGTTAATCAAATGTGGTCAGTCAGTCTACAGAATAGAAGTGATGCCTGCTCTCCCAGGGTTTCTTTGATCAAGGCTGGAGGAGCAGAGATTCATCTGTCATGAGCTACGTTGACGAGAAGAAATTGTTTGTGGCTAAACTGCTATATAATTTTTTTAAAAAATCATGAATTATGGTTTAAGTTGTCAGAGAATTTAAAGTTCTATATCCTCTGTCCCAAGTAGCACTCAGTGTCATTTTTAGAAAATGTGGTCATTACCTTCCCTGATCTCATCCTCAAGCGTCAGGATTCTGACATTGACCCATTTACGTTAGAACAAGAAGGGACTTGAGAAATGGGTGGGTGCACTCCTTCACTTTATGGAAGAAAACATGAAGTCCAGATGAATGATTATAGGCAGATCTAGAAATAAAACCTCCAATTCTCATTTATCATTCCTTTTATTTAAAAAACTAGGAGGGCATTTTTACTGGAAATCACCAAATTACCATAGTCTAAAAATGCAAGTGGAATTTATTAAGGGACCCCTGGGTGCACAGCACTATATTCACTTGTAAGGAAAATGGATGAAAAAGGTTGGGTCATCATGGCCCTTCTGCTTAAGGACCTTATTCTATACTCAAGGTAGATGTAGATAATTTACAGTCATATACAAGTTAAAAATTGATAACGTAAGATTAAAGGCCAAAAACAGTAAGAATGACTGGGCCACTGAGAGACTTTTGTCACTTGGTTAAGAATGCTAGAAGTCACAATGAATTCTTTATTGATGTGTGTTTTTAACCCACAAGTAGAGTGTTTGACAATTATGCAGCTAATTATTTAGTGGGTAGTGGGGAACTAGAAAGATCTGAAGTGGCTACAAGCTGAGATAACATGCAATGGAGAACTTAGTAGCGGGCAAGCAGAAGGAAAGGGAAATTGTTTTTAACTGTGGTGAAAGAACATGGAGATGGTTAGTGGCATCTGTCTTCCTCATTTGATTCAAAGCTTTCTTTTCGTTGTTTCGTCTTGCTTTGCTCAGACGTACCAAAACTTCATGAATCAGTAAGCAATTTTAAAAGCATAACTATGTGCTATTAAGTCACCAACAAGTTAAGTAACTGTTCAATTAATCCATATATGTAAGGAGCAAAGACTGAGAGTAAAGCAGCAGGATTTTTAGCTCCGCCTCTTCTACTAACAAGTTCTCTGATTCTAGGTAAGTCACCTCTCAGGTTCTCAATTTTTCCAAGATGGAAGGAATTAACTAGATGATCACAAAAGCCTTTTTTTAAAACCAACTTACCTCCATCTTTCTGACTTGAGAAGCAAGAGAAAAGGAGTTAATATTAGTCAGATGCTGAAAATATGTAAGGGGAGGAAATGATGTCCCCTCTAAAATCTCCTTTCCCAGTTTTTGATCACTGATTTAGGATTACATGGAAAAACATTATTGGCCAGTAAATGCAAATAAAAGTATTGAGTGGAAGATATCCAGAGATGAAGCTAAAATCTTACATAATGAACAGAATTATATTGAGATTCTATCATCAGTGTACAATATTTAAGGAAGTTTTGATTAGTGGACACACATGTTTAATAAAATGGTGACAGTGACATCATTCTTGTGAGAAGGAAAAGTTAGCGTCAGCCATGTCCAGACTCTCATGTTACTGACTGAGCCTATTATGCTGAGTTGCATCCTTATTAGCTTACTCAGCCACTCCAGGGAGTCTCACACATGAAGGGCCACTGGCACTAAGCTGCCAACTTGGAAAGGACTTGACAGATTCAATTCTCTGATGAGTGAAATCATATTTGTTTTGGTCATTCTCCTTTCATTTAACTGAGAACATTTCCACTTTTCTTAGAATCTTAATCCTCCTCATTGTCAGTTTCCCTGTTTTTCTTGTGGTCACATTGGTTTTACTGTCAAACTATTATTTTTTAGTCGTTTATTTTAAGGCAATTCTACAGCAAATAAATGAAATTTTGAAAGTCAGCTTGCTTTAGGTGAAGAAGGAAACCAAAGGTTTCAAATAGATTAGAGAAATGTATCTCATATCATTTATGTTCTTTACTAAAGAGAGAAAGTAAATACAGCCCTTTCAGTGCTATTTAAAATATTGTCATCCTTTGCCTTACCCTTCATCTCTCAACTCTGTCCAATGGGGTCCCTTAAGGATGGGGAGCAAATTACCCTGCTAAGTGTTATATTGAAGTGTTTACTGAACACATTAGAAAATGTTTAGGTAGGCCTGTAAGTGCTTGCTTATATAAGTTCAGTCACCAGGAATAATTTCACTGTCACTGCCGTTTCATTCTTCTAATTTCAGTTCATTTTTTTCGTGCCTCCCTGGTGAAATAATTAGAAAGGTTACAAAGCAAGTTGGAGATATAAATCAAATGTATAGTGGGGTGCTATCACCCACTCCTTTGTAATCTGTCTTTTCTTATCACACATTCCTGGAGATTGTTCTCTCACAAATTATCAATAACTCTATGTCAATCACCTTTGCTCAGATTTCCTTCTGAAGAACTTCTTTCCTTACCAAGTGACATGGTTCAACCCCTTCAGACTCTCCATCTTAGCCCCACGGCATCATGCAGACCAAGTTTTCCCCCATTGACTCTGATTCTCTGAGTCTTTATTCTTTCCTGCCATTCTCTTCTTGCCTAAACACAGGCATTGTCAAATCTTTTGCCTTTGGGCAATATTTCTTTTCTGTTTTCCCTTCCACTGGAAGCTCTTCCACTGTGATCAAACTCTCATCTTTATGTAGATGACCCCAAATATTCATGTTTCCCAAAATCTCCACTGACCAACAATTCTCTTTCAACCACCTGCTTAACAAATTCATCAGTCTGTTCTATTGACATTTTAAAATGTAGTTCATCATCTTCAAGCCAACTGCTTGCTCCCCTTTCCTTCTTTCTTTTACTAGTTCTGCTATTTTCCCTGTCATCTGAAGTTGAATGGTTACTTTTGAACTGTCTTTGATTCTTGTGTATTTCCACACTAGCCTTAACCAATTAAAACCATGCTGTAAGGAATATTCTGCGATATACATTCGTTTCTATTTAAATATATGGTCAATATATTTTTAAAATATATTTTAGTGGTTGTATAGTGTTCTAGTATGGCACTTCCTTTAATCTCTTGTTGGTATATATTACATGGTTTCCAGACATTTTTTAATTAAAAGCAATGCTACAATTAGGTCATCATTGATATATGTATTTGAAATTGCTGCATCTAAAGCTATTAAGAGTTAAATTGTGAGCATACTCTCAAATTAAGCCTCAAAATGTACAAATTTGCTCTTGTTCCAACAGTGCATTTGTTATATATACATTCTCTGGTAATTTAAAATATCATTTTGTGTCCCAACATATATGATGATTTTTTAATTGTTTTGGACTTGCGGTATATTTCCATTGATCTTTACTAAGATTTTCACCAGTGCCATACAATCTTATTTACTGAATTTTATAGCATTTTGATATCCACTTAGGCATATCCCCTCCTATTAGTCTTTCTTTCCAAAAGCTTCATGGCTATTCTCACACTTCTATTCTCCCAATAAAAGTTGGGCATTTCTAAGACTGTATAAGTTCTCCTGCACTTACAACTACCAATTAATATTTGTATTTACCTGTATTAAATTTACATATTTTGGACATCATTACAAAATGAAATCTCTCCATTTGGAAACAAGATATTTATCTCTCCAATTATTTTACTTGTTTTAACATCCCTGAATAATATGTATAATTTTCTTCATTTCGGCCTTGGACACTTAACAGAATCCTCTCTAGCAACATAGTTGTTTACACATATGCCATTTTTATTATATTTTCTAACTGGGTATTAGTAGCCAGCTTTTGATATTGCCTGTTTAATTTTAGATTAAAGATTGGTTGTGTGGATCTACCACTCAACCAAAGTGTACTATTTATTCATTAATTCATTTAGGCTTCCATATTTTGCATTATAAGATTTCTGTGTTATTTTAGTTTGAGATACAATGCTTTTCAAACCATAAGCACAACAGAAACAATTTTCACTTCGAAAGAAACACATCTTCAGCCAAATCATTTACCCGAGGCCTTTTCTCGCACCTGGTACTCAATTGACCCTCCTGTATCTGTGCACTCCATCCACCTGAAAGGCCTTTCCTTCACTTTTTCATTTCAGTCTGCCAACAATCTGTCCATCCTTCAATTTCTATCTCTTCCAAAACTACTTTTCTGATAATCTTAACATCATTTTAGTTTTTCCTCCACAGAAACCTCCTCCTACATTGACAGCTCCAATAGCATTTTTTTGTGTGTGTGCAAATCATTTGATGTGAACTGTTAAGACTGTATATGAATTGGAAGTGGGAACTATCATTTTGTCATCTTTATATCTTCTGCAGCATGTAGTGCTGCTTCTTCATATGTTGTTGAAGAGCTCAATATATATGCTTTTATTCAATCGAATATATCAAGTCTGGAGCCTAGAATCTTAGCTAAGGGGTTTCATTTTCTATTCATTGCATTGCTCTGTATTAATAATGGATGGACTAAAGTTTGGTGGGCCATCCGTCACTGATGGGGTCAACAGAACATGGGGGAATTGGCTTCTTATGTGCTTATAAAACATGCTATTTCATTTCTTCCTGACGAATAGTACTGCCACTTTGCCCTAAACATGCACCATCCCACAGCCCCACAGAAACAACAGAATTCTGAAAAAAACCGTAACTGATCTATAGAACTGGAGTTGTAATTTCTTTCTTTTCTGGCTGTTAGAATGTCCTACTTTGGGAAAAAAAGTGTTCATTTTATTTTTATAATTTAATTTTATATTTTATAGGTACATAATGTTACTTTATATTACAGTTTTAACTAGCATGTACCTTTAAGTTCAATTATGAAACTTACAAAATCCATTTATATTAAAAGCTATAACAGGGTGTCATTTTTCACAAAGGCTCCTTATTAAATGACTTCTTTACTGAAATGACTTTTTCTTCCTCCTTAGGGATGGAGAAGCTCAGCTATTTTTTCCATTAAAGATGAGATTAACTTAAAATAAATTAAAGAGAAGTATTCTTTTTTATTATTATTATTATACTCTAAGTTTTAGGGTACATGTGCACAATGTGCAGGTTAGTTACATATGTATACATGTGCCATGCTGGTGTGCTGCACCCACTAACTTGTCATCTAGCATTAGGTATATCTCCCAATGCGATCCCTCCCCCCTCCCCCCGCCCCACAACAGTCCCCAGAGTGTGATGTTCCCCTTCCTGTGTCCATGTGTTCTCATTGTTCAATTCCCACCTATGAGTGAGAATATGCGGTGTTTGGTTTTTTGTTCTTGCGATAGTTTACTGAGAATGATGATTTCCAATTTCATCCATGTCCCTACAAAGGACATGAACTCATCATTTTTTATGGTTGCATAGTATTCCATGGTGTATATGTGCCACATAAAGAACAGACACACAAAATACTGACCTATTCCTATGTCTAATATTTGAAATCCCTCTACCTTTTGATCTGCACTTTTACTCAAAAACAGAAAGAATTTTCGATCTGAAATGATAGGCACTTTGAAGTCCAGAAGAAACTAAATGCCTTTTACCACTCTCCATTGCAATATGTCTGCATTTATAACCACCTAAATAAAAAAAAAAAAACAGTGACACAAAACTAGTATACAAACTACTAGGCCTGGACTCAAGCAAATGCGACATGCAGTGTTATAAACCCTGGATAATGTTAAAGCCTGTGTCTTCTTAATTAAAGAGTACAGTACCATTAGAAAAAAGTTTATCTGATATCTAAAGAGTATTTCAAACTGGTTTTATTTCTCGTAACCTTTTGTTACAAAACAGCATCTTGGCTAAGACACTGAAAAAACTAGGCATACATCTCTGTGAAGCCACACACAATGCCTATAAAGCCACAGTCTTTATGGTGTGTGAACCTCAAGTCTCAGAAAGTAGTTCCTATTATACCATAGTATTGTGGAACTTCTCTGCAAAAACCACAGCTCTCATATTAGTTGGACATTCACTGAGGTAGGCCTAGATGCTTGGGTACCACTGAGTTTTCTGTTTGCCAATATGTCATATATATTCCAGTAATTCCCAGTTGTTGTACTGATGTAGCCTTTCTTCAGGAATTTTCATTTGATAATAGTGTGAAACATGCTAAACTAGGCACTTTGAACTAATTCATAGCCTTATGATATTCAGGAAGCTTTGATAATCCTCTTGTCCCCATGGGCAATGTCTGTTCACTTTGTGGCTTGCTGCTTAACCAAACCCAAATGAAGTTATCAACATAAAATGCCATGAGAACATTTGTTTTATCAGAAGCCTTTCCTAACATAAGGTTACTGTTCTTACTCATTTGTTCTTCTGTTCTATTAGATTGGCTTATTGATTTTTAAAAAACAAATTTATTTTTTGTGAACCACTTCAAGGAGGCTATTCAAACACAGTATCTGTAACCATTTCCTTAATGGCTTATGCTACTTTTCCTTTTTCTAACAAACATTTTCTCCATCTTCCCCTCCTCTTCCTTCTTCCTTTTTGCAAAATAGAGGACAAGATTTAGGGAAGCTTTTAAAAAATACCTGATTTTGGTTTTAGAAAATTTTTATTAAGCCTCCTTTCAATGCCAGGGAGCAAGGCATTGGTTTGTTATCTATGAAAATAATAGTTGGACCACAAGTGTGTCATTTGATTGTCAATAATAATAATAATAAATTATTGAATCTGGTTGTGATAGACATCTTGGAGAGTAGTTAATATAGAGTATGGTTAGTGCAATTTTTGAGTTTTTACAGGCTTCTAAAAGGGTAAAGAGGAAAAAAGCAAGTAGCTTGCCATTTGTTTATCAAGGACTTATGCCTTTTAATTCAAAGATAATTAATTAGACTTTGATTTAGAAATAGATTGGAACCTTAAATTATCGTTGACTATTGCTGCTCTCAGGCACATTTCAAACTATCAGCCACCTCATGCCTTGGCTCCCAAGTGAGAATAAATCACATAAAGACAACTTCAAGGATAAGAAATATTTACCATTGGCCAGGATGAGAGACTTGGGATTTGTGGGCTTAAGACCCATAGTCAGCTCAGGAAGCAGCATATCTTAGCCTAATGTTGGTAACACCTGGATTTCAGTACATCTGACTCCCACCCAAGGAGGCTGCTGAATACACAGCTTTTCTGTGACAAACTTTCTCTAAATCAGAATAACAGTGCTTATTCATCCAGAAGGGAAATTATTAAAAGTTGTCACAAGGAAAACAAACATTTCCCAAGTGTCCTAAATGAACCAGAAAGCATTCAAGATAGTTTTACTCGTTAGTCCAATTTATTAATCGTTAATTGAGCACTTACTGTATTCAAGGTAATACGCGTACTGCTTTTAGGAGAAATAAATGAGTGGAACTGAAATGTTGCCATCAAAGGGGTCGCAGTTAAATGGGAGTCATGTTTTCTAAGCAATTACTGTGTGTGACACTGTTTTGTCTTTTGCATGTGTCAACTAATTTATTCTAACAATAGTCATATGACATCAGTACTATTGCAATTCTCATTTTATAGATGAGGGAACTGAGACATAGACAGTCCAAGAAAATTGCAAAGGATATTAAAAAATTTAGATCCAGGATTCATGCCCAAGTTTATGGCTCCAGAATCCACATCACAGTCTGTTCTGTCTCTAGAGAAAGAATTATAATGGGATGGTGTCTGTGTAGAAAACTTGAAAGGTACAGAGCAGCACATAAAAGAGAATAATAGATTTAAACAAATTGAGAAAGGGGGTGTGGAATAGGTATTTAGAGAAAATAAATATATGGGAAGTTCAGACAAAATTACATTCAATTCAATAAACCCACCAGGTCTCTGTAATTTATACTAACTTTGTCGCTTTTTTTTACTGAAAAAACGATGCTCTGAAGGATTTAAGGTCACACAGCTCATATATAGCAGAATCAGGTTTCATATCCCAGACTTTGTGAATTCCACTCTTACATGCTTCTTCTTTTGGATTAAACCTTAACTTAATTATTACTCCCAAGAAAGGACCAATCTGAAGTAGCAAGTATAAAAGGTAACATGGGAAATAAAAAGAAGAAGAGTATTAGAAGAAGTGAGGTTGAAATTAAACAGCCATATGGAAACAAAGGACTTTTAGGATGACTCAGAATAAGATTCAACAGCATAAAACTTAACTGTTTTCAATCAACCAACTGCAGTAACATAGAATTAGAAGAAACAAGAGATGGGAAAACTCTGACCAAGTCTTGGCATAGAAGGAACAGGAATCTCTAGTAAGTGAGGGAAAGCATATTGGTCTCTGAAGGAGGGAAGAAAATGTGCACAGAAAAGTGAACAATGATTTCTTATCCATGGAAGGTACCCACAGATGATAAGAAGAAATGCCCACACAGGAGGCTACAGAGGGGAGAGGGCGGGGCATTAGTTACTCATTGAGTCTTACGTCAAAAGATTTATTTACTGTAATTTAGATTGTCAGCAAGAAATAGCTTGATTTAACCTTTGGGAAGGGAATGTTATATGACAAATGTTAAAATAAATATATAAGGAAGCCACAAAATTGCTGGGAGGCATTTGCAGAGAAACTGTTAAACAGCCACAGGACAAAAATGGCATATTCAATGTAGGCATAGAAGATAAAGAACATTGTGATATGTCTGCTGAAATGGCACTCTAATATTTCAGACTGTCCAAAGGAAGTTTCAGATAGATTTGGGTCTACATAGAAAAATTCAAGTGTGAAGTAGAGTTGTACAGAAAACTTTTTTTTTTCTAGTGTCTGAAATGTGGTCTCAAAGGGAGGTGTAGAGAGGAGAGTAACAATGCCCCGTTGGTTGCAGTTAGAGGGGCAGACAAGTAAGAAGGTGATGGGTGGGGCTCTGCTCCCAGAGAACGAAAGTACAAGGGCACTGCTGAAGAAGGAAATGAGGCCAATTGAAATGTGAAATGAAATGTTTTAAAACTGCAGGGGACTACAGAGAAAAAGATAAAAATTAGCAAGAATTCTTCCCTCATGTATCATACAAATGTTAGAAAATTTCTTATGCAGGAGGTGGAGAGAGGGAAATCCAAACAAATAGATACCTTACTCCTGAGAAGAAAACAGAAAAGTTGACTGCAAAATAATGAAAGACTATTTTGAACATGATGTGATGCTAAAATGTTATTGAGAATGGGAACACCCAAAGGTGATGGTGGTAATACAGTCTAGATGAGAAACCATGTCCCTTTCCCAGACCTTTGTTAGTTTCGGGTTTCAGAAAACAAAGAATGCTGTTGTGAGATAATGGCTGAGATCTGAGCTCATTGGAAGGAGAGTCGTCTCTACCATAGACTCTTCTCAGTATGCTTTAGTATGACTTGGAGCTTCTTGTATTTGATAAAGATTGGATGCTGTGCCTCCTCTGGGAATCAGATCAAAACACAGAGAACAGGGTCAGACCAGAGTCCTGAACTATAGCTTTCTCTATACCTGACCTTGAAGAAATGGAAAAGCAAAGATCTTTTTTTTAAAAAAATCAAACTAGAAAGCGAAGTCATCTGAAATACTTAAGGAGTTCATACTATACCATTAGCTATTATAAGTGAAATGGGAAGGAAATTGTGTCTCTGGCTAATGAAAATGCCTAGGCAACTAATTATGAATTAGTTTAAAAGTTTGCATAATGAGAAACACTTGATAAAAGTGAAGTTTCAGATATTATTTGATTAATGTGCATAGCCAAAAGAGTCTTGATAAATGTTACATAAACTAAGAAAAATTTTGGTTAGTTATTAAAAGTTTTGGTAATTTTATAACAACACACTGCCTTCCATTCCAAAGTAAAATATTTCCAAATCCCTAAAAGTTTCTTTGTAAAAAAAAAAGTTTACTGAGGAAAATATTTATTTGAATAAAAAATGACCCTCTCACTAAATTTGCTGTCCAAATGTATTTGGGATAAGTATACATGTGCAGATGATGTCTAGAGAATTATAGGATGAATGAAATGGACACCCTATTTGTTACTATGGATAGACTGGAAACCAATCTTCCTCAGCAGGGAGAGTAGTGGTGTTCCCCCGCTCCACACCAGCAAAGCAAATGGTAGGAGACCATTTCAGATTTCCTCTTTTCAGGCTAATTTTCAAATAAAATTAATATAATCAGAGATCAGTAAAATTATTTATTATTTTCCAATGAAGGCTTCCTATAGGGAGTGTGTATTTAGGACCCATTATTTGTACAGAATGGTTTTCAATGCCACAATAGTTTCAATCAATAAGATACCTGTTTTGCCTCTGCAAAGTCAGTAAGACAGTCTTGAGTTTTAAAGGATTTTACCAGCTGCTTGATCTTGGGTAAGTTATTTCACCTCTCTAATCCTCTGTTTCCTCCTCTAAGTTCCCATCATTCCAGCTGACTCTAGGTTGAACTTTTTATTGAATTCCTTCTGCGTGTCAGGCACTGTTATCCCAGAGGACTGTTGTGAAGATTCGAGGCGCTGGCGCATAGTACGGATTCAATAGGTAGCTACTATTACCATGGATATTGTTATAGTTAAGCAATTGAGACGAGTGTCAGAGTAATGCAGACAATAAATGGAAAGTTGAGGAAAGAAAGTTTGGCAATTGCATAATGAACTATGGTTTGAATATTTAGGAATTACCTGTAAGAATCAGAAGTGGGAAAGTTAAAGTAACTGTGAAAAAGTTTCAGAAATGAGAAATCCCCAATTTCTTTCATCAATTTCTTTCATTTTATTCTGTCTTTGTCCTATCACCACCACTCTCCTGGAGGGGAGAGGAAGCAACAACAACCAAACAGCAAACAAGCTTGGACGTAAGATACTCTTAACTTTGTTTCAGATGAACATTCACTTTAGGAAAGTCGTGTTAGCCTGCACAGCTTGGCATGATAATTAAATAGAAAATGAGAAAGGCTGCAGTGGATGTCAGCTCACTCACTCATAGCCTTCCAGCCAGTCTCCACAGTCCCCACTGGGAAATCTGTCATGACCCTGTCATGCTCCCCAGATAGATGTTTGCTTAGAGAAAACCAAACATCTGATAAGGGAAGATCAGTAGAATCTGGTTTTATGTTCCCTAGGGTCAACCCAGAGTGAAATATAAGAAGTAAACATGATTTCCTTAGGATTTCAGCTATGATCATTTAAAAATTTTCTGTTTAGCAGGATTCTAAACATACAGCCCCAAGTAACTGGCCCGTTGTTTGTCACACTTGTGTCATAGCGTGCAGGCGTGTAATGAGGCTTCACAGATGTGCTGCCAAAGATGAATGACCAGGTGGAATGTTGGGATGAACTCTTCATGCAACATAATTTGAACTGTACTATGAATTAAGAAAAGGAAATAGCAAGAAATATAGCATAACTTAAAGGTGTTACCTGATAAACTTCGAGCTTTCTCAGTATACAGATCACTCTCTGGGCAATAAATAATGCTAAAGGACAATTAAATATATTAGGGTGAAAACTAGATGCATTTATAAACTCCAGGGGATACTGAGGTATTTTGTGGCTTTTAATCAAGTGTGTCTCCAAATATTCTATTAAGAAAATGTGTAAAAAACAGAAAAATAAGTGAGAATCTATTTGGTGGAAATTCTGATAACAGCATAGACATATGGTAAGACTTGAGATACAGCCAGAAATCATTCTCTCATAAAAAACAATAAGATGAACATAGCTAGTATTTTCACATCTAAAACTATCCTAGGTCATCTCTCCACACTTAATTATTTCCTTTGCTGTGCAGAACCTGTTTAGTTTGATGTGATTCTGTTTGTCTATTTATGCTTATGTTGCCTGTGTTTTGGGGGTCAAATCCAAAAAAGTCATTGCCCAAATCAATGTCATGTAGTTTTCCCCTGGCAGTTTACAGTTTCTGGTTTTACATTTAAGTATTTATAATCCACTTTGAGTTGATTTTTGTATATAGTATGAGATATTTCATTCTTCTGCATGTAGCTGCATCCAGTTTTCCCAAAACCATTTATTGAAATGACTGTTCTTTTCCCATTATGTATTCTTGGCAGCTTTGTTGAAAATCAATTGACCATACTTGCATGGGTTCACTTCTGGGCTATCTGTTCTGTTCCATTCGTTGATACCTTTCTTTTTCTTGCCAGTGCCGTGCTGTTTAATTACCACAGATTTGTAGTATAATTTGAAGTCAGGTAGTGTGATACTTTTACTTTGTTCTTTTTGTACAATATTGCCTTGGCTATTTGGGGTTCTTTGTGTTTTCATGTTAACTTTAGGATCGTTTTTTCTACTCCTATGAAAAATGACAATAATTTTGATAGGAATGGTATTGAATCTGTAAATTGCTTTGAATAGTATGGACATTTTAACAATATTAATTATTTAAACCCGTGAACGTGGGATGTCTCAATTTATTTGTCTTCCTCAGTTGTTTTTGTGAATCTTTGATAGTTTTCAGTATATAGGTCTTTCACCTTTTTGATTAAATTTATTCCTAAGTCTTTTCTTATAGCTATTGTAGTTAGGATTCTTCCCTTGATTTCTCTTTTGGATAGTTCATTGAATAAACGTATTCATTGGCTAGTTCCTTTTTGGATAGTTTATTCTATAAATACATTTGTATAGAAATGCTACAGATTTTTGTGTGTTGATATTGTATCCTGCAACTTTACTGTATTTGTTTATTGGTTCTAACAGAGAGTCTTTACTCTAAAGACCTTATTATTGAAACTGCAAACATGTAATATACTAACACCTGAGCCCTCTTAATTACACTCATTGCCACCTCACTAAAAGCTGTCCACAGTACTAGAATTATTGTCTTTGCATTCTTAGGACAACCTAGCTTCACAATCCTATTCATCATCAATGAAAATCATCCCCCTTCTAATCAACTCAATTAAATGTTTAGCAGTCAGTAGTATTCCTGCCCGATCTCTTATCTCCAGCAACATTACTGTCATATCTATTCCCCAGATATGCCCTTATACCTAAAATTCACAGCTCTTGTCATAACTCATCTAGAATTTACAGAGGCAATAGAACTTAACCTTATAACAAATAATCTCAAATTTGAGTCCCCCTCACGTGCACATAAAGTAGGATTGCCAGCAATGGACTGATAATTACAAACTTCCACTGTGACAAATAATTCTGTGTTTTGTTTGTTGTAAGGTAACAGAAATAAGCCAAGCACCAAAAGACAAATACTGCATGTTCTCACATGTGGAGAGAGTAGAATAGTGGTTATGCAGGATGTGGGTTGGGGAAAAGGGCAGCTGATGGTCACATGATGATCACAAGGTACAAAATCTCAGACAGGAGGAATCTGTGGTGGTTTTTTTTTTAGCTCTATTACCCAACGTGGTAAATATAGTTAATAATAGAGTATTGTACATTCCAAATTTTCTAAGAGACTAAATTTCAAATGCTCTCACCACAACCAATGTCAAGTATTTGAGGTGATGGATATGTTAACTAGTTTAATTTAATTATTCCACATTGTATTAATAATTCATAATACCACTTTGTGCCTTATAAATTTACATAATTATATATTATCTATTTATAATTAAAAACTACAGCCATCATAGATTTTTACTTTATTTATACAAATAACATTCAAAAAAACTTAGAGTAGATTTTATGATCTTTATTTTACAGAATAGGAAACTTCAGCTTATATTAAGTAAGTTGCTCAAAGCCATACAGTCAATATGTTGCATAGTTGAAATGTAAACATGACTGAGTCCAGAGCTTTCTTCCTGAGCCTCTAAATTCTACTGCCTTAGTCACTAAACTTTCCTGCCTGAAGTATTTTTATAGGAATAGAAGATCAGTAAATAAACTATTTTATGATGTGGAAATTCCAGGAAATGCTAAATTTTCCTCTAATGGTGGAAAATAGTCATTTTGCATTACTTTCATAAGTTTTTGAGTTCCCTGGCTCTTTTTCACATTATGAAAAAATCCCCAGAGTCACATATAATATAACTCATTTCGGGGTTGTTAATGTTATGAAATGTTGAGTTTTATAAATGGAAACAAAAGTAATATTATCTTTTGCATATAAAACATTTCTACATAGTCTATGAAATAGAAAAGACAATCATATTATAGTTGGTCCTTTTTTTAAATGGCAAAATTGAGTGAGAGGGCTCATTGACTTCCCTAATCCTAACTAGCTACTGAATTTCAGACCAATGCTCTGTTAAAAAGTGATATTCCAATTATTATTAATCATTTAACACTGAAAGGTTTTAACAACATAGCTTTTTACCTGGTATTAATTATTATTGTTGTGTTAATTGAACCCAGTACCTGGCGTAGGGTGGGTGTTCAGTAAATACTTATTGTCTCAAGGAGAAAAAGAATGTATTATTAAATGAATTTAAATAATAAATATTCCTATTTAGAAATATTTAAATACTTTCTCTGCTTCTTTTCCATGTAATAATCTTGTTTTATGTCAAAAAACCTAACTGAGTGGAGACAATTGAACTGAAACAACTATTTGTTTATTCTTCTATTCTTCAGTTATGGAGGGCAGCATTTAGCTATTAGCCGCTTTCACTCCTTTTACTTTAATCATTTCCCTCTCAAAATCATAAACATGTTTGTAAACAACCTGCCTAAATACTATAAAATTTCTGCCACATTGGATAAAAAGCAGAGAGAGGAGTTGTAATGTTCATAATACCTCCTACCTTTTCATCAGTTTAATCACTAGAGCAGTGCAAGTTTATCTCATGTCATCACTAGCTTCTTAGATTGAAAGTAAGATTGCCAGCAATGGACTGATAATAACAACCTTCCACTGTGCCAAATAATTCCATGGTCTCCAATAGTTTGTTGTGCAGTAACAGATTTTTGCCAGTAATGTTATATGGCCCTAAATCTAATACATTTTAAACTGTAGCTCTTGTGTTATGTCTTATTGAGATTCTACTCTACCCTTTGTGATACTGACTTTTTCATTATGAGTTTCATCTTGAGAACATAGCTCTATACCTGATGTCAGGAGTTCGAGACCAGCCTGGCCAACATGGTGAAACCCCATCTTTACTAAAAATACAAAAAAAAAAAAAATTAGCTGGGCACGGTGGCAGGTGCCTGTAATCCCAGCTACTCGGGAGGCTGAGGCAGGAGAATCACTTGAACCTGGGAAGTGGAGGTTGCAGTGAGCCAAGATCATGCCGTTGCACTCCAGCCTGAGCAACAAGAGTGAAACTCCGTCTCAGAATAAATAAATAAACTGAAACATTTAGGTGCAGTGTGCTCATTGTAACCTACAAGCCAAACTAATAAACATGGCTTCCCAATTGCTTAACAAAAGAGAGAGAGGGACTGGGGGAAAAAAATCTGCTTTATTCTAAAGCCATTTTCAGAGATGTCAGTGGAAAAATTCTCCAAAATCCTTAGAAGGAAGAACTGACTTCACAAGTAGTTTCTTCTATGATAGGAGAGTTCATCTAAGCTTGTTTTAAATAAATCATATAAGCAGATTTGGAGATAACATTTAGATTGTCATTAAACACATTTAGCTAACTCTTTTTTCCTTTTATTCAGACTGAGAGCAATGATATAAATTATTTAACTTCATCAGATCTCCAGTTAAAGATGAGTTGTTCATGTAAGTCTAGACTATCTAAATTATGCCCATCATAAAGGCTTACTGCTTTTTATATTTCCTCTGGTCTTGAAGCCATTACAGTTCATTAGAGAGATTGTAGAATATGGTGGTTAGAGCATGGAATGTGCAGGCAGACTTCTTTGGTTCAAAACTTTGCTCTGCCTCTTTCTAGTTATTTGTCCAGAGACAGTTCTCTCTGTGTCTGTTTCCTCATCTGTAAAATGGCAGTGCTAATAATAAAATCACCACCTTCATAAGATTATTGCAAGGACTAAATGAGTTAATGCATTAAAAGTGGTTTTATTAGTGGCTAGCAATAACACTCAATGTTAGCTGGAATTATTATCATTTGTTTTATTTGCTGGATTTTCTGATAAGCTGAAATCTTTTTGAGTGCTGTTTCTGCTCTTTATCCTTAGTAATGAGCACAGATCAAGGATGTGGCAAATGATCAATCACTTTATTAAATGAATAAATAAATGAATATTCATATTGTTATAATGAGAATGGAACCAGTGACTGATTATAACCACCAATAGTGTTTGATAACTTCCGTCCTTTCTCTGTGCGAATTTCCGCATTCAGATATGCTATCCTTTCTTTTAGACTCTCAAAGGTCTTTTCTCAAAGACCTTTTCCTACAACATATCCTCCCCAAACCAGGGGAAGAAGCTGATTAGAAATTAATTCATTCAGTAAATAATTTTCAGCACCTTGTATGTGTATAAACTAGCGCTGAAAGGCATTTAAAGAAACATCTCAGGTTTCCAGTTTGTCCAAAGATCTGAAGTTCCTGTGGTCATAAGCAGTGAATTAGAGATATTGCTCTTTGTTGCCTCTTTTCAGTATTCTAAATACAGCTTGGCTGTCTCTGGATCTATACTTCAATGCCACAGGGAAAATCGATAGTAATAACACAAGATGCTGAGAGTAGGGGTTAGGTTTCTCCATTTTCTAAACTAATCTTCTAAGTCTGAGACTTTCCTGTGAAGTGGGAAAGTATTGAACTATCCAGGATTCTGATTAATGCTGGCAAAGAATACACAAAAATAATACACAAAAAGATGGCTGAAGAGATTTTGAGTTATTTTAATGGCATATTTAATTCAGAGAGTACATGTAGAATTGGCATCCTGACATTTTCTTTAATTTTCTAGCCAGAGTAAAGTATTGATTAGACAATTTTCTGCTTTGAGCATTAATATATCTAAATGGAAATTTTGGATAATAAAGAGTCCAGGTTTGCTCCCTTCACATGCCAGATAAACATCATATTTTAATTTGCAATTATAAATTTCATTTGATTATCACTAGAATGCCATATGCTTCCTATGAATATCATAAAATTTATCTGAGTTTAGTCAGTTTTATAACTGGTGCTTCTGAAAATCTTATTCTTTAGAACAACAATGTTAAGAAAATAAATCATCTGCAAACTTAGTCAAAACAGGCATGTCATGTGGGCAACTTGTAAAAGATTTAAAAGTATCAGAGATTTTGTATGCAAGCTGAATCTTACGGTGGAATATTCAGGTAGCATTATTTTACAGGATGCAGTATTCAATTTATTTCTATTATAACAAAAGTAATAATATGAATCAGCAAATATTATGAATTAGAAAGTAAAATTACTTTAGTGTTGTGAAAGTCATCCAGATTTTGTGCATCTAATTAAGTCTGATGCATGTAGTCAGGGATGAAGAAAGTCCCTGAATTCCAAGAGATGCTGTTTCAGTCAGGATAGGCTAGCTGCAATAACAGAAAACACAGAATTCTCAGTGGCTAAAGATGACACTCATTTACACTGCACATTGAAAGCAGTTCAGCTTGGGGCTTCTGCTCATCATAATCACTAAGGACCCAGCCTGGCAGACTTCATCATTACTCATATTTCCATGCTTCTTGCAGCATAAGGAAGGGAATGTGGTGAATCACACACTGGTTCTTAAAGCTTCCTGACAAAGCCAGGCACATGGCCAAGCCTAACTCAAGGAGGAGAGAGAAGTGTAGTCCAACTTTATGATGTGCCCAAAAGAGGAGCATCAAAATATTTTAAACAGCACTAATGACGCAGATTAGCCCCAAAATTGTTCTTGTCACTGTGGTCGTTAAATGTGACTATTTGTATCTTTTTCATCATAAACTGTGTTGTTATTTATTAAATCAAGATATTCCTGTGATGTGGCCCATTCTTCCACTTTATTGGCTATTAACTTAATTGGAGCATCAGGACCACAATTCTTAAGAATACAATTATTTCCAGACAAATGTAGTCTCTGAGTTCTTCTAATTTCTTTCTTTCATGTATTTTCTGACCTTATATCAATAAGATTACATGAATTACCATCCTGAGTGAGATCCATGGTCATTCCAGCCAAAAATCCTATCTTTAACAAAAAATGAGTCACTTATATTATTTCTCCATTGTTCTTAAAGACAAAAATGATAGAACTATTACAAGAATTGCTATTTTAAAAATACCTGATTCTATTTAGTGTGCATGAAGATGTATACTCACCACAAATCAAATATTTCTTCCTCAAATTTCAACAAATACCAATGAAAATTAGTATTAAATGTTTTAAAATTTAGGGGTTTTGTTTGTTTGTTTGTTTGTTTGTTTGTTTTTTGAGACGGAGTCTCACCCTGTCTCCCAGGCTGGAGTGCAATGGTGCAATCTTGGCTCACTGCAACCTCTGCCTCCCAGGTTCAAGCAATTCTCCTGCCTTAGCCTCCCGTGTAGCTGGGAGTATTTTCCAAAACATTTTTGAAAGTAATAATAAAAAAGTAGGTACTTAAAAAAAAAAAGAAAAAAAGAAAACAATGAAACTCTAATGATTTCATTTACTCAATTTTGTAATTCCAGATCAGAAAATGATGAACTTTATTTTTAGAATCACAGTATTTTAAAGCAGTTCTTCAAAGATCATACAACTCAACCTGATCATTTTATAAATGGGGAAACTGAAACCTGAGAAGTATACTAATAAACAGAGAGACTAAATTCTTGTCTCTGTAATATTAAATTCTGTAGAGGGAGATATTAAACAATTTAATTGCAATAATATATATGATGTACCTGGAAGGTAGTAAGTACTCAATAAACATTAGTTGCTATTATTACAATTATCGTTTGAAGGTAGTCCCCTATTCCAATTTTTCTCCCAATATTTAATTACCAGGCATTCTTAATACGTACATTTAGCTCTTGATCAAATAGTTCCAGATCTATAGAGCTTTTCAAGACACTTAGAAAGCTTTCTTGTTGTGTTTCTGAAATATGTTAGGAAAACTTAGGTATCAGTGACCGACCGTAATTTGTCATAGTTTCTTTCCATTGAAAAAAAAAGAATTGTGGCTTGACCACAATAATAGTTTTGATTGATTTTCTTATTTAATGCCACAGATTTTTGCTTAAAATATCTTTCCCATTGAAATACAGACTTAAATACAATATATTCCGTAGAAACACCAAATTTATGTCACACTTAACTAACATCACCAAATTTCAAAAATTAAGATACTGTGATATTTGTTTTTATCAATGTAATGATACATCCTTTAAGGTTTAGCTTTCCTACTTGTATTTAAAATTGGTAGATGTCATTTGCCAAAGAGGCTGGCTGATAATTAGATTTGGAATAACACATGACTTTTGCATCTTATTATCTTTATTATAAATTGTCAAAGAGTATAGGACATGCATAAAGAAGCAGTAATGCAAATGTTAGGCACAATCCATTTTATAAAATAAAGATCCAATATACCTGTGAAATATAAGATGAGAAGAAATAAATTTAAGATAAAGTTTGCAAGATAATACCTGATGTAATGTTCTATTCTCTGAAAAGAATGGTAGCATTGTTATATTTCACTGCAGCAAAGGCTTTCTTAAGAAAAAAAACAGACTGCCTCTGGTAGTGTTTAAAATTGTATAACATTAGTTTTTGACCATAAAAAATTAATTTGTATAAATTATTCCAGTGGAAACCAATAAAGCTGTGAATATAATCCAGAAAGAGAAAGAACAGTAAACAACCTGTTATTGTTCTGAGTAGAAAAACTCCCTGTTTCTTATTGAAATGTTGCAAATGACTCACAATACTATTAAATGTTTCCTTTTCATTGAGTCAATATTCAACATTTTTTTGAGAATAAGTTGTTTTCAGAAAGACATATAAACTGAGAGAAAATCATAAAGGGTTAATAAATTATATGAAATTTGCTATTTCAGTTAGATCACTAAAACAAAATCGTGACTATCTATGTCTATCTCTCTATATGTATGATTTTGATTCTCACATTCTTAAGGACTGCTAACATACATTTACATATGTGTATATGTAAGAAATTTAGATTTGTGTAAGTATATAAATAAATATGTATATTTTGATAGGGACTGCCAAGTTGCCCTCCTAGGTGGTGAACCAATTCACACTTTTACAAATTAATGAAGATTAGTGCCCAATTTCTTGGCTATAAATTGTCAAACATAGAATTTTGCCATTTTTTATGGGAGTAAATTGGTATCTGACTTCTCTTAGTATTACTCAGATGAAACATATTTTCCTATTGTTTCAAACTATTTGTATTACTTTTTCTATAAACACTTGATATTCCTTGCCCAATTTTGTGGTTGTTTTGTTGACTTGTTAGTCCTTTACTTCTTCATTTTGAAAAATTCTCTAGATTTTGGGGAGATTACCACTTTATAAGTGGCAAAAGTTTTTTTCTTATTTTTCTTTTGAGTTTGATTGCATTAAGTTTCTTCTTGTGAAGAAATTTATCATTTTTGTGTTGCCAAGTTCATTAACTATTTTTTGTGGTTTATAGATTTCTGTGTCAATGTTAGAAAATTACTCAAGAGACTCTAAAGAATTCTGCTAGGTTTTTCATAATTTTGTTTTCATTTTTAACATTTAAATCGTTTATCCATTTTGAATTTATCTTGGTTGAGTAAGTGAGGATTGGATTTTATTTTTTTCCTGAGTATCAATTGTCCCAAAAATTGCTAGTTTTATTTTTTCCCAGTGATTTTCTGTGTCATTATTTTTACATAATAAAATGCCATATATATTTGAGTTATTTTTTTTTTACTTTCTCTTGTTCTGTTGTTCTCTTTTTCTGTTCATAAATGAGTCGTGACAGTGTGTTTTAATCTGATAAGGCTGCTCCCCTCCTCCCGTTGCTCTTCTTTTGCAGAAGCTTTTTGGATATTCTTATTTATATTGTCTTGACATTCAAACTTTAGAAAAACCTTGTGTATTTATGAAAAATAAAATGTTACTGGGATTGCTTTTATTTATAAATTAAATTGAAACAGTTTATGTCCTTGTGATGTTGAGTCTTTCTCTCCAAAGAAACAGTATGTCATCCCACTTACCTTCATCTTCTTTCATGTTTGCAAAGATGGTTTTACATTCTTCTTTCTTTTTTCTTCTCTTTCTTTGAGCATTTTTGTTAAGTTTATTTCTCTGCATTTGATTATTTGTTGCTATCATGAATTGGTCTTCATCAGGATCTTCTAACAGATTATTGTTTACATGTAATCAAGGCTATTAATTTAAGTGTGCTGCTACTGGCATCTTACTAAATAACTTTGATGGTTGTATTAAATTTGTACTTGATTTTCATGAGCTTCCCAAGCATATGAGACATCATCTGCAAATATAGTGATAGTTTCTCCTCTTCTTTCCAATTTTAATATCTCTAATTTTGTCCTCTTGTGAATTGTAACTATTCACTGAGTGAAGTGTTATTTAATAGTTGATAGTGGGCATCCTTGCCTTGTTTCCAACTTTAGTGAAAATGCCTCTATTATTCTCCCATTGAGCCTGATACTCTCTCTGTGACTGAAATAGATGTGTTTATCAGGTTATATAACTTTTCATTGATTACTATTCTGAGAATTAATTTTTATTTGTCAAGAATGCATGTTGAATTTGGTCAAATACCATTTTAGTGTCAATGGAGAGAGGAATATTCTTTTTCTCTTTAGACTAATTAATATAATAAAGTAGTTGAATAGATTTAATAATATTGACCTGATTTTGTGTTCTAGGAATAAATTCCCCTTGGTCATGATATATTTTTCTCGTAATGTGCTGACGGCTTCTGATTAATAAATTTTATTATTTTAACATTGAAATGCATGAGTTAAAATGTTCTGTAGCATATGTTTTTCTGAAATCATTGATGATTTTAGCTATACATGTTTCAAATAGGATTTGGATATACTTTTTTATATGCCTTGGCACATTTTAGTAACACTGGAATTATATATTTAAATATTTATCCTGATCTATGGCAGAGGGTTCCTGGTGGGAGTTCCCTCATCGGTTAAAATGTTCTGCTTTCTTCATCATTTTTTCTTTCTATACCTTTTCTAAGCTACTATACTAGTTCTTTCATTAATACATGATATTCAGTGAGTCAGCTTTGAAGATATCCATCTACTGTCAAAGGAGCCAGGTTGTTTTACAGGTTCACCAAGTTTTGGCTGCCACAAAATAAGAAGGCTTCCTGAAAGCACTGCTGCTTGGCATACTTCTTGTAGTAACCCTGTCACCGTCTGCTTTTTGAAGCTAAACTAGGTATGTGGTAGGGTGTGTGTGGGTAGGGATTGTGGTTCTGCTCCCACTCAGTTCCCCCATGCCTCTCTTATTACCAGCAAGGCTTTAACCCCCTGGATGGGCCCCTTGCCATGAGGAAGTGTACTTGTGCTCTTCCTCCCTGGGTCTGCTGCAGCTGCACTCTCTTTGCAGGGATCTCTTCTAAGCTTCCCTCATTTTCCTTCTGTTGGCTCCTATAATGAATTAGTAGCAGCTTTGGCAACCTTTTATATTTTATGGTGTCTTTTTTCTAGTTTCATTAACAATATTTTAAATATTTTAAAGATATTTTAATCTATATAATAAAAACATATTTTAATAATAATATTTTAAGACAGAACTTTAACAACCCATATAAATTGGCATTGATGGTCTATGACTCTGACATTGGTCAATCTTTTTGTAGAAATAAAAATTATTAGGCCTATTAGTGGCCTGAAATGCCTATCATTATGAAGTTTAGTAGAGAATTCTTTTTCTATTTATTGTGCTATTTATCATACCTAAGGAATACTTCAGCTAAGTAGGTATACATTTGTTTGACAATAAGCAAATATGATTTATTTAAATATTAGATTCTCTTTAACACATATTGTAGGCAATCAATAACTTTTTAAAGCACTTTTTTATTCGGCAAAAGTACTTACTATAGTACTTACTATAACACTCATAACATATACAGCTCCTATCACACCTTTGGATTATCATATATTTTACTATATCTGATTTGTTTCTGATTATGTCAAGAATACATCATTATTATGTAAAGAGAGCAGCAGTTGTATCATATTTCATTCCATTGACAAATATATTCAATGAATATAATCATTAAGTATAATTTAAAAATGCCGCCCAACCAATGCATCAAGTTAAACCGGTTTTACATATTTAATAATTTTATTCTAAGGCTATATATATATATGTATATACGCATGGAATTTCACCAAGATTATGTAGAAGCTTTCCCTAAATTCCCTAAAATTTAATCTCTTTAAGTAATGAAAATTTGTCCTTGAAGAATTTTCTGATAACAATTTTTAAAGATTTATTTTACTTTATTTTTATGCTATCATTTCCCAAGGCGCAGTATAACTATCCCCTAACAAATTGTAGTTTGGTTAGGCTTCAAGTTTAGTTTTAGGTTTGCTTTTCTTCTTATGCCTAATAAGTAATGGAAATATTTATCTTTAAAATTTTCTGTATGTGAAGCGCAAAGCCAAGTTATGGATAAAATGAAGTTAATATTTAAATTTTAAAATACACATTTATGACTTACTCTCAAATACAGCACTGACATTTAGCCATATTATATGCTAGAGGAAAATGTATGGAAATCTTTTAGAAGTTATTAGCAATTTAGTGCAGTGTTCAAAAGATCAGACTCTGGGATCATACTACCTGGACTTGAATCTTGTCTTTACCACGTAGTAGCTGTTGTGACTTTAAGCAAATTATTAAAGTTCTGCTCCTTAATTTCCTCATCCATAAAACAGTCTCTTCCACAATTTGTTCAAAACAAACTGTTGTGAGGATAAAGTGAGTTAATGTAATAAAGTGCTTACAACAATGCCTGGCAGCCATTATAATTTCAGTACAGCCCCTTCAGAAAATTGTTGGAAGACAAGATTATGAATAACTGACCTATTTGAAGTGTAGCATAGTATTCACAGATATTTAAAAGCTAACCATAAGATTAAAAGAAACAAATGGACCTGATTAAAGACTTCCTATCACAAAGGATTTTTTGGAAGAAGGGAGAAAAGATGTTCCAGATATTTAACACAGAGCAAAATTATTTAGCTGAAAGCATTAGATTTGTCAGTGCTTCAAAGCCTCCCCAAATTAGCTTATTTACTTTCAATATTATTTTAATTAATTTGTCAAAAAGTAATCCAAATAACATATTGGATAGCATTAATGCTTTGGCAAGGGCATAATAGCAAAGAATAGTACTGAGAGGATAATATGAAAGCCTGAAGTGCACAAGAAAAAAAATTCCAGAGCCAATCATAATATGTTCTGACTGTATTAAATCACAATGTTTACATAGATAAGAGAGGGGAATGTATAACTAGCTCAAGACATGCTGATATCAGATATGAAATGCATCTAGTGTAGATAAGCAGAGAATTTCATTTATATTACAAGAAACTAAACATTTATTAGTCACAATTTTACTAAAATACTATGTAAGGCTTAAGTTGCCACACTTCCAAAAGGACATAAAAGACCTAAGAAAGCTCGAAAAAGAGGAATGAAAAGTTAAGAAACCTTTAGTAAAGAAGCCCTGGGAAGAAAGTTAAGGATTAGGGTAGTTAGCCTAAAAAGTAGAGGCCAAGATCAATATTATCCTCCCTTTTAGAATATGGTGGGATTTTATGAAAATGACACTAAGTAGTTATTCTCTTTATAGAAAAGATAGCTAGCTTCAGCTTTAAGACCACTAACTTACCAGGAAAAGCTTTTTGTTTTGATGAAGATTTTCTATCCAGAAAATAAGGATATTATCTCATTTACCATTGACCTCTCAGAATTATTATACACATAACATGCAATTTGCAATAAAAGTGCTAAGTAGTTTTGAAGTAAAAGCACTAAGGGATGTTATCATTGCTGTCATTGATAGTGTTATGGAATAACAGTAATTCTTAGGGAACCAACTTAATTAAAGACAGAATTTCAATTAGATCTAAGAACAAACTTGCTGATTATCACTGTGATAAATGTGAAAATGAGATTCTGTGGGGAGGAATAAATGCCATCTTCATTCTCAGAGACCTTTCAAAACAAAAAGAAAACCATCATCCTAGGTTATTTTAAATAGCTATCTGCATAAGAAAAAGGGGGCAGGTAGAACAAAATCCTTTGAGTCTTTTTGGCAGTTCTGAGATAATGTAATCACGAATGCGACCTGAAGTGACAACTACTAGGAAAAGATAAAAGCCTATAACAATCATTGATCCTATGAAGAGTGGAGCAGGATATTTAACCATGTATACAATCTGTATTAGATTAGGTTCTCCAGAGAACAGAACCAATAGGAGATTTCAACAAGAGAGAGAGAGAGATTGATTTACTATGAGGAATTGGCTCACATTATTATGAAGGATGCAGTCAGCAAGCTAGAGACCCAGGAGAGTTGCTAGTGTGGTTCCAGTCCAAATCTGAAGGTCTGAGAACCAGGAGAGCCAATGGTGTAAGTTCCAATTCGAGTCCAAGTTTAAAGAGAAGATCAACATCCCAACTCAGAAACAGACAGGCAAGACAAAGAATACTTTCTTGTTCAGCCTTTTATTCTATTCAGGTCTCAACAGATTGGATGTGGTTCACACACGTTGGAGGAGGGTAATTTGCTTTACTCAGTTTACCAATTCAAATGTTAATTTCATCCAAAAACGCCTTCACAGATCCATCCAGAAATAATGTTAACCAACTATCTGGGCACCATGTGGCCTAGGCAAGTTGATACATAAAATTAACAATCACTAAATCTGGTTTTTTTTAATTTAGTTTTCAAAATTTATTACTACTTAATAGTTATTAAATCCCCATAGTAGGATTTCATAATATTGGGTAAAGGGTGTTAAATTTTAACTTGTGTTCTAGAAATGAGTGCTACTTGCTAATGTTATTATTTAATTGCTGCAGTATTCATTGACTTGCTTTATACCTTGGAAACATTTTTCAAGTTGATGCATGTAAAAATATTGCATGTTCAATCATGTTTCCATTTATGTCTGTTATAATCAGTGTAAACTTTCTTCCAAAATGAAAATAACATGAAATTAAAAAAAATAAAAATCTACATTCAACATCTAATAGATTTCCAATGTCAGATTTCTGACATTAATTATAAATAACATCTACCTCTAGCAAAATGAGTCTTTGTTTACTTTATGCATTTATTGAAGATTTATATTTTGTCAGATTTCAAAGGATTTGAGAGAATCCTTAGTAAGCTAAGAATCAAGGAAACATTTAAGGATAAAAGAGAACTGCATTCCGAAAGCATTAATTCACTTACTCCATTCAGAAAATATGTATTTAATGTCTACCAATCATTGTAATGGGATCTTAGGAATATGAAGGTGAATAAAGCATAGTTCTTCCCTTGGAGAAACTCAAAACTCTCTTACTGATCCATAAACAAGTAATTTAAAGTGCTCCAGTGAATATTTGTGTAAGGGCTAATGTATGTGAGAAAGGCACCAATAAATGTGCATATAAAGTGCTATGGGACCTTTGAGACAGGTATTTTAGGCATTCAAGACACACATGTTCCTAAAATAGAGCTTAAGTATTAGACAACAGAAACATACAGTTTTAATGCATGGAATAGACCTTCTTAATTACATTCCTGCTAACTCCCTAGATACCAAATGGCTCAAGCAAACCAGGTTGCTCACTGTTTCTGTCTTACTCCTTACTTTCCTCCCTCTTCATGAAATAACATGAATGAAAAAACTCACTGCCTTCTGGGGTCAGACAAAATAGGATTCAAATTACATGGATCTTGCTGAGCTTCAGTTTCCTTACTTTAAAAATATGGATGATAATTTATCTCTTTGAATTTTTTCGATGACAAGAAATAGTAAGAGTAAATGTACTTGGCATTTTTAAGCATTCAGTAATTGGTAATTATTATTATTATTCAGATGCTCTCATGCCATACTCTGAACTGGGCTACCCTATCACCAATACCACCTCATAAAATTATTTCTGCTTTTGAAGCTCTATATTTCATGTCAAACTTATTTCTCATTTACTCTTTCTTCTAATGTGATTGATCCTCTGCTACATAGGAAGGTTTTAAATTATATATGTGTGTATATATATGTGTATATATATGTATATATATGTGTATATATATGTATATATATGTGTATATATATGTATATATATATGTGTGTATGTGTGTGTGTGTGTGTGTGTGTGTGTATATATATATATATATATATATATATATATAGTAGGCTTGCCAGTAAATATATTTTTTAAGTTAAGTAACCTCAACTTGTCTAGAAAGAACAAAAGAAAAAAAAAAAGGAAAGAAAAGCTATGTCAAGAAAATATTGTGATCTACCAGAAGTTGCCCAACCAATTAGAGACAAAAGTATGAGGCTGGAGCTGGGCTTCCTGATGTTTAGTATACATGCTGTTGTCTTTAGGAAAGATGGTTGCTTATCTTTACAAACAAAATTGGTCCTCAATCCTTCACTTTCCCAGTCCATGTAAGGAATTAGCCAAATGGGTAATCAGTCCAGTTAATTATAGAAAACACTTATTATAATATTTACTAGGGATTACTAAGTGTTCTGTGTGTGTGTACTCATTCAGTCTTCAAAGAATCTCATAAGTGAGGTGGACATTAATACTATACCCTCATTTATAAGTGAGGAAACTGAGTCACAGAGAGTTTATGTTACATTTTCAAGGTCTTGCTGATAATAAGTGGCAGAACCAGGATTCAAACCCAGCCTTGATGGCTTTAACCACCCAGTATACTCCCTCTTATTTTTCATATATTTTGATATACTCATTTAAAGCATATAAATACTAAAATATTCCATACCAATTACCAATTAAGCTTATCTCATTGGGAATTGTTCTTCCTCAACAACCTTGGCAGGAGTGTATCTTTGTATGATCAGTCCATGCCACTTGTTCAAGTAATTCTGAGAACTTTCTAAATGCAAAGAAGCTCCTCTGTTCATGACAAATATTAAAAAAAGAGCAGAAATCTTATTCTACCTCTGTTATCTTACTTTCATTTGCATCTGATACAGGTTTGTGAGAGTCATTAGACATCTTTATCAAAAATGTCCAATCCTCTTTCTGAACCTATGGTATCATTATACTTCCTGTATCCTGATGTTGGTATGGACACCAGGGTTGGTTTGGGCAACGAAACATGAGTAGCAGTCATGTGCGTTGCCTGTGGGAGAAAGCATGAAAAGCCAGTGCAAGATTCTCCACATCCCCTTCCCACTGCAGAAGTGATCATAGAAGCACTGGTTGAGCTAAAGCCTGAGTCCCAGAATAACCATGAAGAGCAGAGGCCTGGTGCACATCACAGTGACACATTGAGTGAGCAAGGAATAAATACTTCTTGAGTTAAGCCCCTGAGATGTTTGTGGTTGCTACCAAAACCGAGCTGTTTCTGTGTCTTTCAAGGATCAGTTATCATTAGAGATCCTTCATATGGTTTATGTTTAACGAAAATAGTTTAATTTTAGAATAGTTCTCAAATCCCGTGGTATTGTTTGACTCAAATTTTATGCTTTGTGAGTTTTCACAATATATGTTTTCTATAAATGTAAAGCATGAAAATATTTCCTAGGTGTTAAAACAGCTTTTAGAGTTCTAATTAGCACTGAAATTGCCTATAATTTCGCTTGTAGGGATGCTCCCTGAGAAATTTGAAGTTATTCATAATTACACATATGGTAGTGTCATTAATGTTCTGTTTTTGTTATTGTTGCTTTGAGTTGTTGTGAATGTTTTGTTCACTCTTCTCTTTTATTTGTAGACTGCTGGACATAATGTGCCTCAACAAAGTATTTTTGAAAATATTTTAGTACAACTCTTCATTAAGTTTTCAACTACAACATTTCCTTCCCACTATTATATTAGCTGTTCACTATAGAGGTTACAGATAATATGTGTATGTGTTCATCACAGTCTCTAAATAATTGTATTTTGACCAGTCCTTAGGAAACTTTTCCAAGGACTGTATTAGTCTTTGAATCATTCTAGCTTGGATTATTCTTGAATTTCATTTTTATAATGATCAAGCCCTTGATTATTCAAACTCACAGAAGAAAACAGCATGGTACATAAATTCAAAACTAGAACTGATCCAAGATATTAATTGGCTCTGAAAATTATTATGTAACGTTTTATTAAGGAAGCATCTTACATTTCAGACTTACAGAAAGTTACAAAAATATACTAAGAAATTACCATATACCCTCACCTAGCTTTACTGAAAGGTTAACATCTTATATAACATTCTTTATATAACATTATATAACATTCCTTATATAACATTATATAACAGTTTCCAAAACCAAGAAAGTAGCTGGCCACAATGGCACCCACCTGAAGTTCCAGCTGTTCAGGAAGCTGAGGCAGAAGGACTGCTTGAGCCAGCCTGGGCCAACATAGCAAGAACCCCCTGTTTCTTATAAAGCTCTTCTTGGCCAGGCACTGTGGCTCATGCCTGTAATCCCAGCACTTTGGGAGGCCGAGGCGGGCGGATGACAAGGTCAGGAGTTCGAGACCAGCCTGGTCAACATGGCAATACCCCGTCTCTATTAAAAATACAAAAATGTGGTGAGCACCTGTAATCCCAGCTACTCAGGAGGCTGAGGCAGGAGAATCGCTTGAACCCAGGAGGCAGAGGTTGCAGTGAGCCGAGATCATGCCATTGCACTCCAGCCTGGGGTACAAGAGCAAGACTCCGTCTCAAAAAAAAAAAAAAAAAAAAAAGCTTTTCTTGAATTTAAAAACCAGAAAAGCCAGAAAAGTAATATTGATACACTATTATTAATTAATCTAAAGAACTTATTTCAATTTTGTCAATTCCTGCTAATATACTTTTTGGGGGCCAAGATTCAAACTGGACAGAATACATTTAGCGTCGTGTCTCCTGAGTCTCATTTCATCTGGGACAGCTTTTTTTTTTCTCTGTCTCTCTTTCATGACTGACACTTTTGAAAATAGTTACTCTGTATAGACAGCCTCTCCATTTGGGGCTGTCTGACATTTTCCTCATGATTAAATCCAGGTTATGTATTTTTTATAAGAATGCCAGAGACGTGATGTCATGCCTTTCTAAGTGCATTATATCAAGAGACATGATGTTGTTATATCTCATTACTGTTGATGTGAACTTTGATCACTAAAACAACACACTGTCTTCTAGATTTCTCCACTACACAGTTGTTCTTATTCAACCAAAGATACTTTTAAATGGTTTCACATGCCTTCTCTCCTACCTTTCTTTTTTTCCCTCTTTCCCAAATATCATGTGAAGTGGTGATAGTAGAAAATTAGAAAGACACTAATTAAGCTGATGGATTCCCAGTATTAATTCTCCAATCCATTTTGTATTTTTCAGACTGTAATAATTAATGACTGCACTAGTGAAAAAGCAAAATGTTTGACTATGACTTTAGAGAATATTGGCATATAATCAAAAAGCATCTGAGGTACTATTTGGATATACAAGACAAATCTAATTATTTTCCTTGTTCAGCTTATAAAAAACAAAACAAGCAAAACAGCAAACAAAAGCAATACTCTGGCTCTAACTGTGAATTAGCATGAATGACTTTATGATTATACATTTTTCTCATGTAAAGAATTTTTGTTTTGATGTCCCTAAATGCTTCAAAATATATTGCATTCTGTGGTTACTCTGCAAATCTAATAAACAAGAAGCCTTTCCCCTATGACTTCCAAGATACCTTCCTTAATTTTCACCATGGTCACGTTAAAACTTATTGCTATTGTATTCTTCACAGAACAAGCATTGTCATTTGCAAACTTTCTGGAAAATGAATTGTCATTTGCAAACTGTTTTGACATGTGAAAGATGGAGTACATTTTTCCTTATAAATCTTTTTCTTAGGAGAATTTTAGGAGCTGCAGAAGCAGTCTACCTGTGGTAAAGCAAGGAAGATCTATATCCAAAAATCCCATGTTTGAATCCTGGCCTTACTTCCTACAAACTGCTGTTATACCTCTATCAGCTTTTACAAAGTAGATCATAGAATGCAATATATTTTGAAACATTCAACATCATCAAAATATAAGTTCTTTATGCAGAAAATTTAGGCAAATTATTTATCTTTGCCTCCATTTTCTCATACATAAAATTGAGATGATGATGGTATTTAACTCATACCGTTTTGTGAGGATAATAAGTTAAATCACGTAAAGTGCTTTAACAGTGCTTGGCATGCAGTAGGTATTCAATAAAATTAACTAAAAATGCTGTCTCTAATAATAGCTTCCATATGTTGAAGACTTCCTCAATGTAAGGTACCATGCTGGGAGTTTTCATGTATTAGGCCATTAATCTTTATTACAATCATTAGTTAAAAAGTATTATCCCCGTTTTGTATATGAGAAAATGAAGGCTTACAATAGTCATGTAACTCACCAAACCCCACACAGCTGGTGAAGGACTGAGTTGGGATTTGAATCCTGTTCTCTGAGACTCCAAAGTCAATTCTCTTAAGCCCTGTGCTATACTTGCCTTCCTTAGGGTGTGAACCCATAAGAACCCTTCTCATTTAGAACTTCAAAGAAAACAAACCTAGAGTTGATTATAGTAGCTTTTAAAACTGTAGTTGATTACAAGTTAAAGTATGAATAACTTGCAAGATAAATACTACTAGCAGGCAAGCCTGCTCACACTGTCTCAAATAAGCTCTTTATATTCCTGGGTGGATAAGTTGTTTTTGTTTTTGTTTTGTTTGTTTTTTACTTTTTACATGAGTAGATTTAATTGGGTAAGGGTTAAAAAGATATAGAGATAAAGTTGAAAATGTCTTCTACATTCCACAGGATTATCATTTTTTTGACACTCTGACTTTAAAAATGAGCCCAGGAGGTGGTTTAATTAGCCTATGGACAAGTGACCTTGTGGAACTGTATCTAATTCATACAAGCCTCATGCCATAAGGCCCTGTTAGCCTTTCCAAGCATTCCACATGTGCATTACACAAAACAATTCCATGTATATCTGGGGGCAGTGGGGGTGGGGAAGAACCAGCAAGTAGAACTTTTCAAAGATGAACAGAAACTATGGATTTGTCTATGTGTATGTTTGTGTTTGTACACATACGTGTGTATTTGCACATACATGTACATGTCTGGTTGGGTCATCTCTTTCTCATCGCAGACCTAGTCTTTAAGGGATACACAGAGAGAAGGTTTCCATGAAATACTCACCACCACCTACAAACATGTAAAATTCTGCCTGAAGCCTGAGAGCAAATGAACCACTGCCTTTTGGTTCATGTGGGTATGTAGGACATAAGAAATGCTTTCAACCCATGTTACGGAAACCCTTCAATTTGCAGATGAAAAATAGGAGGCTCAGGGATGTTTAGAGGCTTGTTAAAATTATTTGGCTAGTAGATTGTCATGCTAAAAATTGAACTCAGTTTTTATTATCACTCTAATCATGTGCTTTTCTTACTGAACCATGTTGACATTTTAGTTCAATGGGAAGAACAAAGAACAATGACTTTTAAAACTATAAATCAACAAGAATGTTTGTGAAATCATGCATTGATGACCAGTGGATTTCTCAATAAAATCAACTATGAATATAATTTTAAAAAGAAGGGCTACAAAATAATGTAGATATTTGTAAGTAAAACCTCCCAACCAAAATCACAAAATCATGGCATAGGAAATATGGGCACAATAATATTTTTTTGTTCAGACAAAAATATCTTGGATTATGTACTTTTAAATTCAAAATTTTTTTACCATTATCTTACCAGTCTTTTTATACAGCTTGTGTTTAGACATAAGCGTGATGTGTGCAGCAGTTCATAGAAACCATGTTAGAAAAGTTCATAGAAACCATGTTAGAAAAGCACATAGAAACATTATTCAGGATTTTTCTTTTTACATATCTCTTTGGAGTATGACTAATTCTGCACACAACTTCTCCCCACCTGGCTTCATTTAAATTGCAAATAAATAAAGAACAAGATGATACATTTCCCAAAGTTCATAACATATGCTAGATGACCTGCTAAACATCAAAAGATAATGGAAGTAAATATCTATTACTTAAGCTTCAAGCATGTTTTTATTTTGTGTCAAAATATTATCTGATTCCTCAAATACTCGGAGATCTAAAAAAGGTACTTAAGAAGCACCACCACCACAATGGTGAACCAACTATCTCTGTCGCCCAGAACTGAGGGTTTTCCTAGGATTCAGGACTTTCAGAGCTAAAATTTAGACAGTCTCAGGTCGATCACCCTACAGTCGTCCTAAATGTGTAGGTTCACAAGCCCTTTAGGAACTGTTGTTGATCCCCTGGACAGCTAATCCAGACCACTCTTAACGGCACAGTTGGCTCTCATGGAGACCATAAGTTATTTTCCATCTTTCTGGGTCAGGATTTTATGTAATCTGTTAACTGTGAATCTAGTCATTGATTCTGTACTGGACCTGCCTAAGTGAGTGGCTGTAAGTATGCATGTCTGCATGCTCTAGTTTTGAAAGAAATGGGAAGTAATTCTAAAACAGGAGGCCTAAAACAGCTGGAAAAAGTTGTACATCGTTTTCTCATACTTTCTGGTTAGGCTTTCACCAGCAGTAGCAATCATCAGTAGCTTTTTGGCAATTTACTTTCTTCTCTCCTGAACTACTAGCCTAGTGAATCTCCATGAAACCCTTTCATTTTTCTGATTCTAGAATGCTTTGTTACAGAAAGCAACAGCAAGAGGGAAGTACAGCTTAGGGAGTAAATGTGGTAAACTGGGGCGTGGAGGTATACAGACTTTCAGGGCCTGACATTTTTAAATACATTGCCAAAGCTGACCAAGCATATTTCCTTTCCAGCATTAATAATTACTTGGCACTGAAGAAATGCATGCTGATAGAGCACTTTATGGTATGATATTTTATTATCTCTGTCTTGAAAAATTGTAGCCACTGATAATCTAATAGAGAGAAGAAACTCACTTCATTAATTTATTATAGCCCAGAATCCTGGGCAGGGCGTTTGATTACGGAGAATATTCCTTTATTTCTGCCAAATTAAAAAGCTGGCACAACACAGTAGATGATGTAAAGCTTTTGGCTAAATGCCTTCCAGATTCCATTTTCCAAAAGATCTACCAAGAATTTGCAGTTTAAGCTTTTCTTACCAATTTTATATTTGCTTGGTTTCTCCTGATTTATTTTTACTTTAATAACAAGCTCACACTGGCTCTATTAGATATTGTTGTCTTTGTCTACATGGTGCCATACAGTCAGAGGCCTAGGCCCTGACCCTGTCAGTACTGCTAATCCTTGAGTCTGTGACCTTGTGCATAGCACCTCATCGCACTGGGCTTCTGTTTCTTTATCTGTGAGATGGAGCATTTGGACTAAGGTCTCCTCCAGGCTTAATATCTTATGATTCATTTTGGATTAAAAGTTGAGGAAAAATAAGTATGACGTATTTTTTTCAGAGACTTTAACAAAAGGAACATATCTAAGTTTTGTTAAATTCCAATTAAAGAATGAGTTATCTGATCCAGTCTTCAGTTTGCAGTGTACAGTATTTAGAGCCCAGGAGCTATTATGATGGATGCTACAGAAATGCTTATTGTATTCACAGACTATTCCTGATGGAAACAAAACATCTGGAGGATTTCTGCAAGGCGAGGATTCACTCATAAATGACCCTTTTGCTTTTGGACAGGGTTGTACATTATTTTGTCTGCCCTACTTTGAGAGAGTTTCACCATCTGTCTAATGTTAGCAATTATTTGTTTTCCTAATTAATTGATAGAATCTGTTTTTTTAAAAAATATAATTGCATCATGTCAATTTAAGAAAAAGGAAGTGGCTACATGCTGTTGTACATGGTGCATGAAAATGGAATCAGAAAAGCAGTATGTTAGGGCTGATAGGGGCCTTAGAGATCAATTATTCCAACTCCCTCATTTTGTAGATGAGGAAAAACACTCAGCTCATTGTTAGCAAAGCAGGAAACCTGTATCTTTTGATTCCTATCGTATCTTTCTCATTCATGGTAGTACATTTCTTGTGATATTTAAAATTCTTCAATTTCAAAATGAGAGTGAAACTAGAAAAATCACTTTATTGCACAGAGAAGTTTCATGGGGTCACAGCTGAGAAGCCAATCATTTTACAAGGTTTATAACAACAACAAAAAAAGTTGTCTCTTTTTTTATCCCAACTTTTGAATTCTTATTGTCATAATTTACTTTTTGATATTGCCTCTTTTTTAAAATTATACTTTAAGTTTTGGGAGACATGTGCAGAACGTGCCAGTTTGTTGCATAGGTATACATGTGCCATGGTGGTTTGCTGCACCCATCAACCCGTCATCTACATTAGGTATTTCTCCTAATGCTATCCTTCCCCTAACCCCCCACCACCTGACAGGCCCTGGTGTGTGATGTTCCCCTCCCTGTGTCCATGCGTTCTGATTCAGCTCCCTCTTATGAGTGAGAACATGTGGTATTTGGTTTTCTGTTCCTGTGTTAGTTTGCTGAGAATGATGGTTTCCAACTTCACCTATGTCCCTGCAAAGGACATGAACTCATTCTTCTTTATGGCTGCATAGTACTCCATGTTGTATATGTGTCACATTTGCTTTATCCAGTCTATCATTAATGGGCATTTTGGTTGGTTACAAATCTTTGCTATTATAAATAGTGCTGCAATAAACATGTATGTGCATGTGTCTTTATAGTAGAATTATTTATAATACTTTGGGTATATACCCAGTAATGGGATTGCTGGGTCAAATGGTATTTCCAGTTCTAGATCCCTGAGGAATCGCCACACTGACTTCCACAATGGTTGAACTAGTTTACAGTCCCACCAACAGTGTAAAAGTGTTCCTATTTCTCCACATCCTCTCCAGCATCGTTGTTTCCTGACTTTTTAATGATCTCCATTCTAACTAGCATGAGATGGTATCTCATTGTGATTTTGGTTTGCATTTCTCTAATGACCAGTGATGATGAGCTTTTTTTCATATGTTTTTTGGCCACATAAATGTCTTCCTTTGTGAAGTGTCTGTTCATATCCTTCACCCACTTTTTGATGGGGTTGTTTGTTTCATTCTTTTAAATTTGTTTAAGTTCCTTGTAGATTCTGGATATTAGCCCTTTGTCAGATGGATAGATTGCAAAAATTTTCTCCCATTCTGTAGGTTTCCTTTTCACTCTGATGATAGTTTTTTTGCTGTGCAGAAGTTTAGTTTAGTTTAATTAGATCCCATTTGTCACTTTTGGCTTTTGTTGCCATTGCTTTTGGTGTTTTAGTCACGAAGTCTTTGCCCATACCTATGTCCTGCAGGGTATTGCCTAGGTTTTCTTCTGGGGTTACATTTAAGTCTTTAATCCATCTTGTATAATTTTTGTATAAGGTGTAAGGAAGGGGTCCAGTTTCAGTTTTCTGCATATGGCTAGCCAGTTTTCCCAACACCATTTATTAAATAGGGAATCCTTTCCCCATTGCTTATTTTTTCGAGGTTTGTCAAAGATCAGATGGTTGTAGATGTGTAGTGTTATTTCTGAGGCCTCTGTTCTGTTCCATTGGTCCATATATCTGTTTGGTACAAGTACCATGCTGTTTTGGTTCCTGTAGCCTTGTAGTATAGTTTGAATTCAGGTAGCATGATGCCTCCAGCTTTGTTCTTTTTGCTTAGGATTGTCTTAGCTATATGGGCTCTTTTTTGATTTCACATGAAATTTAAAGTAGTGTTTTTCTAATTCTGTGAAGAAAGTCAATGGTAGCTTGATGGGGATAGCATCGGATCTATAAATTACTTTGGGCAGTATGACCATTTTCATTATATTGATTCTTCCTTTCTATGAGCATGGAATGTTTTTCCATTTGTTTGTGTGCTCCCTTATTTCCTTGAGCAGTGTTTTGTAGTTCTCCTTGAAGAGAGGTCCTTCACATCCCTTGTAAGTTGTATTCCTAGGTATTTTATTCTCTTTGTAGCAATCGTGAATGGGAGTTCACTCATGATTTTGCTCTCTGTTTGTCTGTTCTTAGTGTATAGGAATGCTTGTGATTTTTGCACATTGATTTTGTATCCTGACACTTTACTAAGTTGCTTATCAGCTTAAGGAGATTTTGGGCTGAGACGATGGGGTTTTCTAAATATACAATCATGTCATCTGCAAACAGAGACAATTTGACTTCCTCTTTTCCTATTTGAATACCCTTTTTTTCTTTCTCTTGCTTGATTGCCCTGGCCAGAACTTCCAATACTATATTGAATAGGAGTGGTGAGAGAGGGCATCCTTGTCTTTTGCCTGTTTTCAAAGGGAATGCTTCCAGCTTTTGCCCATTCAGTATGAAAATGGCTGTGTGTTTGTCATAAATAGCTCTTATTATTTTGAGATACATTCCATCAATACCTAGTTTTTTGAGAGTTTTTACCATGAAAGGGTGTTGAATTTTTTTGAAGGTCCTTTCTGCGTCTATTGAGATAATCAAGTGGTTCTTGTCATTGGTTCTGTTTATGTGATGGATTATGTTTATTGATTTCCATATATTGAACCAGTCTTGCATCCCAGTGACGAAGCCGACTTGTTCGTGGTGGATAAGCTTTTTGATGTACTGCTGGATTCAGTTTGCCAGTATTTTATTGAGAATTATTGCACTGATGTTCATCAGTGATATTGGCCTGAAATTTTCTTTTTTTGTTGTGTCTCTGCCAGGTTTTGGTATCAGGATCATGTTGGCCTCATAAAATGAGTTAGGGAGGACTCCCTCTTTTTCTATTGTGTGGAATAGTTTCGGAAGGAATGGTACCAGCTCCTCTTGTAGAATTTAGCTGTGAATCCATCTGGTACTAGGCTTTTTTTTTATTGTTAGGCTATTAATTACTGCCTCAATTTCAGAACTTGTTATTGATCTATTCAGGGATTCGACTTCTTCCTGGTTTAGTCTTGGGATGGTGTATGTGTCCAGGAATTTATCAATTGCTTCTAGATTTTCTAGTTTATTTGCATAGAGGTGTTTATAGTATTCTCTGATGGTAGTTTGTATTTCTGTGGGATCAGTGGTAATATCCCCTTTGTCATTTTTGATTGTGTCTATTTGATTCTTCTCTCTTTTCTTCTTAATTATTCTGGCTAGTAGTCTATTTTGCTAATTTTTTAAAAAAACCAGCTCCTGGATTCATTGATTTTTGAAAGTTTTTTTGTGCCTCTATCTCCTTCAGTTCTGCTCTGATCTTAGTTATTTCTTGTCTTCTGCTAGCTTTTGAATTTGTTTGCTTTTGTTTCTCTAGTTCTGTTAATTGCGATGTAAGAGTGGCGATTTTAGATCTTTCCCACTTTCTCCTGTGGACATTTGGTGCTAAAAATTCCCCTGTAAACACTGCTTTACTTGTTTCCCAGACATTTTGGTACATTGTTTCTTTGTTCCCATTGGTTTCAAATAATTTATTTATTTATGCCTTAATTTCGTTATTTACCCAGTAGTCATTCAGGAGCACATTGTTCCATTTCCATATAGTTGTGTGGTTTTGAGTGAGTTTCTTAATCCTGAGTTCTAATTTGACTGCACTATTTTCTGAGAGACGGTTTGTTATTATTTCTGTTCTTTTTCATTTGCTGAGGAGTGTTTTGCTTCCAATTATGTGATCAATTTTAGAATAAGTGCGGTGTGGTGCTGAGAAGAATGTATATTCTGTTGATTTCCAGTGGAGAGTTCTGTAGATGTCTATTAGGTCCGTTTGGTCCAGAGCCCTCAAGTCCTGAATATCCTTGTTAACTATCTGTCTTGTTGATCTGTCTACTATTGACAGTGGAGTGTTAAATTTTCCCACTATTTTTGTGTGGGAGTTTAAGTGTCTTTGTAGGTTTCTAAGAACTTGTTTTATGAATCTGGGTGCTCCTGTAGTGGGTGCATGTATATTTAGGATTGTTAGTTCTTCTTGTTGCATTGATCCCTTTACCATTATATAGTGCCCTTGTCTTTTTTGATCTTTGTTGGTCTAAAGTCCATTTTATCAGAGAATCCTCTCTTTTTCTACTTTTTACTTATATTGTGATGCCACAAAAGCACACACATTCAATTCTTTAGCTGTTCTTTTTGCTATTTGCTTTCACAATGGTAAATAAATATTTTATAGTATTGGCCCTTGATTATTAGTTGTCTCTCTGGTGTTTGAATTCTCTGTTTCCTGGGTCCCATGTCCTACTGCCTCCTAGTTTACTTTTGTATTTGGATGTCTGCTTGCTTTATTAACAGCCTGATAAAGGGTGCAAAGAACATAGAATATTTTGAAAAACATAAGACTGAAAATACATTCTGAGCTCACCTTTGCTTGATAGTTTGGCTGAACATAAAAATCTAGTTTGGAAATCTTTTTTGCCTAGAAATTTTATGACATTTTCCCCATTGTCTTCTACCTTCTGGTGGTCTTCCAGATTTCACTGTGAAATGCTGTGGTTTGTATCTTTACTTGTCACTTTTACTGCACACTCAGTTGAATACTCTCAATATTAAAGCTCATGCCCTCCAGTTTGGGCATATTTTGATGAATTATTTTGTGAAAATTCCTTGCCTTTTCCAACTTCTAGAAGCTGCCTCTACACTTTGATTCTTTGGCTCTTTTCTTTTTTTCTCCACCTTCAAAGCCAGCAGCATAGCACTTCCAAATTTCTCTCTGCTTCTGCCCTAGTACTAATATTAAGTGAGGTCTCCTTGTTTCAAAGAAAATGGATGTCAATAAAGCACTGATGCATCAGCAAATAGTTTTAAACTCCCTGGATGTATATCTAGTCTTCCAGAATACCTCTCTTCTCTACTAGAGTTTAGATTTATTCATTTACTCATCACTCAATCATTTAAAAAACATTTTCTAAGAAACTGCTTTGCCTTTGGGACTGCCCTAGGCACTGGAATATAATAGTGAGCATGACATTGTTTGAACTTTTAAAGCAGCTTACAGTTAAATAGGTGAAACAAACCAATATACAAGGACTTGCCATATATAACAAATACTTTTGTAGAGCTAAGTATAGAATGTAAAAGAAAGGAAATAGCTCAGTCTTGGAGGGGGAAAGGAGATTTCTCAGTGACCTGGGACACTTGAAGAATAAGTAGGAGTCATCCAAACAAAGAACAGGCAAAGCTATTGATATAGCATGTACAAAGACCCAGAAGTGAAAGAAGGTATAGTATTTTCAGAGAAATTACTCATGTAATCTGAGACTTAGACAAGTAGAGACAGAGATGAATCTGGAGAGGCAAAGTAATGAAGGACCTTATGAATTGGGTGACCATAGAATATACTATCCAAACCTATACACTTTTGAAAATGAAAGAGATACCCGGGTGCAGTGGCTCATGCCTGTAATCCCAGCACTTTGGGAGGCCAAGCAAGACAGGCCGATCATCTGAGGTCAGGAGTTTGAGACCAGCCTGACCAACATGGTGAAACCCCATCACTACTAACATTACAAAATTAGCCAGGCATGGTAGCTCACACCTGTATTCCCAGCTACTCAGGAGGCTGAGGTAGTAGAATCGCTTGAACCCGGGAAGTGGAAGTTGCAGTGAGCCAAGATTGTGCCATTGCACTCTAGCCTGGGTGGCAGAGCGAAACTCTGTCTCAAAAAAAAAAAAAAAAAAAAAAAACAGTGAAAGAGATTATATTAATAATTGTCACATAAGGAAGCAAATTGGGAATTGCAACAAATTGGGACTGTCCTAGGCAAGCCAAGACATATGACTACCCTACCTATAAACCATGTAAATCTTTTCTTTATCCTGTTGAAGATACTGAGGAAAATGGAAAGATCTTCAGTAAGAGGGTGGGAAGGTGACATAGTTAGACATTCATTTAACAAATATTACTTTTGCTGTGGTATGGATTGCTTGCAGATTGGGAAGTGGGTATGCAAAAGGAGAAAAAGAAAAAAGGAAACTGATACATGTGTTGCAATAATTCAGGTAAGCAATTAGGCTTCTTCTAAACTAGCAATGTAGTAATGGAGGTGGCAAAAAGCTGATGAATTCTATACATATTTAGGAAGTAGAATTAATTAGATGTGCTGATTGAGTATAGTGAAGAAATAAGTTGCAAACACCAAGCACAGTTTCCATGTTTTCACCTTGTGCAAATCGATTGGACTATAGGATCCAACACATAATAGAGCATCCCCTGATGGTGTTGCTTATAAGTGACCTGCACTGTGTTTTGTGTATAGGTTTTTTGAGGGCCAGGGTAGTGGAGTTTTTTCTGTTGTTGTTCCAAAGTATTAAACTAAGCTCTAAATGATCTGAGCCGTCACAGCGAATGGCTACAGTGAGTGCTGGAATGGGAAAGACAAAGACCAAATCCAATTGGTGGACTGCAAAGCCCATGAAGAACACTAAAAATAAGGGCATGCAGCAGCAGCAGTGTGTATGGTCACAGGCTGGTTTCTAGAATATCAAAGGAGCAACACTGAAGTCTATGTGAATAAAGGCTGTACGTTCATTTCCCTGGCATGGGGACACTTCAGGTAATTTGAGCAAAATCTTAGACAACATATACTGAAGTCCCTTAAGAAAGCCCAAAGTGTTTTATTCTGTTACCACTTCCTCTCTTAAAAATTAAAGACACCTGGGCTGGGCGCAGTGGCTCACGACTGTAATCCCAGTGTTTTGGGAGGCCGAGATGGGCGGATCACGAGGTCAAGAGATCCAGACCATCTTGGCCAACGTGGTGAAACCCAGTCTCTACTAAGAATACAAAAATTAGCTGGGCATGGTGGCACACGCCTGTAGTCCCAGCTGCTTGGGAGGCTGAGGCAGGAGAATTGCTTGAACCCGGGAGGCGGAGGTTGCAGTGAGCCGAGATTGTGCCACTGCACTCCAGCCTGGCACAGATAACATAGAGGTGTAGATAACAGAACAGGTTTCAAGAAACCATAACAATGAAAAAAATTAAAAATCAGAGTGAAGGGCGCAGTCAACCACAGCTGATCATCATGAGCCTCCAATGAGGTTGAGGCAGACAATACAGAGTTAAAAATCATAAACAGAGAATTGTGGCCAGATTGCCTCAGAAGCCAGGACCTGCAGGGGTAAAATAGGAGCCAGCAGGGACAAAAAAATTGGGCAGCATTCATCATGAAATCAGTCTAGGTGATAGGGTGCCACAGGCTGATACCAGCCCAAAGCCAAGGAAACAGAATTTGGAAGCTTAACAATGTTACTTAAGTAATTCATACAGTGTGGTAAAACCAAGATAGGAACACTGTGCTTCATTCTTGGTTCTCCAACCCATCTCTGAAGCCCTACTCTTCAGAGCAAGAAGACTGCATTGCGGCAGCCTGTCTCCCAACACCTCCATGTTTTTGGCTTCATGCCATATAAACATAGAACTGGCAGTGCCTGCAGCACCCAACATTTCCAAATTCTCATTTCATTTCCTGTAACACGACTGCTCCTCCTATATGTACCATCTTATCCTGCTGTCTTGTCTGTTTCCATGTTTTCAGCACTTTACCTCTTTCACACGTATGATCTTATTGGATGTGACACATAGTGGTTATGAGACCTGCCTCTGCTAGCAGAAAGGCTTCGTTTTTAAATCCCATTCCAATATTTCATGTTTGATCTTGGGCAAGTTACTTAATCTCTTTGTAAGTCAGTTTCTTCCTTTGTGGAAAAAAAAAAAGAGGTAACAATAGTACCAAAGAAAGTGTGTAGTTTTGAAGAAAAAAAATGTGTGAAAAGCACATAGTGCAGTGCCTACTACATAGTATGCACTCCAAAATATTAGTAATCATTATTATTACTATTATTAAGCCTCACAATTTTTGATGGTAGACAATATTAATACAAATACACACACACACACACACACACACACACACACACACACACACACATATATATATACCTACTCATATACAAAAAGATTTTTAAAGGTAAAATGACTTGCTCAAGATATACACCTATAACTCACAGAGCTTCAATCCACAGCTTTCGGCCTCAGAATCAGTGTCTCACTGGACAAACCTGGACAGAGAACTCAAATTCAGGGAAACTATTCAGATCATCTGTCAGGATTCAATCTAACAGAGCCATCAAAGCAGGTAACTCTAGTAAAATGGGCCATACTAGAGTGCAGTGGTGCAGTCTTGGCTAACTGCAACCTCTGCCTCCTAGGTTCAAGTGATTCTCATGTCCAGCTTCCCAAGTAGCTGGGATTATAGGCATGTGCCACCATGCCCAGCTAATTTTGGTATTTTATGTAGAGATGGGGGCCACACTGGTCTCAAACTCCTGGCCTCAAGTGATCCGCCCACCTCGGCCTCCCAAAGTACTGGGATTACAGGTGTGAGCTACCGTGCCCAGCCTGCTAGTGTTCTTAGTAGCTAAGGTCGGCAGCACAGTGGTCCCTTTTTCAAGACACCCAAGTTAGTTTCAAGTTGTTTATTTGTCATCTCATCCTGAAAATTGGAAGGAATACACTAAGTAGAGGTTTAACCAAACCAGTTACACCTAGTTGTATGTATTGCCCAGGCTATATATTGTTGTGTAAAAAAGCCATCCTAAAACTCAGTGGATTAAAACCATGACAGTGATTGAGTTTTACTCATAATCATGCAATTTGAGCAGGATTTAGCAGGGGAGGCTCATCTTTGCTCCAGCTGACTTCAGTTAGGGCAGCTCAAAAGAGAACTGGAGGATTACACTTTAAAAATGGATTATTCCCATGTCTGGCAATTGGAGGTCTGGGCTGAGGTCAGCTGGGACTGTGAACCAGGGACTCTATTTCTCTCCATGTGGTGAGGCTGTACCTTTTCCTGGACTACCTCACAGCATGGTGGCTGGGTTCTAAGGGTGAACATTCAGAGAGAGGGAGACCAGGCAAAATTGTATCATTTCTGTGACCTAGTTGCAGAAGTCATATTGAGGCACTTGTGCCCTTTTTTTAGTCAAGGTGATCACAAAGGTCCACCCTTTCTCAAGGAGAGAGAACATAAATATTTGCTATTGGTGGGAAGTAGCAAGGCTCTGGAAGAGCATGTTGAAGGAGAAGTAGAGGGCATGGGAAATATACATATGCATACACACAGATATAAATATGTAAATATATATTTCACATGCATATATATATTTACTTATGTATATATATATGCCTATTTCATATTTAAATATATTTCATGTTCATATATGTATATACATATATGTGTGTATATATGTATGTATACATATATGTATATGTGTATATACGTATATATACACACATATATGTGTATACATCTATATACATACACATATACATATATGTATATATAACCTATTTGAGCTATGTAAAATGACAACCCCAGTCTGGCACTGCCTATTCCTTTTTTTTTCCACAGCAACTATAATCACCTGGCCTGTTATATATTTGTTTATCATCTATCTGCCCTCCACTAGAATGAATTACCACAGAGGCAGGAACTTTATCATATTTTATATACTGCTATATCCTTATTACCAAGAGCATTGCCTGGCACATAGTAGGTGCCCAATTTATTTGTTGAATGAATGAATGTATGTGTGAATAGATACAACCTATAATATCTAGGACTATAAATTCACCAGCATAAATGCTGGCTCTCAGGCTAGACTCTGAGGCATCAGGTAAATGAGGGGTTCATGACATTCTCTTCCATACATAGCACAATTTGCACATGACAAAGAAAGAATGTCACTGAGACTCCTGACATCTGCATTTCCAATCACGTCAAAAATATAACTTCTATAACCACTTTTCTTCTGCATTTTATTTATTTTTTCATCGACCAGCCATTGCTAGGATCTTTGGCAGAGAGAATTTTTGGATGGCAGCTGTGAAGTATTATGAAAAACTCAGTGCCAGATGTAAGGATTTTATTTGCCTTCCACAAGATGGAATCTGTGAAGCCTCATAAAGTCATAGTTAATAAGTTGCCTGCTTTGCCTTAAGGTGGTTTTAGTAGCTCATAATAGCATTTATTTCAGAAAGTATGAGAGTTGTTACTCCCAAATATCTTTTGGCACATTAAGGGTCAAGTAAAAATCATGAGAAAATACCTTGTGTGGCTTTAGAAAAATTAAAGCCCTCACAGCATAGAAAGCAATAAAAGATTATTATGTGCCTTTTGTCAGGTATGAGATACATTATATGAATCCCTGTGACAAGTACCTCCACTGCTTTAGTTGTAAATACCTTATATTGAATGCTACGTGTAATATTCAGCAGATCCTTGACACTAATATGTGATCTCCTACATAGACATCATTTTGGCTCTGATAAAACACTACCTAATAGCTAGAGTGGGAATAAAAAAATTAGAAAAGTCATGAATTACACAATGTTTCTGTGGCACGGCATTTAAAAAATCTTAAATTTTGATTATAGAAGAAGCCAAAAGAATAATATTAAATGCTAAAATAGATGTTCAATGGTCTCTGGGGAAAAGAAAACTTCTCTGTTCTTAAAATGTTATCAAGAATATTTCTATTGAAGTCTTAAAAAGAGGCTTTTGTATAAGAATTTCAACATGACAATAATCTATGAATTCTCTTAATTTTTTTCTGTTATCAACATCAATCTGTGATCATGTATAAGCATATGATAAATGATTAAAAAATTATAAAATAAATGCATGAACAAAGAAGATGCTACTTGTTAACCATCAATAGGACATGTTTTTCAATCCATTTTTAAGAAGTGGTTATGGATATGAATCATTAATTCCAAAGGTTCTGTGAACTAGCAGAAAAGAGAGATGTAAACCTTGCCCTTGAAAACTTTATACTTCACAGTTGGTTCTAGTGGACACAGTGTGGGAGAACAGCTAAGAAGGATGGAAAGAACTGGTTAGCGCATTGTTAGATTGTTTTCATTCATGGAAAATAGACATCATTGGTTGAAACATCAGTAAATGAGTTCGCTAACACCATTATTATTATTTGCATTATGATAGAAAATATTTATTGAGCATTTACAATGAGCAAGGAATATATTAAGTGCTTTATATATATTAATGCATTCACTCATGACAACATTCTTTTTCTTTTGAGGCAGGTACTGTTAATACCCCATTTTACAGATAAGCAAACTGAGGGACAGATAATTTAAGTGTTTGCACAATGTCACAGAATTAACCAATTGCACTGTCAGGAATTAAACTTGGCTGCTGGCTCCAGAATTCATTCTCTCAACCACACTGTTGTATTTCTTCAAAAAGGCACAATATTGCGTATAAAGAAAAAATTTAAGTAAGTTTTAATTGAGTATATAATAATGGAAATCTGGAATGCCATCAGGTATTGGGGCACAAGAACTACAATGCAGTTTCAGAGATTAGCATACACTACTACACTTTACCTGCACACGAAATGGCTTTTCCCCCATTGTATAATACTAATGATATCTAATCTATGCCAAGAACTAGTTCATCTAATCCTTGAAACAACCCAAAGAAACAGATGAAAACTAGTTCTGAGAAAGATTAAATAACTTGTTCATCATCAGTCATCAGGAGCCACTTTGAATTTAGGATATCTGACCTTAAGTATTTGTTTTTAATCTCTGTTCTCATGTTTCTCCCTCATGGATGCACAGTAGAATTCCCAGCAGAGTTATTAATAAATGCCAGTGACTGGGTCCCACTTCTAGAGATTCTAACTTAATTGGTTTTGAGTGGGGCTTGGGAATAGGTAGTTTATAAAAGCTCCCCACATAAATTTAATGTGCATTCAGGGCAAAGAACCACTACACTATCTGATGCTGTTCCTCATCTTAAAATTGTCTTTGGTATCAACCTCCTAAAGCACCACAATCTAGATTATTCTTTCCAGGATGGTGTAAAGTATGAACAGAAAACTTAAGTGATTGGAAACCTTACATGTTTTCTTATTTGGGGGGTTTTAAGACACAAGGCATGGATGTTAAATGTGAAATAGCTTTCTTTACCCATTCACAAACAATTAGATAGTTCTGGATAGGATTTCATAATTTTTAATTCCATTTTTTTCTCACCTTCATGACAGACAATCTTTCATAAGATACGATCTATTTAATTTGCTGGCCCTTACTGTAATTTTATCTTTAGTAAACCTGGCCCACACTTGTTTAGCTAGTGCAGTTCTGATTCACAAAAGTATAACATAGGGGTAACTGGAATCATGCCACATGTGTCTCATCAATCTACAGTGTGGATGGCAATGAAGATTTGTCAACTTGTTATGTAAAAGAACATCTTTCTGTGGCCTGTATTTATTTTTTTAAAGTAAAAAAAAAGAAAGGAAGCATTGAGCTAGTGAGCAAGTCAGAAAAAGAATACTATCTTAATGGTAAATATATATATATATAAAATATATAATTTTATATATATATAAATATATATATAATATATTTATATATATATAAATATATATTTTATATATATATAAAAAATATATTTTATATATATATATATATATATATAAAATCCCTAAAATAGAATGCCTGACATCTGGATCACAATGTGTTAGGTACCTGAAAAAAAATGAAAATGTATATCTGGACAGATTTGTTGACCAGGTAAAACGAATTAGAAGAAACAAGCACAGATCAACAACTCTGTTTTAGCAAATGAGCATCAGTAGGCTTTGTGCTAGAGGAGTTATACTGATTACAAACATTTGTCAAATAGCAACTGGGTATTAGGTTCAAGAGACAAATCAGTGCTAAAAGTTTAAATTCTTTGGCCGTTTTTGAAATGTTGGCTAAAAATTCAGAAAATAAGAAAGAAAGGATATGAAATTTGCTATGTTAATAGGGGGCCAGGGAAACAAGGTAATCTGAAGCCACAAATTAAAATGAGTTTTAACTTTTCTGTCACAAAACGTAGACAAATGTAAAAATAATATGTGGAATTTTGCTTTTCCCTTTTTAGTACATCTATCAGAAAATAGCTAAATTCTACCTGATAAAAAATGTTTCTCCTCTGAAAACGGTAACATGTTCTAGAAAATTCAACTGCTGTAAATAAAGACAGTGAAATAAAGAATTTTCTATATTTCTATTGATCAGGAATATTCAGAATCATATTTTAATGTCCTTGAAGTCATAGTGGTCATCCTTCATCCTGAACTGTATCACACAATTTTAAATGATTACTAAATTTTGTTGAATTAATTCCATAATTTTCTCCATTATTCAAACTCTGTAGAATATAACACTATTAGTCAAAGCTAGAGGATATGAAGTTCAAATATGCTTTTACCACCAACATAAATTTTTAAACTTTCATTTTCATTTATAGAGTAGAAGAACTTTAAACTGTAGTCAAATATGATTCCTTCATTGAGTAAGAAGTTTCATTTCCCAATATCTATTATCTTTTATGTCTCTTATGTGTCATCTGCCCACAGTGCAGATGGTTTTGACAGGGAAAGATAGCACCATGTTGTAGTACAAAGAGATGTGGACTTAGATTAGAGACATATGAATCCCAATGCCCTAAATTATCTTAGATTTGAATCTCTGCTTTATATACTGCAAACTGTAGACAAACCAACATCTCTTCATCTTAATGTCTTCATCTGTAGGATGAAGGCCAGTGCCTGCCTTGCTGGATTCATATGAGGATCACGATATCGGTGAAACTCCTTTGAAAAACATGAATTGTTTTATAAATAAACAGAACTGTAATCAAGGTCTCACATCATGAATCTGCATCTCTCATTTAACAGCAAAACAGAGAGTACTGCTGCTAGCTGCATAGCACATATATCTTAGAAAGGAGTTGTAAATAAAATTGTAATTACAACAAACTCAATTTCATCTAGTGACCATGAACAAATCATTTATCTGTTATCCCATTTGTGATATGAGTATAGTGAAAGGTAATTGGGTATATTGCGTTAGGTAGATTTAGAAGGAATAGCCAGGCACATTTTAGTTCTGTCCTACCAAGGAGAAACAGCCCATTAAGTTATCAAACTATATTACTGTGAAACTTATATTTTCTTACTTGTAACATTTTCAGCTTACAACATTTTTTTTTGAAAGACTGGGCCTAAAGCAACATTCTCGGGTTATAACATATCTCCATTCACCCCATTTTTTATTTCTCAGAACAAAAGAAACATTTCTAAGATACTTTTACCATATTTGTATCCAAGCCAGATGTCAAAATGTAGCTGTCTCCTGTTTCTCAAAAAACACATAGCTCTTGTGCAAGCAAGTTCAGCGGAGAAAAACGAACAGGGAAGCCTGAAGTCATGTTTCCTGAAGTTCACTTGTTTTCTCTGGCCCCTGGCCCCAGTAGCTTCATCAGCACTCCTCTGTTGGCATCCATATGACATGGTTTTATAATGTCTTACTTGTGCTTTCAAATGCCAGGATTGCTGTGTTGCCCATCTCTTCTTTGGGGATTGAGAGTAGGCCTTCTGTTGTTTTTCATAATTCAGACAACAGTCAATACGGTACTTATCCCCATGTGTGCTCCATAGGCAGCTTTGACAGACATCCTGGCTCCTGCTGCCCAACTTGAGTGTTGGAAAGTGGTGAGGAAAGAACTATACAACTGGGGTTTCCCCGTGCCCTGTAGGCAGATATCTATTGCCCCTACCCTCTAGTCAATCTGGCCGACTTGTTTCCCAACTGAGCATGGCCTATACTCTCCCACGTCCACATTTTGATTATTTTAATTATGTTGCTTTGACTGCCCAGATGCCCTACCTCTGCCTCTACTCCTGCTTTTGAATATTTTATTGTCTTTCAAAGATGTCTCAAATGCTGCCACCCTGAGGCTTGCACATTCTTGCAAAATGTTGTCAGCTGTCTCTCTTATGAACATGATTCTTGATTTATAGTAATTGTTAGGTGACTTGCCACATTCCTCCTTGTAAATGCTTGCTTACTTATTTTCCTTATTGTTTGGCCACTCCACTAAAAGATACTAGCTGTATAACCTTGGACAAGTTATTTAACCCCATTGTGCCTTTTTTCGGTTCATTAAATGAGGATTAAAAATAGTAAACCTACCTCATAAAATTGTTTTAAAATTAAATGTTAACATAAGTACAGAACTTAGATCGGTGACTGGTAAATAGTAAATGTTATGTAAGTTATTGTTTTTATATTATTATTATGTATATCATATAAATTATACATATGGATGTGCATGTCTGTGTTTTCTAAGAGAAAATTAACTTATCCTTCCTTATATTCTCATTTGCCTAACCTACTCTCTGATATTGAGAAGATTCTGAGTAAATGTTTTTGAATAAGTAAGTTAAAAATTGAAGTCTGTGGCTGGGTGCCGTGGCTCACGCCTGTAATCCCAGCACTTTGGGAGGCTAAGGTGGGCAGATCACGAAGTCAGGAGATCGAGACCATCCTGGCTAACACGGTGAAACCCGTCTCTACTAAAAATACAAAAAATTAGCCAGGTGTGGTGGCGGGCGCCTGTAGTCCCAGCTACTCGGGAGGCTGAGGCAGGAGAATGGCGTGAACCCGGGAGGCAGAGCTTGCAGTGAGCAGAGATCCAGCCACTGCACTCCAGCCTGGGCGACAGAGTGAAACTCCATCTCAAAAACAAACAAACAAGCAAACAAAGAAACAAACAAAACAATTGAAGTCCTTTTACCAGTGCTGCCGTTCTCAAGAGATTGAGCTTTGCCTGAACAGAGTTGACATTGCTTTAGTTTGATTAATTTCTTTTTTTTTTTTTTTTTTGGGACGGAGTTTCACTTTTGTCAGCCAGGCTGGAGTGCAATGGCGCCATCTGGGCTCACTGCAGCTTCCGCCTCCCGGGTTCCAGCAACTCTCCTGCCTCAGCCTCCCAAGTAGCTGAGATTACAAGCAGCCACCACCACGCCCGGCTAATTTTTGTGTTTTTAGTAGAGACAGGGTTTCACCATGTTGGCCAGGCTGGTCTCGAACTCCTGAACTCAGGTGATCCATCCACTTTGGCCTCCCAAAGGCCTGGGATTACAGGCATGAGCCACCACACCTGGCAACTTTTTAGTGAGAAACAAATCATTATAAAACCAAAATGTCTACAAATACAGGGCATAATAATTACTTTTTTATTCATTCACTTAGTTTATCACTTAGTTCATGTTATTCATTCACTTAGTTAATAAATGCAAATTCCAGAAAAAGTAACTGAATCCTTACTTTACTGTTTTAATTACATGATTCATAACAATGTAAAATTGTTCAAATATCTAAACAGAATGTTAGTAGAGTATGATAAGAAACTAGATAACCCAGTGTTTCAATATTATGTTTATATGTGCAATTTTACCTTAAACAGTTTCAGAAGCACTTTCAAACAAACTAAATAGCATGAAATCCTCTCTTAGGAATTTTGTTTTTAATTTAAAGCAATTGTTTTAAACTTACACATATCTTACTATGAAATCATCCTTCCATCAAATGCCTCCACCTTACCTTCGGGAAATGAATAGCCTTCTACATTTGGAACAAGGAAAATTTCCCCAAAGGTATGTAAAGCTAAAGCTGAAGGAATACTGTAGTAGACAAATTTCTTCAAAGTTTGCTTAAGGCATTCACAGGAGTTGCTTCTAAATTAAAATAAATATCAGATACTCCCTGATTTCGATTTGACCAGTCCTGATTTCTTTTAGGCAATGTCTATGAAGATTAGAAATTATTTTCACAAGTGACCGAAATCTACCTAATAAATCACTTGAAGTTTTAAATGCTAACCTATCACTTCACAACAAGGAGGTATGCAATTCTCAGGGGCAGAATGAAGTCAGATGAGGCTCATTGTGCAGTACTGATAGAATATGAATAGCAACACCCTTCGCGCCTTGGGTAGGGCCTCACAAAATAAAATTTATTTCATTATTATAAGCTAAAAACTTTTGGATTTCTGGGATGAAGAAAAGGAAGTTTACCTTCCAACATGAGCTTATTAGTTTTATTGATTCCCTTCTATTTTGATCTTACGTCCCGATGTGGGGGGAAGTATGTTTCTTTAATAACAATATTGTTTCTTCTACCAGAAAAGTTTTCCATTTTATTTCACCTTAAATACACTGCAAATTTATATTTTAAGAGGTTCATTTTTTATCAACTTATCACATTTATTCTACTACAGATTTTCACTGGTTTGGGTTCATGAAATGTATTTCTTGTCTAGAAATAATTTTTAATAGGTCTGTATTTAGGTAAGATCTAAGTGTGTACCTCCTGCTGATAAACTCATCGAAGTTCAGTGAAACATAAAGGCCTTCTGATAACTGATATGAATGGAATCTGGCAAACTGAGAAGAGATGAATATGATGGCTTTTAATAAGGAAAATTATTCATGAAGGATATGTATGTATGTCTCCTAGTTTTCTTTATTTTTTTAAATGAGATACTTCTCTGCTTAATGATACATGCATTCTTACAAGTTAAATTTCATAATTTAAATGTAAAATTGTAAAAGGAAAAGAAATACTTAGGGTACTATGGTGTGTTGCATTGTATCAAATATAATATTGAATACCCTTATGAAGGTACATTTGTATACTTTTATCTATCTTGACTTACTCCACAGGAACAACCTGCACTGGATGTTACCTGCCCTCAAGTTGAAGCCGTCAGGCTAAAAATTGTATTTATTTTCCCACCATGTTTTCACTGAATTTACAATTCACATTTTCCGTTTTTAGGTCTTTTATGTTGTAAACACTTTGGTCAATAAAAAATAACTCTCTTAATTCTGTACTTGGAAGGGAGGGATTATTCCAGCCATATGAACACCTACTGGAAATAGATTTGCAACAATATAAACTTTAAGACTCTGTTTAATTTGTCAAATAACACTTATTTTCTGATAGTAATAATAGAAACTTAAAAGGTCTTTTGTTTCATTTGTCAAATAACACTTATCTAACAACAAAAGAGTATAATCTGTGTGGGAAATTGCTAGGTGTTCAAGTAGTATTATATGTTTGCTTCTAGCTTGGATTTCAGAAGTTGCTTGCTCCTCTGTGTTTAGATAAATGCAATGTCCAACAACTTGTGGTGATGACAATTCTAGTCTTTTATTACTCAGCTTGTTTTTGTTTGTTTGTTTGTTTTACCATTTGGTTTTCTTTGACCCGTAATCAAATTATCAAAGACTTGGAAGAAAGAACAAAAAAAAAATTGCCTCTTAGTTTTATAAATGTAAACCTGGGTTCCTGTTCACTAACTTCAATCTGCCAACCTGGAAACATGTAAATTCATTCATTATTTAGTTTCTATGTAGTTTTTTTCCAAATTAAAGCAACTTTTTGAACAATTATATTGAGGTATTCAAAGCAGCAAGATGATTTGTACTGTGGACATAGTGTTACTTTGCATTTCCTCTATAGACTTTTATTAACATGATTTTGAAACTAAAACTGATTTCAAGATTTTAGAATGCTCAAAAGCAAAGTTTTTTGCTACTATCTGGTACACCCCGTTGTTATAGGGATAGAAAACCTGAGTTAGGTTCTGAATGCAGCAATTATAGATTCGTGTATTGAGCCAAGTTCCTTAATCAATTATTCGCTATTCTCTTATATACTCTGTATCTCATCCATAGCCAACTTCTTTTTCCCTACTCTTGGTGCTCCTGGAATGAAACACCCTTCTGAGTCAGCACTGGTCCTCTCTTATATCATTTTATGCTGGGAGAAGGCCAGCTAGTTTTAATGTTAGCCTAAAGAAGTTCTTGTTATAATATCAACATTATAAAATCAAATATAAGCCATTTGGGAATTAAACCGCTTGTAGAATCATCTGAGAGTCTTCTGTCCCCAACCCTGCTGACATTCAGCTCTTAGAGTACCTTACATATCATAGTCTATAGGAATGGTGGCCCCAGGAGAATTTCCATTTATAGCCCTCCTTAATTTCTGCTAGTTCAAATGGTCCACTATTGACCCATCATCACATCTGTCAGGTGTGATTTCTCGCACCTGAAAATAGGGATTTTTTTTAAATCATAGTAAGCTATGAAAAGGAGGAGGTCTTTTTTTTTAATCTTTTGAAGATTTGGAGGTCTTTATTTTTAATCTTTATATTCCAATTTGAACACATCTGATCTTCACTCAACATTATAATTGAATATAAATTTTCACATAAACACAATTTGGTCATATTAAAAAATAGGGCAACATAAAAATTATTTTTTAACAAAACGACAATTTTAAGGCAGATAATAGAGATAATTTTCGAGTGTTTTCTATGTACAAAGTTCTGTGCTAAGCACTTGATAGGTCTTATTTAATTTTCACAAAAACCCTGCGAGATAAGGTACATTTATGGTCATTTTCACATCCAGAGAGGCCAAGAGAGAAGGATGTCCTTCAGTTCATGTAATTAATAAGGCAAAGAGTAAGAATTGAATCCAAGTCTGACAATATCCCTAATCTCAAACTCTTAACCTATACAACCTAAAGATGTTTAAATGGGATATTTAACAGCAATATCAGTTATGATTATCATCATTATCATAATTGAGATACGTCTAATACTCCACAACTAGAGTATAGTAAAAATTGTTGACTTCACTCTTCCTATCAAAATGTACATCTTCTCCCAAAATCCACCTGCTTCTTTGATTGGGTAACTTTGCTCTTTGCCATTTGCATATGGCCTGCTCAACTTTGCTTTTGCTTGCTCCATTCTCCTTACCAAGAAAACCCACATTGTTCCCTCCTCCACCAACTCATGTACTGTCTGTTCATCTGTTAGATAAATAAACATGCGTTAGCTATTGGAACCAGATTCAGAAATTATCTCTTAGATTCTACTCATCCTTCTAAACTCAGGCCTAATTATTCCAAGTAGAATTATTACAAGTTTACTCTCTATTGCACTATTTAGTCAAATGAGTCAAATTTAGTCAAAATTAAAGGACTATAATTTCTTCGTGGTTGTCACTTTGATTTTCCCAGCTAAATATTCAGCATCCTGGGAGTATTTCACATCTCTTGTATACCCCTGGAAACTTGCCTAGTATTATAGTATTATACACACAGGAAACATTTACAAGGTATTTTCGACTAATTTAGCAGTATTGGTGTTGTCATGCCTAAATATGTTAGATGGAATGTCTGAAGTACATACTAAGAATTTCCCAGGGCTCAGTTTTTGCATGTTTTGGTAAAGTTATCTACACCAGAAATTCACTCTTAATATCTTATTCAAGGTGTTTTATCTGAGTTCTGAATACCATTCTGAAATCAAGGAAGGCAAATTCAGGATGATTCTGTCTTTTAGCTTCAACCTTTGACTTATGTAATTATGTCATCTTTCTGACTATCTCTGACATTTTTCTATCTTTCTTGTTTTCTTTTTTGCTAAACCCCTTCTTTTTCCTATCTTCTCACCATCCAACTTCATTTATAAATGGTAGACATAACTATGTGGCTTTTGTTTGATTTTAGTGTATTGTTTAGGAGTGTCTGATACCCAATTAATTAGTTTGATTCCATGTCAGGCTTATTTAAATTTTTTTTAATTTTTATAAAGGAATATAGCAATATTTGAATAAATATAATTTATAGTTTGAAATTCAGTTTCTTCTATCTATGCTTTTTTTGGTATCTTTTTGACTTAATTTTGACTTTGTACTTTGTTATTCTGCAATTTAATTCTTACTGATCAAATTAATAGTTTACTTGGTCATCATACAACTAACTACCTTCTGCCCTTCTGCCTTCCAAGTTGGTAAATACCATGACTTCATAAAGAAATTGAAAGAGTCACCATTTTATAGTTACATCCCCACTCCAAATTTAATTTCAAATATTCCAGAAAGCAATGCAAAAAGACTTAAGATGTAGATTAAATTGACCTCAAACTTCTCATCAAATTGCATAGAAAATGTGATTTTAATCAGTGTCTTTATCTCTAAATAACAAAAGTTCTTTGGAGGAGTGTCCTGGAAAAGACGGTTGTAAACAATAGTACTGGTTACCAGACAGTGAGCTGAGCAGAAACTTACATGCCATGTTTGACCCCTTTCCTCCAGCCTTTGGCATCAAAGCTGTGAAAAATCGTGTTCATACTCTCTCCTGGTTATTTCTTATATTTGCATTCTCCAGTAAATATTTTCTTCCACTAATCCTCATTACCCTTTGCTTTGACTATCAATATAGCCCTTCTCCCTCTTACCCACTGTTACTAGAATTATTTTTCTAAAATACGGGCAGGAACATGCTACTTTCCACTTCTTAAGAAACAATTACATACACCAAAGTCGTTTGAACTTTATAAAATAAAACCTTAATGCACCAACATATCTTCACACTCAAATATATCCTTCCATGCAACCTAACCAAACCAACTAAAACCATCCACGAAGTATTCTTGCTGTTTTGTTCATGGTCCCCCATTGGCCGCTAATATTTCATCCTTTTCTTTGCAGATTAAAACTGAACATATTTTAAGACTCAGATTTAATATCATCTATTCTTTGAAATTGTCTATCCCACCCACTCAGTGGAAATGATTGCATGTTTCTATCTTATAGTATTTTGCAAGCATATGCATATTTTAAATGTATGTTTCATTTTGCCTAATCTATATTGTTTGTCTTCTCCACTAATTATAAAATATTGGAAGTTGGGGATCATGAAACCTTCATATGTGGGTATCCTGTATTTCCTGGTATAGTGTTTTGTGCATGTGACCTCCGGATATTATCACCTTCCATCTCCATAGCCCTTGCCTGTAATGAAGCACTCTCCAACATTTTTTATTCATTTTTGAAAAATCAAATCTGAAGCAAAATTGTCCTATACCCCCTCTTCACATTATGGCTCCTGAAAAGAAACTCTATACATGATGCATTGGATTCATCACCCTCGTTTAACTTTTTTAAGCTTCATCAATCCAGTATGAATTCACACAATTCCATTGTAATTTCCATCATCAGGGTCACCGGTGACTTGGACTGGAAGACCTGATTAACTATTTTCAGGACTTTGCTTTTTCACACTTGGTGATGCAGTTAACATTTGTGATTTACTTAAAACCTTCTCTCCTGATTTTTCTGACATATCTCCCTTCTGGTTTTTCCCTTTGCTTCCATAACTGTTTTCTTCTAATATCCTTTTCTGAATCCTAGAATCTAGACCTCAGAAAAGCCAGGAGCTAAAGACACGCCCACGAATAATAAGGTTAGAGATATAAATTAAGGGCAGCAGAGAGGATAAGATGACTCTTATCCACTGTGGATAAGAATGGATACAGGGAGAGTGCATTCTGTAAAAAGAAAGGAGGGACAAAGATGAAACCCAGGAAAAGCAAATTTATAAAGATAGTTGGCCAGTGCAGACCATAGACTACATTTAAAAACAACTTTTTCCTGGAAAAATATTCAAATTATTACAAGTTTTAGTGTGATACATTGTTTTAATATTATATCACTGTATGAAAAATAGAATAAACAAGTTGTTATCTACAGGTTATTTTCAGACTTGGGGTTCCATCATTTTAAACGAAGGTAGTTATCTTTTACATTTATAGTTACAGTCTTAACAAAGAACTGGATTTTAATTTTTCATTCCATTTTAGTGACAGAGATGGTCAGAGGCATTTGGCCCAATAAAGGTGCTGACACCTCACAGATACAGCCACAACTATGGTGGGCTTGAAACAAAGAGTATTAAAATAGGGCTAGAATATCTTTTAAAAGGACAGGTCCTCAAGCCTGATATTCATAACTGTAGTTAAAGCTGAATCATGGGCAAAGATTAAGGCCAAGAGCTTTCAGCACTGGGACCAGGGGTCCTATGGGTCACCACCACCAGAGGTCAGCTGGAATGTGGCCTCAGAGGGAGAGAGAAGCCTGGGGTGAGCACAGGTCAGAATGAGAGATGTGCCAGTCACAGAAGCCAACCCTCCATCGACATTTTGAAAGCTAACCATTTTCAATTCTGCCTTCCTAAGATTGAGAGACAAGGTCACAATATGCCTACTGCTTCTTTCTCCATTTCTACAAAGCAGGGGATCAAACCACAATTAGAAAATTGCATTTCCTGTTGTGCTGAATGAGACTTTGTTCACCTGATCACAATATCTTTTCATAACTTTAGTTTTCTATAATAAGATCCTGTCTGAAAAATAGTGTATGTATACTCAGGTTATTCTAATGAAATTTTAACCCATACAAAGAAAATTTCTACTTTTATTTTCCTTGAGTTTAACAGCTTTATTTCTATTTTATTCCTTTTCATTCCTCTCTCAACTGTGGATGGAGTTCCTCCTTAATTTTACACTCAGCATTTCAATTCCTGTAATATAAAAAGAAACTTTCATGGGAAATTATATGAATGTGCTTTTAGGTCATATCCATAGATAGCCTAAGGAAAAACATTAAAAGATGTAATTAGAACTAAGACATTACTCTCCTATAATGTGCCCTTCAAGTTTTGTTTTTGAAAATGTGTTTTCTGTTATTTATGGTTTTAGTATAACATTGATCATTACTTTTAATATTTAGTAAGAATAATATATATTTTTCTATTCAAATATTATCTCTAATTCTTCAGCCTAGTACATTTATTTGGGGTAATACATAGAATGTTACAAGGTCAACTTGTCACTCTTCAAACATATATTTGTCTTCATATTCTCATCCCATGGGCTTCAATGTGCTTTATAAAAGCTGGTAAAAATCACTCATAACCAACACTGTGGAAAGTTGTGCAAGAGTTGGGGCAATTACAATATCTTCAGAATCTCATAAAATGATTTGGAAACCAACTGCCATGTGAAGATTGTTTTTATTCACTTCCTCGAAATCAGAATATTATGATCAATTTGTACAGGACCAGATGTCAAAGCCATGTGGAACTTCATATACCTCAGTCAACAAGATATTCTCTTTTTAATTTATCTTTGATAATGAATGATTTTAATTTATTACATTAAACATTCTGTGCTACAAGGACTATCTGTGGGTTGAAATATTACATTAAGCATGTTCAGCTAATAGATTCTGTCATTTAATCTTAATCTTTCATTTAGAGAAGTGAGAATCAATGTGTGTGTCAAGATAATTTTTTAATCCAATCTCCAAACCCAAAAGCAAATGAATAAAACTTTTGCTCTGATCATCTATTTCTTTTCTTTCTTTCTTTCCTTTTTTTTTTTTTTTTGAGACAGAGTCTCGCTCTGTCGGCCAGGCTGGAGTGCAGTGGTGCGATCTCGGCTCACTGCAACCTCTGCCTCCGGGCTCAAGCAATTCTCCTGCCTCAGCCTCCCGAGTAGCTGGGATTACACAGGTGTGCCACCATGCCCAACTAATTTTTGTATTTTTAGTAGAGACAGAGTTTCACCATGTTGGCCAGGCTGGTCTTGAACTCCTGACCTCAGGTAATCCACCATGCCTGGCCTGCTCTGATCATCTGTTTCTTAATTCTCTATTTCACCTCTAAGGACTGAGTTTGTTGTTGTGAAATAAATAAAATATTGTATTCTAATAATTTTTTATTTATCTTCCTCTTCCAATAAAAATGTGATTATTTTTAAAATGGGAAATATATCTCTTTTTCTATTTTCAATTTACTTTCCCCAATAGTTAACAGAGTATTTAGCAGATAGTAGGCCTACAAAAATATTTGACGAATGAATGAATAAAAGAAACATGCTTGCTTAAAAGTAGGCGTATAGCTTAGATGAAGGAAGATCAAATATGCAGATTACATTTATTGAGCAGTTACTATGTGGTAGATGTGATATGTGTCTTGCTTACATTATTCTGATTTAATTCTCCCATCAAACTGATGACATAGATATTACTATCCACATTTTGCAGGATATAATATTGAGGCTTAGAGTTAAGTGTCTGGCCTAATGTCACACAGCTAATATATGATAGAGCTGCGATTTGTACTTAAATTGACTCCAAAGTCTATGTTCTGTCTACTCCATCACACAGCCAAGGATTAAAATGATTAGATGTCAGAATGTCTTCAGACTCATCTTTGAAGCCATCATTGATTTTATTGAAGAATCATTAATATATTATTAGATCTGGCATGTTTTTCAAAATAAATATGATTGTAAGTGTAGGGAACCTAAGTAAGAAGCATTGGTTTTTTAGCATAAATATTTCTACAGAGCATTTTATTCTGGAGAAAACAATTACTCCCTGCATAGTCTGATTATATAAAATATCAATTGTACATAATATTTATGAAAGTTTTCAAATCAACCTAGACTTTTTTCTTAATTTAGAGGCAGATTCTTTTGAGACATTATTGGGTTCAGGGTATTTGGCTTTTTGTACAAATGTCATATGGCTTCAGTTATGACACAAAAACAATTCCATTAGGTTTCAGCCTCAGTACATACACATCCATCCACATACTTGCCTAATGTCAGTTTATTAATTCACAGTGATTTTGAGCTCATAATGCCCAAGCTTGTGAATAATATATAGGAATTTTTGCATAATTCTCAAAATCTTTGTAAACCATTGCTACTAATAAATTAGTAAAAAAAAATCCTTGAAGTGGTTTTGGGAGTACTATGGGTTTTCAAAATATATTTTTGACCTACCTTATGAAATATATAGGTGAAGCTAATTGGAAACAAAGATTAGCTATATTAAACAATGATTTTAATACCAAAGCATACAAATATCAATCAAAATGTCAAACCTCCTACTAAAACTACACAATTTTTCATATTAGAATTTAGTGGAGTCCATCAAAGGGAAAATATAATTGAAATATAAAATGAGTTATTGCATCAGGCTCAGTAAAAAATACTGAAAATATTTCATTTTCAAAATTCCATGGGAAATTAGGGACTGTTTTGCTTCTCTGGATGACATTAGTGTTTAAAAAAAAATTAATGAGTTCCATTGGGCTCTCTTTGGCCAAAGTGGGTGATAAACTTAATTGATGAAGTCAAAATGCAGGTGAAATACCTTTGCATATCAAAGCTACTATAAATTTCAAAATGCTTTAATATGGATGCTTCTAATTTTTGAAGGGACATTTCAAATGCAGAACAAATGGCCTAAATTATTTCAATTAATTTTTTAAGAACAGAAACGTAAGTCATTTGAATAATCCCTTGGAGTTCCTGGTAACAAAACACATCCTATGTGAAATCCAGTCAATCTCCATCCCTTTCCCTAGATGCTTTTGCACAAATAGAACCATCACTAGTATTAGCTTTCTCTCTGAGCACCAGTATGCACCACAACTGTAAACTCCATGTCTCTTTAGAGATTATAAACAAAGACTAGCAATTCTGGAGATAAGAGGTTTCTGTCATTTCTCAGTTAATTCTGCCTTTGAAGTACATATAGTGGAACTGTTTTCAGAAAGACAAATAAAGAGAAGTACCCTTACTGGATTTATTTCTTTTTTGTAAAGATGGAGAATAAACCACTTTATAATTTCATTGTCTTTCACTGTATTACAGTAATTGTAATTAAGAATATCTTTTGAACTGTAAAAGATATAGAATGTTCAAAAGGAAGAAAAGCTCATAGTTTTCAAGAGAAATAGTTGTGTTCAATTTTATTCAGAACTTCTTTATTACACTTAAACTTAACGATTATTGCCTCCTTTGCATCTTAAAGCTATTTCAATAGGTTTTATTTTTAAAGCAATTCATTGTTTATTATAAATGTACTATTTCCCTCGTTATACTTTTAGTACTATGTGCCATTGAGCATTTATAGATGGCACAAATATATTATCCAAGATCTGTAATATAATATTTAAATAAAAACAAAAACTATTTCTTATTTGCACAGGCATCCAGTGCATATTTATTAAGATTAATGCATATTATTAAAAATTACATTTTTTTCAGATCCAAGAAATTGACATAAATAATGAGCAAGAAAATGATTATGAAGAGGATATTGCCTCATTTTCCACATATATTCCTTGTAAGTTTTTCCATGTTATATATATATATGACATATTCATATATATATCACATATATATGTGACTTATGGAAGATGTAACTGAAAAAGCAAGACTGAAGAGAATGTGGCACGGTATTTAATTAACTGATTGGCTTTTAATTTGTAATAGAGACACTACTACATCATATTCCTAATTTAAATACTTTTAATAAGTTCAAGTTTTAAAAATCAAATACTGATTTTTCCTACCCAGAGGGAATACACAAATAACTCTGTTATGACTATGTGGACTATTTGACAACTACATTTTTAAAGTTTTTTAAAAACTCATAACCACATTATTTGCAGACCTTAGTTTTCTCAGCTATGAAATGAGAATATTGAACTAGAATACTCTCTAAGGTCCTCCCTGGCCCTAATATCTGTGATTCTACATTCTAATGTCTGAAGAATAATTCAGGATGTTCCTACATGTATATAAACGTATATGTGTATATAAATGTATATATATACACATATATACATGTATATATAAACGTGTATATATACGCGTTTATATGTGTACGTAAACTCCACCCATTATGCCAGGCTTTATTGGCATACAGCTCAACAGCTTCACCAGCATGTTTGGTAGGAATCTCACATCCAACATTTTTGAAAGTTCGGATTCCTGCCATTGCCAAACCTCTCCACCTGCTGACTTCCCCATCTCAGTAAGTGAAAACTCCTTCCCTCCTTTGTTCAAGTCAGTTAAAAAATGCTTGAAAGTCATCCTTGGCATTTTTACTTTCTCTCCTACCCCATATGCAATCAGTCTTACAATACTGTTGACTCTGCCTTCAAAACATTCCCAGCATTCAGCCATTTCTCTCCCCTTTCATTATCCTAGTCCACACCATCATCAGTTCTCCCCTTGTTTACTGCAATAACACAGTGGAGAACTGGAGGGTCATTGTCACTTCCTACATTGCAAGCTTGGCAATGAACGGAAATTGTTCTATTGTTATGACTCAGGAGGGAGGATTGCTACTGGTATTTATTGGGTAGAGATAGAAGGACTGCTGCTAAATAATGTATAGGACGCCTTCAATAGCAACTTCCACATTTGTTGCCTCTGATATTCTACACTTCATGAAAGGACTAAACACCTTTCATGAAGGACTAAACACTCTTCTGCTCCAAATCCTCCAATATCTCCCCATTGTACTCATAACCTTTCTCATCCCCTACAAGGCCCTAATCTTTGTGTTCCCATCTCTCACCATTATCTTACTCATTCACAAACCAATAATGTGCCTGCCTCAGGGCATTTGCACTTTCTATTCCTTCTGTACACTTTCTCCTTATATGCTCAATAGTTGCTTCATCACTTCTTTCTTCGTTTTATGACACCCTACTCTTCATTTCACTTTACCTGCTCCTTTTCTTCATTGCACTTATCAACATTTAATATGATATATTATTTATCTGGTTGTTGTTTATTGCCTGTATTCTCTTTCTAAATCACATGCTCAAAGGGATTAGGGCTTTTTATTCACTGTTTTGATTGTATCCCCAGTACCTGTAACAGAACATAGTCTATGCCCAATGAAACATTATTGACCACAAGTTTTTCAAATGATGGGGACCTGCAAATCAAATAAAGTTAAATACAAGTAAATGCCTTCACTAGCATACTTTGGCAAAATTAGTAAACTCTTCAAGTTATTGCAGGACACAAAAAATGCTAAATATTAAATTAATGGATTAATGCACCAAGCTTTAAAGTTATACATCTTATCATTTAAATTATAATAAAAGTGATTATAAAGGCCATGATTGAAAATGACCATATATTTATCATGACGTTTAATTTTCAGAAGAATTGACTGTAATAATAAAACATTATTTCAATTCTTTATAAAGAAAAATTTCACTTTTGCAGTTTGAAACTACAAACTCTCTTGTATATGAAACTGTGTGTGACTGGGCTCAAGCCAGTCTCTTTCATGAGTGAGAGGGTGAAGCACAGAACCCTAGCTCAGTGGATTTCCATTGGTATTACCATTACAACAAAGCATGCTAAAACACACCAACTCATTAAATCTGACTTTCCGGGGCTGAAACCCAAGTTTGGGCATATTTGATGACAAGTACCATTCAGATTCTGTTGCTTATTCAGTATTAAGAAACACTGAATATATAAGCAGAAGTGTGGCTAAGAATAATTTCCTATAGCGTGAATGTAATTCTGAGTTGATGACTGATTTGCCCATACAGAAATAATAAAGTTCCTTTGCTAGCCTGAGCAATAATTTTTTCCATCCATTCCATCATCTACTCCATCAGCATTTCTAGAGACTACTTCATTTCAGGCTTAGTGTTTTGTGTTAAGGATAGAAAAATGAATGAGATCTGTGCAGATAGATTGTACAAAAACAAATAACTATCCACTCTGCCCATGCTGGTAATTAAAGAATCTTGGTTTAGTTTTAGTACTGGAAACTGTATCTTTCTTCTTTCTCACATGAAAGAATAGAAAAACAAAAAAAGAAAATTCCATATAATAATATGGGCTACCATCATGGGCATGATTTTTCTACATTCTACAGTGTAATTCTTCATTTTAAAGAAGTCTTTCTTCTCTACATTGTGCTGTTTGGGATTTTAAGCTATATTTTAGCTTAGCAACATTTTAATACAGCAATATCTTGCCTTGACAAGGAAAACAATTCACATATTCAAAGGTCTGTTACAGAGGTTCCAAAGTCTGTTTAGAAATTCCAAAAGACTGTTTTAAATTTTTTGAATCCTTTATTTAGAGAATATTTTTATAAAGAAAATTTAATAAAAGTTTTTTCTGAAGATTTAAAGTCATTGCATTATAATTTCTTTTTTTCTGCTTTCTTCCTGAGTGTTTAAAGAGCATTTACTGTATATAATATAAAAACAAATAATGGTATGGTTGTCAGAGTAGAGGGAATTTGGATCATTTGGTTAAATTTCTGGGTAGAATGCATTTATAGGTAAAGAACTGATCCTCAGAAAGATTTACCTACTGTTGGTGATTTACATGCCTTTTTCACCAAAAAAAAATTAACTTTTCCCAAGTAATAGCTCCAAAGTTAATACAGTATCTGTAAATGATTTACTATAAGGAATTATAAAATTATTATAGTTATCTGTAAAGATCAATATATATTAAAATAACTAAATAAGAGTCAGATTCATTTCTATTTATTATTTACAAGCAAGTAAAGGTTTGTGTCTTTTTTCTTTACGTTTTCCATCATTTATTATTTTATTGGGTCAGTTATATTGTTTTCTAATAAAAATGCAAGGATGCTATCAAATATATGAATTTGTTCAAACAATAACTCTAAAGAATCAGAATATCGTTATCTGCATGAGTGTGTCATATACACAGATAGCAAGACATAATGGAGCTTTGACTGTTCATTTGGTAAGTATTTTAAAAACCCAGAAATAAATGACTGTTCACTAAAAGTTACACATTTGACAGCTTTTCACTATATCAGGTCATAAAAGTTTTATTAGCAGTACTACTATTTCTGTACAATTTTATAAAATATGAAATGCCTTCAGATGGTGTGTTTAAATGAAATCATGCAATCTTCATCATAAACAGCCACACAGAACCCAGCATTTCATCATGAAAGCAGGAAGACATACGGGCAGAGTGCAGATGGAGCTGAGGCAAATGAAATGGAAGGGGAAGGAAAACAGAATGGATCAGGCATGGAGACCAAACACAGCCCACTAGAGGTTGGCAGTGAGAGTTCTGAAGACCAGTATGATGACTTGTATGTGTTCATTCCTGGTGCTGATCCAGAAAATAATTCACAAGAGCCACTCATGAGCAGCAGACCTCCTCTCCCCCCGCCGCGACCTGTAGCTAATGCCTTCCAACTGGAAAGACCTCACTTCACCTTACCAGGTAAGTTTAAGGTTAGAAAAAAACAAAACAAAACAAAGACAAATCTTTGACAGGCTTACATAGCAAATAGTGCAGTGGCAAATCTATACAGAGCAGATCAGCTTTTGAAACCAATAGCAACATTCTTCCTATTCTTTAAAAACTAAGGCCTGGGAAATGAGGCAAGAGATACCTACCTCTACCTTGTTCTTTTGTTTCTTATTTCCTTGCTTCCTTCCTTCCTTCCTCCCTCCCTCCCTCCTTCCCTTTCTTCCTTCCTTCTCCCACTTTTTCTCTGTTTCTCTCTTTCTTTCTTCCTTGTCTTATTACAAAGCTTTAAGAGAATAAAACTTGGAAGGAGTCTGTAGTTCTTCACATAAAATGAACCTCAGGCATTCTGTGGAAAAGGAAATACAACATTGCTTTTAAAACATACTCTCAGTCTTCAGACAAAAAGTGAAATGCTAATGATCGACAATTTTCAGATGAACTTGGGTACTTTAATCACTTGGTAGCTGTGGGAGAATTAAGCGTTAAAGGGTTTGTCGCACACTGCACTGACACCAAAGTTTAAAAACACTCTATACACTACCCAAGTGGAAGAAGAGTCAACATAGCTATCACTGGCATTTGTTCCCAGACGAAGGAATTGGGGTGTGGAAAGTGGGTGTGGGGAATCTGTCCTTGCGGAGGGCATGAAGAGGAGCTTCCACATTAGGTTTATCTGCCTGGAGTGTTCAACAGCCTGACAAACTCCCAGCTCCAGGCTCACTCTTACAGTCACAAATTATCATCTACTTTTTGATCATTATTTCATATGTACTTTCCAAATTTATATTTATTTTCCAAATAAAATGTTCTTAAGAAGACAATTTAGTTAAAAAAAAAAAACTCCTTATCAAAACCCCATTTTCACTATAATTTAGTTGTTGGGTCCTAGAAGGCTACAAACCCCATTTTCACTATAATTTAGTTGTTGGGTCCTAGAAGGCTACAAAGTACAAAAACATGACCTTGTTTCAAAAAGTAAATTTTTACGCAATGAAATTTAGTATTTGGGCTGGGCACAGTGGCTCATGCCTGTAATCCCAGCACTTTGGGAGGCCGAGGCAGGCGATTCACCTGAGGTCAGGAGTTCGAGACCAGTCTGACCAACATGGTGAAACCCCCATCTCTACTAAAAATACAAAAATTAGCTGGGCGTGCACCTGTAATGCCAGCAACTGGGGAGGCTGAGGCAGGAGAATCGCTTGAGCCCGGGAGGCGGAGGTTGCAGTGAGCCAAGATCATGCCGCTGCACCCCAGCCTGGGCAACAAGAGTGAGACTCCATCTCAAAAAAAAAAAAAAAAAAAGGAATTTAGCATTTGTGTCATTGAAGGCTCTCTATGAAGACCCAAGTTTACCAACATAAGCTTTATTAAGCTTATGCACTGTATTTAGAGATGGAAAGTACTGCTTAATTGAAAGCTCTGAAGCCTAGTGGATATTCCTCTGATTCATTCATTCATTCAACAGATATTTATTACCTACTATATTTGAAGGTCTTGTGGACCCTCAACATTTATCCATGAAGTAGATATATTAATATTTAGCTATGAGGGGAGAAAACATCATAAGTTAGTAGTACACTGACTACAAAATTCTGGCATATTTTTCTCATTTTTTCAGATCTGAATAATTTGTTATAACAAAATTAATTGTCAAGAAGGTAAAATTGTCTTGTGTCAGATTATTTCTCTTAAAAGTGCTAATATTAAATCATATTTTTCCTAATGTTAATTTCTATATATGGTATGTTGGTTAGCAGGTCTAAAACGACTCTATCAAGGGTCTTCATGAGTTGTCTAAGATCAGAAATGTAATCTTGGATAACATGTCTCCTGAAAACTAGCAAATATAAAAAGCAAAATAAAATAAAAACTCACTTATTTAATTTAAAAACCCTATTTTTACATTTTATATTCAGTGTTACTTTTATCTTTTGATAGTACTGATATTAGAAATGGATAATAAAATGCCGGTATTTTTTCTTAAAAATGTTTTATTGGCCTTTAAATGCAAGGCTGTAAGCTATCACTTATTTGTTTGCCAGAGACTTTGTATGTCTTTGACTTTGGCTAGTGATACCTTCAGGAGTTGTTCTTTATGAGTAGCTTCCATCTGCCATCAAGTTACTGAAGGAAAAAAAAAAAAAAGCCTTCTCCTCAGTGCTGTAGGCATCAAATTCCTCACAGTGGATTTACGGACTTCTTCATTGGAGAAACTAATAACATATAATACTATAGAGCACTTTACAGTTTATAAAGAACCCATGGTTTCTTTTTAACCCAAGAATCCTGGAAAGTAATTATCGGATCCCTCCTTGACTCAGTTCCAAGAAGCCCTATAATTAGAATGTGTCAGTTGCTTCTATTAACAGGTCTCCTAGGCTATTAGGATTTTTCTCTTTTTTATACAGTCTTGACCCAATTACTTCAAAAGTTGGAATTATGGAAGTGATTTGTTTTAATCTTTCTTTATTGATATACCACCTGAATTCAGAAAGCTTAGGTCCCACTCTTAACTGAAAAGTATTATCTGATACTTTGGAAAATAAAAAGTAAAATGTATTATTTCTAGTGCAAGCCCAACTTTAGAAATGTTGGGAAGGGAGGTGGGTGGGGAAACAAAGAGAGTTAAGAGCTCAGGAAATCGGTTCATAAACGTAAGATGGTTGACACATTCCGCTAAAAATGAAACACTGAAAAAGTGGTTCCCACACACTTAATCTGTTTTCACCTGTGTTGCTGTCAGTGAACCAGAAGTCATAAAGTCAAAATCTTAAAACCATATTATTCATAGGATAAAAGGCAAGCCGTGGTGAATTGAAAGTTAGTGCTAGGCACATCGGTAATTAATACTTCTTAAGTTAAACTAAATGAAACTATAAGAGTTAAGACTCTGTTGGGAGATTATCTTAATCTCGCCTCATAATCTTACCCAAGGCAATTGCTGAATCTTTCTATAATATCCTTTTATTCTGCTCTGCTACTTGTCTTTCCCCTTTTAAGTTTTTCCACTAAAATCTTCATAAGTAAACTAATTTTAGGAGTATCAGATTCTCGAAGGGCAAATTCAAAAAAGAATGAAAATGAAAGAAAAAGCCTTCATTGGCCTTGTAGAGAGCCATTAAAATTCTTTTTAATTTACTTGTTAATCAAAGCATATTATATCTGTTATTAATAACTGCTACAAAAATATTTTAACATATTCTTATAAAAATATGTCAAGATATTACTGTATGGAAAAATCATCAAAGACTCTGAAACCTATAATTTTATTCTTTTCATGTGAATTCATTCTCACACCATTGATCATCCATGCTGTCTTTTATGTCATGAACTCTACTTTCAGTGTCTTTCATCTGTTTTTTATTTGTTTTTTTTTTGTTTGTTTTTATTTTTGAGGCACGATCTTGCTCTGTTGCCCAGTCTGGAGTGCAATGGCATGCCTATAGCTCACTATAGCCTCAAACTCTTGGGCTAAAGCAATCCTTTCTCCTCAATTTCTGGAGTAGCTAGGAGTACTCGCCACCTAGCTAATTCTTTTATTTTTGTAGATACTAGGTCTCACTAGGCTGCTCTCAAATTCCTGGCCTCCAGCTATCCTCTTACCTCAGCCTCCCAAAGCATTGGGATTAGGCACAGAAGCCATTGGCCAGTGTCCTTTATCTATGAATAAGGCCCATGTTGGCTTGTAGAAAACAAAAGCTGCATTTCTGAAGGTCAGTTTGTCATAGTCAAAGACCGACTGCTATGAAACCAACTAATGGTGCCTTTGGCTATTTCTCCCTGTCATTTTCAGAGAAATTAAATTTTAGGTGAAATATCCAGTGCAAGCAATATGAAACATGAAACAACTTCAAATGAAAAAAAAAATCTAAGAATATTATGCTTGAAAAACACAAGTTTTCAAAGCTGTGGAGTTTCAGACATAGATTTATAACTTGATTTTCTGATATGAAATCATTCTTTATATGTAAAAGTATATATAATATATAAAATAATATATAAAGGTATATTTAATACATATAATTATATTTTATACATTAAATATTTATATATGAAATAATATATAAAAATAATATATATATATTGCTCTCTCTCTACACAAAATAATATGGAAAGTATTTAAATGTTTTAAAAAATTCCATGTCTTAAGCACATGGATTTTTTTACTACACGTATTTGTCTTAATACAATTTAAACTACAAAGTGCAGGATGATTTATTAGTAAGTTACACAGCTCACTTTTTCTGCATTTAGGGGGTGACATATAAATTATTCTCCTGGAGTCACGAGCTCTTCTCTAATACTGTTTCCTACGGCACTTGACTAAGCCACCTTGGGAAGCTCAAAAAAGTGACAGATGGACACCAATAATGTTGCATGTAACAGAAGAGTAAACACCATGTAAATATTTCATAAACAGGGACAATGGTGGAAGGCCAAATGGAAAGAAGTCAAAACTGGGGTCATCCTGGTGTTAGACAAGAAACAGGAGATGAACCCAAAGGAGAAAAAGAGAAGAAAGAAGAGGAAAAAGAGCAGGAGGAGGAAGAAGACCCATATACTTTTGCTGAGATTGATGACAGTGAATATGACATGATATTGGCCAATCTGAGTATAAAGAAAAAAACTGGGAGTCGGTCTTTCATTATAAATAGACCTCCTGCCCCCACACCCCGACCCACAAGTATACCTCCAAAAGAGGAAACTACACCTTACATAGCTCAAGGTAATTATCATTGTTGTTTGTTTACTTGTTAATTTTTTTTGTCCAAAATTTTGAGGATGGGAGGAGGGGATAAGGTGATGCAATTAATGCTCTAAAACTCCAAAGAGTAAACATTTTTTTTCAAGTCACAGCTAAGCTATACTGGCTCATTTTTTTTCCACTAAGAGTATTTTTTTATTATTATTATACTTTAAGTTCTGGGGTACATGTGCAGAACGTGCAGTCTTGTTACTAGGTATGTGCATGCCATGGTAGTCTGCTGTACCCATCAACCCGTCACCTACATTGGGTATTTCTCCTAATGTTATCTCTCCCCCAGCCCCCCACCCCGCAACAGGCCCCAGTGTGTGATATTCATATTCCCCACCCTGTGTCCATGTGTTCTCATCTTTCAACTCCCACTTATGAGTGAGAACATGCAGTGTTTGGTTTTCTGTTCTCGTGATAGTTTGCTGAGAATGATGGTTTCCAGCATCATCCATGTCCCTGCAAAGGACATGAACTCATCCTTTTTTATGGCTGCATAGTATTCCATGGTGTATATATGCCACATTTTCTTTATCCAGTCTACTATTGATGGACATTTGGGTTGGTTCCAAGTCTTTGCTATTATGAATAGTGCCACAATAAACATACATGTGCATGTGTCTTTATAGTAGAATGATTTATAATACTTTGGGTATATACCCAGTAATGGGATTGCTGGGTCAAATGGTATTTCTAGTTCTAGATCCTTGAGGAATCGCCACACTGTCTTCCACAATGATTGAACTAATTTACACTCCCACCAACAGTGTAAAAGCATCCCTGTTTCTCCACATCCTCACCAGCATCTGTTGTTTCCTGACTTTTTAATGGTTGCCATTCTAACTGGTGTGAGATGGTATCTCACTGTGGTTTCGATTTGCATTTCTCTGATGACCAGTGATGATGAGCATTTTTTCAAGTGTCCGTTGGCTGCATAAATGTCTTCTTTTGAGAAGTATCTGTTCATATCCTTTGCCCACTTTTTTGATGGGGGGTTGTTTTTTCTTGTAAATTTGTTTAAGTTCTTTGTAGATTCTGGATATTAGCCCTTTGTCAGGTGGATAAATTGCCAAAATTTTCTCCCACTCTGTAGGTTGCGTGTTCACTCTGATGATAGTTTCTTTTGCTGTGCAGAAGCGCTTTAGTTTAATTAGATCCCATTTGTCAATTTTGTCTTTTGTTGTCATTGCTTTTGGTGTTTTAGACATGAAGTCCTTGCCCATGTACTGGCTCATTTTTAAATTTAGAAACATAGTGAGTAAAGAAAATAAGAATGATGGATTGAGTTCCGGTTTCTACTTCCTCATTAAAAAGGATAATGACAAGTCTTTCAGGGAACATGAAACCATAGGATATATGTAGAAATTCTCCTTGATACTTCCTTCCTAATTCTATAAGAAAGATGCTCAACTCCTATAAATAATATGCAACACAAGAACATTTAAATATATACCACAGATCCACCTAAGAGAAACATAATTACTCATATATACTTAATATTTTCAAAAGAAACCATTCTGTTCCTTAAGCTGCATGTATGTATTAAGAGATTCATATAAGAAAATTTAGCAAGCACGTATAAAGTATTTATCAGTATAAAATACACTTATTTAATGATGATCTTCTCTTGATATTGTTCAAGAAACTATAACAAATTAGGAAACTATAGCAAATTAATCAACTGTTTCAGCTGAAATAAAACATGAATTGGAACAGTTGTCTAGATTATAGATTATAAAGTCAGGGAATGAACTTTTGCTAGAAATTCTCAGGTTGTCTCTCATAGTTTAATATCTCTAGGGTATTACTATCTCCTTGACAAAGTTGCTAAATACCAGTAAATACTTTTAAAAGAGAAAGTGGATATAGCTTGATACAAAAAGTTAGTTATACTCTAGAAATTTTTGAAGAAATACCTCATCTTCTATATTCCAATGCCTAGGGAGTTTCTCAGGACAAGAATGGAATCCCATGTTGTGTTCGTCTACCGTTTGGCCGTTATCTTCCCATCCTTCTATTGATGGTCATATTCTTGTTCTCCAAGATCTCTGTCTTGTTCTCTGTTGTTCTTTTTTGTAGAATTCTTTTCTCTTTTAGGTGGGTACAGAGAGATATAATTCAATATCTTTGTTACTGATTTTGCTTCATTGTGTTTTGATTTGTTTTTAAATTTCTTTTGTTCTTACTTTTCCTTCTGCTCTCATATTGTCTCTGTTGTCTTTACTTGTTTGTTCTGCCTGTAACATTTGATACTTCCATCAAATATGGCTATTCTTAGCTATGTTTTCATGTTTAACAATGAAGCACCGGCCGGGCATGGTGGATCATGTCTGTAATCCCAGCACTTTGGGAGGCCGAGGCAGGTGGATCACCTGAGGTCAGGAATTCAAGACCAGCCTGGCTAACATGATGAAACCCCGTCTCTACTAAAAATACAAAAAAGTTACCCAGGCATGGTGGCAGGTACCTGTAATGTCAGCTACTCAGGAGGCTGAGGCAGGAGAATAGCTTGAACCCAGGAGTCGGAGGTTGTAGTGAGCCAACATCGCACCACTCCACTCCAGCCTGAGCGACAGAGTGAGACTCCATCAAAAAATATAAAAATAAAAAAAAAAAATGAAGCACCAAATGCCTCAATGGAAACTCTACTTTTTAACTTATGGACAGCATTGTAGGGTAATTAGGAAGTAGGTAACCAGCTTTTTCATTGGATGGCCCCAAAATATTATTTATGTAAGTCTATTCACCTATGCTTTTAACTTTTTCTAGAATACTCTTCAACTAACTGTAGTCTGCACTTACATATCCAGTTCCCAGCATGCTGAGATTAGAATGCGGGAAAAAGACTGGGAAATTTCACCATTCAGAATGCACAATTTAACTTGTTCTCCCTGTTTTCCGTCTCGTATGTAATTCCTGCCACCCAGTGTGCCTTGTGTACCATGTCCAAAACTACTTCTGTTCAATTTCTCTAATGAAGAACCCTCCCATTATGGGTGAGTGCTTCAATTCACAGGACTGGAGAAAGAACTTGGGGCCATGACTGGTTTAGGCTTTCAACCCATCCCTAAGTAAAATAAGTACATTTGGATGGTTTTCCTTTCATTGATTTATTTATTAGTTACATAAACATCGATTGAGTGCCAATGATAAAACCTGTGTACTAAGTTTATTTATTAGTTACATAAACATCGATTGAGTGCCAATGATAAAACCTGTGTCCTAAGTATGTAAATTTTGTACATGCAATGTTGCAATTTGTCCTGTAGGTATATGCACACGTAGAAACATTAAAGAATCTTAAAGATCTTCAGTTTCTAATAAATTTTAAAGTTTACTTATCTCACCCATCCCAAGACTGGCACCCTTCAATATTTATAAGTTGTCGTTCTAATTCAATGATAACAATATAATTTACTCTCATTATATTTGTATTACATGGAGATGAAAACTAGTGCTATAATTTTTTTTGGCAATTAAGTATATAAAATAGGTATGGTTATTTACCCTGTATCCCAAATAAGTAGCAAAAGCTGGACTACAAATAATGTCACCAAAATCCTTTTCCATTTTTTATTTCCTTTTCTCTTTCACTGGGATATACTTGCCTGCCTTTTTCTTTTATGCAATTGATTGTTGATCATTCTGTTCCCACATTAGGAAGAGATTACCTCATCAGCTAATTCATTCTTGGTGTTCTTTGCATTTCACAGAGTAAGAGCCTTTCCTCACATCTTTCCTTTTTTTTTTCCCCTAGCTTGGGCAGATCTATTAAGTCAAGTTGCCACCATTTCCCAGAAAACCATTCACTCAATTAGAAGATTAATTTCTGGCCCCATTGCTTGCCAGAGCCCAAAAATGGTATCAGTATATTGGTGTATTCAGGGTGTGTTAATAGCCAGAATGGAAAGATTGGGAATAGAAGATAGAGGAAAAATACAGGAATGCAGAATCCCATCTTACTATTTCAGAAACTGAAGAAGTAATGGCAAAGGAACTAGGCAAAGGAAAACCATGCTGGCTTTGCAGAAAGACTTGTGTCCAAATTTAGCTGATATTACCCAAGCAAGCAAATTCACGTATCTGAGACTGAATTTCCTCACTGTAAGCTGGGGATACAAATATATATTTCAAAGATTTTTAATCTCTAAATGAGATAAAATTAGAAAATACCCAGCACAATACTTGACATGTGGTATATGTTCAATGCATTATAATTAAAACAATTCTACTTTTTCTTTTCTCAGTTTAGTGTCTGTTTCTTGGATTCTGGTGGAATCAGAAGTTAGGGAAAATAGTAGTGCTGGAGTGTGTGAGGGAAGGAAGACCCTGTATTCTAACAGAACAAGTTGGCTTAGTCATCTTCTTATAATAATTATCATTAGGCAGCTTTCATGATAATTGCTAATTCATGCAATAACCCCACATAGTTGGCATTGATAACTTCATTTTAGAGATAAAGAAACTAATGCTCAGTAAGTGCCAACGTCTTTCCCAAAGTGATAAAACCAGGAAGAGGAAGAGGCAGGATTTGGACCCAGATTAATCTGGATCTCATGCCTGAGTACATGGCACCACAAATTTCCATCACTGATATATTTATTCCTGGATTACTTGTTAATATTTATTTCTTCCTTCTAACCTATAAGATCCATGAAGGAAGAGACCAAACTAATCTGTTTTCCCCATTGTATCTCTGGTGCCAAGATCAGTGCTGAATTCATAGTAGAAACTCTGAATATTTGGTGAATATTAACTGAATGAAATGATAGAAGTGACAAGATCCACATCAGTGTGGGTAGAACAGAAGACTTCATTAACACTCTGGAATCAGAAGACTATATCAGTCTACTGATTCCTAAATTTATCCTGCTTTAAACCATCTTATGTCCAAAACACTACCAATTTGAAGGGAAGAGCCCACACAGAACTGGACAAAGCTCTAGGTTATTCATATACAGCTAAGCACTCTAACTGCTTCCGCAAAGCTTAAAACATGAAGCTCTATTTCACCATCATCATCATCCCCTTACCCCAGAGACATAACTTATTAATGCAAAACTGAACCCATGTTGGCCAGGCACGGTGGCTCACGCCTGTAATCCCAGTACTTTGGGAGGCCGAGGCGGGCGGATCACGAGGTCAGGAGAGTGAGACCATCCTGGCTAACACGGTGAAACCCCGTCTCTACTAAAAATACAAAAAATTAGCCGGGCATGGTGGCGGGTGCCTGTAGTCCCAGCTACTTGGGAGGCTGAGGCAGGAGAATGGCATGAACCCGGGAGGCAGAGCTTGCAGTGATCCGAGATCGCGCCACTGCACTCCAGCCTGGGTGACAGAGCGAGACTCCGTCTCAAAAAAAAAAAAAAAAAACTGAACCCATGTTGATTTTTTTTATCAAGATATATGTTTCTGATTTTTTATCCCATTGCTGTTGTACTAAGCCAGATCTTAGGTTAACAATCACAAGAATAACTCATTTTTCATAAGTAAAATTTTTTGAAGTCTACCTGTTTTCAGATATATTTTCCTCTACTTTTTTTTTTATCCCTGTAATATTGAAGAGGATCGGGTTCATTAAGCTTGAAGAATACAGAGGAATTAACATGGATGTATGGTCTTTAGTGACAGAATTCTTGATTTAAGACAAATCAGGGAAAGAAAATGAGCACTTGGCATGGCATAGATACATTGGTAGTGAAACTACGTCCATAAATCATGCAAAGAGATGAATGCCTATTGGGTAAAATTTTTCAGCATCAATGGGCAATTTTCTATTTTCCTCACACACAATTAATAGAACAAAGATCTTTCTTCAGAATCCATGTGACTGATTTCTGGTAGAATATAATTTCCCTTTCAATTTCCAATTGCTACTGAGTTGCCCTTGGCATTTTGCAGTGCAACAAAGTTGTATGTGACCTTTTTGAGAGCTACTCAGCTACAGGGAACCCAAAATGTCAAGTGCAACTCACTTGCTCTCAGAAGTTTTCCACTTGCAATTCACTTGTACTTGAAATTGATCACATACAATGCAATTGAAATGCAAAAAGAGAAAAAAGACCTTGTAGAAACTGTTAGGAAAATTTATTCATATCATTGTAAACGTGACAGAGTATAATGGTCTCTGTCCTCATTAGTAAAATACGGTCAAGTGGATTGAAGTAGGTCTTAGATCAACTGCCTTGGATCCTCCTCCCTGGATAGGTGACCTTGTCCAAACCATTTAGTTTAAGGACATAGTATGTATATCACAGGTGCTCTCAGAATAGTGACATATTTATCATTATTTGTAAGCCTCATGTTCCTGTTTTTCTCCCTTGACTCTGCCTCATTCTTTTCCATGAGAGAGTGCTGGTGTAGCTCTGCAAAGGAGAAATTATTCTGACCTGTGTTCATACTGTCCATTGAAGAGAAGCAAGTCAGCTCGTGTAACCCAGGTGTTCTTGTTTGCTCTTTCTGTCATTCTCACAGTAGAACATCATGATCCCCTGGCTTCTTCACAGAAATACTGAATGAAACCTGAGAAGTGCTTTGCAGACCATCTGTTAGCATGTTGACGTAATGACGATGAAATTTTCCAGCCTCATCTTCCAAGAATTCAATTCCTTTATATTAGTGAAAATGGGAAGGAGGCAGTAATCAGCTGTAGCGTGAACTGACATTAAAAGATTTTCATTACACAAGACAATGAATGCAAATATTATCAAGCACTTAGATTTTCATTCGACAGCACAATGAATTCTGGTCTTTTTCCACTTAACATATGATGTTACTATTTGTTAAAAGCATCTGTAGGAAGAAGTTTAATTGACCTATAAAAGTAGTTCTTAACTGGCAGTGATTTGCTTCTCATAAGACATTTGTCAATGTCTGGAGACATTTTGATTGTCAAGACTAAGAACAGTACTAGTGACATCTGCTAGGCAGAGACCAAGAATGCTGCTAAATGTCTTACATGCACTGGACAGCCCCATAACAAAGAATTATCCAGTCTAAAGTGTCAACAGTAACACTGTTAAGAAACTCTTACTTGGATTATTTCCATTGTTAAGCCAGAGTAAAGAAATACTTTAGAGAATGATTATTTATAGATGAAATCACAGGTGCATCGAACAACCATATGAAACAGCTATCCACAACTACTGTCTTTTTAGTCACTTTAGATTTCTTGAATTCAGAATATTTTCCACCAGGACTTTTAACACGTGATTCTTTGTAATCTAAATAAGTAGCTCTTCGAGAAAAATAAGATGCTTCCTGAGGTTGGAAAATTGAAAAGAGTCTCCCCTAACGGACCAGCAGCATTGTGTAGTGAAATTCATGAGGATTATGAAGCCAGATGGAACGGAATTTTACTGAAGACTGACACTTACAGTTGTGTAACTTTGTGAAAATTACATAACCTTGCTTCATGTGTTTTTGGTTTTGGTTTTGGTTTTAAAGAAATGTAATACCTACTTCACAGGGTTTTCATGAGAACTAAAACCATATATGTACAGTGGCCTGCACAGGGTAGCATGTAGGAAATGATAGTTCCTGTGATGGAAGGTATTCTGTAGACACAGAGGTGAAAGTAGACCTGGCATATCACCCCAGTTAGGATGCCTTTTGCTTCTTCCCTTTTGCATGGGTTTCATATGCCAACACATCACCTTGCATGACTTTTTCAAAGTATTTATTAACTTCCACTATTGAATACTATCTAGAACAAAGGGGCCAGCCCTATCCTTTTTGAGAGCTTTTTGGAATCCTTTTTGAAATCCTTTTGGAATTTTCAATCTGCATTTATGTAATTTGAATCTTGTTAGCAGAATTAAACTCTAATGTTTGTTCAAAGTGAGCATAATCAAATAGCTGATCTTTAAATTTAAGGGAGAACAAAATATTAGAGTACCAAGTTTTATCATCCTGTGAAATATAACAGTGCAAATCATGATCCCAATGCTACTTCTTGGGACAGCAACATTTCTTGATTGAGGGAGAGGGAGGCAAGTTACTTTTGATAATCACTAAGCATGAACCAAAAAGTAAACTCATTATAGTTTGCAGAGTCTTCCATTGGCTGCCCAAACTACTTCTCTTTGAAACAAAAGAAAATTGCTCAGAATGTTACTAGAGTTATGTCCATACTTATACCATTTCCTTATTGAATACAAATGGGTAATAAGAGAATTAAATAGATGATCCCAAATGAAGTCTCATGGGAGGAGACTAACCCCCAGTCCAGTGCTATACAAGCAATAGTTGTTCAATACATGCTGCCTCCTGCTAACAGGAGGGAGGAAGACTGCTCACCCAGTGGTGACTGGAGGTTTTACTAATAAACGCATTGCCATGGTCTCAAGCTATAATTAGAGCAAGCTCCACAAACCAATTGTCATCACTCAGAATGGCTCACCTTCCTGGATTATAAAAGTTTCTAGAATGTAAATATTTGTGTTTGTATCGAAAGATGACATATGCAAATGAAAACAATTTGTGTTCTACTCTGGTAAAAGTTAGGTCCCTTAGTAGTAGAAAAAAAGATTTATAGTGGGATTTCCCAAATCTTCCTTTAGGAGATGCTTTCAATGATAACACTTCTATCAAACCAAGTTTTTGTTACAACTTGAAAGGAAAATTAATGTTTTCTCCTCTGGAAACTAAAGCAGTTATTAATACCACCACTGAATTAGAATTTTTACGCCATTTTCCTTCATGCAGCAGTGTGTTTTCCACCTTTCCATCTCTGCTTATCTGAATAGTAAGCCGTAACCCAAGTCAGTGATCTCATATATTCTGGCTGACCATTTACAGATTCTTCTTAAAAAAATAATGCCACAACTCCACCTACATACGTCTGCCATGCAGTAAACTGGTTTCAGGTGAAAGATTTTTATACTATGTGGCTGATGTGGCTGTCTGTGTCCACACCTTGAATGTACCCGTTGAAATGTAATGGCCTGTATTTGATAAGGTTTCTCAAGTTAATAACCTATAAATACTGCTAGCACAATTAAATGGTGGCTTTGAACTAACTGGAGCACTCAGTCTGTCTTGGTGAATTTGCAAAGAGGCTACCTACATACATCTTTCCTCTAAGCTTCAGATTAATCAACATGACTGCTTATACGGTTAAAACATTCTGTGTTTCCTGTATTTGCTGGCTAGACAAAGGGTTTATTTACACTGTGGTTGCTTGTTTGTTTGTTTTTTACTTTATTGAGCCTTTTTGTGATTAGATTTAAACAGTATAAATTGGGAAGCTGGGGGAAACAAGGCAGGGAGAATAGAGAGCTACAAGGATTGAGTTATGATTCTGACCCTTCCTGATGGTTCCTCATCCCTATCCCCTCTTATCAGTAAGCAGTAATGGCACATTTGACCTTTATTTAAATGAACACACCAAAACAGAGGACAGTATGAAAACTATGACTGTGTCTTATTTACCTTTGCACCCTCACGACTTGGCCATGTAGTTAGCAACCTAATGAAAGGTGTTTTGGTGAAAAATAAACACACTGCTACCATCCTGTACTGCATCATCCCCTGAAAGCCCAGAGCACAATACGAATCTATGTATTTTATTTTATATAAAGTCTCTATTTTCAAGCATTATCATCAATGATAGCTGTACAGCTCTAAATAACATTTCACTGTTCACATCTAATGGACAACCATCAAGGGGGTTGTGGTTTATCATTCACAAAATGAATGTTGTTGTTAATTGCACAGATTTTTATCACTATAGCCACTTATGAAATAATTCAAAATAAGATTTATCAGATTTTCTAAGAAGGGCAGCTATGGAAGGGTCCCTTTGCTTGAAATAGACCACAAATGAGGTTGACATGAAGAATATTCTCGCAGATGCAGCCTGGAAAGACAAGTAGTGCAAGTGAACTCATTAAATTTCACCTTCTCCTCCTCCTCTGCTCTTCTGCTAGTTCTGCTTTACTTAACATTTTGAATATTTAATGATATGCTAATTTTCCATTCAATGTCATATTCTAGAGAAAATTTTACAGAAGTCATTCTACCAATGTTTAAAATAAAAAAGGGTATTATTTGGGAAATTTGTATTCTTTGGGATTATTTTAAACCGCAAAAATTGTTTTGTTTTGTCTGTGGACTTTTTATGTTTAAAGGTGGTGACAACGACTAATAATGCATTCATATTTCTTTCTTCTCAAATTTCAGTTTTAGGTAGGAGGAGAAAAATAAGATTTCACTGGGGAGAGAGTCAGCAAAGTTGACATATATCCTAATTACTTTGATAGCATGTTTTGAACATTTATGAGGTAAATTTTTTAAGAATTCAAACACATAGGGAAAGGATTGTCTCAATATATGATAAAAAATTACCACTGGCCTATGATTTAAAACTTTCTCATTTTTATGTTAGTCTAAGCCCCCCAGGTTATAAATAATATTTTCCTCAAAACATAGCATTCCACTTAAATTCATACTCACTTAAGAATTTTTCCCAGCACCGTTGGACCTGGAGTGTCTTGGGAAAGAAGAATTGGTAACATCTCAGAATGTTAGAGCTGAGTGAAACATTAGAGATCGTCACATCTAAGCCCTAACTTTATTGGCAAGAAAATAAAGGCCAGAAGGGTGTTGGGGAGAAAGAGGGAAAAGCCGTTTTTCCATGTCACTCATGTGGTTGATATGAAGAGAAAACTATAGCCCATCTTCTGTGCCAAGTTGGCTAGTATTCTGGTATACAACTTTTTGGTTACAATACATTTAAAACAAATTCTCGTCTAACTAACCACAACTCTTGCTTTACAAAATAATGTACTTTTGTATATAAATCTGAGTGACCTATAACCCTACACTCAGTTCTCACCCTGTTATGGATTTTATATCTACCTCTTGTAAAGGTGGTGTGGGGTGGCTGAACATAGTAAATATAAAGTACATAAAGTCTTTTAGAACAAAGGTTTTGCTAGTTGAAGCAATTTTAAATGTTTCAGCTAATAGGAACTATAAAGATAGAAAGATGAACAGATTCTGAAATTTTACTTGTATCTATTCTAATGGAATATGTGTCCTTGACAGGTGTGTTTGCTTCAGTGATAATTTTGATGGGCTAGTGCTTTCTTCAGGAAATAAGATAGGTCTTTTCCCAAGGTTGCCTCATATTTAAAAATACCTCCCCAACTGAAAGCGATGAGAAGACAGTGTGTTTGGCAATATGCTAATTGCTAGTTGTTTTCTTTTTAGAAAGTGAGACTCATCTGTAGGTGGGAGAAAGGGAACCTAGAGGTATGGGTGCAGCTGCAAGTGAATTAAAAGAGAACTCAGAGGTGGGTAAAGCAGGTAGAGGGAACCTTTAAACTCTGGGCATGACCTACTACACGTCTGCTTTTAAAGAGTCGTATTATCAGCATTTTCACAATTACCCCACTCATAGTATCCTACAGCCTCATCCCAATATTCTGCCCTTGTCCCCAGCTGTTCCGAATATAAGCCCTGGTGAAATCGCGACAATAAATATCCTTGTAACTTCTTAATCTAGTAACTGAAAGACAGCATTTATTTGTTTAACATTTACTGTTATTTCACACAGGCTGAGCATTTGTTATCAGCAAAAAGGATTCCAGTAACATATAAGGTGTAAAGTGATTTGTAACAAATTAATGCCAAAAAGCTGGAAAAATAATTTCATTTCCAAGTACTTTGTAGCTTCAAACCTCAGCAGAATTTTAAAAACTTATCAATTAATGTAATTTTTATTTGAAGAATTTATTATCTGAATAGATCTTTGGATTCAGGTCATTTCCCATATGAATGACGCCAGCTTTTTCCTCTTAACCATTCTCAGTTATATCTTAACAATATTGGCAAAAAAGCATAGAGACCACGTTATTAAAATTTTTAAAGCATTGCATTTTAAAGACTTTTAAAACTAGCAAATAGAAAAAAATCAAGTACCTCTTACAACATTTATTTTAATATCCTAACGTATAGTCATACATTATATATTCCTCAATATATTTTATTTTAGAAAAAATGTAAGTAAGCCACAAACCCAGAACTTGCCAGTTAGTTATATTTAGCATGTTTTCCATGTACTAACTTGAAGCAGAAAACTGGTTTTCAACCAAAAATATGATTTTATGTGTATACTTTTTCTCAAACACGTCAAACTTTGAAACATATTTTGCCTCTTCTGTTTAAAAGAGCACAGTTGAAGGGAGTACTCTTTGTCTTGACAGCATCTGGCAAATCATACATTTTTAATTACTAATTTTTGATCAGATGGGGGGAAATTTTCATCTAAAAAACGTCTCCGGGGTTAATCACAGATATGTCCTTGATCTTATATTGGTTTAAATAATATAAAAACCAAAGACAGAAATCTAGGATAACTGTCGGGATGTTTCTGCCAATCACAGTGGTCCAGCACCATCCAGTTAAAACACGTTCACTCCCACAGGCCTCAGCTCAATTATCCCAGGAAATTCTGTCGAACTGCTAAAAGGAACAAGAGATACAACTGTGTTGGAAATGTTCTAATTTCCCTTTTAATCCTCTCCCTCTATCTCCTTCTTTACCTTTATAAGATAATAGTTATGGAGGGGAAGTGGCAGTAGTGCTGTAAGGAACCACGCAATAGATTGAAGTTCAAGGCTTCTCGGTTTAAATCACATCTCTGCTAACAACAACTCTGAGATCATTGCAAAATTACTTAGCCTTTTTACAAGCTAGTTACTTCCAACTCCCTCATCTATAAACATATGAGGTTGGACTAAATCTCCAAAGCCTTTTCCAGTTCCCAAACCCTGTAATTCACACTGCCCATAAAAAATAAATGTAACTCTGGGATGTTCATTTTCTAAAGTAAAGTTGTAAAGAGTCTGGACTTTTTTATTAACAAATGCCAGAAGCTATATGGAACTTTGTGGGTCCTCAATAAATATCAAACAATCAACTTTATCTTTCATCTGCAAAATGGGGTGAGTAATGCTGACTTGTCTCCCAGAATTTCGTGTGAGAAATAATAAATGAGAACAAAGCACTTTTCAGATAATGAAGTAATTCGAATAAGCTGTTTTAATAAGTCTGCGGTCTAGATAGATGATGCAAGAATAAAGTGTCTTTTTTATTATTACATCTCTGAAATACAAGAGTCTTTTTACCTATTTAAGGAGAAACAGTCATTATCCTTGCTTATCATCAAAAAGTCAGCATGGGTAATTTCTGTGCAAATGGAATTTTTCATATGATTTTAACATTTATCGCTTTTAACACAATGCAGCTTTTATTCTTACCTGATATCAAAATGGAATCATATCTTGATTTAAATAGTTTAATGAGGCATTGCATCAGCATTATACTACTCTGCTCAATGAAAATGCTTTCTGAAATGACTGATAAGCTGCACAAATGAGAAAATTGTAAATTTGATAATCTTCCTACTCAAAAGTAATACAATTCAGGAACTGATACTCAGGAAAATGATATATTGCATTCTGGCTTCCTGGAGACTTCTACAGTATGGATTTTTTGAACGTTTATGTTCAGTAAATAATATGTTCTATACTTTTTACAGTGTTTCAACAAAAGACAGCCAGAAGACAATCTGATGATGACAAGTTCTGTGGTCTTCCTAAGAAACAAGGTACTAACACTAACTTCAATCTATTTAGTAATCTCTAGGTAAAATATCAAGAAATCTTATGAATACAGAGTAAAGCCTCCTAGGACAGAAGTATGTAATTGTGTGCTTTATAAATCTTACTCTTTTTTTTATTATTATTATACTTTAAGTTTTAGGGTACATGTGCACATTGTGCAAGTTAGTTACATATGTATACATGTGCCATACTGGTGTGCTGCACCCACTAACTTGTCATCTAGCATTAGGTATATCTCCCGATGCTATCCCTCCCCACTCCCCTCACCCCACAACAGTCCCCAGAGTGTGATATTCCCCTTCCTGTGTCCATGTGATCTCATTGTTCAATTCCCACCTATGAGTGAGAACATGCGGTGTTTGGTTTTTTGTTCTTGCGACAGTTTACTGAGAATGATGATTTCCAATTTCATCCATGTCCCTACAGAGGATATGAACTCATCATTTTTTATGGCTGCATAGTATTCCACTGTGTGTATGTGCCACATTTTCTTAATCCAGTCTATCATTGTTGGACATTTGGGTTGGTTCCAAGTCTTTGCTATTGTGAATAATGCCGCAATAAACATACGTGTGCATGTGTCTTTATAGCAGCATGATTTATAGTCCTTTGGGTATATACCCAGTAATGGGATGGCTGGGTCAAATGGTATTTCCAGTTCTAGATCCCTGAGGAATCGCCACACTGACTTCCACAATGGTTGAACTAGTTTACAGTCCCACCAACAGTGTAAAAGTGTTCCTATTTCTCCACATCCTCTCCAGCACCTGTTGTTTCCTGACTTTTTAATGATTGCCATTCTAACTGGTGTGAGATGGTATCTCATTGTGGTTTTGATTTGCATTTCTCTGATGGCCAGTGATGGTGAGCATTTTTTCATGTGTTTTTTGGCTGCATAAATGTCTTCTTTTGAGAAGTGTCTGTTCATGTCCTTCGCCCACTTTTTGATGGGGTTGTTTGTTTTTTTCTTGTAAATTTGTTTGAGTTCATTGTAGATTCTGGATATTAGCCCTTTGTCAGATGAGTAGGTTGCGAAAATTTTCTCCCATTTTGTAGGTTGCCTGTTCACTCTGATGGTAGTTTCTTTTGCTGTGCAGAAGCTCTTTAGTTTAATTAGATCCCATTTGTCAATTTTGGCTTTTGTTGCCATTGCTTTGGTGTTTTATACATGAAGTCCTTGCCCATGCCTATGTCCTGAATGGTAATGCCTAGGTTTTCTTCTAGGGTTTTTATGGTTTTAGGTCTAACGTTTAAGCCTTTAATCCATCTTGATTATCTCAATATTTGCAGAAAAAGCCTTTGACAAAATTCAACAACGCTTCATGCTAAAAAATCTCAGTAAATTAGGTATTGATGGGACATATCTCAAAATAATAAGAGCGTATCTATGACAAACCCACAGCCAATATCATACTGAATGGGCAAAAACTGGAAGCATTCCCTTTGAAAACTGGCACAAGACAGGGATGCCCTCTCTCACCACTCCTATTCAACATAGTGTTGGAAGTTCTGGCCAAGGCAATGAGGCAGGAGAAGGAAATAAAGGGTATTCAATTGGGAAAAAGAGGAAGTCAAATTGTCCCTGTTTGCAGACGACATGATTGTATATCTAGAAAACCCCATTGTCTCAGCCCAAAATCTCCTTAAGCTGATAAGCAGCTTCAGCAAAGTCTCAGGATACAAAATCAATGTACAAAAATCACAAGCATTCTTATACACCAACATCAGACAAACAGAGAGCCAAATCATGAGTGAACTCCCATTCACAATTGCTTCAAAGAGAATAAAATACCTAGGAATCCAACTTACAAGGGATGTGAAGGACCTCTTCAAGGAGAACTACAAACCACTGCTCAAGGAAATAAAAGAGGATACAAACAAATGGAAGAACATTTCATGCTCATGGGTAGGAAGAATCAATATCGTGAAAATGGCCGTACTGCCCAAGGTAATTTATACATTCAATGCCATCCCCATCAAGCTACCAATGACTTTCTTCACAGAATTGGAAAAAACTACTTTAAAGTTCATATGGAACCAAAAAAGAGCCCGCATTGCCAAGTCAATCCTAAGCCAAAAGAACAAAGCTGGAGGCATCACGCTACCTGACTTCAAACTATACTACAAGGCTACAGTAACCAAAACAGCATGGTACTGGTACCAAAACAGAGATATAGATCAATGGAACAGAACAGAGCCCTCAGAAATAACGCCGCATATCTACAACTATCTGATCTTTGAGAAACCTGAGAAAAACAAGCAATGGGGAAAGGATTCCCTATTTAATAAATGGTGCTGGGAAAACTGGCCAGCCATATGTAGAAAGCTGAAACTGGATCCCTTCCTTATACCTTATACAAAAATCAATTCAAGATGGATTAAAGACATAAATCTTACTCTTAATCTCACACAATATAATTTTGCCATAATACAATTAATACAAGAAAATTATTTTAAT